>NC_000017.11:46310980-46935980 GCF_000001405.40 Homo sapiens | reverse complement strand
TAAGATAAAGCTCACACTTCCGAGTGACTGTTTCTCACAGCTCAGTGGCTGGGAGTGCTTCATTCACAGGGGACCACACCCTGATAACAGACAGAACCCACGCCCTATTATCCATCAGGGTTGATACAGGAAAAGGGCAGAGGCTGAAACATCATGACTGACATCAGAGTCTGTGTAATGTTTCTGTAAACCACTCCCAGGGGCTGGAGTCTCAGCAGTGCCAACTGGTCAGGGCTTCTAGGAATACCTAAGGCTAGGGAGTGAAGAGTCGCTGGGATCACCAGCACGGGCTTTAGAAGCTCTAGAAGCTTCTAAAGCTCTAATCTACTGCAAACAACCAGGCAGCCCTAACACTGCACAGTGGGGATTCAGTTACTAAAATACAAAAGGTTTTAGTTATAAGGCAGTCCACAGTAGGGGTCCTAAGGGAAAGCCACCTTAAAGCGAGGTACCAAAGGACAGCCACGTCTTCATTCTTCCAAGAGTAGATTCTGTAACACAATTTCTCAGCCTGTGATTGGACCCCTCGTAGTAGCACTCACTTTCATGATAAGTTCAGTAAATGGGAAAAGACCTGGATCCTAAGAGAGGCCACTTCATGGTTTGTTTCAAGCACTGGCAAAGGAACTGGGTACTTTCAGGCTCACAATAACTCAACTCCAACAGAAAGGATCCCAAACTCAAGGGCTCTGTCTTGTCATCAAAATATCACAATTTGAGGACACGTAATCAAAATATAAACACAGTTACTAAACTGTTGGATGAGGCTAAAACAAGAGGCCTTCTCTCTGTCCCCCAGCAGGGACCCCACCTTCAAGGTCAGTCTCTGGGTCCTCAGTCCATCTAAAATATTGTGCCCATCTAAAATGAGGTCATCCATGCCGTTGTGAACTTTCTGGAGGGAGGAGTTAAACTGCAGTGATTCGTCCATTGGTATGGTGGTGTCAGAGTCCTGTGAAAGAAACACAGGCACTTGATTAACTTTGCTTATCAGTCAGTTCCTGGGGTCTCACTGCTCTGTCTTTTGGCCAAGGCCAAGCCAGAACAGCCGGAGGGGCTGGTGAAAGAATCAGCGGACCCTAATGGATAAGAAAAAGCAAAGCAAAGGCCTGGGGTGGCCTCTGTCCACACAGAAGAGGAACTTCCTCAGATCTGTCACTCTCCAAATGAGTTCCACTCCACAAGTATCGTTCATTCCAACGATACTTGTCTCTGTATCATGATCTCCTCTTAGGAAAAGCTATTCCTTCAAGACCTCATTGGGTGTCTCCTAAAGGCTTTCTCTGACTACTCACTAACCTAGCTGGTTCCAAATGTTCCTTTCCATGGCTTCCCCTTAATGCAGTGTTAAATGTTTGCTCGTGTCCTTTAGCTATTTTATCTATAGTTTACCTCTCCAAGTAGACTGAGAGTTAACTAAGGATAGAGGAGGCTGTGCTTCTGCATTTTCTTTTTTTTTGAGACAGGGTTTCCCTCTGTCACCCAGGGTGGAGTGCAGTGGCGCGATCTCAGCTCACTGCAACCTTAGCCTCCTGGACTCAAACAATTCTCCCACCTCAGCCTTCTGAGTAGCTGGGACCATAGGTGCATGCTACCATGCCCAGCTTTTTTCTTTCTTTCTTTCTCTTTTTTGTATTTTTGGTAGAGACAGGGTTTCACCATGTTGCTCAGGCTGGTCTCCAACTCCTGTGCTCAAGGAATCTGTCCACAGGCCTCCCCATTTTATAGATGAAAAAATGCCCAGAGAGGTAGAATAACTTGTCCAAGATCACACAGCTGGAAGTGTGTCCAGTGATCACAGAGCTGGAAGTCCAGTGGAGCTGGGAATGTGGGTACTGAGCGCAGGGCCTGCCCTGTTACCCACACTGTAGAGGGAAACACCAACGCCCATCCTGGTGGCTCTACTTTTGCTCTGAAAGTGGACTATAGGCAGGAGCCAAGTCCTCGCCAGCTGTGAGAGCGTTCCCTTCTCTTTTCTGCCAATCACAAGCTCTCCTGCCAAGTAGTGCTGGGGTTTGTTTCGTGTTTTTTTTTTTTTTGAGACAGGCTCTCACTCTGTCACCCAGGATAGAGAGCAGCCTTGACCTACCAGGCTTAAGTGATCTTCTCACCTCAGGCTCCAGAGAGTAGTTGGGACCACAGGCTCACGCCACCACGCCCGGCTAATTTTTATATTTTTTTGTAGAGACAATGTCTCACCATGTCACCCAGGATGGTGAACTCCTGAACAATCCACTGCCTTGGTCTCCCAAAGTGCTGGGATCACAGGCGTGTGTCATTGTGCCCTGCTCCACTAGTGCTGTTTTTACCACCTAAATTCCAGTTTCAATTGTCCAAAAAAAAAAAAAAGGTTATGCCACTGTTTCTTTGCTGCTCAGATTTGGAATCATTTTGCACATACGTGTTTTCAACTGCCCCTGCTAACAGGGGAGCTCCTCACAGATAGGCGTCAGGTCTTTTAATTTCATCATGTGCTTTACTCCTAGTGCCTGAATTAACTAGTTTTCTGCATGCAGCTAATGCCCAGTGTGTCAGAAGATGCTGGCGTTTGAAAGACTCAGAGACTTCTCTTCAGTAATTTGACTAGCACTTATGAAATGCCATTCACATACAAATCTTTCTTACCCTCCCATCTAAAACAGTATGGCTGATGGGCCATTATCTCTCAGAAAAATGTATTATAGCTCCATATGGTAGAATGACCAGGAAGAAGTTTCATCTGGCAAGTCAATGTTTATTAAGAACTGACGGTGTGCACAGCATCACGCCAGGCTGGCAAAAAACAAAATAATCCCAAGCGATCATCCTTGGCCTAAAAAAGGCCTGAATACTACATTATAACGATCTAAAATCCAAACATCTTTTAGTGTGTCTTATAGTTCATTAAATTTTTGAACTGTTAAACACTGTAACTTGACTGCTTAGTCTGGGGAAGCAAAAACTATGTTGGCACAGCCTGAAACACTTGGGAAAATTTATTGCAAAGCAAGGATGCAGCATTGAGGGTTAAACATCTACAAAGCAGGAAATGATGTGAATTTTAACAACTGGCTTAGAAAGCTAACATCTCTTTAGAAAATAATCCTCTGTAAAAAAACAAAATACAAAAAGCCAAAGCACACTTCATTTAGTGGAATATATTATGCAGGACACAGAAAAGGCCAGTATGTTCTACAGCCATGTGCAGGAAATGATCTGGTTAAGACTAAAGGGCAGGGACAATGGGTTCTGAAAAATCAAACATGCAAACCAACACACTTTCAGACAGACTCAGGCAAGCAGTCCATCTAACCCTAAACATCTGTTAACAAATTCCTCCAAATTGCTGCTCAGACTAGGGGCAAAAACATCTTAATGCACCTGACACTGGAGCCACACACATACTCGGCACAATGGCAACTGCCCGCAGGCAGCTTTGAAATGCTGCCTTCTCTACAAATGGCCTAAGTTCTAATCATCTGTCTCTATCTGATCAGAAAAACGTTTCCACCATGTGAACTTCCACCTTTCTGTCTCAGACCAGCCCAACCAGGTAATTTTCACCTCTGCCTATTCCCCTTCAATTTAACTGCTTCCTCTTCAGGTTTTTGTCTTAGAAAAAGGGATTCTCTGTCTAGGTCTAGTCTCTGTGGCAATGCACAAAGTTCCTGTCATTTCCAGTTGGTTTCCTCATCATCAGTCTTCTTCAGACACCCCCAAAACAGATGGCGCTCAGAGATCTGAACTCCAGCCCCCACGATCTGTCAAGTGCAGGCCGACCCTCACCACGGGCCTGGCTTACGTTAGTGGTGAAGGTTCGAGACAGAAGCTCTTCTCGCTGTCTCTCCTGCTGCTCCCTTGCATGGCGCCGATGCTGGAAGTTTCTGAGCGCAGTCTGCAGGTGCTGGACATCATACTTTAACTGGTCAACCCGACTGGAATTGATGGAGAGAGAGATTAAATTCCAGGAACTCAGGGCAGCAGAATCTGAGGGGGCCAGGCTTTGTACTGAGGAAAGACGGCGTTTCCTTACTTCTCCCTACACCACCCCACACTATACCCCCTCACCACAAGATCTAATTTTGATCAACGATGTTGAAAGTCAAGAAGAAACTTGTGGTTAAAGTGAGATGGTAGCACACAAGATTCCAGCAGCTTGACTTCAGAATCTGTTGCTCTGATTCTGGATGCATGACAGAGAACAGGGGACAGGAAGCAGGCTCACTGACCTCTTCTTGACCTTCTATGGATTATATGGCTCTCCTGGAAGAAGCCCAAGGGCATCTTTGAGGTAAAGCATCCACAAAGTTTCATAAAACTTTTGGAAACAGGCGCTGGGGGTGGAGGTGGCAAGGGTGGTTTCATTTTAATTTCATGCTGGAGTATCAAACATTAGATCAGCATTTCATTATGGGTGGACTGATTGAAGTGATTTTTCATTTCAACCCAAGAAGAACCCAGCAGGAACCAAAGAGCAGAACAAAACTCCATGGCAACATTAGGCTTCAGGTGGCTATGGATCTAGTCAAAAAACAGAACTGGAGGCAAAATTTCAAAATGACACCAAAGAGGTAAGGGGTCACAAGGTTTCTGAGTCACAAACCTCACAGGCTATTTATTTTGAGCGGCATCACTCAGATAGAATTGTGCCCTTTGAGGGGGCTTTTTCTTTGCATAGTCATAGTTTTTCAACATGTACGTTGGTTTTCAGAATATTCTATCACCTCCCCCAGGGAGAAAAGCCTGTCTTGATGGGCCTGGAGTATCAGAGCCATGTCAGAGGTCAGCACTTACAGTCTGGCATTTTGCCTTTTGTTAGGGGGCTCCTTGCTGGACAAAATCTCCAGACGTTCTAGACGGCTGAATATCTGGTCTATGCTTGCTTGGATTTCGTTTTCTACTACTGTACAAAAAAGAAAAAAGAATAATTGCTGGAAAAGAGATAGTGAACTTAAATTACAATGATAAATCACAGATTTTTTTTTCAATATCCAATAAACTAGAACTACATATTTCAAAAGGAGAAAAATGTATACACTAATGAATAACAGAAAAAATTCAAGTTAGGCCGTAAATGTTGTTTTGAAAAAAGTACATGTATATAGCTGTTAATGACATAACAATGCCAATTTTTTAAAAAAGCTGAAGGTAAATCTGTAGAAATAAATTTCCTACCTTTAGAAAATAAACATGCAAAGGTTGTCCAAATAAATACTTTAAGCTAAATTTTCTGATATAGGTCTCTTTTCCTTTGGGATTCTCAGACGTGGATTATAAATACCTAGAAAAAGGCTGCCAATTGAATTCCCTATAGTAATGAGTTTTTTTTTTTTTATTTAAAAAAAAAAAAGCATAAAGGAAGGGGAAGATTAGTATGTGAAACATACAGAGAAGAGTTCCCTTAAGGCTTTCTTCCCTTAAAGCTTTCTGTAAGAATGGGTGGGCTGAGCAATGTTGACGTCCCCAAAATAAACCAAATATCAATAGGAAAGGCCCAGGAAAGAATCCACAGAGGTAAAGAGATACGATAAATACGGTCATTTTCCCTATCCCTTTCGATAAGACAGTCAAAATGACCTCTTTCCATTTCTAATCATGTAACAATGAGATTGCTGAGAAGGCAAACAAAGTCCGATGAACAAAGAAGCTAAACTGTGCACAAAAGAAAGCATCCAGACTGCTTCTTGCCCCATAAAGAAGTGACAGCAGTGACACTGCCCCTTCCTAGCCCTTTGTGCCCACAGTGAACAAAGACAGTTGAGATTAGAACAAGGTGGGGCACAGAACCAAGAACAGAGCTGCTTTTGAAGCTGCGAAAGGAGACATGAGAGAACAGGAGGAATGGGTCCTGAGGGAGCCCAGCAGTGGGGTGGGTAGGCAGCCCCCGCAGGTGGTGTCCATATGACCAACTCAGAAAAAGGACCTTTCCTCAGAATAGAAAAAAAAAAAAAAAATGAAAAAAAACAAAAAACCAGCATGCTTCTCAAAAGAAACCATGCTGTGGGAACTAAACTAATTAATATTGCTGTTCGTTTCTGAATAATCCTCCTAAAAAGCCACAGTTCTCAGCTCAGAAGAAATGGCCAATTCCAGTTAAACATCTCTGAATTTTTATGGAGTACATTCCTCTAAGGACTAGGTAATTAGATTAAGATAGATGGAGGCAAGCGCTTCCATTCCCATAGGGCCATGTCAGGTTGAGTGGAGGGGTAATGGGGGATAAGACTTGTGGGATTCCAAAGGGCACACTCAGGGAAATCAGTGACTTTGCCATAGGGTTTTTCTGTCCACCCTAACAACAAAACTCATTCCACGCTGAATCATTAAGCCCCCAAGGCAGAGTGCAGTCAGGAAGCCCAGCCCATTAGCACCCTGTCATCAGAGAAAGGACTCTGGTCTCCACAGTTAATTACTCACTGTGCACAGACTGCTTGTCTGCCGTCTCCAGGCGTCCCATGCAAGACTGGATCTCGTGGACCTGCCTATCAAAGGAAGAGGGAGGAAATGAGTGAGACAGGAGTAATCAACAGCGCTTCAGTCAGGAAAGACAATTTTTCTGATGCCAACATGTAACTGATTTAAATCGACAGCATCACTGAACTGTAAAATTTGTATGTGGCACTTTAGGTCCCACGTTTTGGCATGGTTTCTAATATCTTAACTACTAACAATAACACTGATAGGCAGATTATGGGTGCTTACCATATCCAAGATACTCTGCCAAATCAATAACCCTATGAGGAAAGTACCATTATCATCCTCATTTTATAAAAACTGAAGCCCAGAAAGGTTATGTAACTTGTTCAAGATCACACAGCAAGTGATAAACCTCAAACTGAACCCGGCCAATCCTACTTTCTGTTCTACGACCTAATGTGCTAAGCACTGGCCTGTACCAGGAAGAGTCAAAGGGCGAGGGAGATATAATCCTTGTCCTTGAGAAACAACATAATGAGGAATGACAGGCTAAACAGACATGAACAAGCCCTGGGAAGATTCACGAGAAAAGCAATACACATAAGTATAAACAAACAGAAAGAGGGGCAGCTCTGCACAGTGGTGTCACAGGCAAGCAGACAGAGGGGTGGGGCTGAGAAAGAGAAACCAGGTAAGTTATGTGGATGGAAAGAGTTCTGAGCATCGCTGTGAAGAAGGGAGACATCATTTGGTGAAGGAAGATAGAAGAAAATGATATGCAAAAATTCATTCAAGACATGTGGATTACAAGTAGGGTGGGCTGCTTGAAAGGGAATCGGGTTGGGGGAGAGGATGCTGAAGTGACTCACTGGAGGAAACCATTCAGAGGAAGACCCTGAGACAGGGACCTTCTGTTTGGTAAACATCCTTCTCCGACAATATCAAGGAACGAAGGAACTGCCATCTCATTTGGAAATGCAACACTGTACCCTGGATCTGGGTAACACTCTCTGGAGGCTTCCCACGGTCTGGCCAAGGTCATCCTTAAGACCCCCTTCCTAATGGTCCTCCATGATCAGTCCTCGGGATACTGCTTATGCTGGCCCCACCATCCACTTCCCGGTGCTCACGGTGGAGATTTCCCCAAGTTAGGGCCCACATGAAGGGGGCCTGCTGGACTCTCACATCATCCCCAACGCTGGAGGAAAGGTCAGCAACCATTCTGCATCGTGAGCAATGCAAACCAGGACCCCAAATCTACCAATGCCAGCCAGGCACCCAACTTTGGCTTCAGCTTGTGCCCAGTCTTTTCCAGGGCTTCCCTATGGCCTCCAGATATGCCCTCGGGCACCAAAAGAAGCTGGGTGAGCTGTCAAATGACTCCCCAGGGTGCTCCTAGGCAAGACCTGTGGCCCTGAGAAGCAACTAGAAATCACTGCTAGAGTCCGAGACCAGGCCGTTGCTTCCGGAAAGTAAGTCTGGGATATTGTGGGATGATGCGGGGGTGTGGAGGTATGGGGGCTGATGTAGGAATGCAGCCTGAGGTAGCCGACACCTGAAGCAGGGCAACCAAGGGAACAGGTACAGGGGACCGGAGGGTAACGGGGACAGAAAGGAGAATTAGGACTCTAAGGAAGTCCTGACGCAGGCTGTGAGGTAAATTTTCAATGCTGATTTAACAGAAAAATCTGAAAGTTGGTAATATGATCAACACGAACAGTGACATAATAAAAAGGGGGGAGGTAAAGAATAGCCAAGACCACTCTGAAGAAGGAGGGGGAGGAATGACTTGTCCCACCTGCCATTATGACTTACAAAGCAGTAACAATGGAAACAATATGGCGGCAGTGCAGGTGCAGACAGACAAGGAAAGGCAAACCCTACAGCTGGCCCAAGAGGAAAGAAACAGCCTAGACACAGCCCCACGTTATTTGGGAGCTTTTGAAAGAAGGGACTACAATAAATGCCAACAGCTCCGGTTTGTTACCCGTACAGAAAAAGGCCACCTCAGGTAACACATAAAAATAAACTCAAGCTCACTTAAAACCCAAATGGAAAAAGCAGAGCAGCTTTCAAACTTTCTGAAGAAAATACAGGTGTGCATAAATGACCTCGGGTTACAGAAGATTTCTTAAATAAGACAAAATCCAAAAACTACCCACCCCCACAAAACCCACAAACCACAAAGAAAAAGATGGATACATCTGACAACATGAAAACAAAAAACTTCTGTACACCAAAGCCACAAAATAAACAAATGAATGGCACAGACTGGAGGGTATCTGCAGCAGATAACAAAGGATTGACGTGCAGAAAATATATAAAGAATTGTTACAAATCAATACAAAAAGTCAAACAAGGCATTTTTTTTAAATGAAAAAAGGGCAAATGACAGAAAAGAAAACCCAAATGGTCAATCAATATACAAAATGACACTCAACTAGGAAAACACAAATGAAAAGCAATGAGATCACATTTCTTCAGCCCATCAAACTGACAAATATTTTAAAGTTTGGGGACATATGCATTAATAAGGAAACAGGGAAACTAGAACTCTCATACCCAGCTGGTAGGATTATAAATTGGTAAAACACTTTAAATGCTTTCTGACAATAACTAGTAGAATAAAGCATGTGTCCATGCTATGACCCAGCAGTTTGAGGAATGTGTCCTAGAGAGGTTCTGGCATACCCTGAGGAGATGTACATGGCAGGACGTTCATCAAAGCACTTTTGTACAGGCCCATAATCCACTGACTTTTCCCATCAAATCTCTATTTGCTTTGAACCAATCAGAGACAATGTGGCCAATAATACAATTCCAGCGGCTACATTTCATGCTAAGAAAACATAAATATGAAACAACAAAGCAAGTATGAATGGCAAGGTGGGAACTACTAATATGCCAAGTGCAAAATCTGTCTCAAACTGAACTGGGAATTCTAACACAACATAACACACTGGAAGTCCATAAGAAACAGGTGATACACAAGCATGACTTGGGAGCGTGGACATGAGGAAAAAGAAGTCTTAGCCCTCTCTAGCATGGGGTCCATGGTGGGCTTGGGTGATAATATAACAAAGCAGAGAAATAGTAGCAAATAAGCCAGGGTCATTGTAGCCGTCTTTAAAAAAGGTTTACAGAAGATCTAGGAAGAATTTTTTAATGGAAGTGCTTTTTAAAAGTTCATGAAACTACTCACCGCCCCCCACCACCCCATAACATCCACTTTGCATCCAGGCTGCCTCTGACCATGATGAACATGAAAACGCTGTGTAACCTACACAGCATCATGTAAGTTTGTTGTTAACTTTACTTAAAAGTAGTGGCAACAATCTGGTCATTTTCATTTCACTCACTTTGCCTTTACATTTCGCTCATTAAAGGGCAAAATCTATAAAGGAAAAACATGGTCTTGAGATAAGGTAATAGTTCTTAAGCTCCGCTGTTCAGGAAAAAAAATGGTCTTGAGATAAGGTAACAGTTCTTAAGCCTACCTGCTCATCAAAACCACCTAGGGAGCTTGTTAAATGTAGTGCTTCTTGTGTCCTGGACATACGATAAGGTCCAGGACAGGAGACTGATCTTGGACTACATAGGGGACAAATGTGGTCACCTTTACAACCATTGGGATCTCAAAAATAGAAGCCTGGCTATTAGCTCCTCTATAAAGTTCATCTAAATTAAACATTTAAGTGTAAAATGTTTATTGTTTTCATTCATTCATTATTTTCATTCATTCATTGTTCAGGTAGGTTCAGGAGTTTTCAAGTAACTTTAATATGTCAATCTAATTCCAATGTACTCAATGTATTCAGTGACACGGCAAGAGATAATCACAAACTGGGTTCAAAGTTCCAGTAAAATTAATAAGTTCAGCTACTGTTGTGTCAACTCAGCTACAATCACTAATTTCTGCAGTTGCGAAAGTTCATTGCTGGTGCTCACTGGACTCCACGTGTTTCTTGTGAAAGTCATTCAGTCATCAGTTCTGTTATCATGGAACTGAAAGGAGCCTTACAGTTTAACCAGCCCAAATTATAATATCATTCTACAGATGAGGAAAAATAAAGTAAGGAGGTCTAGAACCAGAACTCCCACTCCTGGTTCAGCACTGGAGAGGAAAGATAGACAAGATACTGCAGCATAAAAGAAGGTAAACTCCTCGAGGGCAGGGCTGTGCTGCCAGCACTGAGAATGGTGCACAGCACATAGTAGGTGCTCAATAAATATTCAATGAATTAATGAGTGTCGGGGTAGCAGAGGGCCTAATAGTTGTGGGGCAAAGCTGGCCCACTGCTTGTTTTGATAAATAAAATTGTACTGGAACACAGGTACATCAATTAGTTTACATATTGTCTATGGCTGTTTTCCCAATATAACAGCAGAGTAGTAACTACAGAGACCGTATAGCCCACAGAGCCTAAAATATTTACTATCTGGCCCTTAATAGAAAAAACTGGCAAGCTGCTAGAGTCCAAGGGTGCATTGTTGGAGGCCTACAGAGCATCTACACTCCACACACCTTGTTTGGGGTACCATTTAGAATTCCTCTTCTGAGCCATGCAGTTTTCTCTGTGATTAGCTGCACTGAAAACAGGTAGTCTAAGACTCTCTAAATAAAGTTATTCTTGAATATAAAATGGGTCATGGCCTTCTTGGCAACATCCTTTAACTAAATTAACTAGATAAGACCATACATAACAGATTAACTTCAAGGCACTACTATGCCCATTGTGCCCTGCTATTGTGAAAGATAGGCCCTTTCTTAGTAACATGAACATAATTTCGTTTCATTCTTTCTCTAAATTACTCACAGACTAGTTTTAAGTCCCTTCCTATAACGTTTATGTGAGAATAGGGCTCCCCAGTGTAAAAGAAAATTCTGTCATTACAAAGTAGGTTCTGTATTTTCGCCTGTCCAAATGAAACACCTCATCGCCAAAATAAAAGAAACCCATAAACTTAGAAAATGAAAGAGAAAGAGGATCATCACCCTCTTATTCCTCATGCTTCAGGGCATTTCATTTCCAGGCCTTGGGAGTGTGATTTTAAGTGTTTTAATCAACAAAACTACAGCATAAGTTTGAAAGTTCTCAATAGGATAGGTATATACCTCAAAAAATTGAGAAGAGAAACTAAAACAGATACTTCTACACCAGAGTTCATAGCAGTATTATTCTCAACAGCCCAATGGTGGAAACAACTCAAGTGTCCATCAACAGATGAATGGATAACAAAATGTGGTAGACACATAAAACGGAATATTATTCCGTCATAAAACAGAATGAAATTCTGGTAACAGGCTACAATATAGATGAACCCTGAAAACATTAAGTGAAATAAGCCAGATACAAAAGGACAAATTCTGTATGACTCCACTTATATTAAGTATCTAGAATAGGTAAACTCATAGAGAGAAGTAAAACAGAGGTTACTAGGTGTTCTGGAAGGAAGAAATGAAGTGCTACTGATTAACAGGCACACTGGGATGATGAAAAAGTTCTGGAAATGGATCGTAGTGATGTAAGTTGTGAATGTACTCAATGTCACTGAATTGTACACTTAAAAATTGTTAAAACAGTAAATCTTATGTTGTGTATATTTTACAATAAAAAATAAAAATCATAAAATTCCGTCCCTCCAAAACAGGGTAAAAATCATAATTCTGCCCCCCGCCCCCAAAAATAGGGTAAGTATGGCCCCATTAATACTCAACTACGTATCTCAGCAATTCCGAAAGTGCAGGACGATGCGAATAAAGGACACTACCAAGGAATTTAAGTTATGAGAAACTAAATTACAATTTGATTTTCTTAGCGATAACCTGTAACCAGATACGATTAACAAGTAATAATAGTGAATGCTACGTGGACAGCAATTTCTTTGTACCATAAAAATGTGGTCTTTAGTATAAATCGAATAAGAATACAAATACTTTCCCGTACGTGCCCTGACTCTCCAATTAAACAGTACACTCCTACGGCCAGGGGCCGTGTCTCCTACTCCGTGTCTCCTCTCGAGGTCTACCAACCAGGAGCACCGAGTTGACAAGTGCTGGACAAAGTTTTATAACCTGCAGGTGCCAGTTTCCCGTCACCCAGTCTACCCAGCAGGTAGTCACGAACTTGCAGACCCCAGGAGTCATCTGCCCCACGTCTCCAGGCCCCAGCCTGAACCCACTGTCTGTGGCTGACCTGGGAGTCCCGCCAAGGATTAAGCACTTCGGAGGCATCCCCAGCAGTGCCCTGGCGGAAAAACTCGGCCTCTACCCTGGCTGACGTCCGAGGCCTCAGCCCCAGAAGCCAGGCTCACCTGGCCTCGCCTCGTCTAGCCCCTGCCCGCTCCCCGACCGGCCCTCACTTGTGCGTTTGCTGGAACAGGGGATCCATGTCGCCGGCCCCGCAGGCCACGGCTCCGGCTCTGGCTTCCTCGGAACACGTCCTCACAGCCCCCCTTCCGGTTTCCGGCTTCCGGTCGCAGGACCCTCCCTCCCCTGCCGGCCAGGGCTGCCCGCACGCGCGCCTTACTAGCAGTGGTTGCGAGATCGGAGAAGGGGAAGGAGAAATGAGGCCGGCGACGGAAGGATAAGTGTAGTCACAGGCTCGGCTTCACGTGAAGGGCAAGGCGGTGTACATGTTCGCTGAAGGCTAGCCTCAGGATTCAGTCAGGCGTTAGGAAGGACAATCGCGGGATACTAACGAGAGGTCCTCAGAGCAAAGTTGAAGGCGAGCCGCTATCATCTGCTGTTCTCTGCCGCAGAGAGGACTGGAGGTTCTTGCTTGGCTTCACTTTAAACCATTTAATCGGGGGTCTGGAGATTTCGCTCTTCACTGTTTTTCCTGGCGCAAGCTTTTCCTGTTTCGCATTTGTCTACTCACTCTCCCGCCTATCTACCCCCCATTCCTATTTATCCATCCAGTAAACCTACATTGAATGAGTGGTTATTATGTGTCATGTGTAAAGTAGGGAAAACCGGGTTCCTCCTGCCCTCAAAGAGGTTCTGGTCTGGGAAAGGAAATAAGATATGTATACTCTCAAAAGACAAAATTACAAGAAATGTAGTTATAGATTTTTTTTCTTTATTTTATTATTTTTTATTATTATACTTTAAGTTCTAGGGTACATGTGCACAACGTGCAGGGTTGTTACATATGTATACATGTGCCATGTTGGTGTGCTGCACCCATTAACTCGTCATTTACATTAGGTATATCTCCTAATGCTATCCCTTCCCCCTCTCCCCACCCCACAACAGGCCCCGAAGTGTGATGTCCCCCTTCCTGTGTCCAAGTGTTCTCATCGTTCAGTTCCCACCTATGAGTGAGAACATGTAATGTTTGTTTTTTTGTCCTTGCGATAGTTTGCTGAGAATGTTGGTTTCCAGCTTCATCCGTGTCCCTACAAAGGACATGAACTCATCATTTTTTATGGCTGCATAGTATTCCATGGTGTATATATGCCACATTTTCTTAATCCAGTCTGTCATTGTTGGACATTTGGGTTGGTTCCAGGTCTTTGCTATTGTGAATAGTGCTGCAATAAACATACATGTAAATGTGTCTTTATAGCAGCATGATTTATAATCCTTTGGGTATATACCCAGTAATGGGATGGCTGGGTCAAATGGTATTTCTAGTTCTAGATCCCTGAGAAATCTCCACACTGTCTTCCACAATGGTTGAACCAGTTAACAGTCCCACCAACAGTGTAAAAGTGTTCTTATTTCTCCACATCCTCTCCAGCAGCTGTTGTTTCCTGACTTTTTAATGGTCGCCATTCTAACTGGTGTGAGATGGTATCTCATTGTGGTTTTGATTTGCATTTCTCTGATGGCCAGTGATGATGAGCATTTTTTCATGTGTCTGTTGGCTGCATAAATGTCTTCTTTTGAGAAGTGTCTGTTCATATCCTTCGCCCACTTGTTGATGGGGTTGTTTGTTTTTTTCTTGTAAATTTGTTTGAGTTCATTGTAGATTCTGGATATTAGCTCTTTGTCAGATGAGTAGATTGCAAAAATTTTCTCCCATTCTGTAGGTTGCCTGTTCACTCTGATGGTAGTTTCTTTTGCTGTGCAGAAGCTCTTTAGTTTAATTAGATCCCATTTGTCAATTTTGGCTTTCGTTGTCATTGCTTTTGGTGTTTTAGACATGAAGTCCTTGCCCATGCCTATGTCCTGAATGGTATTGCCTAGGTTTTCTTCTAGGGTTTTTATGGTTTTAGGTCTAACATGTAAGTCTTTAATCCATCTTGAATTGATTTTTGTATAAGGTGTAAGGAAGGGATCCAGTTTCAGCTTTCTACATATGGCTAGCTAGTTTTCCCAGCACCATTTCAAAAACGATGGTTAGATCCCACGAAGTAGGTGGTAATGCCTTAACCGTATGCGTGTTGTCAGGCCCAAGGGCCTCTTCCATCCTTGTCAAAGGGAGTGCTAACCTTCTCTCCTTTAATACAACACAGTTACAGATCTTAACTGGCTATTTGCGATTCTAGCACCAGGCAACACCTTATTCTATAAAATAGAATGAGTATTCTGATGAGCTGAGCAGAGGAGATTATCTTTATAGACAGAAAAGGGCTGAAAAAAAAAAGCAGAAACAAAGAACAAGTTTCAAAGTTATTTTACTTGTATTGGTTAAGGCAGAAGGGACTTCCTTTATCATGGGGATATGGCTATTTTCCCTCTCTTCTGATTTCTCCTAAGGTCAGATGAGCAGCTTAATTTTGGCTTTGTGGCTTGGAACTTTAGCATGAGTGACTCTATTTTGGTTTGGCCTGTTGCGCCTAGTGCAGGAGCTCAGTCCAAACCAATGGCTTTCTATGAATTTTATTTATCAAGACAAACATTCTAGAAGGTAGAAAATCCAAAGAGATTGAGCTGAGCTGGGGGTCGTCTCTAGGAGGAGATTTAGGAGAGACTTAATGAAGGGGTGGCATTTGAGCTGGGACTGGGTTTGGACACTTCTCTGTCTCCACATAGGCTATCCCGTTTCCATCCTCCAAGCTTATCTACTATTCCTCCCAAGGCAGGAGACATTCTTTTCTTGGACAAGTTGATACTTCTCTTTTCCTGGATCCTGGATCCCACCCAGTTTTGTGTCCCAAGAGACTGTCCACCCATGTACATTCTTTTCCTAAAATTATTTTTTTCACTTTTTCTATAATTGAGCATCTACAATGTACCATGCACAGATACTGGAGATAGGAACACAAGCAAGACACAGCCCTAAAACCTCCCATATCTCTCATGGTCTGTTGGGAGAACTAATCATACCCTCAAGCTACATTATTAAGTAGAATACATGCTACAATTGATACAAAGTACCATTTCCGTGGGAAGGGCAAGAACGGTTCATGGACAAAATAGCATATGAATAAGACCTTCAAGAATCAATAGAATTTTAACAGTGTCTTGTATATACTAACCACTCTGAAAATGTTTATTGTGTCTGCCTGGTAGAGATGAAGAGGAGGGCATTTGAGGCTGAGGGAATAGCTTGAGCAAAGGCAAACAGAAGGAAAGAACATGAATCTCCTCTGGCTGGATTCAGGGTGTTTGGGGCAATAATAGTAGTCGAAGAAAGGTTAGAACGAGATCATAGGAATTTTTTTTTCTTTCTTTCTTTCTTTTTTTTGAGATGGAGTCTCGCTCTGTTGCTCAGGCTGGAATGCAATGGTGCAATCTTGGTTCACTGCAACCTCCGCCTCCTGGGTTCAAGCAATTCTCCTGCCTCAGCCTCCCGAGTAGCTAGGATTACAGGCACCCACCACCACGCCCAGCTAATTTTTGTATTTTTAGTAGAGACAGGGTTTCACCATGTTGGTCAGGCTGGTCTCGAACTCCCGACCTCAGATGATCCACCCGCTTTGGCCTCCAAAGTGCTGGGGTTACAGGCGTGAGCCACTGCGCCTGGCCAGGAAATCTTAAATGTCAGATTGGGTTTTTCTTTATAGATTTTTATTCTGCGGGTAGTTGGAAGCTATCAGAAAAATCTATCAGAGGATAGTAATGTAAAAAATTTCTCAAATAATTTTCATGCCTATGTCTTGTTTTCCTTTGGGTCTCATGGCATCCCTGGGAGGTGGATAAGGCAGATAAGGAAATTGAAGTCCAGAAGATCTCCCTTCTGCCTCTCAGTCTCTTAAGTCTTTATACGTATTTAGGCCTTCCTCTAAATAGAAGAAAATGCCACTCTCCAGCTTACTGCATTTTTAACTTATATCCCATTTTTTCTTTTTCTTGTATGGCTAAACCACTTGGATAATTGATATATACTGCTGATATTCTCTTGGCATGACTTACCCTCCAGCCTCTCCTTCATTTTACTAGAACGTTTTCTAGGCTCACCAGAGTCCACTTGACTTAGTCCATTGGTCTCCTTCCATAAATCATCCTACATTATAGATTCATTGAGCTGATAACTGTGTGTCAAGCACAATGCAAGGGCTGATATACAAAGATGAGTAAGACACCACCTTACCATAGAAGCTCTTTAATATACTGGGAGGTAAACATCTATACAGATAATTAGAATCCTATGTGGTGAGTGTGGGGTACAGTAATTGGGAACTGTGGGATGACAAGGAGGGAACACTTAGCCCAGTTTGGTGACTCAAGAGAGATTCAAAGAGGAGATGATACCTAAACTGAATCTTGGAAGATAAGGCCAGTGGGGAAAACATCCCAGGAAGAGGAAACAGCGTACACAAAAGCAAAGATATATGATGTGCAGGGGAAACTACAAGCAGTTTGAAGTTACTAGAACATAATGCACAAAAAGACAAAGGACAAGGCCAGAAAGGTAGCTTGTGGCCAAGTCAGTCTAAGGAGCTTGGACTTCATTCTGTAGGAGGGAGGGAGCTGCAGTCCAATGACCCTTGTGGTTCAGGGGGAGCTATTTCATTAGTACTTCATTGGTGAGTAGTGCTCTGGGAAATTGTATGTGTGTGTGTGTGTGTGTGTGTGTGTGTGTGTGTGTGTGTGTCTGCCTGCTATATCTCTATCAGGTTGGTGCAAAAATAATTGTGGTTTTGCAATTACTTTTAATGGCAAACCATAATTACTTTTGCACCAACCTAATACCTACATACCTACCTATTTATCTATCACGTTGACAGGACTGTATCTAGGTTTTGTGGAGCCCCAAGCAAATGTTTTTGTGGGCCCAGTCTGTATATGCAATTTGATTAAAAACTGTGTTATAGGCCGGGGGCGGCGGTTCACGCCTGTAATCCCAGCACTTAGTGAGGCCAAGGTGGGCGGATCACGAGGTCAAGAGATCAAGACCTTCCTGGCCAACATGGTGAAACCTCTTCTCTACTAAAAATACAAAAACTAGCTGGGCATGGTGGCACGTGCCTGTAGTCCCAGCTACTCGGGAGGCTGAGGCAGGAGAATTGCTTGAACCCGGGAGGCGGAGGTTGCGGTGAGCTGAGATCGCGCCGCTGCACTCTAGCCTGGGCGACAGAGCGAGATTCCGTATCAAAAAACAAACAAACAAACAAAACTGTGTTATAAAATTCATGGACTCGTGAAGAATAGTGATTTAACAACAAAGATTTAGAATAATTAGTAGAGAAAAGTACTTAGATATTTGTTTATTGTCTAATAAGTGCATGTGAATATTCTTTACAGTGTTCAGGCACCATCGCTTTCTGTCTGGGTCCAGGAACTATCTCTTTATGTTATTGTCAAATGTGCTATTTCTCACTAGTTTCTGGCTACATGAGAAAAGGGGAACAACATTGTTATTCAAATACCATGACTCTTCAGAACCTGTTTGTATTGGCCTATGTAGCTTTCTTTGCCCCTCCAGTTCCTAATGCTATTTATTTAAAGCTGGTACTGCAGAGAGTCCCCACTAGGGCAACGCCAAGCGGAAATGTGGGATTGGAGCCACCACATAGTCTGCAGTAGGGCAGTGCCTAGTGAAGCAGCGGGAATGGAGCCATCTCCAAGACCACAAAACTGTAGTCCTACCAGTATGCAACTCCAGCCTGGGAACTGTAGGCAGGAGACTCAATCCATCAGAGCTGCTGCATGGACCGAGCCTAGAAAGGCTGTAGAGGTGGGACTGCCCAAAGCTTTGGGGAACCAGCCTCCCAGCATGTCCAGGAGTGGGACATGAATCAGAGATTATTCTCTAGCTTTAAGACTTAATGTTGTTTTCCCTGTTGGGTTTTGGACTTACTTGGGACCAGTTACCCTTCTTTTCTTGCCTAGTTCTCACTTTTGGAATGGGAATGTCTATCCTATGCCTGTACCACCATTGTAGTTTGGAAAAAGATAACTTGTTTTGATTTCACAGGCTCACAGCTGGAGGAATTTGCCTTGGGATGAATCATGCCTTGAGTCTCACCTATATCTGATTTAGATGAGACTTTGGACTTCAGGCTTTTGAGTTGATGCTGGATTGAGTTAAGACTTTTGGGACTATTGGGATGGAATGAATACATTTTGCAAGTGAGAAGGACATAAATTTGGCTGGGGGGCAGGGGGAGAATTTTATGCTTTGAATGTGTCCCCCCCAAATTCATATGTTGGAAACTTGGCTGCCATTGTGGCAGTACTGAAAGGTGGGGCCTTTGGGAGGCAATTGGGTCACAAGGACAGAGCCTTCATGAATGGATTGATGTTGTTACTACAGGAGTGGACTCCTGATAAAAGGATAAGTTTGGCTGCCATTGTCTGTCTGTTTCATGTACTAACTTCTGCCTTTCACTTTTCCATCATGGGATGAACTTCACCAGATGACGGTGCCATGCTCTTGGACTTACCAACCTCCAGAACTGTGAGCTGAATAAACGTCTTTTCTTTAAACATTACCCAGTGTGTGGTATTCTATTATGGCAGCAGAAAATAGACTAAGACAGCTGGTTGTGTTGATAATGCCATTTATTTAATGCTGGTTACATCATTACTCATGATGCTGCACAATTCTTCACTCTACGTACAAATACTGGCTTCATAACTCAAAGTTTGTTCCTGTGCTTCTTTAGTGATGACACCAATGGCAAGTTTTGCTTAGAGTATGCAGAAAAATGTGAATAAAATTTCGCCGATCAGAGTTTTATATGTATGTTTACAACAATATATCATCCAACCACATCTTCTCTTGAGTTCTTTAGGCCTTAATCACTGAATTCCTAGAAGGTGATTTCTTTCAGTGTTGACTGCACCCCTGCCTTCCACACACTGAAATCAGTTGTCAGGGGAGGGAGTGGATAGGCTCAGGGCCCATGGGTGGAGCAAGAAGAGAAGTTCCATTCATGTAAGGAACATCTGGCCCTCACCTGGAACAGCTTAAAACCAACCCAGTATCTCATGAGATCACTATATTGATCAGAGGCAAGAGAGGACATTGATTGTAAAAGCTGGTTGGCCTTACAGCATAATGGTCTTGAATGGAGAAGATAGGCGTGGCCACTTCTGGAGGATTGCCTGACATGTGTTGCAAAGCCTTGGAGAGGGGTGAACACCTTGTACCAGCTGGAGGTGGGGTACCCCAGCAGTCAGGTTAAAGGATGCATCCACTCTCATTATTGTGTCATGTCAGAGGTGGCACTGTGGTCATAAATGTGGTGAGAGCCAGGGCATTGACCCACACAGGTGGCTCAACCTCAAGGGTTGGTGGTGAACTGTTAGTAGCCCAGAGTTCTGAACTCATATATCCAATGTGAATCACCCCAAATTAGCCAATCAGTACCATTCTAGTGGCCCAGTATTGTTCAATGCCATAAAATAAATACTGTGCTGGTCAGCAGAAGCAATCTACTTGTCAGGTTGCCCTGGACAACCCCATAGGCATGAGCCCTGAACCGCCTCAGGGCATTTGGCCAACCACACAGATCAAGAGGTGGGTCACAGAGTACTCTGAAGAGAAACCAACTGGGATGATCCCAGCCACTGAAGAGAACTTAGAATATTTCAAGAAGAGCACTCAAAAGTGTGGGGTCCCCTGAGAATCTGGCCTGGGGCCTGAGCTAGGGACCCTGCTTGCCTAGGTCTTAGGGCAAATTGTGTAATAAAATAGAGATGATCTCATATTCTTTGCTACTGCTACCATTGAGAGGTGGAGTCTAGTTTTATTCCCTCTAAACCTGCGCTGGTCTTAATGACTTCCTGGACCAACAGAATATGAAAGAAGTGAAATTCTGGGATTTTCAAGGCCAGGTTATAAGAAGCCCTGCAGCTTCCACTCAGCTTCTTGCAGCACTTACTCTGGGAGCCCCAGCCATCATGGAAGAAGCCCAGCAACCTGAGGCCACCATGCTGGAAAGGCCACGTGTAGGGGCTCCCGTTACCATTCCCAGCTGAGTCCAGTCTTCCAGCCATTCCCACCAAGGCATCATACATGTGGGCAAAGCCATATCGTACCCTCTGTGTCTATCTGTCAGCTGAATCCTACTGTGTGACCTCTGTAGACTCCATCTGAAATAGAATTGCCCAGCTGAGCCTCTGGTTGAATTCCTGTCCCACAAAATCAAGAGATATAGTAAAATGGATGAATTTTAAGCCACTGACTTTTGGGCTAGTTTGTTATGCAGCAATAGATAACCAACCTCAAAGAGTTTCTCATGTAGTTGGGATGAGAGGGTACAGGGCTTATGAAAATATAACAGTGCAAGACAGTGTACGAGTGTGTAATGAGTAGTAAGGACAATTAAGTTCTATCAGAATGCAGGAAAGAAAGATCCCTTTGAATTATTATGACAAAGGAAGACTTTCTAGAGTAGATGTGATTTCAGCTGGACCTTGAACTACAAGGATGTATGGAAAGGCAGGCACAGGGCATTCCTGGCAGGCAGTGAGATAAAGTTGGAATGGGTATAGGTAGACCCAGGAGGCAATCTGTGTGGTTTCTCTTGGCTAAGGCAAAGAGTTTCTTTTCTTTCCTTTTTCTTTTCCTTTTTTTTTTTTTTTTTTTTTTTGAGGTGGAGTCTCGCTCTGCCCCACAGGCTGGAGTACAGTGGCATGATCTAAGCTCACTGCAACCTCCGCCTTCCGGGTTCAAGAGATTTTCCTGCCTCAGCCTCCCGAGTAGCTGGGACTACAGGCATGCACCACTACGCCTGGCTAATTTTTTTGTATTTTTAGTAGAGACAGGGTTGCACCATGTTGGTCAGGCTGGTCTCGAACTCCTGACCTCAGGTGATCCACTTGCCTCGGCCTCCCAAAGTGCCGGGATTACAGGCGTGAGCCACTGCGCCCAGCCGAAATAGGATAATTCTATTATCCCTTCTCTTAAACTATTAGTGGCCCCCCTACTCTCCTGGCCTGGTCACTCCCCTTCCCAGCGCACTTTCGGATTATTTTTCCTCCTGGCCGCCCCGCTATTGTGTCCCACCTGTGCCAATGCTCACATGCCACCTTGCACCGTTGGGGCCAGCTGTGACTATGTCCCACTTCCCTTACTAAAATATGAGAGTGCATCGAGATGCCCACATCATTCTTCAGCCACCCCCTGCACTTTCAATCATCCTTTTCAAAGTTCCCCAAAAGATCTTTCTAAAACACAGAGTAGGCTGGGTGCGGTGGCTCACACCTGTAATCCCAGCACTTTGGGAGGCCGAGGCAAGCGGATCACCCAAAGTCAGGAGTTTGCGACCAGTCTAGCCAACATGGTGAAACCCATCTCTACTAAAAATACAAAAATTAGCCGGGCATGGTGGCACATGTCTGTAGTCCCAACTACTCGGGAGGCTGAGGCAGGAGAATCACTTGAACCCAAGAGGCAGAGGCTGCAGTGAGCCGAGATCGTGCCACTGCACTCCAGCATGGGCGACAGAGTGAGACTCTGTCAAAATAAATAAAAATAAAAAAGTAAAAAATGAAACACAGTTGGTGCCTTGCCATGCTAAGCCTTTTGATGGCACCCTGGTGTCTAGAGAACACAGTAATATCCTCATCGTGGCAGACAGAGCCCTCGGTACTGGCCTCATCCTGGTCATTTCCGCCATCCTAACTAGAATAATTGCAGCTCTCCTCACAAGGTCTTTGTGTCTTCTGGCCTTTGTATGCACTGTTCCCTGTGCTTCAAACACCCTTCCCTCTGTCTCAGGCCTAAGCTATTACTGTTCATTCTTCAAGTCCCATTCTGAATTCACCTTCCTTGGGGCATGGCCCCAACCTCTAGGCTGGGCTAGAACCCCTTCCCCATGCTTCCTTAGCACTGGTGCTCCCTCTCAGCACTCGTCACAGGGGTCCCAGTTGTCCATTCACTAGCCCGAGGGTGGAAGATGTGTCTTACATCCCTGCATTTCCTGGTATCCAGCTCAGTGCCCGGTGTGAGGTAGGTGCTTGTGAAACTTCTGTTGCCTGGAAATGGACTCCGTTTCATTAACTTATTCGCCTAAGTATCCTACCTGCTTGGCATTTCAGAAATCTAGAATTATTTGGAAGTCGGCTTTTAGGCGATTAAAAACTGCCCTTAGCGGTGGAGCCATTCTTGCTGGAAGAGCCGTCACCTGGAATCAGTGCAAAGTGCCAAATACAGTGCCTCCCCTTTAGGCACTGGGACAGCCGTGGCTCGTTCTGTGCTCCCATCCGCCTCATGGGAGGCAGGACAGGCATCACCATGCCAGTTTTCTAGACAAGGACACTAAACTTCAGAGAAATTAACTCACCTGCCTAAGCTGGCCAAGCTTGTTGGTGGCAGAAGGGAACTAGGACCAGGCTGCTGTCATAAACCACCCTCCAGGTAGCTGCTGGATCATCTGGCCTTTGTGACCCAAAGAGGGCCGAGTCACACAGATAAACAGGACACCTCTGATGGCTTCCACTCTGGACAGCAACAATGACCCCAGTCACTCCCACCCCAAAGCCAGGGAAACATCATCTTGTCACCTCTGGATTTCTCCTCACCCCCTTGGGTTAAAGCTGAGCAGACAGGGTGGCACTTCTGAATTCAGAGGCTGCAATGAGCTGAGAAAAACAAGCATCTGTGGCCCCCTCCAGGACCCACCAAGTAGAGGGGATGTTGCCCCGGGTGCTGCAGGAGGTGGGAAGGGGACTCCAAGGAAGTTGTCCTCCCTAGAGAGTCCATCAGCAAATTGTCTCATGTAGCCATAACAGCCAGGAGCAAGGCAGGGAAGGAGGGTTTTGTCTAAGGAAAACCAGTGTATTGTAAACAGGATAAAAGGGGCTGGAAAGCCCCACTTATCACTGACTAATATGTCCCCAGGTCATCGGGGAGCTGGACCCCTACCAGCAGCCCTGAGGAGGGAAAGAATTCCCGATTAACCCCATCACCTGTGAGCTGGGCCAGGGCAAAGGTCTGGCTTTTTCTCTTGCTAAATGATTCCCATGGTCATTAGGCATTCGCAGGGCTCAGCAGCATTTCTAGGAAGCCCTCCCAGACTAGAGAAATGCCTTCTGCACCCGCTGCTCTTTGGGGCCATACGGAGCAGGGAGTAGGTGTGCACATCCTTGGGACAGCAGGAGAGGAGGTGTGAGGAAGGCAGAGGTGGCATGAGGCTAGGGGAAGCTGCAGGGGGAGGATGGTGGTCTTCTGGTCAATCGTGGGTGTGGAACAGACTTGTGTGTCACATCAAGCGATGGGGGTTGGCCTAGTGTAGACTTGAGGGGCTGGCTGAGAGATTGGTCACTCTGGGCTCTCACTAATAATGATCTCATTCATTCCTTACGAGCTCCTCATATCCAGGTATCTTAATTTATATTTATTTATTTTATTTATTTTGAGACGGAGTCTCATTCTGTCACCCAGGCTAGAGTGCAGTGGCGTGATCTCGGCTTACTGCAACCTCTGCCTACCAGTTCAAGCGATTCTCCTGCCTCAGCCTCCTGAGTAGCTGGGACTACAGGCGTGTGCCACCATGCCCGGCTAATTTTTATATTTTTAAGTTGAGACGGGGTTTTACCATGTTGGCCAGACTGGTCTTGAACCCCTGACCTCAGGTGATCCACCCACCTTGGCCTCCCAAAGTGCTGAGATTACAGGCGTGAGCCACAGTGCCCAGCTATCTTAATTTGCAGATGAGAAACAACACTGAGACTCAGCCGGGTTACGTAAAACATCCAAAGCTATGCAGCAGGCTGATGGCCAGCTGAGACCTAAATTTAGGCCTCACTGACTCCTACCTTGGGCATGTAAGCACCAGTTGGATCAGATACACCAGGTCAGTATTGAAGTGTGAAGAGTTCTGAGGGATGCTTGGATCATCTGAGTTCTACTCTCCTCTCAATGTACTTCACCCCTCTGGGGAGCCTTCTTTGGTTATCTCTGTCTCCTTTTGGGACCCCATTTTCCTGGACCATTAAGATGTGGGATAGTAGAAAGAGTTCAGTATTTTTAGACACAAAGCCTGAGTCTGATTCTCCAAGCTGGTCCCTTTGGACACATCAATTAATTCCTCTGAAACTCATTTTCTTTATCTTTAATAAGGAAGCAATACTACCCATTCTATGTACTTCACTGAGTTGAAAGAGAATTAAATGAGAAGGGGCATGAAAGGGCTTTCCATTTTGAGTGTTATTGTCACAGTGATTGTCACAGGTGCTCCTGGCCATTTCCCTCTGCACCCACCTTCCTCTCCAAGCATCCTGCCTTCACATTCACCTGCCTTGGCACCGCCATATGCATGTCATGCTCCTGCTCAGGAACCATCAGTGGCTCCCTGCTCCTGCTTCCTTAGCTTGGAATCGTGCCTTCCCCAGACCAACCCACCTCTACCTCCCAAAGTTGGAGCCTCTGCTTCCCTGCACTGCATGAGCTGACCGTGGGCTCAAGTCATGGATCCTATGCTGGGTGCTCTAATACACTGTGTGTTTTCACACCTGTGTGCCTTTGCTGGCTCCCTGAAGTGATTTGTCCCCGCTTCCAAGCTGGCTCAGATCCCAGCTCCTCCTCCAGCAGCCTTCCCGACCACTCAGCCTGTGGCAGCCTTTCCACTCCCTTGCCTTGATTGTTCTTGGCATTCACCTTGCTGGAGTATTGACTTTCCACACATAATCAGTCTCCAGGTTGGATCATATGCTTCTTGAGGACAAAGAGGTGCATATGTCTTTCCATGAATCTGCTCAACTACTCCAAGCTAGACAGGTGATGGCTAAGAGGACATCTTCAGGAATTACTCCATTTCCATGTGGGGTGAGGATGCCTTACCCCACCGTGAGAGTCACTAGAGCAGCGGCACTCGGAGGATCTGGCACACTGGAGGGCTGAGTAAATATCAGTGAATTGACTCCAGCTGTGTCAGGCCAGTGTGGAAGCGGAGGTTGTTTTTGGCAGGTGGCAAAGAGTGCCAACCCAGGAGAGCGCCACAGGACTTGCCCTGAGCATGCAGGAGATCCTGTATCATCCCGACCCATGCCACTCAATGAGTCCTTGGGGTTTCAAGGGGAGAGTGGGAGATGGGGGTATTGAGTAATTGCCTTCCTGCTCATTTGCCCACAGGGAAACTGAGGCCCAGAAAGGGATGTGATCTGCCCGATTGTGCAGAATTCAGAGCCCAGCTGGAACCTGAATGTCCTGACCCCCCATCCAGTGCCCCCCTTCCTACTCTATGCTGCCTCTCGGGTGACACACACAGCAGCAAGTGAGCCCTGCAGACAGAGACATTCTAGAACCCAGGCCTGGGACCAGTGCTCAGGAGCCATACTCTCAGCTAGATTGCCTTCAGCCTGCCAGGAGGAGGAGCAGCCCAGTCCAGACTGAAAGCCTCCAAGGAGGAAGTTCTACCGGCTTCTCCATGCCTCCAAACCCACTGTACCTTGTGCATTCCATCTGGAATTTTCTTCTGTTGAAAGGAAGGTGCTGGGTGGGAGGAGGAGGGAGAGGATCAGGAAAAATAACTAATAAATACTAGGCTTAATATCTGACACAAGTTTACGTATATAACAAACCTGCACATGTACCCCTGAACTTAAAAGAAAAGTTAAACAAAAAATAAAGGTGCTGTTGCCATGGCCCAAGCCACAGCGTCTAGAGCTGTGCCATCCAATACGCTAGCTGTTAGCCACATGCAGCTCCTGAGTACTTGAAACGTGGCTAGAGCAAATCGAGATGTGATGTCACTGTAAAGCATACACTGGCTTTCGAAGACAGTACAGAAAAAGGTAAAAAGGTAAAATATTAATATGCTTACATTTATGTTTTATGTTGAAACGATATTTTTCATCTGTATTGGATTAAATAAAATGTATTAATTTCCTCTGCTCCTTTTTCCATTTTAAATGTGCCATCTAGAAATTTACAATTAAATACATGGCTCATATTAAATACATGCATCTTCCCAGGCACAGCGGCTCACTCCTGCAATCCCGGCACTTTGGGAAGCGAATGCAGGAGGATTGCTTGAGCCCAGGAGTTCAAGACCAGCCTGGGCAACATAGCGAAACCTCATCTCTACAAAAAAAATTTTAAAAATTAGCCAGGGGTGGTGGTGCATACCTGTGGTCCCAGTTACTTGGGAGCCCGGGAGTTGGAGGCTGCAGTGAGCCATGTATGTGCCACTGCACTCCAGCCTGGGTGACAGAGTGAGACTCATGCTACATTTCTATGGCTCAGGGCTGGTCTGGATTGTAACCTTTGGCCTCTGATGAGACTGCAGGCTCCTGGAAGGCAGAGCTGCCTTGGATGGTACTTCTTCCACCAGACCCACCTCTCCCAGCCTGACAGCCCAGGGCCTCCTCATGCAGATGTACAAAGTGGGTCCCCAGTTTTCCAGACTGAATAGCTCCTCCATTTGGGCTCCTCTGAGGTCCCTCAGATCGAAAGAGTGGATCTCAGAGTGGGGTATGAGGGCAGTCCCAGGTGAGCTTTCTGTTGGAGGTGAATGGGACTTTCAGGTTAGGGCCAGAGTGAGGCACGGAGGCCCCTGGGAGGCA
Organism: Homo sapiens; assembly: GCF_000001405.40. NCBI lineage: Eukaryota > Metazoa > Chordata > Mammalia > Primates > Hominidae > Homo > Homo sapiens. The sequence goes on along the minus strand of NC_000017.11, from coordinate 46,908,733 downwards.
CTGAGTCTCCGGAAGGTGCAGGTGCTGACCCTGGGGATGTGGCCTGTCTTCCCCTGCTCCCAGCATGGCAGGCTTCAATATGGTTCTTTCATTGGCAGCCAGATGGCGGCCACATCTCTGCAGAAGTCCACAGCTGAACTCACAGCAGTCCCCAGGGTGGTCCTAATGGCTCCCACCCCCTCGGGCAAAATCCCCACTCAACATCCACCAAGCTAGCCTGTGCCCTTCTCTCTTCCACATCCAGCCTCAACTAAGCCAGACCGATGCCGGTTCTCGGAGGCCAGGCAGTCAGGGGCCCTTCCTCCCTTACCCTATTTTCAGCGCCTCCAGGAGACAAGCTGCATTAATGGCGATCATTTTGCAGCTTTGAAAGGGAAGCGCCCAGGACCCTGAGGCATAGGGTGAGAGGACCCCTCTTGAGGAGAGGGCCAGACAGCAGGCATCCCTCAGAGGCCCCCTTCCCGCTGCGGGCCATGAGGCCAACGTGTCCTGACACTGACAGGCTTCCTTGCACAAGCCAGACCTCACAGAGTGAGGGGGGCGGTGGGGGAGGAGGGGGGACACAGAGACAGGAGGACTGGGGGCTCATCTATCATGAAGCGTCAAACAGCAGGGCCATAGCAGCCTCTGCAGCTCACCCACCCTCCAAACCTTAGCCTCCTGGAATCAAGCACATTCCACCATTGGGGGATTAGAGGGTCGGTAACCCAGGCTGAGCTGCCCCCCAGCCTGCTCTCCCACAGTGCCGAGACTGAACTCTTCTACCGGCCATTCCCAAATGGAGTTGTGGTTAAGGGGCCCAGGGCAAAATAGAAATTGATGGGGCCTTTTTGTCTGCTCCTGTTTTTCAGAAAATAGCGCACACACTTTTTTTTTTTAAGACAGGGTCTCACTCTGTCTCCCAAGCTGGAGTACAGTGTCACGATCATGGCTCACTGCAACCTCAAACTCCTGGGCTCAAGCGATCCTTCTGCCTCACCCCCCCCGCTGAGTAGCTGGGACCACAGGCACACACCACCATGCCTACTTAATTTTGGGTTTTTTGTTTTTTTTTTTTTTGTAGAGATGGAGGTTTCACTATGTTGCCCAGGCTGGTATTGAACTCCTGAATTCAACCGATCCTCCTGCCTCAGCCTCCCAATCTGCTGGAGCTACAGGTGTGAGCCCTTTAAAAAAAAAAAAAGTTAAGGGAGCTAAATTGCACTGAGGGTCTCCAAAGTGTTGTTTATGCCAAGAGCTGGGGCTGGAGAGAAAGAGGAGATGCTCAGGTAAGAGCAGAGGACCAACAGACCTTCCCACCGAGCCCAACACCTGTGTCTGAAGCACAAGGGTCAGCTGGCCCCAGGTGCCCCGAGTACTCACTGCCACGGTCAACCTCTCTTTACCAGGTGGGTCCAGAGCATGACATTTCCGCTTCTTCTTCCTCCAAAGGAAGCCCCGCCTGGGGAATTGCAGTCCTGGGAAGAGCTGGGCCCGGAAGAGCCCCAAGCCTTGGCAGTGGCTCATAGAGGCATCAGAAAGGCCTGTGTTTGAATCCTGGCTCAGCCCTCTGCTGTCTGTTGACCTCGGCAGGCTACTTGAATGATCTAAGCCCCTCTTCCCTTCATTGGCAACTGCTTCTAGGATACGTACTCCCGGTGGAGAGGAAAGCCATCTTGTCTTGCCATCAGAGAGACCTGTGTTGGGCCAGTGACTGGCTGTGCATCTTTATACAACTTACTCTTTACAACTTATACTAGTCTGACCTTCAGTTTCCTTATGAGTTTTTTGTGACGACTAAATGAAATCATGTATTTGAGAGTACCTGGTTAGTGAGCTCCAGGTAGGACTCTGTGACAGTGCCTGGCACACATCTGGTGTTCAAGCAATGCTTTTATTTTTGTGCCTCTGGGAGGTGGCATTGCATATTAGGTAAAAGCTTCAACTCTGCAGCCTGAATTCAGATCTGGGCTCTGCTGCTTACTAGATGGGTGATCTTGGGTAAGTTGCTTAACCTCTCTGTGCCTCAGCCTCTTCCTATATGAAGTGGGCATAATCAGAGCACCTTTCTCATAGGGTTGTTATGAGGCTTATATAATATCAGTTCATAATTATAAAGGGCACATGATACATGGTATTGGAGTGTTATATTAAATAAAATTAAATTAGCTGGGCATGGTGGCATGCACCTGTAGTCTCAGCTACTCAGGAGGCTGAGGCATGAGGATGATGGCTTGACTCCAGGTGTTGAAGGCTGCAGTGAGCTATGATCTCACCACTGCAGTCCAGCCTGGGTGATAGAGCAAGATCATGTCTCTTAAATAAATTTAATTTAATTTTTAAAATAAAATTTATTCCCCACCTTCCTGGTGTAGACATGCTCATCACCTGTCTGCTGGCCAGGGTTCAGGCCTTCTGCAGGCCCTGTCCTGTTAGTTCAGGGAAGTCCTTTCCGACCTTATGTCTATTTTTTATGGGAGAGGTGAGGGAGCCATGCTCCAGAAGAGGCTGGGTGAAGGCCTTGACTCAGCCTCTGGTCCTTGCCTCCCACCCCACCCATCAGCCTGGTCAGAAGCCAGGACACAGAGCTCCTTCATGGGCTGGATCTCAGGAGTGGGGGCTGGGCTGGGCTGAGTGAGCTGCTCCTCACTGCTCAGGAAGAGAACGACAGGCAGGGAACACATTCGTAACCACCCAGCGGTCAGCACAAAGGTGGCGCAGGAGGAGCTTCCTCTTCAGGAGGAAGGGAGAAGGTCGGCAGCCCATATCCGGCCCTGCCCGTTCCTCCCAGATGCTGTGGAAAGATGTCCTGGCCACTCCCTCATTGCTGGGCGGGGTCTTTCCTTCACACTGGGGCAGGTCCCTTTGAGGACCCTGGTCTGGAGGGCTGGGCACATACTCACAGGCACACAATACCCTTACCCCATCCCCCAACAAACGCACACACACACACACACACACACACACACACACAAACACACAGAGTACAGGGGTAAAGCAACTGATTAATGACTTGGCTGTTTGTCTTCCAGGGGGCTGTTCCAGGCTGCACGTCCATACCATCTGATGCACACTGGGCTGTTGGGGATGATGGCTTAGCTGTCGGTGCTCCTTGCCCAAAAGGTCAAGGTCATGGGTCAATCCCTAGTAGGGCCATAGATTTTCTTCTGTTTCATAGCCACAGGTGCCATCCTGCACCAGGGCTTGCTCTCTTCTTCATGTGTGACATGTACAAAAGGAAACAACTTACGACTCAGCTGAAGGATGAAACAAAGTCTTCTTGCTGCTGTCCACTCTTGCTGGAAGTGGGTTATTCCAAGCATCATCTTTAAAGGGAACTACAAATTCTGTGACACAGGCTGTCTAAGAAGGTCATCCCAGCTGGATACGGTGGCTCACATCTGTAATCCCAGCACTTTGGGAGGCCGAGGCAGGTGGATTACCTGAGGTCAGGAGTTCGAGACCAGCCTGGCCAACATGATGAAACCCTGTCTCTACTTTAAAAAATACAAAAATTAGCCAGGTGTGGTGGTAGGCACCTTTAATCCCAGCTACTTGAGAGGCTGAGGCAGGGAGAATCGCTTGAACCCGGGAGGCAGAGGTTGCAGTGAGCCGAGATGGAGCCATTGCACTCCAGCCTGGGCAACAGAGCGAAACCCCATCTCAAAAAAAAAAGAAAAAAAAAGGTCTTTTCTCTAGGGCCGCTGCCATTCCCCTTTATCCAATGTAGAAACTGAGGCTTTGGAACAAGCGGAGACCTGCTGAAAGATCCCACAGCTGGTTTCTTTACGGTGGGGGTGGACAACTCCTGCTTTGTGTGTTGGGAGGCAGAGACCCGGGAGGGGCCCCAAAGAGATGGGAGTGCCCCATCTTCAAGGGAGAAGCAGAGTTCTGCAGGAAACCCCAGGCAAGGACACTGTTTCTGAGGCCTTTGTTGGGAAAGTTTCCTGTCATCTCCAAGTGGAGAACAGGCCTGTGTTCATGTGAAGGCTTCATGCAAGTCTCCTGAGTTTGAAACTTTATGCCTCTTCAGTCCACTCTAACCTGAATTGAGAATACAATGAGAACTAGAAGAGCAGATGCTGTGATAAGGTTGCCATGAGAGATGGTGAGCTCCATCCACACATTCATTCATCCATCTACCCACCCACTCACCTGCACATCTTCCCATCACCTATCCATCCAACCAGCCAGCCAGCTACCCGTTCATCCATCCATCCATCCATCCATCCATCCATCATCCGTCCAGCCACCCATCCACCCATCCATCCATCCATCCATCCATCCATCCATCCATCCATCCATCCAGTCAGCCAGCCACCCAGCCACCCACGCACCCACCAACCCATCCATCCATTTATCCAGCCAGCCAGTCAGCCACCCACCCATTCACCAACCACATCCATCCACCCATCCACCCCATCCATCCACCCATCTACCTATCCATCCACTCACTCATTTACCCACCCACCCATTCATCCACCCATCCATCCACCCACCTACCCATCCAGTCACCCATACATCCATCTACCCACCTTCCCACCCACCCATATATCCAGCTAACCAGCCACCCATCCACCCATCTACCCACTAATTCATCTGCCCAGCCACCCAGCCACCCTACACATCCACCTACCCAGCCATCCATCCAGCCATCTAGCCACCCATACATTCATCTACCCAGTCACTCACCCATCCACCAACTCATCTATCTAACCCCCATCCACCCACCCATACATTTATCCAGCCACTCATCCACCTAGCCAGCCAGCCACCATCCACCCACACACACATCCAACCCTTTCATCCATCTACCCACCTATCTACCCGACCACCCATTCATACATTCATACAGCCACCCATTCATCCATCTACCCACCCACTCATCCCTACATCCACCCACCTATCCATCATCCACTCATCTACCCACCCACCCATCTATCCACCCCACCCATCCATCCATCCACCCACCCATCCAACCACCCCACCCATCCATCCACTCACCCACCCATTCATCCATCCATCTACTCCCCAAGCCACCCATACATCCATTAAGCCACCCACCCATACATCCGCCCACCTGTTGAGCACCTATAATAAGCCAGATTTGGTGTAGGGTACTGGAATCCAGAGAGGTGGAAGCCATGGTTCTTACCTTCCAATTGTTTTCCAGTGAGAGTGACAGCATCAATCAGGATACAAGTACCTGGAAGCCCTACCTGAAATAAGAAGGAAAATTTATTTCACATAAGAAGGCCAGAGGTAGGGAACCTCTGGATTGGTCAATTCAGGGGCCCAAAGGCATCATTGAAAATTCAGATTTTTTCTGTTTTTCTGCTTGACCCTCCCTCCAAGTGCCTGCCAGTTCAGCTCATGGTGCCAAGGGGCTACCACACATCTGGGGACTGCAGACAATTCCTGTAATAACTGAAGTATAAGAGGAACAGTTTCTTCTTGCATTTTTTTTTTTTTTGAGACAGAGTCACACTCTTGTTGCCCACGCTGGAGTGCAATAGTGCAATCTTGGCTCACTGCAACCTCCACCTCCCGGGTTCAAGCGATTCCCCTGCCTTAGCCTCCCAAGTAGCTGGGATTACAGGCATGCACCACCATACCTGGATAATTTTGTATTTTTAGTAGAGATGGGGTTTCACCATGGTGGCCAGTCTGGTCTTGAACTCCTGGCCTCAAGTGATCCGCCTGCCTTGGCCTCCCAAAGTGCTGGGGTTACAGGCATGAGCCACCACACCTGGCCCCTTCTTGAATCCTTTTTCGAGAAAGGAGACCTTTCTGCAGTCCCAGGCAGAACTTCCCTTCAACTGTCATTGGCTAGCACTGCATCTATGTGCAAATTAGTCTCTGAAAAGGAAAAAGGAATAACCACACCTGGCTTAGGTGAGTCATGATTTATCCCTTAGCTGAAGATGGCGATCCCTTCCCCAGGGGAGAACGGGTATCTGATCAAAACCAGGGCTCTCTCTATCAGGAAGAAGGGGAAACTGACCACAGGGTTGGCTACTCACGGTATCTGTGGGCAACCAGGTGAAAGATCTAAATGTTTTGTGTTTCTTCCTCACCCCAGAAGCAGCATGATAAACTCATTCCTGGCTTTCTCAGCAACCCCCACCCAAGCCCCCACTCTGCCTGTTTGTTTTTCCCCCTGGACTGACTGCTTGGCCACAAACTGCTCCTTGTTTGTTGTTAAAACTTGGCCGAGTGAAAACTTCCTGCCATAGCATTTTGTCTCTCTCTCTGTCTCTATCTTACACACACACACACACACACACACACACGCACTGTTCCCTTATCGAGATTTCAAATGAATTACTCTGAATATCTCATCTTATGGGGAAAGTAAGTTTCAGCACATTGCACCCTCCGCATCACAGACATTCCTCATCTATTTCTGACAAGGTTAGCACAAGTAGGGATCTATGAGCCTCCATTTCTTCACAATCAATTTACAGCTGAAGACTGGGCTTGATCTAAAGCACGGGAAAAATAACACCTAAACTCATGTGCACCACCCGGACTTCCCAGAAGGAAGATGCTTCAGGAGGGCAGCATCTAGGGAGGAGGAAGGAGGCTGCTCACCTCATTGGGTCAACACCAGGCACCAGAAGGAATCCCAGTGGTAAAGATCTTGCGGCCCAGTGCCGTGGCTCATACCTGTAATCCCAGCACTTTGGGAGGCCAAGGTGGGTGGATCACCTGAGGTCAGGAGTTTAAGACCAGCCTGGCCAACATGGCAAAACCCTGTCTCTACTAAAAATACAAAAATTAGCTGGGCACAGTGGCGGGCGCCTGTAATCCCAACTACTCGGTAGGCTGAGGCAGGGAGAATCACTGAAACCTGGGAGATGGAGGTTGCAGTGAGCCGAGATTGCGCCATTGCGCTCCAGCCTGGGTGACAGAGTGAGACTCTGTCTCAAAAAAAAAAAAAAAAAAAAATTCTTGCTCCATTTAGCCCAGAGACAGTACAAGGCAGCTGACATTGTGGGGGAAACCAAAGGATTTGTTGCAGGTGACTCAATTGCCTTAAGCATGAAGAGATATCAGACTAGACCTATTGCTTGGGATTCTGATGTTCTCTTCAGCTTCTTTCCCATTAGAAGGCTGGAGAACTTTCCTATGCCACCTACTACACTGAATACAAAAATCAAGTCCCTCACGCAGACCTGCTTGCTCTATGTAACAGGGCCCTGGCTCCCTCATGTGTCTTAGCTTGTGTCACTCTCCCTGGCTGCCCCAGCTCCAGCTGCATTGGCTCTCTTGCTGTTCTTTAAACGTGCTGGGCTGGGCGTGGTGGCTCATGCCGTAATCCCAGCACTTTGGGAGGCTGAGGCAGGCGGATCACCTGAGGTCGGGAGTTAAAGACCGGCCTGGCCAACATGGTGAAACACCGTCTCTATTAAAAATAGAAAAATTAGCCGGGCATGATGGTGCAAGTCTGTAATCCCAGCTACTTGGGAGGCTGAGACAGGAGAATCACTTGAACCCAGGAGGCAGAGGTTGCAGTGAGCTGAGATCGCACCACTGCACTTCAGCCTGGGCGACAGAGTGAGACTCCATCTAAAAAAATAATAATAATAAAATAAAAATAAATAAATAAATAAATGTGCTGGGCTTATTTTCACTTCAGTTCCCTCTACCTCAAACATCTTCCTCCTATCTTAGCTCAGAAACCAGTTTTTCAGATAAATCTTCTTTTAATGCCTATGTAGGGCAGTCCTTCCCCCTTTATCTGATTAATTTCCATTGCATTACAGCTGATTGGGAAAGACATTGCTTTTCGTTTATTTATTTCTTATCCACCTCCCCTCCCCACTAGAATGTAAGCCTCTGAGCACCAGATCCTGGCTGTCTTGATCCCCACTTTGTTTTATGGCCCAGAGCACAGAGCTTGGCTTGTAGATGGTGTTCAGTAATGAATAAGTTAATGGTATCTCCAGGCCAAACCACCTTTCTGGGATGACATGGAAAGAAAAAAAACACATACAACTGCTGCCAAAGTGCCTAATAAAGATTAGCTAGTATTATAGTCTCCCCACCCTACCTTGTACTGTACTGCTGAACACAGTGCAGTGAGTTGAATGCGAGAAGCGGGTATACACTCTTTCCTAAATGCTGCTCCTTCTCCAAACTCTTCACCATCCTCATCCTTTAAGGGTGATTGTACTTCCAGGGGGCTCAAGAAATAGAAAGGGCCAGGCACCGTGGCTTACGCCTGCAATCCCAGCACTTTGGGAGGCCAAGGCGGGTGCATCACCTGAGGTCAAGAGTTGGAAACCAGCCTGGCCAACATGGTGAAACCTCATCTCTACTAAAAATACAAAATTAGCTGGGTGTGGTGACACACACCTCTAGTCCCAGCTACTAGGGAGGCTGAGACAGGAGAATCTCTTGAACCCGGGAGGCAGAGGCTGCAGTGAGCCAAGATCATGCGACTCCACTCCAGCCTGGGCAACAGAGCGAGATTCCATCTCAAAAAAATATATATATACATATATATATGTGTGTATATATATATATATGTGTGTGTGTGTGTGTGTATATATATATATATATATATATATATATATATATGTATATGTATATATATAGAAAAGGATGGGAGGAGGTGGTGAAATTGTACTCCTGTTGAATTCCTACTACATCTAACAGTACCGATGCCTGTGCACTCCCTGTACCCCAGGCACTGTGCTGTGTGGATAAGATACAGATCCTTGTGCCCATTCTACAGATGAGGACTCTGAGACTCACGGGGGTTGAGTGACTTGTCCAAGGTCCCTGAACTAGAGGGGAATGAGCTGAGGTTGTACCCCTATAGTTTGACTGAAGAGTCTGTGCCCTTAACTACCCCCACTATATATCTCCTTAATTCCAGGTGGGGTCACTGTAAGAATGAAATACAACAGCAATCAACCTGCTTAACACAATCTCCTAGCATATTCTAAATAACAGTTCTATGGGGATACAATTCACATAAAGTTCACCCTATTAAAATATACAATTCAGTGGGTTGTATATACTCAGTGTATATTCACAGAGTTGTGCAACCATCACCAGTAATTCCAGAGCATTTTTCATTACCTCCTCCCAAAACCCATACCTACTAGCAATCACTCCCATTCCCTCCTCCCCTTAGTCCTAGGCAACCACTAATCTGTTTTCTGTGTCTATGGATTTTTCTATTCTGGACATTTCATATAAATGGAATCATACAATATGTAGTGTTTTGTGTCTGGCTTCTTTCACTTAGCATTATGTTCTCGAGGCTCATTTACGTTGTCTGTGTGTCAATGTCAGTACTTTGTTTTTGTTTGTTGGTTTGTTTGTTTGTTTGTTTTGAGACAGGGTCTCGCTCTGTCACCCCGGCTGGAGTGCAGTGGCATCATATTGGCTCACTGCAACCTCTGCCCCGCTGGGCTCAAGCCATCCTCCCACCTCAGCCTCCTAAGTATCTGGGACCACAGGCACATGACACCATACCTGGCTATTATTATTATTATTATTTTGTATTTTTAGTAGAGGCAGGGTTTTCGCCACACTGGCCAGGCTGGTCTCCAACTCCTAAGCTCAAGTGATCCGCCAGCCTCAGCCTCCCATAGTGCTGCGATTATGAGTGTGAGCCACTGCACCCAGCCGTGTGTCAGTACTTCATTCCTTTTTATGGTCAAATAATATTCCATTGTATGGATATACCACAATTTGTTTATCCATTCACCAGTGGATGGACATTTGGGTTGTTTCCACCTTTTCCTTATTATGAATAATGCTGCTATGAACATTCACATGGAAGTCCTTGCATGGACATTTGTTTGAATTCCCTTGGGTAAATACCTAGGAATGCAATTGCTGGGTCATATGGTAACGCTATGTTTAACATTTTGAGGAACTGCCAGACCGTTTTCCAGAGAAGTTACACCAATTTACATTCCTACCAGCAATGGACGAATGTTTCAATGTATGAGGGAGGCTAGGTGCTGTTATTATGACTGGTTATTATTACTGTTGAAATATGCAATTGTCTGACTCTCTGTTGAATCTGGCTACATTAGGCAAGGATTCCACTGGAAACTCGAGGATTCCCAAGGCAAGAATCACCATTTTCTGTTCAGGTGTCGTTCCTCATCCTCTGCTTCCTATCTTTCCTCCTGGCCCTAGTCTCTAATGCTCCTCCATTCCCAAGTTGAGTTTCCTTCTCCAGGTCTTACTTGTGCCCTCCTCACATACAGTGTCAGTCCAGAGATGAGGCCAGGTCTCATAAGAAGAGGCCATGGCCAGGGTGGGCAGAGAACAGCTGAGCAGCCCTCTTCCTGGGACAACCTTGAACTTGGCAATGGAAACCCTTGGGGTAGCAGGCCAAGGCATCCCATGGGAATTATTTTACATGTACAACATTTATTTGTTGATACTGCTAAGATTTCAGTTGTTAACAGTTTGGAACTTTTTCTGTGCATGTTTTTGAGGCTCTGAGGCCATCTATTTGTTGGCTGGGGGAGGGTGGGAGGTGGAAAGAGAAAAGTTCTTTCCCACATTTTCCTTGGGGTATCTCAGCAAGGTCACGGTAGTGCCTAACGCTGAAAAATGTGGAGAAAGGTTGGCCTTTGGGTGAATGGGATGGAGGGGATGCAATTAGGATGGGCCAGGCCCCGTGATCCATCCCCAGTAATGCTCTGCTCTGTCTCCGGAACATTCATACAACCTCCTCCAGGACACCCTTTGGCCTACTTCCCAGTGTATTTTCTGGAAAAAGAGGAGACCACATTAGAGGCCATGTACCCCCTCCCTCCTTGAGCAGTCCTCACCTGGGTCCTGGGTGTGCAGGACCCACCCACATGACACCTCTTGTTTCCTCTTTGGAAAGTTCACAGCCAGAACCCAGGACCCAGGTAGGAGAGAAGCAAGGGGTTCAGGAGTCTCCATGATATTTTGCTATGGAGCAGAGTCAATAAAGAAAGGTAGCCAGCGTGGTGGCTCACACCTGCAATCCCAGCACTTGGGGAAGCTGGGGTAGGAGGATTGCTTGAGCCCTGGAATTCGAGACCAGCCTAGGCAACATGACGGTGAGACCCCATCTCTACAAAAATAAAAAATAAAAAACAAAAAATAAAATAAAAAAAGGTACACCCAGAGCCTGCACAAGAAAAGCCATTCACCAAGCACCATCACCCCAGGAAGCTTCTCAATCCAGTGTGAGTCCAAGGATGGACTCCACATCAGTGACTCTATGGCCCCCAATACTGGCTCATGGTAACCTAGAGTTCTAGTTTATGGCAGCTCTGGGTGGACTCCTCCAGGGTTCTAGGTCCTATGTCCTGTGGTCCAAGTGGTTCCAGATGTCAACAACCCCAGGGGAAGGTGACCTTGGCTAATGGTAGCCTCGGATTCTAGGCATCAGTGGTCCTGCTAATGACTATTGGAGACAGTGGCCCTAGACTTTGGTAGCCCTGGGAAATCTGGGTGCTGGTGATCCTGGGCATTACTGATGGAGGCTCCACAGTTCCAGGTGCTGGCCGCCTTCTGGAACTAGGTCTCAAGCCTGTAGGCATTGGCCGCAGCTGGTCAGAAACAAAGGAAGAGGAGCCAAGCCAGAGTCTGCCTGGTGCTGCTGAGCTGCTGCTCAAGCGTTCTTGGTACTCGAGCGGTCGCAGCAGATTCTTTCTCTTCTGAAGTTCCTCTCTTTCTGTTTATCTAGCGACCTCCTCCAGGGGCACACCCATTAGCTTGTGGGTCTTCTGTAGTCCCCTCAGGAACGTGGGAGAGTCACAGTCTGTAGCATTTGACTTGAAGCTGGAAAGCCCTAGTAAGACCCAATAGTGTTGATTTGGGGACTTCTTTTGGCCTGGACTCTGGTGGGGGGTGTCCAGCCCTAGATGCCCTCAGGGTCCCAGGCCCATGCTGTGTGACTTTCTCCCCACACACTCCCCTCCTGCTTGGGCGCTGGAATCCAGGAGGAATAGGGGACAGTGAGTGGCAAGGACTGCCTTGTGGTGGGACGGACATCATAGAAAGCAGCACATAGTCTGCAGATGGAGGGAAATAGGCAGGGCCAAGCTGTCGCTTTGCCTTGAGAGTGACCATGATGGAGCTTGACCAGTTCATGACCTGTGCGCTAACCTTGGTCTTTTTTTAATGTGTTTGTTTGAAACAGGGTCTCACTCTGTCACCTAGGCTGATCTCAAACTCCTGGGCTCAAGCAATCATCCTGTCTCAGCCTCCCAAAGTTCTGGGATTACAGGCATGAGCTGACACAGTACCTGGCCTTGGTCTGTCTTTCTTTCTTTCTTTCTTTCTTTTTCTTTCTTTCTTTCTTTCTTTCTTTCTTTCTTTCTTTCTTTCTTTCTTTCTTTCTTTCTCTTTCTTTCTTTCTTCTCTCTCTCTCTTTCTTTCTTTTTCTTTCTTTCTTTCTCTCTCTCTCTTTCTCTCTTTCTTTCTTTCTTTCTTTTTCTTTTTTTGAGAGAGAGTCTCACTCTGTTGCCCAGGCTGCAGTGCAATGGTGTGATCTTGGTTCACCGCAACCTCCGTCTCCCGGGTTCAAGTGATTCTGCTGCCTCAGCCTCCCGAGTAGCTGGGATTACAGGCATCTGCCACCAGGCCCAGCTAATTTTTTTTGTTTTTTCTTTTTGGTTTTTTTAGTAGAGACGGGGTTTCACCATGTTAGCCAGGATGGTCTCGATCTCCTGACCTCATGATCTGCCCGCCTTGGCCTCCCAAAGTGCTGGGATTACAGGCATGAGCCACTGCGCCCAGCCTGGCCTTGGTCTTTCTTAATCCCCAGATGGAACCCCCTCTGCCCCCACCAGCTTCCCCTTCAAGACCCTGCCCAGCACCAGGCTCCCACCCCTCAAGCTCAGATCAGGCCCTGCTCCCACTTGTCTCCTGGATCCTCAGACACCTGCAGTAGGACCAGGGGCTTGCCCAGCAGCAGATGGTTCCAAACAAGGCAAGATTCTTGGAGTAGCAGAAAATATTTCTGCACCCACCATGTACCAGCACAGAGCCGTGGGGAAGCTGCTTCTCTGCAAAATGGGAGTAACAGGACCTGCCATGCAACGTTGCTGTGAGGACTGGTTAAATCAATTATCATTAAGAAAATAAAACTTGGGAAATTCCCAGGCACAACCTTTCTGAACCTCTGCATGGCAGGGTAACAGCAATTATCTAGAGGCCTATTGAGAGAACCAAATAGTGACAATGGCGGGGACAGAATGCTCAGACAGGCCAGGCACCATGTCAAGCACTTCACTGCATCATCTCAATCTTCACATCAGCCTCCATGGTAGGCACCACGGCCACTGACCCCACCTCACGGGTGAGAGCTGTGGCACAGAGAGGTTCCGTCCTCATAACACAAATGGGGAAGTTAGGATTTGACTCGTACAGCCCAGCTCCTGAGCCTGCATGGTTAAGCCTTGGGCTGCGGCTACCTCAGAACTGGAAGCACTTCATAAGGCTCCATGTACAAGTTAGTTATTATAAGTCACTTGTGGGGCTAGGGTGGGGGATCCCAGCTAGCAGCCTCCGCACTGACCGGTGGCTGAACCCAGGCTGGGCTGTCTGCCCTGGGAGCAGGGCGATGCCTGGGGACTGATGGCCCCGTGTCCTCTCAGCCGGGCGCTGGGAGGGCCTAAGGCCACCTTCCTGTGGTCTCTGCTGTGGTGCAGGCAGGGGCCACCACCAAGGAAGGTGGGATCCAGCCTGTCTGGGCAGGTCTGCTCTGCCGAGATCCGGCCGGCTCTCCAGTGGCTGGGATGCCCCAGAGCGGACAGGCGAGCACGTCCCGTCCCGAGCACAGGCCCCTGCCCGGGAGGCCCCGCTAATGACCCCGTGCATTCCGGCTTGCATGGCCCGGGAATTGGCTGTGGGCAGGCCCATTAGCTGGAATCCTCCCAATGCTCACACATCAGAGTGGAGGGGGGAGAAGTGAAAAGTTGAAAAAGAGCTAATTATCGCTTTTATCAGAGCGGGTGGGTTGATGGGTCCTGCCCGAGGGCAGCTGGGACTGCATTAAAGATTAAACGCCAGGTGGGGGGAGTGAGCTCGTCATTCCACAGGAGGGGGGCCGGCTGGCGGCCCCACGGAGACCTGGTGGCAGGCGGCAGCCTTAGATCTGTCAGCCAAGCCCTCTGTCCCAGCACCCACCACAGCCACATTCCACCAGGGGACCCCCGCAGTGCCGGCACTTCCGCCCCATGGGGAGGGCAGCTGAAGTCCAGGTCTGCTCCCTCAAGGGCTGTAGGGTCGGGGCAAGCCTAATTATCCAATTGGTAGGTTTCCTGGCACCTGTCTTAGGGGGACTTAATGACCCCTGCACATCAGCCAGTGACCTTCTGTGTAAACCTACATTGGAATCTTATGAGGCCTGGCAAAACCCAAGGTCGGGTAGGCTGACCCCCCTTGTTATTACAGAGCAAGAGCCCAAGGCCCAGAGAAGGAAAGGGACTCAGTCAATCACATTGCCCGCTGTGAAGTTAGTCCCATGAGGTTGCGAGTCCATTGAGGACGTGGCTGCATCTTCAGCACTTTGTACCTAAGGTATTGACATTAAAGGAACAGGGCGACTAGCTCAGAACAAAGCCAGGGTGAATTTGTTATACCATCGCAACCCAACAGTGTTTTGTATGTTCGAGGTGTTTCACAGGTGTTTGTTGGCTGCAATCAGGGCGGCACCTAAGTGGTCACAGTAAGCATTCTCCAAATCTTGGGGGCGAATTCACTGGCTGTAAATAAAGGATGAGTATCCTGGTCTGGAGTTACAAACCAAGCCATGGGTGAGCCAGCTGTGCTAACCCTGCCGTGCTCAGCATCACTGTTTGTGTCTTGATGAAAATGTCCACCAAGGCACCTCCACGCCCACTTGAAGCATGACATCCATGCTCTGGCCCCACCAGGGACCCTCAGCCCCTGGCCACCTTGGCTTTTTCCAGGCTCTGCCCTAGCTCAGGAGAATGAATTGGGCTCTTTGCTTCTTTCTTTTGCCGACAGTTACAGCAATCTTTCTAGACTCCTCTAGAAGCCAGAGCCTTCCAGTTTGTTTTTTTCAGGATTCCAACCTCAGCTTGGAACTCAATGGCTGTTCTTACATCTCCCCATAGTGAGGAGATTCTACAGGTGACATGTAGCTACCCAAGTCAAGGGGGTCCTGCCCTCCCCTACTCTGCTCATATACACTGTCCCACAGGCAGACACCCTCCACCCAAGATGATATGGGCTAGACTACCCTAGGAGAGACCCATAAATGCCTGGTGGGGAGAATGAAAGAGTCTGGGCAAAGACAGATAAAAAGGGTCTGAGGTCCATAAAGGACCCCAAGCTGTAACTACACTGGCCACATGAGGATAAATGAGTTTGAGCAAAGATAGATAAAAAGGATCAGAAGTCCATAAAGGACCCCAAGCTGAAACTACAGTGGCCACTGTCCAAGAAGGCAGCCAACATGTTGCTGGATTGCTATGAAATATTTGAATACAGGAACCTACTCCTCAGCACCAGGTACTTCTTAAGAAAGTTCAGGTAGCCAAGCGCGGTGGCTCATGCCTGTAATCCTAGCACTTTGGGAGGCCGAGGCAGGTGGATCACTTGATGTCAGAAGTTTGAGACCAGTCCCGCCAACATGGTGAAAACCCAACTCTACTAACAATACAAAAATTAGCCAGGCATGGTGGTATGCTTCTGTAATCCCGGCTACCCAGGAGGCTGAGCCATAAGAATTCTTGAACCAGGAGGCAGAGGTTGCAGTGTGCCAAGATCGCACCATGCACTCCAGCCTGGGCAACAGAGCAAGACTCCATCTCAAAAAAAAAAAGAAAAGAAAAAGAAAGGTCAGGTAGTCCTGGACTGCATAAGCCAGCACTCTGCAGTTCTTCAACAGACACTTACACAGTGGTGATGAATCTTTTGATTAATTTTATGTATATTTGATGATCTACATCAGCCACTAGATTGAACAACCATGAAAACTAGGACCATGCCTTTTTTTGTCCATCCTTGAGCCCCCAGTACCTGGCCTGGCACATCACAGGACTGTTTAAATATTTATTGAAGGAGAGAGGAGAGGAGGGAGGAAAGAAAGAAGGGGAAGAATTTTTTCAGGAATCGAGGTGGCTTGAGAGCCAGTTCTTGCTCATAGAAGCTCACAGTCCAGTGTGGGGAGAGAGATGGACAGATGGACAGACACCTACAATGCTAGTGCAGGCATAAAGGGAAAATCAGTCCGATGGTGGAAGCTCAGAAGAGGAAGTGCTTTCTACGGCTGAGTCTTTAAGGCTGAGCAGGAGTGAGTTGGATGGACAAAGGCAGGAAAGTCATTGTCAGTAGGACTGGCACATACAAAGGCACAGAGCTGGGAACACGTGGTCAGCATTCAGAGACAGGTGATTTGGCTCAGGGGATGGGGCTGTGGTGTACCTTGAGGGGCATTGGAGGTATGGGTCTGGGAAGGTAAGCTGGATGGTGGGGAAGAGCTGAGGGACTTACCTGGGGTTTTTAGGCAGGGGTGTGACATTTCCAGCCACCAAGCATAAAGGGAGGAGGCCTGTGCAGTGGCTCACACCTGTAATCCCAGCACTTTGGGAGGCCGAGGCAAGTGGATCACTTGAGATCAGGAGTTCGAGACCAGTCTGGCCAACGTGGTGAAACCCCATCTCTACTAAAAATACAAAAATTAGCTGGACATGGTGGTGGACACCTGTAATCCCAGCTACTCCAGAGCTGAGGCAGGAGAATCACTTGAACCCATGAGGTGGAGGTTGCACTGAGCTGAGATCACACCACTGCACTCCAGGCTGGGTGACAGGGCAAGACTCCATCTCAAAAAAAAAAAAAAAAAAAGAAAAGAAAAGAAAAGAAAAGAAAAAAAGAGTAAAAGGAGGAACTTGGAAACTCTAAGGACTGCCATTAACCTTCACTAGAAACAGAGACCATTTAGTTTGGAGCCAAGAAAGCTCTGGGGTTCCTGAAGCCCCTGCAGAGGGGAGTCCTCTGGTCAGGGGATAAAGAAGGACCAGGCCTAGTGAGAGGATGAGACTGGGCCACATGCAAGGACATTTCTGGCTGGAAGGCTGTCAGGTCATGTGGAACGGGAAGCATTTCATGGCGGTGATAATTTTCTCCCTGGTGTTCCGTACAGACAAACTGACATCCTCCCAACTGAACTGATAGCTTTGGGAGGGAGAAGGTTTGAGGGGCCCAGATGAGAGCCCCTGGCTGCGTACCCCTTGGAAGCCTCTCAGATCTTGGCCCAACTGAGGACGTTGCAGATGGTGGGGTGAATGCAGACCATCCATCAAAGAGGTCAGAGTGTGGTGTCCTCACTGCACAGCTGGGCCCTGGCGACCTTGCTTTGGGTTCTGGTTGGGTCATCTTCCATCTGTGACCTTGGCAAGAGGCTTCATCTCTCTGAGCCTCAGTTTCCTTATCTGCAAAAGAGGGATGATAAGGCACCCCTGCCTGCCCTGTGGGCTATGGCGAGGCTCAAAAAGAAAGGCCACGGAAGACACTTTGTAAACAGGAATGCGCTACACAAAGGTTAAATATGATTATTAACACGTAATACCCAAGTCACAGGACAAGGAAGACCCAGACACAGAATTTCAGGGTCTGGACCCAACTTTTCTAGAGGCTGAGACTAGCCAGACAGCCCTGAGGCTGCCAGGGGTCGCCCTCCTGTCTCTCCCCATCAGGTGCTTTGCAACGTAAATTCAAAATCCTGCTCTTCCCCTTTCCAGCCTCAGGCAAGGGCTTTTCATTTCGCTGTGCCTCAGTTTCCTCAACTGTCAAGTGGTGATAGGTGCACCTACCTCAGGGGCTGTTAATGGAAATTAAATAGGATGAGGCGGGCAAAGTCCTGGCTCAATACCAGGCCCACTGAACAAGAGCATTAAAACGGGTGGTTCTTGGCTTCCTTCCTTCCTTGCATCCAACCCCCGCCCGTGCCTCTTGCTTCTGCTTTTGTCTCTTCCTGAGAGCTTTGCCCAGGGCTCCTGAGGGACCCCATGGCTGGTGAGATCCTTGGAGCTTGGGCTGTTGGAAGGCAGGCTTGTGACAAGGTCCAAGGGTTACTATGGACAACGCCATCACAAAGACAGGCCATGCCTGTGGCTGAAGGAGATAGACCCCGGTTCAGGGGCTGAGCACAGTGGTTTTGCCAGGAGTCTCTCAGTTGCAAAATTTCACAGCCCTGGGAATTCTCAAATGGAGTGACCAAATGTGGTCCCAGAGCAGTGCTGTCACACGACACCAGTATGAGTCTACCTCGAGGGTCCTGGGATGCCAAGACCTCCCGCTCCCTGGTCTCGGGGCCTGAGCTCCTGATGGCAGTCCAGGAGGGACTGCTCTCCTTTGCCCACTCCCCACCATCCAGCCTCTTATCGAATTGGCAGGAAGGAGGAAAGCCCACCAGGGGACTCACAGACCCGAATTCTTCCTCCTGAAGCACCCTCCAGCTGGATGGCCCTTGTCCCTCGTGGAGCACTTTAGGCAGAGTTGGGAAACCACAAAAATTTTAAGCTGAGATGAAGGAACGTAATGGGCTCTAATCTGAACTGACAGCAGCATGATTAGTCGGCACAAGACTGCAGGAGCAGCGGGGGACTGACAGGGAGGGAAGAGGAGCGAGGAGGAGGAGGGATGAGGGACAAAAGACATAGAGCAGACCCAAGAATGAGGCAGGGCCTCAGGGGTGGAGATGCAGGCCGGGCTGAAATGGTGGCATGGGAGGGGCTGCTCAGGATGATACTTGCGGTAATAATAGTAATTGCAGAGAATGCTTGTTTAGAGCTGACAATATGCCAGGCATTATTCTAAGCATTTGTTTTAACGAACATGATCCTTGCGATGTAGGTGTGTTAGTATCTCGATCCTCATTTTACAGATGATGTAGAAATAAAGTCACAGAGAGGTCCATCGATAAAGAATGTCAGCCCTGAGTGCAAAGCTGGGGTCTGGTTGCTAGTAGAAGCTGCCTTCTGTTTTCTAGGAGTCAGAAGTCCAAGGTCCCGCTTAGGAGTTCATGAAATGCAACTGACACTTTCAGAATAAACAAGGGCTTGGTGTCTGTGGCAAGGAGGGTGAGGGAGGGCTATGTGGACCCCCTCCATCCAGGGTTGGGAGGGAAGAAAAGGCATGCTCTAATAATCACAGCACAGGTATGGATGACAGGGGACCAAGAACACAGAAGTCAGAGGTCTTAATTAGCCTTTTAGGACTCAGAGGTCCATTTAGCCAACTGGGGGCTGATGGCCATGACCCCTGACAGTTGGCTGGTCTCCACTAAGGCCATGATGAAGCTATGGGTTAAGACGTGACTTCCATGTCCTTCCAAGAAAGGACAGAGGGGACTTGGTCTCCAGCTCTGCTTCCCTGTGGCTAGCTGGCCCCACAGCTCTCTGGGGGTCAGACATGCTGAGCCACCCCCGCCACGCCCAGGGAGGCACTTCCTGCCTGGCTAAGGCAGTCATACCCAGAGGTCCTGATTCTGAAGGGGACATCTCTGAGTGAGTGGTTCATTGCCTCCCCATCCTGCATCTAGATATAGTCAACTCCTGACCATCTGGCCCCCCTGGAAATCAGATTTTCAAAATCTTATTCATGCCTCCATGGGTTCTAAGTCTAGGATACGAATAAAGGTTGAGTTGCACTTAGTAGGCTCTGCAGAGTCAGAAGAAATGGTTCTCTTCCTGCTGCAGGGAAGAGCTGAGCAGGCAAGCAGAGGAAATTTTAGACATGAGAGCTCTGCTTTAGGGTCAGTAAGGGGCTAAGAGGCACCTGGAGTCAAAGCTTGACAATGTGAACTCATGCAGGTTACTTAACCTTTGCATGCCTCAGTTTCTTCATCTGTAAAATGGGGGTAGTGATTACAGTAGCTTGCTCCTGGTAGGGTGGTTGTGAGGTCAAGGATTTAATCAAATCCAAGTGAAGCATTTTGCACAGCACCAGGTGCATTGGTGGTGCTCAGAAACACTGGTTTTCACTGCTATGAACGGTATGCTGCTGCCTTGGGTCTGGGGCAGGGAGAGAGTTCTGTCCCTTCCTAGCATGGGGAAATTTCTTGGTCTGTGACATAAGATGAGCAACCAGACAGTGTGGGGTTGTTTTGGTCCTGTGCTTGACAGACAGCTGATTCTAGAAGAGCCAAGAACCCCCCTTAGTGGGCCACCCTGAGCTTCAAACTTCTTTCTGCCCTCCTGTACCCAGGATTGGATTAGTGTAAACTGTAAAATGCCGCAGCAGTGTTATGAGTTCCTGTCACCAAGGCCTTTCAGAGGCCCAGGAATATATCAGTAGAGTCAGTGGCAGCCTTAGGGTCCCCTCTCCCTAGCCTCTGCCAATGACAGCAACCATAATTGAGGAATAATAATAGCTACCATACAGTAAGCACATCCTGTGTGCCAGGCACTTTCTGGGGACACTTTTAATCCTCCCAGTGACCCTGCAACGTTGGTGTTTATCACCCAGCACCATAAACTTCCATTGACACCTGCATCCCTCTCCCTCCAACTCCCCACCTGACCCACACCTCCCTAAGCTTCAGGCTGTAGCTGGGCTCTCACTTCTCTGGGAAGCTTTCTCTGACATCCTCTAGGCCAGGTCGGTATCCCTTCTCCCTGCTGATGTTCCCATAAGCACACTCCCGCTTGTGAAAACTCATCACATTTTATTTTTATTTATTTTGGATCAGGAATACATTCACATGGTTCAGAATTCAAAAGCAACAAGAAATGGAGTAAAAAGTCTCCCTGCTCTCCCTATCTCTAGCTCCCAGCCACTGAGTTTGGCTGCCCAGGGTGAGTAGGGTTGTCAGTTTCATCACATTGAATAGTGATGACTTGTTTATCTGTCTTCTGTGTTTTAAGAGCAGGGACTCCGCCTGTCTCACTAATTGCTTCATCCCTGGGGCCCAGCACAGTGTTTGGCACATAGTAGGAGTGCTACATGTGTTATCTATCTCTCTCAGAGATTTCTTTCTTTCTTTCTTTCTTTCTTTTGGACAGGGAGTCTCGCTATGTCGCCCAGGCTGGAGTGCAGTGGAGTGATCTTGGCTCACTGAAACCTTCACCTCCTGGGTTCAAGCGATTCTCCTGCCTCAGCCTCCCAAGTGTCTGGTGTTACAGGCATATGCCACCATGCCCGGCTAATTTCTTGTATTTAGTAGAGATGGGGTTTCACCATGTTGGCCAAGCTGGTCTCAAACTCCTGACCTCAGATGATCCACCCACCTCAGCCTTCCAAAATGCTGGGATTACAGGCTTGAGCCACCACGCCTGGCCCTCTCTGAGAGATTGCTATAGAAAGATATCTATATAGAGATTTTTTTTTTTTAATGAATGAGGCTCAGAGAAGAAAGGTGACTTTGCTTGCTTAGTTCTACTCCCAAGACAGTGCTCACTGGGAACTCTGTTTATCTGAATTTTAATGACCACCTGTCCCTTCTTCTTGGACATTTGACCATCCTCTGTGAAATGGATCCCAATTTCAATTTTTTAGGCTTAATTTTTAAATGGGAACATAAACAGTATCCCTCATTAATTATCAGGAGATAGAGCAATGCTATACTTCCAAAGTCCTGTTAGTGCCTGCCCAATCCTGACCTCATTTTACCATGACTCCAACTTTGTGTTAAGGATGTTCTTGCTGGCCGGGCACAGTGGCTCATGCCTGTAATCCCAGCACTTTGGGAGGCCAAGGCAGGTGGATTGCTTGAGCCCAGGAGTTCGAGACCAGCTTGGGCAACATGGTGAAACCCCGTCTCTACTAAAAACACAAAAATTAGCCAGGTATAGTGGTGCACGCCTGTAATCCCAGCTACTCGGGAGGCTGAGGCAGGAGAATTGCTTGAACCTAGGAGGTGGAGTTTGCAGTGAGCTGATATCGCACCACTGCACTCCAGCCTGGGTGACAGAGTGAGACTCAGTCTCAAAAAACAAACAAACAAACAAAAAAAACAGATGCTGTTGCTCACCTGGCCTCACTTTGCCCATCTGTAAAATGTCAAAAGACAAAATGACAATAAATTTTGTTTAAAGATCTTAATAGGCTTTTATTCATGATTCTAGAATTGGGCATCCCTCCGAACCACAGCTTATTCAAAGAACTCCAACCAGCAACATGATCACGCAGTATTTGTAGATAGAAAACAGAAGTGAGGTGTAGATACAGCTTAATTGGTTACAGCATCCTTAATTGAATCACCTGGCCACCTACATTGACAGATGCTCAGCTGCTGTAACTGCCCCAAAACTCAGCTATTTGTTACCACTTTTTGCAACTTAGGAGTATACTCCCAAGTTAATTGCATTTAGCATGAGTGACTCCATATTTGTTTGGTCTGTTGGGTCCATTACAGGAGCACAGTACAAACTAATGGCCTCCTACAAATTTTATTTATTAATTGAAAGGGGCCCAATAGTTCTATGCATCTTTGATGTCTTCTCTCATTTAACCTCCATCCCCACCAATTGATATAGGTTTATGCCTGCAGTAAATGGGATAGTTATAAAGCTAATGCTTCATACCAATGCAACTAGTGCATGAAGTGGGTGAGGACAGCTTTCTGTACTGATATGGGTATCAGCCAGACTGGCTATGTCCCCAGCACTAGCCCAGGCTCAGGGTCAAGTACACACAGCTGTGCATCCTCTGAAGCGCTGGAGGGAGAGAAAGAAGTTCATCTGGGGAAGCGGGTGGAGCTGAGGCAGGGGACCACCTTGGGGAGGGTGGGTTGGCCCAAGCGCCGTCTCTCCCAGGGATCAGCAGGCTGCTTTCCAGCTGGGTTAGCTCATTCCCCACCTCATCTTGCAGAAGCTCCAGGTTCAGGCTTCTGCACAGCTTTGTTCTTGTGGTTGAGGCAGCCAGGGATTCTGAGAGTTGGGAAGGGGAAGCCAGGGGGAATGAAGGGAAGGAAAGGGAGGAGAGAAAAAGGCAAGTAGCAGGGGCAATAAGGAGGCCGTGTGTCAGGGAGGGATGTGGTGCCAGCTACACCAGGAAGCCTGCTATGGCAAGACACTGCCAAGTGAGGGAAATGAGGATGGGTAAACAGTATGGAGAACAAGATTTATAAATTCATTTGTTCATTCATTCATCCAATAAAACAAAAGATGCCAATATTGACAGATGGCTGTCACTCAAAACATACACAAAATGCTAAGGCGGCCGGGCACAGTGGCTCATACCTGTAATCCCAGCACCCTGGGAGACTGAGGCTGGCAGATCACTTGAGACCAGGAGTTCGAGACCAGCCTGGCCAACATGATAAAAGTCCATCTCTACTGAAAATACAAAAATTAGCTGAGCGTGGTGGTGCACGCCTGTAGTCCCAGCTACTTGGGAGGCTGAGCCAAGAGAGTCACTTGAACCTGGGAGGTGGAGGTTGCAGTGAGCAGAGATCATGCCAGTGCACTCCAGCCTGGGTGACAGAGCGAGACTCTGTCTCAAAAAAAAAAATGCTGGCCAGGCGCAGTGGCTCACACCGGTAATCCCAGCACTTTGGGAGGCCGAGGCGGGTGGATCACCTGAGGTCGGGAGTTCGAGACCAGCCTGACCAACATGGAGAAACCTCATCTCTACTAAAAATACAAAATTAGCCAAAAATACAAAATTAGTCAGGCGTGGTGGTGCATGCCTGTAATCCCAGTTACTCAGGCAGCTGAGACGGGAGAATCGCTTGAATCCGGGAGGTGGAGGTTGTGATGAGCTGAGATCTTGCCACTGCACTCCAACCTGCGCAACAAGAACAAGACTTCGTCTAAAAAAAAAAGCTAAGGAAATATAAAAGAGGGAGCAAATAACTATTTGATGGGTTGCAGGAGTGGGGAAGTTGGGGGAGTTCACAAATTTCACTGGAGATATT
The DNA here is from genome assembly GCF_000001405.40 of Homo sapiens. NCBI lineage: Eukaryota > Metazoa > Chordata > Mammalia > Primates > Hominidae > Homo > Homo sapiens. The sequence goes on along the minus strand of NC_000017.11, from coordinate 46,884,903 downwards.
TGAACCAAGTCAGGAAGCAAATATAGGAGAAGCCAGGCCATAGTCCTCCCCAGCTCCACGGCCTCTCCCTTCCCAGACCTCCCAATCCCAGTCCAGCTGTCGCCTTCACTGGGTCTGAAAGCTGGCCCCGCCTCATACTTGCTGTGTGACCTCAGGCAAGTGGTCTAACCCCTCTGAGCCCCGGTTTTCTCAGCTGCAAAGGAGGGATGACACCAACTTGGAGCGTTGTCATAAGATTCAAATACAACAATGCACACGAGAGGCACTCTGCAGAGCACTTGGTACCTGTATGAAGCCTGCGCAAAACAACTACTGTGGCTGTTGTCAGCACTGGCAGAGCAGCAACTTCATTTACCAAACCCTGGGCCTCTGTCATCAGGCTGGAAAGGAAAGCAGAGGCCATTCCAGGAGTCCCCCATCCCTGGCCCCCAGCACTTGGGGAAACATGAGAAGCAGAGCTTGAGGATCTCCTGTGTGCCCCCTCACGCCCCTTAATCCTTCCTGAACTTGGAGAGGGGGCTGGGTGTGGGGCGGGGGCGGCACCACTGCAACACCTGCGCAGCTCTGACATCTCCCGCCTCTGGGCAGAGAAAGCAATTTCAGAAATGACATGTTGCCAACAAGCAGAAATCAGCTTCTGAATTAAAATGTGTCAGCGTCAGGTGACCCCGGGCTCGGAGGGCTGGCTGCATGAAGACAGCTGAGATTAGAGCCTGTCAGGCTCTGGTGGGGCTGTGTGGGAAGAGGTGGGGGTCCCGGGGGGCTACCGTTGCTCTCCAGGCTTCTGGCCACCCTGGACTTGTTGAGACGTGGGGGCAGGAATTCGGACGCTGGGTCAGGTTCTCCCGTGCCTCTGCCCGGCCTCCACCACTCCACTGCCCACTCTCCATGGCGGGAGGACGGTGGGGCAGGGGTAGGGGCTCAGCTCCCCTGAGACGGCTCCAGCGTAAACACACTAATGGGCCCAAGAGAGCCAGGGAGGAATATGGGCCCCACAGCCCCTGGGGACTTGAGGAGGGATGGGAGTGGGGGGATAAGACGCGTGAGAGGCATTAACCTCCTCTTTGCGGTATGCAGGGTGGGGAGAAAGAGAGAGAGGAGAAGACAAGGAGGACCAAGTGGCAGGACTGGAAGATGCCACCAGTCGCCCTGAATCCTTGCAACTCCCTCATACCCCGTCTCTCTGTCCCCAGGCCGTGCCCAGCACTCCCCGGGAAGAGGCAGTGAAGAAGCTGTTTCATTTCCAGCCCTGCTACTTATTGTGTAGCAAGGGAACCTCTCTGAGCTTTAGTTTCCTCATCTATAAAATGGGGATCATAGGCCAGGCACAGTGGCTCACGCCTGTAATCCCAGCACTTTGGAAGGCCAAGATGGGTGGATCACCTGAGGTCAGGAGTTCAAGACCAGCCTGGCCAACATGGTGAAACCCCGTCTCTACTAAAAATACAAAAATAAGGCCGGGCGTGGGGTAGGCGCCTGTAATCCCAGCTACTCTATAGGCTGAGGCAGGAGACTCACTTGAACCCGGGAGGCGGAGGTTGTAGTGAGCCAAGATTGCGCCATTGCACTCCAGCCTGGGTGACAAAAGCGAGACTCCATCTCACAAAGGAAAAAAAAAAAAAGGCCGGGCGCAGTAGCTCACGCCTGTAATCCCAGCACTTTGGGAGGCTGAGGTGGGCGGATCACGAGGTCAGGAGATCAAGACCATCCTGGCTAACGTGGTGAAACCCCGTCTCTACTAAAAATACAAAAACAAAATTAGCCGGGCGTGGTGGCGGGCACCTGGAGTCCCAGCTACTCGGGAGGCTGAGGCAGGAGAATGGCATGAACCTGGGAGGCGGAGCTTGCAGTGAGCAGAGATCATGCCACTGCACTCCAGCCTGGGAGACAGAGGGAGACTCTGTCTCAAAAAAAAAAATGGGGATCATGGTTGTATGGACCCCTGGGGTTGCCCAGAGGGGAGTATGAGGAAATGGCCTGCACAGGAATGCCTGTGTGGGGTGGAGCCTGCACAGAGCCACCTATTGGAGTGCTGGACACCGTGCATGCCAGCCATCTCTTTGCTTGTCTCTCCCCTTGTCTGGGACCTCCCTGAAGGCTGGACCTAGTCTCATTACCATGGCATCTAGGACCCTGTCACGTGCCTCGTGCACCATAGGCCACCAATCCGTGTTTGCTGCATGATCGGTTGCAAGAAGGAACTCCAGGTGAGAGATGGAGCGAAGTCAAGAATCGGAAAGAAATGGGAAGGGTGGGGGCAGGCATAGGATGCTTCCCGCCAGTGCCTCTCCCTCCAGAATGTCCCCATCCCCATCATGGGTGAGCCTGTAATCCCAGCTACTCTAGAGGCTGAGGCAGGAGAATCGCTTGAACCTAGGAGGTGGAGGTTGCTGTGAGCCGAGATCGCACCACTGCACTCCAGCCTGGGCAACAAGAGCAAAACATCCTGTGGCTCCTTACAGCATGCACAGAATAGGATACACATCACCCAAGCAGCTTATTGCCAAAATGTTTAACCTGAATCCAAGTACAAGGAAACGATCAGGCAAATCTCAGTTGAGAGGTATTCCACGAGACATGCAGCCTGGACTCTTCAAACTATCACTGTTATGAAAGCAAAGAAAGAGGGGGACTGTTCTAGATTACAGGGAGCTGGAGAGACATGAAAACAACGTGCAATGCCTAATTCTTGAGTGGATCCTGGGCCAGGAAAACATGTTTTAAAAATTTTTTAATTTTAATTTTTTAGAGACAGGGTCTCACTCTGTCGCTCAGGCTGGAAGGCAGTGGTGCAATCACAGCTCACTATATCCTCGAACTCCTGGGCTCAAGCGATCTTCCTGCCTCGGCCTCTCCAATCGCTGGGATTATGGGTGTGAACCTGTGCCTGGCCAGAAAATAATGTTATAAAGGACATTTTGAGGGACAATTGGGGAAGTCTGAATATGGACTATGTAGTAGATAATTTTTGTCAATGTTACATCTCTTAGATGTGGTGATGGCCTTGTGGTTCTGTTGGAGAATGTTCTTGTCCTTAGGAGATACATGATAAAGTATGTAAGTGTCTTGGTGTCTGCAAAGGTCTCACAAGTGATTCAACAAGATAGATATTGCAAATGCAAAGACAGAAAGCACATGTGGCTGTTTTTAAAGGAGGAGGGATATTGCGGGTAGGGTACCCACCTAGTGACTGTCTCAACAAGCCCCGGTCCTCCTGGAAGATGGTGGCATTGAGCAGCTGGAGGTGGAGGGGTCTGCGGGCCTGTTTGGGAACTAGATTATGAGCAGGAACAAAGTAAGGCTCAGATGAGGGCAGGAGGAGGTGAGGATGGTGTATGGTAGAGAGAATATGGGGTTTGGAGGCAAAAGGCCTGGATCCGCTTGCTAGCGATATAGCCTTTGGTAAGTCACTTAACCATTTTGTGTCTCAATTCCCCTATCTGTAAAAAAAGAAGAAGGGTGTCCACCTTGTGAGGTTCAAGAGAGAAAATAGATGAGAAATCCCTTGATAAACTGGAGCCTGCTGCTGCATGTGGACGTGTCTGTCATTACTCAGAGCCAGCTGGTCTCCAGGCCCAGGAACACTGGGTAGAAGGAGCATGTTAGGACGGGGATGCTGGTGGAAATGTAGGCCCCTGCAGGGCTGGACTGTGGGCCCACCTCTGCCTCCCGCCCTGGGGAGCCCAGTTAAGGCAATGTGGACCCCAGCAGGGCTGAAGAACTGGGGCAGGGCAGGCCTGAGCCAGGAGACAGGCACTCTCTGCTGTGCTTGGCTCAGAAAGAGGCCTCCTCTCCCATCAGACCCCCAGGAGGATCCTGGTGGGCGAGGCCTCCCAAAGCATGTTGGGAAGGAACTGTGGCCAGAAAAGGGACACAGGATTCGTGTGTAAATGACCCAAACCACTGCATGGCTGTGCTTCTCATTTCTCCTATTAGACTGTAGGTCCCTGAAGGCCCCTGGTTGGCTTCATCCCGCCCCACCCTGAGCCATGCTGCTTGCCATAGCATGAGGGCTCCAGAAATGCTTATCAACTCCAGGAAGGATGCAGGCTCTGGCCTGTCTGAATTGGTGTGTAATCCAGGATGGATTATTTCCTTCCTCTAGGCCTTAGTTTACCCAGAATCAATAAAATGGGGCGATCCATCCCTGCCCGACCTATACCAGTGTACAGAGGAAAAAAATCCCATACTTTGGAGGCCAGGAGATCTGTGTTCCAATCCTGGCCCCACTGCCTGCCAGTTGCAATGAGGAGGCTTCTCATCTCACAACCTCCATTTCCTTATCCATTACGGGGACCATGTCCAATGTGCAAAGTTATTGCAATAAATTGAGACAAAGTAAATGCAAATAACTGGCATGTCATTTATTGGTTTATTGTCTTTCTCACCCACTAGGATGTCAGCCCCATGAGGCAGAGACTTGGTCCTGTTCCTTGCTGCACCAAGCACCCAGGATGCTGCCTGGTGCTCAATAAGAGATCCCTAAATAATCATTGGTTGAATAAATGGACATAAGGGGTGCTCAATAAGTGATGGCTTCCATTGTTATTCTAAAGTGTCCTGAGACAGAAAGCATTTGAAGTTCATGGTTGTTGAGAAAGGAAAGGTTCAAAAGCAAGTAATGTCCAGGGTTGGCATGGGGCTGTCTGTCTGCCAGGTGATGAAGGGTACCAGGAAAGCTGGGCTTATCTAGACCAGGGGACAGGACTATGTGCTCATGAGAGGCAGGCAGGGGCATCCATGAGCAACGGGGGCACTTGGGGCATCCTGTCCATTAGACTCCCTCACTCTAGCTGCCTGCAGGAGGACATGCAGGCCCAGTCTGCCAGCGCAGCTGACTTTTGCAAAAGCAGCCAGAAATCCAGTGGAAAACAATTCATTTTTACAAGCAAAACACAAATGAGAGCAATCAAAATTCATCTGTAGGTTGGGAGGGGCCCAGTGGTGTAGCCCAAGCTTCTTGGGCAGTGTGGGCAGAAGGACCCCTTGGAGTGGCCTCCATGGGTTCCTGGTCTCTCCAGCCTTCTCAGGCAGCCAAAGCCCCTGAGACATGGGACTCCACTTGGGGGAAGTGCCAACATGCCATCCAGATCCAAAAGGCTGGGATCACAGCCTGGGAAGGAACTGCTTCCCTGAGTTCTTGGGCTCACAGTGGTATCCAGGCTTTGGGGCTCCTGGGCTCAGAGCAGGTCAGCCCGTAGTGCCTGGTCTATGGAGATGTTCAGTAAATATTCATTGAACAAGTCTCTTAGGTGTGACTTTGAGCACAGCTCTCCATCTCTGGACCTCATCTATAAAATGGCCACAGTAATGTGGCCCCACCTACCTCACAGAGATAACGGAGAAATCAAGTGAGATGAAAGGGGTAAAAGTTTTTGTTTCTAAATAGCAAAGTGCTTTACAAATGCCAGGTGTGGGAATTCTCGTTGTCATTATCATTATGAGTAAGACACTTTTGCCAGAGCAGAAGAAGGGGGCCTGGACCCAGAAGGGCAGAAAATCTACAAAAACATCACAAGGAGGGTCTGGATGGAGCCCACCAGGGCTCATCACAGAGCGGACATGTGCTTACCAGCTCCGAGACAGACCCAGTCATGGAATACAGGTTTGTCCTCCTTCCCAGCGACCCGGCCTCCTGCTCAGTGGGGGACCCGGTCAGGTCAGGCTGTATCTCCCCAGACAGAGGGTTTCCGGGAAAATACACAAACCCCACCTGTGCTGTCTGTGAAATATAGCAACTATATAAATAATATAAATACTTTCTCATATATCTTAGCTATATAAATTATTCTCCTTTGCTCTAAAAACTATATATTTGAGGTAGACAAAAATACCCTGTGAGCATTTCCCTTAAAGCTGTAGAATGAGGGGTCAGTGGTCACTCTAGTCCCCAGGGGCCCCAAGAGGGCCGAGGTGGGTCTTCAGGGGTAACTGGAAAAGAAAGGGATGAGAGCAAGGAAGAAGAGAGGGAGAGAGACAGACAGAGAAGACCCCACAAGCCAAGGAGCCCTCAGAACCTGCACTGTGCCATTGACTTGGGGTGTCCATGTTAGCAGCCAGCCACTGCCTAGATGCCTTAGAGCCTGCCCTTTGCCCTCCCACGACCCTGGCACTGCCAGCCATGAAGTCAGAATGCAGGTGGCATGTTGGTGGATCAGGGTGCTCTGGCCTCCACGTTGCTCCCAGGCCCCCTGCTCTGCCAGTGAGGTCCCTGCTGCCTTACGCCCAGCACTGAGCCTGGGTGGAGGCAGAGTTGGGGTCTCGGAGGAGCAAGATGGATTGGGAAGGCAGAGAAAATCTCCATGCTGTGGGGAAGTGGAAGAAAGGAGAAAACCAGCCCTCTCCCCATTTTTCTCCTGCTGCCAAGGTGTGGGCCAGGTGCTTGGGTCAGCAATGTCATTTTAACGAGAGGGGCTCAGGTCAGTTTGGCTTCTCAGCCGGGCCTCTGCAGTCAAAAATCCTTCCAGCATCCAGCAGACTGCCCTGATCCACTGGAGACTGGGCAGCTCCTCCTCGCCCTTGGAGGTCTCAGGGAGTTGGCCAGGGCACAGTCAGCGGGCCTTTGTCCTGGAGCTGGCACAGGCGAGGTTTCTGAGCATTCAGCTGATTCTGAAATTTCCTGTGTTGGTGAAGGGTCAGCAACTCTAGGTTTAGGGAGAAAGGAAGCTGACAGATGGGCGTGGCAGGGCCAGCAAAGTGGCCAAGGGCTTCCCGAAAGAAGTCACTTCCTCCTGGGTGGCATCGGGCCCCACTCTGGGGAAGTACAATGCCTCCAGCAAGGGGACCCCTGCAAGGTCTTCATCCTGAACAAGAGAGGCATGTGCAACAGGAACCCCCAGCCTGGTCCAGGGGCTGTGCATCCATGTGTGCCTGTGTGGAGGTACCAGTCTCTCCTCCTTTCACAGAGGGCCTTGGCAGGTGCTGCTGAAAATGTCCACAGGATCTGAGGAAATTATCAAAGTCACGTCTCCTCCTCAAGTAAGAGCCAAAGTGAGGGCCAAGTGAGAGGCCATTAGGAACTGAAGGAGGCTACCCAGGAGCCAGGCTTAGCAAGGACTCAAGCACCTATAACCCCAGCCAGGGCAAAAGCCTTAACTAGATGAGCAGCCACAAGAATAGAAATGTAACTTCAAGTCATAGCTCGTGAGCCAGCTGTTCTTCAGTATTGTGAACTCAGCTGGTATGGGGGTGTCACAGACCAGGCAGGCCCCAGCCACAGGAAGTCACCAAAGCTCACTCAAGAGCCAGCTGAGAAACTGAGCTCGCCACGTCACTGCCAGGCACCAGGAAGCTGTTGCCCTCCTCCTCTGCGCTGGGAGTGAAGATTCCTTTGGCCAGCAGGGAACACAGGGAGGGGCCGTTGTCTCCCTGTTCAACCTCAGGTGCACTGAGTCCCGCCTTGGTGGCTAGTTCTCCCACCTGTCTTACCTGCACTGGTGGTAGTTTTGAGCACGGCTGGGTGAGTGTGCATAACCCAGCTCTCGAGACAAGAATGAGGCCTCAGCGGAGGCATATTTGAAAAGCCAAATCAAGGACACAGGGCTCCAGGGCACAGATCTCACTCGGGTCCACTCAAGCACAGAAAGCTCTCCTTTCTCTGAACGGATGGCTTCTACCACCTGTGCTTTCTCCCCATCTCTGGCACAGCAAAACCAGGGGAGTGGTGGAGGTGTGTGACACCTGGAGCCCACTGCACCTGAGCAGGGCCACAGGACCCGATTGACCCATCTCAGCCAGGCTCCCGCCTTCACTTCCAGCTGGCACTGCCTGCCTTGGCATTCCTAGCCCAGCAGTTCACCTCCCAAGAACATGCTGGCTCCAAGCCATTCATCCCAGGAAGCAAGATGGAATAGCCCCTCTCTCCCGTCCAAAATTTCAGTCCTGCTGTGCTCTTGGTCTCCCTTATTTCCCTCCATGTCTTTCTCACTCTGCCCTCCTCTCCAAGTCCTCAACAAGGTTGGGGATGCTTGGGTTAAGGGAGGAGGCTTTGCTTCTCTTTGTTGAGTATCGAGGGAGGCAAAAGGCTGGCCAAGGAATGGTGGTGAGTGGCACACTCGTGTGCATTGGCACACATGCCGGTTTATGCATGCATGTGATGACAGTCTGCCCAGAGGGCCGGCTGGGCAGCTTGAAGGGTGCCACAGGAGGTCCTGGCAGTGCCAGACTGGCTTGCTGGGCAGTAGGCCTAGTGCTTGCAGGTGTACACAAGCTCCTCCTGCACACATTGCTGGCACTCCACGTAGCAGCACCACTGCACCTGGCAGTGGCAGGAGAAGGCCACCAGGCGGCTCTGGGTGTCATAGCCCCGCCCGCAGCACAGGCTGCTGCAGCTGGCCTCCCGGGAGCACACCCTACCTGCTGTGCCAGGTGAGTACTTGCTGGGCCGGCAGAAGCTGGGTGAGTCCTCCATGTACACCAGGTCCCCAGACCTTGGGGCCAGGCCTTTGGTGAGGCTGCCCTGCCTGGCAGGGGCCCACAGCTCTAGGCGGCCCAAGGCCTCATTGGTGGCACTGGACACCTTGACAGCCGAGTCATAGCGCAGTTTCAGCACCTGGCCCGTCTCACGGAACGGGGAGAGCTGCTTCCAGCAGGTGCGCACGGCACAGGAGCCTGATACGCCATGGCACTTACACGTGGTCCTGAGGCCACTCTTCACAGCCTGTGGGGGAGGCAGAACAGAGGCGTGGTCAGAGGCCTGGGCCCAGCAGCCAGAGCCTGCCCCCAGAGCACCAACCCCAGCAGGGCAGAGGCAGGAGAATGGGAAAGAGACCCAGGGTCTCAGCCCCAGCTCCTCCCCTTGGCCTGGAGTTCTTGTGGAATAGACAACTTACGCGACTGAACACAGCAGTCCCAGTTCACACCAACTGAGTGACTGAACACAGCAGCCCCGGTTCACACCAACTCAGTGACTGAACACAGCAGCCCCGGTTCACACCAACTCAATGATTGAACACAGCAGCCCCGGTTCACAACTCAGTGATGACAACTCAGAACTTAATCTCATAAACAGCTAGAGCACTGGTGTCTCCCAGCCTCCTCCCCTCAATAGACCAAGATACTTTTCACCCTCCAGACCTCCCACTACTGTGTAACCTCAGCCCCTTCCCTTCTCTGGGCCACTTCCATCTTCCCACCCATAAAATGGAGAAGTGGGCAGTTGCTCTAGATGGAGGTTTTCAAACAATGTTGGGCTTCCAGGACCTCCAGGAAGGCCTGGTCCTTGGAATGGAGACCCCTCTCCAAACATGTCCCTGCTTCACCAGACCTAGTCCTAAGCCTGGCTCCCACTGGTGACCACTGCTTCCACCAATGACACTCATGACCCTTCCATGCTTCCGCTGTGTTCCTGGCACCCAGTCACAGCCCAGAGTAGATGCCAAGGGAATGCTGGTTGAAGACGTGAAGTTCATCCTGCCTTTATGAAGTTCACGGCTCTTCATGTATTTTGGGGAGTGGGGTGCTGGCCTCCTTCAAGCCATGCTCCCCAGCTGTGTACCCTGGTGGGAAGGCACTGCGGGCAGCCAGGGACATGCTCACCTTGATGCCCACGTGGGTATTGTGGGCGTCTGCCCGTGCCCGCAGGTCCTTGTTTCCTCTCTTGGACCCCAGGAAGTTGCTCAGAAACTTGGTGCTGTACTTGAGGTTGTCACCGCACACGCCCCACTGCCAGGCCTGCCGGCTCTCCAGCCCCGGAGAGTCATCACAGGTGCAGCGCTCCATGCGCCCAGCGCTGCAGGCCCGGGCCAGGGTGTGGGTGAGGGCGGCAGAGGACACCGCGTACAGGAAAGCTGTCTCTTTGAAGCCTGGATCGGGCACCCAGGGGCATAGGGAGGGAGGAAAGGGGGAAGAGAGGAAAGGAGGAAGCTTAGAGGTTGCCTGCCGCCCTCTGAGGGCCAGAGGCGGTGGTGGCAGCGCTGTGATGGGCAGGACAAGAGAATGTGGCTTGAGGACACAGCTCCGGGTGGGTCTCCCTGTCAACTGCCCCTTAAATTCTGACTGCAAGTTGCCATTTAAATGGAACTTCCAGGCTGGGCACAGTGGCTCGTGCCCCTAATCCCAGCACTTTAGGAGGCCAAGGCGGGCGGATCATTTGAGGTCAGGAGTTCAAGACCAGTCTGGCCAATATGGTGAAACCCCGTCTCTACTAAAAATACAAAAATTAGCCGGGCATGGTGGTACATGCCAATATTCCCAGCTACTCAGGAGGCTGAGGCAGGAGAATCACTTGAACCCGGAAGGTGGAGGTTGCAGTGAGCTGAGATTGCGCCATTGCACTCCAGCCTGGGTGACAGAGGGAGACCTTGTCTCAAAAAAATTTTTTTAATTTATAAATAAATAAATAAATGGAATTTACAAATTCACTATGGAGTATGTTCCCAGATTCCCAGAGGGCAGCAGGCCAGGGGCTACGGCCTTCACCTCTCAGAGAAGAACACTGAGATGCAAAGAGAAGCTACTCAGACACCTGGCGTAGGCACAGTTGGGGCTAAACCTGCCATTTTGACTCCAGGTCGGTGTATGACCATTTGGATGGGCCCATTTCTGAGGCCCCTGAGATAAGCCCCATGGGCTTCCTATGACACATGATGGTTCTCAAATGTCATTCTCTGCTACCCACTGTGGAATAGACCCAATGATACAGTGACCTTGAGTCTCCTGGCTGACTTGCCTCAGACTGACCATCCCACCCACTCCAGAACCACCGACACTCCTCTCTGCTGGGTGTGGCCCAAACCTGGCCTCCCACCAGCTCACTACTTCCTGCCTGCCCTCCAGTGCATCTGGGTGCTGGTGATGTCCCGAGAGAGACACAGAGAGAGGCCATTAGCTTGGCTGCAGACCGTGGAGAGCAGCTGGCCTAGGAGGGGCCTGGCTGCCCTGTACAGCATCACTGCATTTTTTTTTTTTTTTTTTTGAGACAGAGTCTCATTCTGTCTCCCAGGCTGGAGTGCAGTGACACAATCTTGGCTCACTGCAACCTCCACCTCCCGGGTTCAAGCAATTCTCCTGCCTCAGCCTCCCAAGTAGCTGGGATTACAGGCTCCTGCCACCATGCCAGCTAATTTTTGTATTTTTAGTAGAGATGGGGTTTCACCATTTTGACCACGCTGGTTACAAACTCCTGACCTCGGCCTCTCAAAGTGCTGGGATTACAGGTGTGAGCCATGGCAACCGGCCAACTGCAGTGTTTAAATTTTTGTATTTTTAGTAGAGACGGGGTTTCATCATATTGGCCAGACTGGTCTTGAACTCCTGACCTAAAGTGATCCACCCGCTTCGGCCTCCCAAAGTGCTAGGATTAGAGGCACAAGCCACTGCGCCCAGGCTAGAAGTTCCATTTAAATGGCAACTTGAGTCAGAGTTTAAGGGGCAATTGACAGGGAGACCCACCCGGAGCTGTGTCCTCAAGCCACATTCCCTCATCCTTCCCTGTCAAAAGCCCTTTCCCCTTGGCAAGGGAGTCACATGGTGACCTGTGTTCTCCCTTCCAGACTGCATGCTTCCCGAGGGTAGCTGGGTCTGGTTCAGCTCTGAACCTCCAGGATCTGGCACAGTGCCTGGCTCACTATGGGCCTCCATGGATGCTTAGTGGGTGGGTGGAGTGGGGAGGGAGGTAGAATGGGAGTGGAAGGGAAGGAGGGACTGATGGATCGATGGATGTGACAAACAAAGGGACAGATAAAGGAGTGAACAAATGCATCGCCTGGCTCGTGTCATCGGGCCTGGAATCAGCTGCCGCCCATCCTCACGTCTTCATGTGCCTTGTTTCGTGTGTGTGTGTGTGTGTGTGTGTGTGTGTGTGTGTGTGTGTGTGTGAAGAGGCAGAGGGAGACAACTGGGGGACCCCATCTTATCTGTGAGCTCCTCCAGGAATAGGCTTGTGTCTCCTCCTCTCTTGGATCTTCCTTGCTCCTCTGCTCCCCCAAACCTGAGGCTGGGCCACAGCTGGCCTTCAACTGCCCCTCATTAACTCTTGTGACTCTTCTCATTTGGGACCGTGCTAGGGCAGGAAGGGCAGTGTGGCCTGGGCACGGGAGCCAGGAAAAAGGAAAGGGCAGCCTCTCCCAGCCTCCTCCTCCCTGAAGGCTTCTTCCCCCAGCCCTCCCCGTCCCCTAGCCCTCCTCCCCACCTCTCTTGAGCAGGCCCATCCTGCCCTCCAGGCTACAGTTCCAGCGCTCATGCCGGAACTGAAACTGGCACTCAAGCAGGCCGAGGTGCGCAGCATCCCTCAGGGTCTCAGCCAGGCCGGGCTCCCTCCGGCAGAGCTGCTTCTGCCGCCGGGACAGCTTCAGCAGGTCACACTGCTTCAGGTGGGCCCCGCCCTGTGCCGGGGCTGCCGCAGTGCCCAATCCTGGGAAGGGCGTCAGGACTTCCCGCCCGGTCAGGCTAGAGAGAGCGAGAGGAGGGAGACAGGTGAGCCTTGGGGATGGTGGTGAGGGGCAAATGAAGGGAAGGGGCCTCCTCAGGGGCTTCATTTACTGCCCTTCTGGGCAGCAGGCTGACCCGCTGGAGGTCCCGTCCCCATTTTACAGATTAGGAAACCAAGGTTCATGTAACAAAGGTTGCTGCAGGACCTTAAACCTGTTTTCCAGATTCCGGTCTCTGCTCTTCTTATCCACCCTATTTTCCTATTTCCCTATTGGCCCAGTTAGAAAAATCATCTGGGGTGCTTATTAAAAATACGCTTTCCCAGGATCCATGCTGGGCAATTCTGGGTCTATTGGTTTGGAATTGGGCCTGGGAATCTGTACATTTACCACAGTCCCTAGGCAGCTTTTGTGATCCGGGAAGTTTGGGAAATAATGCACAGAGTATTGGTGGCTGCCTGGCCAAGAGAGCCACATTCCTGAGAGGGGGCAGGCAGAGGGGATGTGGACATTGAGCGGACACCCAGCCAAGGTCCCCTGACATCCCTCTCTCCCTTACATTATGCTGCTGCCCAAGTAATCCTGTACCAATCTAACATGTTTCCATAATTCCCAGATAGACCTTCAACCATCTGACCACCTGGTGCCTGGTACAAACAGATGCCTGGGGAGAGAAGGGGATGGAAGGAAAGAGAAGGGAAGGAAGGAAGGACTGATGGATGGTTAGATGAAGGTGAAGGAGCTGAATTCCCATCAGGCCATCAATCCCAGACTTCTTGTTCTCCTAGATTGAAAGTTCATCGATTCTGGAGCCAAGCTACCAAATTCTAAGGCTGATGTTCTAGCTATGCAATCTTGACACCTTGGTTTTTTCCCTTCTGGAAACTGGGCAGAGTGATCTTCTCTACCTCCTAGGGTTGGTGGGAGGATTATATGAAATGGACTAACCACAGTGCCTGGGACAAGCAGGCCTACCTTCCTGCTAGCTGGAGCTTCCCAAACTTCCCTCATTTTGCAAGATGCTTTACTCTCCAGCTAAGCAGAGTCTCCCCTTTGTCCAGATGAGGAAACAAAGGATTTACGAGGGGGCAGTGACTGGACTGGTCATACAACAGATCAGCAGCAGGGTGGGAATTGGAATTAGAGTTCGTCTTCCCTCTTCCCAGAAGCTCTCTGTGAGATGGCTCTGCTGGTTCAAAATGTTTGCTGTCCTATATCCTGGTGCCCCCAGTGTGGGTGGAATATACATCATTCCAGGACCCAGCCCAAGAGAAGTAACCCTGTTCTGGGATATCCTGGCCTCATAGCCAGGGTAAAAGATCAAAGGTGGGCTGGGCACAGTGGCTCACACCTGTAATTCCACACTTTGGGAGGCTGAGCAGGTGGATCGCTTGAGTCCAGGAGTTTGAGAGCAGCCTGTGTGACAGCAAAACCCTGTCTCTACTAAAAATAGAAAAATTATGTGGGCATGGTGGCACACACCTGTAGTCCCAGCTACTTGGGAGGCTGAGGTGGAAGGATAGCTTGAGCTCGGGAGGTGGAGGCTGCAGTGAGCTGAGATCGCATCACTGCACTCCAGCCTGGGAAACAGAGCAAGACCCTATCTCAAAAAAAAAAAAAAAAAAAAAAAAGCAAAGGTGGAAGCAGGCAATGTCTCTTAGAGCTCCTGCTTGGATGTGGCACTTGCCACTGTTGCTCATGTGCCACTGGCCAAGGTAAGTCCTGTGGTCAAGCCAGGAGTGGTCAGAGAAGCCCATGTTCCTCTGAGCCAAGGGCACAGCTCTCCTCTTTGGAGTCACCTGCCTTAGCCAGGACATCTGGCTGGAGGCCATGCCCTCTCTGTATGCCCCAGAAGTTGGAAGCCTCACCAGAGGGTATGCGGCCTGGCCAGGCCCCAGGTGCCCTCAGAAATCACCTGTAGATTCCACACCCATCAGGTGCAGTCAACCCATCATGGAGCATATCTCCGAAACCTCCGAGCAGAGACAGATGCTATCGGGCTCCCGTTGGCCTAGCCTGGCCCTGGGCTCCTCTCCCAGACAGGGTGAGGGCAGGGACCCGTTAATCATTAATCTGGGGGCAAATGGGTAATTTTCCAGTCCACCAGGTCTACACCCAAACCCCTCCCTGCAGCCTGGCAGGAAATCCTCAGAGTTTGACCCTTGGCAGGTCCAGAGAAGAACTGGATGTCAACTCCAGCTGAGGAGGCCACGCCTTGACTGGCTTCCAGTGTGGAGGGCAGCTTGGGGGCTGCAGCTACCTTGCCCTCAAATGTCCTCCTTCTCACACCGAGGGCTGGTGTGAGTGGCGACTTCTGCTCACACAATTCCTGTGTTTCAGAAACTGGACCTCCCTGATAGCAACTGATTGACAGAGGGGAGAGCAAGCAGGGAGTGATGGAAATTTTGGCCAATGAAGCTGCATATCCTTCAAGACCTGCCTCAAATGCCATTTTAAGAATAATAGCTATGATTATTATATCATTATAGCTACAGTATATGTCATATGATATGACATGATATATAACATTTTTTTTTTTGAGACAGTCTTGCTATGTGGTCCAGGCTAGAGTGCAGTGGTGTGATCTCAGCTCACTGTAACCTCCACTTCCCGGGTTCAAGCAATTCTCCTGCCTCAGCCTCCCGAGTAGCTGGGACTACAGGTGTGCGCCACCATCCCTGGCTAATTTTCATATTTTTAGTAGAGACGGGGTTTCACCATGTTAGCCAGGCTGGTTTCGAACTCCTGACTTCAAGTGACCTGCCCGCCTCAGCCTCCCAGAGTGCTGGAATTACAGACGTGAGCCACTGCACCCTGCCCAAGCTGTGTTCTTGTCTGGGACTCCCATGTAGTGTGGAGCGAAGGCTCAAAGTTGGTTTGTCTAACTAAATGCATCATCCTTGATTATGACCTCTGACATGTGAAGAGTGCCAGAATTCCCTAGGCTGCACTTGGGAGCCAGACCCAGCAAACCCCTCCACTCATTCAACAGGCATCTGGTTTTTGTTGGTTTGTTCATTTTTGTTTTCGTTTTTGGTGCTTCTGGCATGGAGTGGGTGGAGACCAGGGACGCTGCCCAGCACTCTGCAGTGCCCAGAACGGCTCCACTCCAACCACAATGTCCGCGATGCCCAGGGGAAGAGACCCTGGAGGGAGCAATGGGTCTCAAACGGTGCCCAGCTCTGCATGGCCAGTGTTGCCTTGGAGCTCTGTGGAATGCAAATCCTCAGGCCCCACCCCAGAGGCATCTGTTTTTTAAATTTCATCTAATGGACCCTGAGATTGATGGCTCAGAGAGTCCAGTATCAAGTCGGTTAATTTTATTAGTGGTAATGACACTTAGTAGCGATTAATGACCAGGAAAGGTAGCCAACCGCACAGAGGCCTCAGGCCACACCGGGCCCTGGTCTGCCCAGGGCTGCTCTCAAAGAAGGCTCCCTGGCACTGCCTCGGGAACCCCACAGGGCCCATGAAGACAGCCTGGGAGGCCTCAAAGACCCAGTTTCCCTCTGTTTATTTTCTGTGTTGCAGTTTGGGATCGTATTTCCTTTGAAGAAATAGTACCATGACATCATATTTAGAAAATGACCATCTATTTTCCTCAACAGTGAATTATCCGACACATGCTCAGCCCATGGCTTCTGCTGGGAAGGTATCTTCCTAGACCCCAGAATAATTCTGGGTGTGGCAGGCTTCAGCCTGCTCAGAGGTCAGCAGGAACAACGTCATCCCCTGGAAGAAGTCATACTGTTTGGCATCCCAGCCCTGCAGACACCACTCACTGGGTCCCTCTGTGAAATCTCAATTACCCACAGTTAGCTGAGTGCCAAGGGGGTAAGATGGACAACTGGAGAAATTCAAGTGGGCTTCCTTAGTCTTATGAACCCAGAAAAATGTGTTTATTTTGGTGTTTTTGTTTTGTTTTGTTTTGTTTTGTTTTTTAATCGAGTCTCACTCCATCACCCAGGCTGGAGTGCAGTGCTGAGATTTCGGCTCACTGCAACCTCTGCCTCCCGGGTTCAAGCAATTCTCCTACCTCAGCCTCCCGAGTAGCTGGGATTATGGGCACGTGCCACCACGCCCAGCTATTTTTTTTGTGTATTTTTAGTAGAGATGGGGTTTCGCCATGTTGGCTAGGCTGGTCTTGAACTCCTGACCTCATGTGATCCGCCCACCTTGGCCTCCCAAAGTGCTGGGATTACAGGCATGAGCCACCACGCCCAGCCAAATATGGGGGTCTTAATGAAGATGCTGCCTTATGGCCAATGAGATGCTATCAGATCAGTTAAACAAGTAACCAGGGTTCTGAACTAAAGGGCAGAGGAAGGGTTGTTTGCCAACTTGCTAATTGCTCTTCTGGGCTGGGGGCTACTGCCTGACTCAGGTGCTCCTGAGCCTCCTGGGGCCACCACTCTATCAGGCTGCACCTGCTTTGGCCCAGCTACCTCCACTATTCCTGTCTGTCTCAGGCTCCCCAGGCTAACTTCCAGCCTCTCTTTTCCCATTAAGAAAGCAATGACCCCAGGTGAACAGCGGCCGCCTCCTCCCCTTGCTGCCCCCAGTCTGTGCCCTTCTGTTCTCTGCACCTTCACCCCATGGTCCTTGGTGGTCAGGTTCATCATAAAACCAGAGCCCCCACCTCCACACATGCGATGACCTCTGGCTTGGACCCCAGGACACCCCCAACCACTTGACAGACCAGCCTGTCTTTCTCTAGAGTGGGAGAAGTCAAGGGTGCCCCTCAGGGCTTCATCTCACACACTCTCACCCTCAGATCTCTTCTGATCCTCCTGGAACCTCCTTCCCCACCTCCTTTCACACTCTCCAACACACACCCCACCCACAATTGTGGCTAAAGCTGCCCCGCTGGGGTGACCTTGAAGGAAGCAGAAGATGGCTCTCCCAGGTTTTGGCAAAAGCCTCCCAGGAGACTGCTCTGTCCACCGTCAGCAGGACCCCAGGGACCTCACCCTTCAGTAATCACCCACCCCCTGCCTGGAGAGTGGGGCCCAAGGATCTCATGCCCCAAGGCTGTTCTGGCCTAGGTAGTCTGGTCCTAGGTCTGACTCACTCCGAGGTGACCTCAGGGTTGTCCCCTCACCAACTGAGCTCATTCCATCAAACAAATACACCTTAACTCATGAGAGGGGATGGCTGGAGCCAGACTGCCTGGGTTCAAATCCCACCTCCACCTCTTCCTAGTTGTGCTACCTTAGGCAAGGTGCTTTACCTCTCTATGCTCTGAGAGCAGTGAGCACACAGTAAGCTCCAGATAAGTATTTGTCATTAGTGAGCATCTACCATGTGCCAGGTACTGTGCTGGGACACGGTCCTGCCCTCAAGAAGCTCACAGTCTGGAAGGAAGTTGGTTGGACTCAGGAGTCCTCCAGACTCTCTCAAGGCCCCAAGAAGGGGAAGGAAGAGAAAGCTTTGCACTGGCCTGCCTCCTTGAGGAAACACCAGTAGCTGCTTAGGGACCCAGATCAGAACTCCTGGTACCATGCAGGTGAGAACTTGATCTTGACCAGTCCCATCCTGCCTGTAGGAGGCCTGGGGGTGAGGAGGAGGCAAGAGGAAGCTCTCAGGGAGCACTCCAGGCTGTTTGGGGAAGACCAGGTTGGTGGAGAGCTTTTCTCATCACCTAAGAGGACCCCAAGCCCTGTTCTTCCACCTACTCCCATCCTAGTTTCTGCTTGAGAGGGTCTGATGCTTTCAGCAGAGGCTATCCCCAGGATGTGGTGGGTGGGTGGCACAGGACAAGGCAGGTGGTTTCTAGGGCACCAGGTAATGCCAGTGTGTCTGGACTCTTAGCTGGAGGGTCCAGGAGTAGTGCATTACGCCAGGGCCATGCCAACTACAGGCAGCTGCCTGGGAACCGGGAAAGCCTTGTGCTGCCCGGGGTGCTGGCTTCCACCCTGAAAAACCCCATCAGATGCTCCTGATAACAGGCTTCCGCTGCAAGGCCATTTGCATGGTGAGTGCGCCCTTTGTGCTTTCATCTCAAACGTCTCAGTCTACCTCTCCTGGCCCTCACTGATCCCCCTACACACACAAATACACACACACACTCACACTCCCTCACACACACATCCACATTCATACACACCTATACTCGCACATACACTCATGCACACTCTCACACATACACACATTCTCACGCACATACACACTCACACACACACTCTCACACACCCCTAGCCCCTCCTGTGCTCTCCGCTCCCAACCTCTTCCCAGTAGCGGGGAGTTCAGTGAGGGGCAGTGCCTGGCCCAGTAAGAGAGGGCACCATGGCTCTGGGCAGCCCTTTTTTGAGGGTGGCTGCTCAACACCAACTCCAGGCTTCTCTCCCCTCCTGCTGTTACACTGGGAGGCCCCAGATTTCCCCTACTGTGAGCACACCCTCCCCTCTACCTTCCAGGTGCCTTTCTCTTCTACAGCACCCAATGCCACCTTGCACCTCCTCCATGACGTCCTGCAGCCAGGCAAATTCGGAAGCTACTATTTCCAACCTTCCTACCTTTATGCCCAACTCTCTCCACCCCCTCTTTTCACTTACTCGCTCATTCATTTATACCTCTATTAACTGAGTATCAATAAACAAAAGTACAACTATAAAGGATTTTTTTGGTCAGGCATTGTGGCGCGCACCTGTAGTACCAGCACTTTGGGAAGTCAAGGCAGGTGAATCACTTGAGCCTAGGAGTTCAAAACCAGCCTGGGCAACGTAAGTGAGACGTTGTCTCTACAAAATTAAAAATTAAAAAATTAGCTGGGCATGGTGGCACGTGCCTGTGGTTCCAGCTACAGGCTAGGAGGATCGCTTGAGCCCAGGAGGTCAAGGCTGCAGTGGGCCATGATCACGCCACCGCACTCCAGCCTGGGTGACAGAGTGAGACCCTGTCACACACACCAAAAAGGACTTTTCTAAGCATCAGCTTTTTGCCCAGTCCACCCACAGACCTCAAAACCACTCGTTCCTCCTGTCTGGCTCCCCAACCCCTACTCCTGGATCCAGCCTTCCTTCCCTACCCAGCTCTCACCCTCCATCCCCATGAACCCACCCTGAGGACTGAATCTGGCCACACTTCCCCGCTGGAGCCCACCCCACAGCCTCGTCCCCCACCCATCCCTGACTCAGAGAGGAAAGAGCCGGGTCCAGCTGTAGGCTTTGTCTCTCCAAGCACAGCCCCACTTCCTGTCTCACAGCCGCAGACCAGGCTGCCTGCAGGGGATGGCATCAGGGAGACGTGCTCAGGGGCTAAGTGGGTAGTGAGCAGCTCGCACAGCAAGCATGCTTTGCATCTCAACAATCCCCGGCATTTAGAGTGTGGCTAGTTCAACATCTGTGAAGGAAATGCTTTTTCTTCTTCCTCCTGTCTCTCTCCCTCTCCACTCAGGCTCGGGCTGAAGCCAAGGAGAGGAAGCCTTTGTCCCTGGCACGTATGCATCAGGTGTCACAGTGGCTGCGGAGGGTCCCCAAAGTCATTCCTGCAAAGAAGGATCCATCACCTCTATGAGTCTGTGACTGTAAACATCTACCCCAGTTCCTAGGCTGAGTCCAAATGTACACCATTCAAACCATTATACGTTAGAGCTGGAGAAACCCTTTAAGGTCACCCGGCCCAGAAGTTCTGCTCTGCTGGCTCCTGGAAGGTGTCCTGGAGGCTGTGCGGGGAAGCAGGAGGGCAAGGGCATGCCAAGTGTGCAGGTCTCCGGTGGCCACAAATTCATGCAAGATTGGTCGTCCAAGGCGACCCACTGGCTTGGTAGCAGGGCTGGGTCTGTGGCCCAGGTCTCTTGATTGCTTCCACCAAGCCTGGCAGTTTCTGCTTGCAGACCCAGCACATCAGGGAAGCCAAATCAGCCATCACCACAGCAAGCATCTAAGGTGGTGGAAATGCAAGACAGCTAGGTTTTGAGGGAAGGAAACCTGGTCAGGACTCCTCTGACCCCCTGGGTGGCCCAAGGGTGGACCCTCAGGAAGGGAGAGAAAGACCCTCTGTTTAAAGGCTACTTTCCCTGGTCTGAAACTCAGTCTCTTCAGCAAAAAGTCAGGAATCAGGCTTACAGAAGTGGCCTACCTCTTCATACTAAAGTGTGAGAGTCTGATACAATACCAGTGCTTGAGAACATACTTGGCTAGATAGAGGGAAGTTCAAAGGAGAGGGCCTGGTATGTGAAGAGAAGGAGTTGGGGGAGCTTGGTGTGGGGATGTGGAGGCAGTGGGTGGGAAGTTCAGGGAAAGGCAAATCATGGCTGAAACCGCACTCCTGGTGGCAAGTTCCTACCCAACCAGGGTACTGGGTGACTCTGGCTGGGTGACTGCAGCCAAGTTATTTAACCATGACGCATTGACCAACTAACTACCTTGACAGGTTCTTGAATGCACCCTGGGCTCCGATCACCCTCTTCCCACGCACAGGCAGGCTCAGGCTGGGCTTGGGCCCTGGAAGGGCCAGGCCTCTGGGGAATGCCTTGTGCGTGACCCCCTCAATGATGAGGACAGTGCCATTGTTTGCACAGGCTCTAGGCAGAGATGTCCCATGCTGCAGATTCCACTTGTTCTCCTGCAGGCCCCACGGATGGCCCACACCCTTCGCCCAGCTGTAGGGACAGCAGGAACCTCCCTGCCTGATCAAGGATCCACCCCCAGAGTAGTCCAGGACACCCCCTGGGATGGATGTAGTTGTGAGCGGCTCCCTTGGGAATAGAACCACTAGGACTGTCCTAAATCCAGAGCCAGCCAGGGCTGGAGAAAGGGGACCCTCCCCTCAGCCAGGCTAGTCTCTCCCTTGTCCTCTGCCATGTCTAACTCGGTCCGACCCCCATGCTGTAACCTTCTCCCAGTCCAAAAGCCCTCATGGATACCCTGGAACCTTTTATAGCCATGTCCTTTTTTAACATTTGATCACCCCGAGGTCCCAGACAGCTCTAGTATGCTGTGATGTTTGTTTGCCTCCTCCAGGAAGCCCTCCTTACTTGCCAGCCCCATCCCCCTCTAACCATCCTCTTTCTTTGTCTTCTCCCACTTTTGTATATATAGTACCATCAGTTCCGCATGGCAGACACTCCTTTCTTCCTCTTCAAAGCTGTATCCTGTAAGCTCCTTGGCAGAGGCCATGGTTTTTCATACCCTGAGATCCATTCTTTCCCAGTCCAGATGCGTGCTCCTCCCAAGCAGATGCTCTACAGACACCTGCTGGCTGCATATTATGCCCCTTAGGTGTCTAACCCCACGCAAGGAGTGCAGTTCGGGGCTGTCCCTCAGCCTCCCTGCAGTCCCACCCTGCTGGCTTCGCTGTGGTCTTGCTCTCTGGCTGCAGAGGCTACCACCTAACGCCCCACCGCCAAACCTTCCCAAGCTGGGGCTGGGCGGGCTTTGGGAGGGCGTGGCTCTGGAGGAGGCTGCCTGTGCCACGCCCTCCCTAGCCCACGACTGATTGCTGGCGTATGCTCTCCCCAGTGCCAGATCTCGGGGCCATCCCGCCATGGTCCTCAGCCCCTGTGGGGCCCTGTACCTTGGGGTCTGAGAGCCAGGCCCGTTCCCTCTGAACCTCAGTTCCTGGGGAAGATCTGTGCTTGGGTAGCCTGGTGACACCCAGCGAGGACCAGCCAAGCAACTGGCCTGAGTCTTTGTTTAAAACTCAGCTTAGGCCTGGTACACAGTGGCTCACGCTTGTAATCCCAGCACTCTGGGAGGCCGAGGCGGGCGGATCACTTGAGATCAGGAGTTTGAGACCAGCCTGGCCAACATGGTAAAACCCCATCTCTACTAAAGATACAAAAAATTAGCCAGGTGTGGTGGTAGACGCCTGTTGTCCTAGCTACTCGGGAGGCTGAGGCAGGAGAATCCCTTGAACCTGGGAGGCAGAGGTTGTAGTGAGCTAAGATCCTGCCACTGCACTCCAGCCTGGGCGACAGAGCAAGACTCCGTCTCAAAAAAACAAAACAAAACAAACAAAAAAAACTCAGCTTGCACAACCTCTCGCAGTGACTTGGGCTCAGAATTTGCCACAGATTCACAAACCCTTATCCACAATTCCAAATTCCAGGAAACTCAGAAAACTACAAGTTTTTTTAACAATTGTGGTGAACTCATACGGTAGCAAGCCCTGACCCAAACCAGGGAGAATATTATGGGCTTTGTTTATCCCAACCTGTAGATGTCTACCTGCAAAATTAATAGAGTCTGATTACAGGTGCTGCCCCAGATCTTGCTAGAGGTGCTGTTAGCCATGGAATATACGATACGTTACCTTTCTGTACTTTTAATTTTTTAATTTTTATTTTTTAAGTTTATTTGTTCTGCCTCCCCTACCTCCTATATTACTTTTCTTTCCCTTTTCTTTTTCTTTTTCTTTTTTTTTTTTTTTTGAGACGGAGTTTCACTCTTGTTGCCCAGGCTTCAGTGCAATGGCACAATCTCGGCTCACTGCAAACTCCGCCTCCCAGGTTCAAGCAATTCTCTTGCCTCAGCCTCCCAAGTAGCTGGGATTACAAGCGGCTGTCACCACGCCCAGCTATTTTTGTATTTTTAGTAGAGATGGGGTTTCACCATGTTGGCCAGGCTGTTCTCAAACTCCTGACCTCAGGTGATCCACCTGCCTCAGCCTCCCAAAGTGCTGGGATTACAGGCATGAGCCACTGCACCCGGCCTACTTTTCTAAAATTCAAAGAGAAATGTTGAATTCTGACAGCATCTGGCCTCAAAGGGATTGTAACACCAGGAAAAACAAACCCTTTGGTCTTGCCCTAAAACCAGCCTCTTGGAAGTTTCCAGGACTGACCAGAGCTTGGTAGTTGGTCTTTCTGGCTCTAAGACTCTTCACCCTCCTCTTCAGCCTTCATCTCTCCAATGAGGGGCTTGGGTGTAGAAGAGGCCACCCTATGCCCCCAGCTCATGTCTGCTGCTACCAGCATGCCATGAGGTGGTGGGTGTGGCTGATTTCTGGAGTCCGATGGGGATAAGTCTCTGCTCTCTGCTTTGTGTCCAGTTCCTATCCTGACAGAAGCCAGGCCATGGCTCCCAGTTGGCCAGGCCTAGGTGAGGTAGTATGTGCCCCAGAGAGCCCATGGAGGCAGAAGATGAAGGAGTGAATGGGACAGGGCACAGAGGGAGATTCCAGGGGAAAGGAAGGGCCAGTGAAAGGGAGAGGACGCTGCCCACCAAGATATTCACTGCAGACCAGGGAGCACTGCTAGAGACTGTGGGACTCAGCCAACAGCAGGGCCCCGAGGTCTCTACTAAAGGAAACTACAAGTGAATTGAAGACCTGAGCACCTGAAAAATTAGCTAATGAGCCAAGAGTTTGAGACACACAGGACAACAGATGCCCAGGACATGCACCAAGTGCAGGGCCTGGGCCACAGGGTCGGGGCTCAGAGGGACAGAGCTGCCCTAAGGGGACAGGCCTCCAGTTGGGGTTCCACTGCCAACATATGGCAGAGATGAAGAGGTTGGCTTGGATTCTGACAGTTTCCCCCCAACACGCACACCTATAAATGAGGATAACTGGCCAGGTATGATGCCTTGGGCCTGTAATCCCAGCTACTCAGAAGGCAGAGGCAGGAGGACTGCTTGAGGTCAGGAGTTCAAGGCTGCCATGAGCTATGATCAAGCCATTGCACTCTAGTCTGGGTGACAGAGCAGGAACCTATCTCTCTAAAAATAAAAAAAAAGTGAAATTTTAAAATAAATGAGAATTATATCAGCACCTACCTCCTGGGTTGCCACAATGTGAGGTGAAGTAATGCACATAAAGTGCTGAGCACAGAAAAGGCTGGGTTTGTTCTGAATTGTACAGTGGCTGGGATACAGGCACAGAGAAGAAGGAACAGATGTCACCACCAAAGACTCTTCTAAACGTGGGACGCTGTAAGGCAGATCACTAGATTTCTTGGAATCCTTATATAGAGATAGCATTTGAATACCTATATATACATTCATTTAACTCTTACAACAAGCCTAAGAGATCAAGATTATCCCATTTTACAGATGAGAAAACTGGGGTCAGAATGGTTATCTGACTTGCCCTGGGTCAGTCAGTAAGTGGTAGATGGAGATTTGAACTCTGATCTGTGTGACCCCAAGCCCAGTGCCCCTTACACTATAACAGGGCCTTGGGCCATGTCCGATCCTGCTCATGCTGATGCCAGGATGGGAGTCACCCTCACAGCACCTGGCCCACCTCCTCCTGAGCCCAACTTCCACCTGAGCACATAATCCCAAAGGCACCAGGACCTCTCTTCCTTAGGAGATTCCAGCCCGGGAGTCTGCCGGCCCCGCTTCCCTCCTCTCCTCCTTCCCGTCCTCAGCCACAGAAAGTCCACCATCATCCACTGAAGAGGCTAGGATGACTCTCAGCCCAACTCTGGAGCCCAGCTCCTCAGGGGTTACAGCTCAGCCAGAGACAAGCTGGCCTAAATTCCTTCCCAAAACACAGTGATTCTTATCAGCGATGTTTGGCTTTCAGTCCACCACCCCCAAAGCAGTAAAATTTCTTTTACCTTTCCTTCCCTCCAACTATGTTTTTCTCAGGCCCCAATTCAATTTCTAAAAATGTGTTTTTATTAAAAATAAAAACAATACTATCTAAATACATAGAGCACATTGGAAGAATTTCTTTTTTTAAATTTTCAATGCCTGCACACTGAAAACTAGAAAACACTGCTGAGAGAAATTACAAAAGCTCTAAATAGAAAGATATGGCCTGTGTGCAAATCAGCAGACTCAATATTGTTAGAACGTCAATCTTCCATGAACTGATGTATAGATTCAATGCAATCCCAGTCAAAATCCTAGGAGGCTTTCATGTGGATATTGACGAGATACTACTAAAATCTATGCCGAAATACAATGACCCTGAATAGCCCATGCAATTTCGAAAAAATAGTGCACAGTTAGAGAACTTATAGTACTTAGTTTCAAGACTTAACATAAAGCTATAGTAATCTAGGAATATAAAAGGCTTATTGGGGAAAAATTTTTTTTAAAGCTACTGTAATCAAGGCTGTATAGTATTGGCATAAGGATAGGCATATAGATAAATGAAACAGAGTAGAGTGTCCAGAAATAGGCCCACACATATTGAATCAATTGATGAGCAACAAAGATGACAGTGGAGAAAACATCATCATTTCAACAAATGGCACTGAAACACGTGGACATTCATATGCAAAATAATAAGCTTGCCCCTTACTCCATGCTGTACACACTAGTTAACTCAAAATGAACCATAGACTTAAGGGTAAAAGCTAAGATTGGCTGGGTGTGGTGGCTCACGCCTGTAATGCCAGCACTTTGGGAGGCCGAGGCAGGTGGATCACCTGAGGTCAGGAGTTCAAGACCAGCCTGCCCAACATGGTGAAACCCCATCTCCACTAAAAATACAAAATTAGCTAGGCACAGTGGCGGGCATCTGTACTTCCAGCTACTCAGGAGGCTGAGTCAGAAGAATCACTTGAACCCGGGAGGTGGAGGTTGCAGTGAGCCGAGATCATGCCACTGCACTCCAGCCTGGGTAACAAGAGTGAAATTCTGTCAAAAAAAAAAAAAAAAA
The DNA here is from genome assembly GCF_000001405.40 of Homo sapiens. Taxonomy (NCBI): domain Eukaryota; kingdom Metazoa; phylum Chordata; class Mammalia; order Primates; family Hominidae; genus Homo; species Homo sapiens. The sequence continues at coordinate 46,858,978 of NC_000017.11, read as the reverse complement.
GCTAAAATTATAAGTTTCTAGCTGTGGCTCATGCCAATAATCCCAGCAGTTTGAGAGGCCGAGGCAGGAGAATTGCTTGAGCCCAGGAGTTTGAGACCAGCCTGAGCAACATAGCAAAACCCCATCTCTACAAAAAAATAAAAAATTAGCTGGGCGTGATGGCGCATGCCTGTGGCCCCAGCTACTCAGGAGGCTAAGGCAGGAGGATCACTTGAGTCCAGAAGGTCGAGGCTGTAGTGAGCTGTGATTGTGTAACACATTTAGTTTCCTTGTGAGAACTATTTACACCCATCCTACATGGTTCTGGAGGAATGGCCCTGAGGATCAGGTGAGAGAAGGGGCTGTATGAGAAAGTGATTTGTAAACTGCAATACTAGTTATTATGTTTTTATCACCACCAACAGAATTAGGCTCCAGGCTTACTCAAAAGCAGCAGAAGCAACTCTAGCCTGGAGGACCGAAAGATATCATTTCTCCAAAAAATAAAATAAAATAAAATAAAATAAAATAAAAAGGAGAAAACGTAGGAAGAAATCTTTGCAACTTTTGGGTAGGCAGAGATTTCTTGGGTAGAACACCAACAAAGCACAAACCATACAAGAAAAGGTTGATACACTGGACTTCATCAAAATTAAAAACATCTGTTCTTCATAAGACATCAATAAGAAAATGAAACGGCAAGTCACGGGCAGGAATAAAATATTACCAGTACTTGTGACAAAGACTTGTATCCAAAATATATAAAGAACTCTTAGGCCAAGTGGCTCACGCCTGTAATCCCAGCACTTTGGGAGGCCGAGGTGGGTGGATCACATGAGGTCAGGAGTTCAAGACCAGCCAGGCCAACATGATGAAACCTTATCTCTACTACAAATACAAAAATTAGCCGAGCATGGTGGCGCATGCCTGTAGTCCCAGCTACTTGGGAGGCTGAGCCACAAGAATTGCTTGAATCCAGGAGGTGGAGGTTGCAGTTAGCCAAGATCATGCCATTGTACTCCAGCCTGGGATACAGAGTGAGACTCCATCTCAAACAACAGCAACAACAACAACAACAAAATACATAAAGAACTCTTACAATTCAATAAGAAGACAAATAACCCAATGAAATGATATTCAAATGACCAATATACACATGGGAAAATGTTCAACACACCATTCATCAATGGGGAAATACAAATTAAAACCACAATGAGATACTACTACATACTTACGAAAATAGCCACAAGTTAAAACTGATGATAGCTGACCATAGAATATGGAGCAACTGGAACTCTCATACATTACTGTGTAAAATGGTAAAACCACTCTGAAAAATGCCAATTCTATAAGTTATGCATATATCAACCATCTGATCCAACAATCCACTCCTAGACAGTTATCCAAGAGAAATGAAAACATACACCCACAAAAAGAGATGTACATGGATGTTTATACCAGCTTTATTTGGAATAGTCCAAAACTGCAAATAACCCAAATATCTTTTTTTTTTTTTTTTTTTTTTGAGACAGAGTCTTGCTCTGTTGCCCAGGCTGGAGAGCAGTGGCACAGTCTTGGCTCACTGCAACCTCTGCCTCCTGGGTTCAAGTGATTCTCCTGCCTCAGCCTCCTGAGTAGCTGGGATTAGAGGCATGCACCACCACCATCACACCCAGCTGATTCTTGTAATTTTAGTAGAGATGGGTTTTCACCATGTTGGCCAGGCTGGTCTCGAACTCCAGACCTCAAGTGATCTGCCCGTCTCGGCCTCCCAAAGTGCTGGGATTACAGGCATGAGCCACCACGCCCAGCCAAAATAACCCAAATGTCTATCAAGTGGGGAATGGATAAATAATTTGTGGTATAGCCATACAAAGGAATACTCAGCCATAAAAAGGAATTCGCTATTGCTATATTCAACGACATGGATGAATCTCAAAAGCTTTATGCTGAGCAAAATAATCCAAGCAAAAGAGGCTATATACTCACAATTTCATGATATAAACTTCCAGAATAGGCAAAACTAACACATAGTGACTGAAAGCGGAGAAGTGGAGTAGCCATGGGCTGGTGGGAGAGGGTTGATTGCAAAGAGGAACAAAGGATCCTTTAGGATGGTAGAAATGTTCTATGTAGTCATTGGAGTCACCACAAATGTGTTACACAGGTGTATAATTTGTTAAAACCCAAACTGTGCAATTTAAAATGCATGCATTGGCTGGCCGTGGTGGTGCACGCCCATAATTCTAGCACTTTGGGAGGCTGAGGTGGGTGGATCACCTGAGGTCAGGAGTTTGAGACCTGCTTGGCCAACATGGTGAAACCGTGTCTTCACTAAAAATACAAAAATTAGCTGGGCATGGTGGCGCACACTTGTCATCCCATCTACTTGAGAGGCTGAGGCAGGAGAATCACTTGAACCGGGAGGCGGAGGCTGCAGTGAGCCGAGATTGCACCACTGCATTCCAGCCTGGGCGACATAGTGAGACTCCATCTCAAAAAAAAAAAAAAGAAAGAAAAAGCATGCATTTCATTGTATATAACAACGATTTGGGGGGAAAATAAAGATTATGTTTTGTTTCTCCAATGGAATTATAGTAATGACACTTCCACCACCTGGGATGATGTTTAGAACCCCAGCATCCACTGAGAGTGAGCCTGGACTGAGCACTTAGCACATATGTGCCAGACACCCTATCCAGCCCTTTCATTCATTGTTTCAATTAAGCCTCACCCTCACCTCTCAGATAGGTATTCTCATAACCCAAAGCTCAGCAAGGTTAAGACATTTGTCTAAAGTCACACAGTTAGCAACAGGCAAAGCTGGGATTCACTGTCTTGGGCTTTCATAAACTTCTCTGTACTATCCCTAGAGAGGAAAGAAACTCAACCAGTGCAGAGGTCACACACTGAAGAAACATCACCAAAGTTAATTATGATTTAAAAACTTGCATCCACAGAAACTATTTCTAGTTACAAAGCCACTCGGATAACTTACAGACTGGACTGGGGGCCGGGCATGGTGGCACACACCTATAAGCCCAGCAGTTTGGGAGGCTGAGGTGGGTGGATCATTTGAGGTCAGGAGTTCCAGACCAGCCTGATCAACATGGTCTCTACTAAAAATACAAAAATTAGCCAGGCATGGTGGCACATGCCTGCAATCTCAGCTACTGGGGAAGCTGAGGCAGGAGAATCTGTTGAACTTGGGAGGTGGAGGTTGCAATGAGCCGAGATCACACCATTGCACTCTAGCCTGGGTGACAGAGCGAGACTCCGTCTCTAAATAAATAAATAAATAGACTGGATTGGGTAACTGGGCCTGTCTTGTGCCCAGCTCATCACATAATGCAGTGCATTTTCATTTATACAACATCACAGAAGTTAACATTTGTGGAATTCCTAGGCATTCAAAGCCAAAATAAAAACTCTTCAGCAATCCTAGACTTCCAGAGCCAGGACCAGCCCTGTTAGCATTAGGGAACCTTAGCACCTCCAGGTGCTACTGACCTTGGAGATGAGTGACTTGATCAGGGACAACACAGAGAGTGTCCCAGAGCCAGGACTAGCTTGGACCCTCACCTCTGGTCCGCCTCCTGTCCCACTGCCATCATGCTGTTCTGTGAGCCAAACTGACAGTCTAGCAGGGGTCAGTGCAACCCGTCTCACTACTGAGGACAGAAAAGAATGTGCGGCCTTATCCATCTCACTACAGCCAAGAGAGTCTAAAAGAGTCAATTAAGCAGGGAAGGGAGGCTCCCTCCACCCTCACCCCCTTCGGCCTCTCTGCAGCCACTGCTGCCCTGGGGGAATCATACTGTCTTAGCACTGGAGGCTGTTCCTGTAGGTTGAAGGGCCCAGACTGGAAGCAGGGTTTCTATTCAACCTCCCCCACCGATTCACTGTGTAACACTGGGTGACTGACTGAACCTTTCTGACCTTCAGATTCCTTGTGGGAACTATTTACACCCATCCTACATGGCTCTGGAGAAATGGCTCTGAGGATCAGATGAGAGAGATGGCTGTATGAGAAAGTGATGGGCTGGGCATGGTAGCTCATGCCTGTAATCCCAGCACTTTAGGAGGCCCAGGCAAGTGGATCACCTGAGGTCAGGAGTTCAAGACCAGCCTGCCCAACATGGTGAAACCCCATCTCTATTAAAAATACAAAAATTAGTGGGGTGTGATGGGGGGCACCAGTAATCCTAGCTCTCGGAAAGCTGAGGCAGGAAAATTGCTTGAGCCCAGGAGGTGGCGGTTGCAGTGAGCCGAGATCATGACACTGCACCCAGCCTGGGTGACACAGCAAGACTCCATCTCAAAAAAAGAAAAAAGAGATTTGTAAACTGCAATACTAGTTATGTTTTTTTTTATCACCATTAACAGAATTAGGCTCTAGGCTCACTCAAAAGCAGCAGAACCAACAGCTGGCTCACTGTGGTTTGGGGTTTGGGGGTTGCCTCATCTGAAAAATTGGGATAATAATACATCCTGCTTGAAGCAGTGAGTTTTGGACCAGAGATCCTTCTGGGGTCACTTCCAACTCTGAAGTCTACGATTCTATGATTTCAAAGAGCCCAAGAAGATCGGCCTCACCTGCCCTCCTGATGTTTGCATATTCTCTTATCAGGATGCCAAAGCACTTTGTGTTATAATCAAATGCAAATGACTGCGGAGGAAGAAGCGCTTTGCCTCACTTTCCCACTACAGTGTAGATGACTGATACCAGATTCCTCCCAGACAGCGAATGCAGATGGGAAGCTGGGAAACCTGGTCTGAGTCACCAGAGGGTTTCTTAACTGAGAGCTCAGGCTGAATCCTGTCTGTTCCCTGAGACCAAACACTTAACATCATGAGGCCCCAGTTTTAGCTGATTCTCTGAGCATCTGTCCTGCTCCCCAGATTGGGGTGGTGGTGGCTTTTGTGTCTTTTGTCAGCTCTTTCCAGCTGGGCTCCTGACCTGGAAGAGGTGGCTCCGATACTCATCCCTCTCAGCCCTAACCCAGGCCTATTTGACCATCTCACATGTCATTTTCAAGGCTGCTCCATGCTCAGTTCCCTCAAAATTCTAACCCCATGCACTGCTGAGAACACCTTTCCCTTCCAATACAGCAGCTAGGGTGGTCCTCCTGGAACCCCTCTCCTCTCATCTCACCTGACTCTTGCCCCATCTCTAACCATAAAAACCAAGCAAACAAATGAATCGTGGAAATGAGCCAGTGTGTAAGAGGATATAGGTACCATTTGTCCCATCCCTTTCCATTCCAGCTCAGAAAACTGTTAGGGCCAGGACATCAAGATTCTATAACTGGTTTCCTTAATGAAAAAAACTAGCCAGGCCTGGTGGCTCATGCCTGTAATCCCAGCACTTTGGGAGGCTGAGTTGGGCAGATTGAGATCAGGAGTTCGAGACCAGCCTGGCCAACATGGTGAAACACTGTCTCTACTAAAAATACAAAAATTAGCTGGGCATGGTGGCACGCGCCTATAGTCCCAGCTATTCAGGAGGCTGAGGCAGGAGAATCGCTTGAACCCATGAGATGGAGGTTGCAGTGACCCAAGATCACATCACTGCACTCCAGCCTGGGTGACAGAGGGAGACTCCGTCTTAAAAAAAAAAAAAAAAAAAAAAAAAAGTCACTAGCATTAGTTGAGCACTTACTGCATGCTAGACACTGTCCTAAGTGCTTTACATGTACTAGCTCAATCTTCTTATAAAATAGGCAGTATAATCTTCATTTTACAGATTGAGAGACTGAGAGACAGAGAGGTTAAGTTAAGTGACTTGGCCAAGAGCACACCTAGCAAGTGGCAAGACTGACCCCAGAGTCTGTGCCCTAGTGATGATGACATCCTGCCTGCCGAGGGAACAACCATTCCTTCAAGCCTGAAATCTTCGGAAACAAACAAGTTGTGCACTGCTGTTGGGGTGGATCGCAAAAGGATCAGTCATATCAAGTTCAACCCCTTCTTTGTACAAAAGGAGAAAGTGAGGCCCAGAGACTGAGTGGTCTTCCCATATCATTAGCAAGCTAAGCCCAGAGCTAGGGTCTGGGATGATACCCTCCTCCACAGCCCAGACATGTTTCCACCAGGGGTCATGACCTGGAAATTAGCCCACAGCCCTTACTCCAACCTGTGCAGAACTTCTCAGACCTTTACATACCTCTCCCTGGCTACTTCTTCAAAGCAGCCTCTAGCAGGTCACTTGCTTGGTGTTTTCTTGCCTTTGCTGTATATACTCAGACTGTAAGCCTCCTATTGATTTGGGGTGAAGATTTTAAAAGGAGGCAAGGCTTAAAGTAACAGGCTGTACATATTGGAGTTGGCTTTGGGTGGATGGTGGGAAGGTGCCTTCTTACCCATGATACCCGCCCCCATCCCTCACCAAATCCCTGCAATTCAGGGTCAGAGAAGAAGGGACTGGAAACAATTGCCCTATAACTTTTGCTCCAAACATTCCCCACATAGTTCCTGTCCGGCTCTCTCCCCAGTGTCACCTACCCCACTGTCCCCCAGGTGTCACCCCCCACTGTGATCCTCCTTTTCCAACCATGTACACACACACACACACACACACACACACACACACACACACACACACACACACTGGGCCCTCTCACTCTTTCCAGTGTTCTCCTGAGAAATCACCCCATGCCAGGTCTGAGATGTGGTCGCATTTCCCCAGCGCACGGTTCCTTCCTGCGTCTCCAGCTGGCGCTCTCACCGTCCGAGGTTTCCCCCATTCTCCCTGGACGCGCACGATCCTCTGCCCCGAGACCGGGAACAGCCCGTCCCACCCATCCACCCAGCCCTCTCGGTCTCCGCTCCGCAGGGCGAAGGCGGAGGGTGGGGAAGGAGTCCGAGGCAAGGACGGCTCGCCGGAGGCCAGGATGGCGGCAGACAGGGCACCGGCGTGAGGATCCCGAGAGGGCATCAGAGAGCGGGACTGACGCCTGAACGGGCGGGGCCGGGGCGGACGGGGCCAGGGTCCGAGGCGTGCGCAGAGTCCGAGACCCGGCGGGATGAGGAGAGCGGCGGCTGGGGGGCGACCAGAGACTCGGACACTGAACAGGGCGATGGATTCGGAGCCGGGGAAGCTGGAGACCGAACTCAGGGCGCGAACTCCGACTGCGAAGTGGGTTGGGTCGCGCCGGGCTAGGGTCTGAGTTCGAGACCTCGGCGGGGCCAAGGACAGCGGGAGGGAAAAATTGGCCCAGCTGTAGCGCAGGAGGGAGAGACAGGCAGGCCGGGGAGCGGGCGGGGGGCGCGGCGGGCACTGACCCGAAGTAGGAGGCGGCGGCGGCGGGCAGCGCCAGCAGGCAGAGCCCGGCCAGGGCCAGCGCGGGCGGGGGGCGCATGGTGCTGGCGGCGCTGCGCCCTCTAGCATCTCCTCGCGCCGCTCAAGCTCGCAGCTCCGCCACCACCCGCCCGCGGGACTTTAAACCCGGGTGGGGCGGGGCAGGCGGCGCTGGGAAAGGAGGAGATTGGGAGGCTCCCCAGCCCCGGGCGGCGAGCCCCCCGCCCCATTGGCCCCACCGCCCTCGCCCCGCCCCGTCGCGGGTGGGGCAGCCGCCCCTGGACCGCCCCCGCCCCTCCCCCATTGCCCCGCCCTCCGGCCCCAGGTGAGCGCTCACCTGGCGCCGCGCCCGCCCGGGGTCGCGGTGGCTGAACGTGAAGCCCCCCGGGCCTGGAGAGGCGGGGAGGAGGGTACGAGGCGGGGACGGAGGAGATTCTGCCTCTCCGGGATGGGGCGGAGGCAAGCGCAATGGCTTCTCCGAGGTAGAGAAGGTGGAGGGGTAGGAGGAGGGACGCATCTGGAGTCGGTGGAAAACCCGGGTCATTGTCCGCCCTCCTGCCGGGCAAGTGCGGTCTCTTCGCCGCAGCCCGCAGACTCAGGGCAGGGCCGGGTCCTGGTGCAGAACCGCTCTCTGGAAGCGGGGGAAATGCATGTCCAATGGCTCAGGGGACCCTGTTGCCAGGCAAAGAGTCTTGGGCAGAGGGGAGAGAGGAAAGGGCGCTCTGTTTTTAAACGGGAGAGTGACTGTTACCGGCGAGGCGCGCAGCGTGGGCCTCCGTGGGCTTTTGACAAAATGCTGCTGATGTTCCCCAGCGCAGAAATCCAAAGTGGACAGTGGGGCAGACAGAGCCCTGCGGGAGGAGGGACCCACTTTCCAAGGTGTGTAGATGCCAGAATCTCTGGTAGATAGGGTGGGAACTTCAAGTGTTGGGCCCCAAAGTTCTGTTTTGCTTATTATTTTTTAAAGTTTAACCCCAATTTCTGCTGCGAAGGTGCAGAGATCAAAGCGGCGCGTGGTACCTGTCTAGAAAGGAGACATACAACCAATGACCCAAGTGAGATTTAAAATGTTTTTGAGAGTCTCGAACACGGGGTCAAATCAAGCAAAACAAAATATAACTTGCAATGAATGTCAAGATCTGCATGTAAAGTTTCCAAAAAATCAGCCATGCATAGGGAACATCAAGTGACTGCGACCTTGGCTTTTCAGTGGACACCAGCATGGTAGGGGGCTGAGAGAGGTGTTGAGGGAGGTGTTGGGAAGATGGTGGCTACCGTGTTAGGTGGCATTAACAGAGGAAGCCCCCACCTCTTTGAGCCTCTTTGAGCTCAGTTTCTCTGTCAAATGAGCGCAGTGATTACATGATCTGATGATTCCTAACAGCTCTGCCAGCCCTATCAAATCCCATGGTTCTACTTATTGAGGCCACATGGCCCAATGTAATGTGCAGAGACCTGGAGTCAAATCATGTAAGTTATGAGCCCCATATGAAATATGGATGATGAGAAATATCTAACAGGATTTTTGTGCAGGTAAGATGTTAAATGCTGGCCAGGCACGTTGGCTCATGCCTGTAATCCCAGCACTTTGGGAGGCCGAGGTGAGAGGATCACCTGAGGTCAGGAATTCGAGACCAGCCTGGCCAACATGGCAAAACCCTGTCTCTCCTAAAAATACAAAGACATTAGCCGGGTGTGGCAGTGCATGCCTGTAATCCCAGCTACTCAGGAGGCTGAGACAAGAGAATCGCTTGAACCTGGGAGGTGGAGGTTGCAGTGAGCCGAAATCACGCCATTGCACTCTGGCCTGGGCAATAGAATGGGACTCCATCTCAAAACAAAAAAAAAAAGATATTAAATGCCTAGCAGGTGCCGGCACCTAATATCAGTGATCGTTATACCTGCAGGCAGGACTGGGGTGTGATGGTGTTTACAACTGGTTCTCAAGGAGGGTTGATGGTGGTCTGATTTGTATCATCTGTTGATCTCTGTGCCTTAAATATTCCCATCATGGCTGACTTCATGCCACCAATGTGGCATCGTTTCTGATCACTGGAGTTAGGAAGAGATGTGCACAGCTAGCCCTGCAGGCCAGCTGGACCCAGCTCCAGCATATCACTGGTAAGATTTTGAACCACGATCACAGAAGCTAGAGGATGAGGGGCCTGAGCTGGACCAGTGTGAGTCAGAGAGAAGGAAGAGCCATGGACTGGGGTGGCAGACAGACCCCACCAGGCCCCAGCCACACCCCCTAGGCAGGTGAGGATGGAGTGGGTTCAGCTCAGGCTGCCCAGCTGCTCCTCCTGTTCTCATGCCCCTAAGCACACATAAGCATGCTTGTGCATGGAGAAGGCAGGGCACATTCTCCCAAAGTGACACCTTTTCAAAATTTCATGAAAGTTACATGTTGATGTCTGATGGGTAAGCCTATGAATCAAAGACTGGAAGAAGCACCCAAGACTCGATGGAGACATCAGTGGCTGGAGAGTGAGAAACACGAGGAAAATATTTAGATGGATGCTCTTGAATCCTTGCCAGCCAATGGCGTGGCCCCACCCTTGGGTTCCCTCCTCCTGATGTTAGAACTGTACCAGGTTTCTGTCTGCTGGGGTGCCTTCCAGCTTGCCCATGGAGGCTTCAGAGTTCTGCTTCTGTCTTTTTGGCCAATAAGGCTGCATAGAACTGCCCAGATAATAGCTCCTTCTTGCTAATAATAATAATTCCACAGCAGCTCCTGTGTACCAAGCTCTGTGTGTGTGTGTGTGTGCACGTGCACACATGTGCCGGGCCTGGCTCACAATCTCACTAAAGCCTCAAGCCCTCTGGGAGGCTGGGACAATCATAACTCCATTGCACAGATGAAAAAACAGAGGCTGGGAGAGCTGACGTAGCAGGTGTAGGTGGGCCAGCTGTAGTGGAGGCAGGAATTGAGCCCAGCCCTAGCCCAGCGGTACTGTCAGTACTGGCTATGGCTCATGATTGGCCATGGCTGGCTCAGAACTGCCCAGGCACAGCCTGACTCACAGACACCTTTGCATTATACATCCTTACAGAGCATCGTGTACCTCCTAAGTGTCCATCCCCAAGGGGCTTATAGCCTGGAGGGGGAGACGGCAGTGAAAACAGATCATCCCTGCAATTGTGATATTATAGGATCCCTGAGGAAGGACATGAAGAGCAGCCCTTGGGACCTACAGCCTGTGCCATAAATGATTTGTTGCTCTGCCACCTTCCCTCTGCCCTGTGGGCTCCTGAAGGGCTGGCCTGAGTTTCACTTCTCTCTGTGTCTCCAGAGTCTGGCACAGGTCCCAGCACATAGTAGGTACTCAGGAAACAAGTGTTGTTTTCAGCTTATAACCCTGGTTTGTGGCCTTTTTATGGCAGTAAACATGTAAAGTATCATACAAACACATGTGTGGTGACGGAAGCACTCCTTCCTGGGCTCGGACACGGGCTCCATGGGGCACACACACTACAGCCCAAGTCCAGGCATTTGGTGACACACAGACCCCCACTGTTCCCCCATGGGTGTCTACATTCCTGGGCAGCCCCACAGCTGGTCCTGGGTCCACACGTTCACACAGGTATGCAAGAGAAGCATTCTTGGATATCCACATGCAGCTACCTGTCTCCATTAACCAGCCCAAGGCAGCCAGCGCTCAGGGCTGGAGCCCTCTCCTCCTCTTGTGCACACATGCACGTGCACACACACACACACACACACACACACACTTTGGAAATCACAAACATGATGAGGCTGAAAGCTTTGCTATGGCCACATCAAATCTAGCTCCAGGATGTCTGCAGACCTCTCCTTCCTCTTCCCGGCACCTGCCCCCAGGCCAGCCCACCCTGCCTGAAACAAACCCTCAGGAACCATCCGCCTTTGGTTGGCTCCATATCTCCTGTGCCTCCCAAGTGGAAATGCGGCTTCCCAGGCTGGCTCTCTCCTCTAATCTCCCTCAAACTGCACTGGAAATGAACTCTGGACCCAACAGGAAGTGGAACAGATGATGCCCCAGCAGCTCCGAGGGAAGGTGCCCATGCTGACCTGACACACAGCTGCCCAGGAGGGCTGGTCCTGGGGAGCCTGGACAGGACTGGTGTGGGTGTGGGCTCACCTGTCCCTCTCCCTGTCCTTCCCCATCCTCCAGGTGACCTGGCCTTCTTGTCATAGCCTTATGATGACTGGCTGAGTCCTGACCACTCCCATCAGTCCTAGCCCCACATACTTGAACTGTATTGGCAATGCCCTTGCAACATTGCACTAGCATTGACTCTGGAGCACTGTGAGGTAGCATGTGGGCCATGATTGTCCCCATTATACAGATGAGGGCACTAAAGTCCAGAAAGATGAATGACTTCCTCAAGGTCATAGAACTCACTGGCTCTCGGGGATGGAAGACTTGATTTTTCTGGAACACCAGACTGAAATAGGACTGAAGCTAAGTGGGGAAAGTGGGCTTCAGAATCCCCTCCAGGGAACTCACAGCCATGCCTGAAAATGACAAAAAAGGGGGCAGAGAAGGACACCAAAATGTTAATAGGGGCTGCCTTGGAGGTTGGGAGTGTGGGGTAAGAAATGTTTTTATCTTCCTTGCATTTTCCTAGTTTTCTATGACAAGAATGTTTGACATTTATAATGAAAAAAATTACTGAAAGTGGGGAGGAGAAAAATACATAACAATACATCTCCAATGGTGGAACTTTAAGCATTTGCAGGAAAGGTATTTGGGAGGGGCAGGGCAGTATTTCTGGACTGGAGTCCTCTGTGACCTTCACTCATCTGTCCTTCTGCGGGAAGGGCCCCTGTCCTATCTTGGGAAGCTCACTCCAGAGCTGGCAGAGCTCACCACTCCCCATGGCACTTCCAGTTCGAGGCCTTCTCACTTCTGTTCCTCCCTCCCTCCCTCTTCTTCCTCACAGAACTCTTTGAATTGTGTTGTGAGGACGGTGTGGGACCCACCTTCTCTTGCCCCTTGCCTATTCAAGGCCATTCTCCAGCCCTTTATCCAGCAGCATCTTTGAGTTCAGCCAAGGCAGGCTGAATGCAGAGAAGCAGCCCTTTGGTGGCCCCCCACCCAGCCATGCTTCTGTGGCCAAGGGCAGCTGGAACCCCACCTTGACTGACAATTCCTGCCTCTGCTCACTCACCACATTGGTTCTACAACCTTTATTGGCACAACTGTACTTTGTGCCAGTGCCTATGTTGATATACACTGTCCTTGAGTTTGGGAGATTAGGCATCCCTGCTATGTGTAGACTGCAGACACCTCAAGATCTGAGACCCTGTCCCCTGTTTCTTTTCTATCCCACACTTCCTCCCATAGTGGTACTGAGTTTCAGCCCACAGTAAAAACATTGTTAAATAACTGAATTAATGAATGAATAACTGAATGAATAAACATTGGACTGTGGAAGGTCAGACCTGACTTATTGATGGCTACAAACCCTGCCTCTGATTTTATAATGTTCATGAGAGACAGGATGAGCCATCTGTACTGAAACGGTTGAAACTAGCAGGAGTGCTTTGAGCAGTCCAGTTCTGTCTAGTAGTTATAGGTAAGTAAGTAGTGACCTGGAGGAGAACTCTCAATTTCAGATAACATGGCCGGGCACGGTGGTTCACACCTATAATCCCAGAACTTTGGGAGGCTGAAGTGGGTGGAGCACCTGAGATCAGGAGTTCAAGACCACCCTGGCCAACATGGCAAAACCCCATCTCTGCTGAAAATACAAAAATTAGCTGGGCCTGGTGGCAGGTGCCTGTAATCCCAGCTACTCAGATGGCTGAAGCAGGAGAATCGCTTGAACTCAGGAGGCGGAGTTTGCAGTGAAAGGAGACCACACCACTGCACTCTAGCCTGGAGGACAGAACGAGATTTGATCTCAAAAAAAAAAAAAAAAAAAAAAAGCCAGCACAGTGGCTCACACGTGTAATCCCTGCACTTTGGGAGGCCGAGGTGGTTGGATCACAAGGTCAGGAGTTTGAGAGCAGCCTGGCCAAGATGGTGAAACCCATCTCTACTAAAAATACAAAAGTTAGCCAGGTGTGGTGGCGGGCACCTGTAGTCCCCAGCTACTCGGGAGGCCAAGGCAGGAAAATCGTTTGAACCCAGGAGGCAGAGGTTGCAGTGAGCCGAGATTGTGCCACTGCACTCTGGCCAGGGTGACAGAGCAAGACTCTGTCTCAAAAAAAAAAAAAAAAAAAAAATTCAGATAACTCACTCCATTGTCCCTGTAAGTCGACTCATGTATGTCAGGTGACATATATGTCCAAGCTCTGTTTGGGCACTGGGCTCACCGTGAATATAACCCCCACCCCAGCCCTGGTTACCACTTCCAGGAGCATAGAATACAGTGAGCTGACCTAGAGACTAGGAGATGGCTGGGCAGGTGGCACGGAGCAGCAGGGCATTCTGTCTTCAACCACCGTGAAGTCCCCTATGGGCAAAGCACTAGTGAAAGACTCTACGTTGGGGTGTTTTACAACAGAAAGGCATTCCACACAGGACATAGCTATGGATACTGCTCAAAAGAAGGAGGAAGGAGACCAGGCACTGTGGCTTACGCCTGTAATCCAAGCACTTTGGGAGGCCGAGGCGAGTGGATCACCTGAGGTCAGGAGTTCCAGACCAGACTGGTCAACATGGTGAAACCCCATCTCTACTAAAAATACAAAAAATTAGCCAGGTGTGGTGGTGCATGCCGGTAGTCCCAGCTACTTAGAAGGCTGAGGCAGGAGAGTTGCTTGCAGCTGGGAGGCGGAGGTTGCAGTGAGCAGAGATCCCACCATTGCACTCCAGCCCTGGGGCAACAAGAGCAAAACTCCATCTCCAAAAAATAAAAAAGAAAGAAAGAAGAAAGAGGAAGGAAGGAAGGAAGGAAGGGAAGGAGGGAGGCAAGAAAACAACTTTCTTAGGGACTAGAAGTTTAAAAATATGCCATAATTTACTATAAATAACATCCTATAGATTTGGGTCTGCACAGAGGCATTCTCAACATCTTTTAGTTTGTTTTCATCTGAGTAAGTTCTTGCTCTCTAAACTCTCTAAAAAGAAGGACGAGAGGAAAGGGGTCCCATCTTGAAGTTCATAGGTGCCTAGAGGAATGCAATCCTTTGCAGTTAGTTTTAGAAATCGGCCACCACCACACCATTTCCTCCAGGTCATATTATCAGAACTGCAGGTACAAATAAGTTTACAGGAAGTGCTCATTAACTGTGTCCTGACTGGTAGACAGTTGGACCATAGCACGTTTTCCTGAACTCATGGTAGGACTGCAGTGGCCCAGCCAGATGTTTTTCTTTAAACAAAGGAGAGACTCGAACCTTGGTTTATCTCTGGGAAGCAGTAAGCTGAGGCTTAACTTATCAAAAAAAAAAAAAAAAAAAAGGTGGCTAACTCCACCTCACTGCATATTTTCTACTTTATATAAAGTATAGGCTGGATACAGTGGCTCATGCCTATAATCCTAGCATTCTGGGAGACTGAGGCAGGAGGATTGCTTGAGGCCAGGAGTTCAAGACCAGCCTCAGCAACACAGTGAGACCCTGCTAATACAAAAAAGAAAAAAAAAATTAGCCAGGCATTGTGGCACATGCCTGTAGTCCCAGCTACCCTGGAGGCTGAGATGGGAGGATTTCTTGAGCATGGGAAGTTGCAACTGCAATGAGCCATGATGCCACCACTGCACTCCAGAGCAAGAACTGCAACAGAGCAAGAACCTTGTCTTAGAAAAAATAATAATAAAGTATGAATACATAATATTCAGTTTAACATACTTTGAATAAGCATCTGGTGCTAAACCCTGGAATAGGAGATGATGAAGTCAGTTCTTGTCCTTGAGGAGCACACAGTTTGTTGGGAAAGACACATAAATAAATACAGAGAGCATTCTGACATATCTATATAAGTGTAAACTAGTTATTGAGCACTTACATTACACCAGGTATTGTTCTAAGTCCTATAAAACTGTTAACCCATTTAATGCTCACAGCATTTTACAAATGAGGAAATGGGCACAGAGAAGTCAAGTAACTGGCCAGCTAGTAAGCTTAGAACCGGGATTAGAACCCAGGGAGCTGGCACCAAAGACACATATTTAACGACTGTGCAGCAGTAAAGAGAAGAAAGTACCAAATGAGGCAGGAACCCAGGAAAGAAGACAATCAATTCATTGTTCCAGGGAAGAGGTAGCTAAGACAATGGCAACTGAGATGCAGCAATGTTTGAGCTGGATTTTGCAGAGTGATTTTTTTTTTCAGTCCTTCTTTCTTCACTTTAACGAATGGAATAGTCCCTCCTAATTAGTCACACAAACGTTTGAAAGGAAACCAAGTTTTCCCACTGGTTGTCATTATAATTATAAGGGTTCACCCTACAAAGCATACCTTTGCTACATTAAGTTCTACTTTGGAGTGAGAGGAGGTTGAAAAAGTGTTGGGGACTTAAGAATAGGGAATGTGTTTTAAACTAGTTAAGCCTTTCCAATCTGTTGTTGATTCTGAAATATCATTTTCATTCCCCCAGCTCCGATATTAATATCTACCCTAGTTTCTCCCTCTCTGGGCTTGGCACCCAGGATGTGCCCACCTTCTTCCTCATGAGGTGCCTTCAGTGTCTAATGTGGCCTGGTTGCAATACCACATGTCTCCAATAGGAGTCACTAGCAACAACAGGATAATTTACCTGAGGTTGCATGGAGAGAACCCTGGGTCCTAACTTAAAATCTTGTCTCTGGCTTCCTCTGCGACCTCGGTTTCTTCATCCATAAAATGGATACAACACTCCCTGTCCACCTTCCTCACAGAACAGTGGTGAGAAATGTGAAGATGAATGTGGACATCTTCCAGTGTGATTCAGAAGAGGTGCACTGTCTGATTTTCTCATAGCTTCTGTCTGGATGGTTTCAAAAAACTAATCATTCCACAGCTACGTTTTGAGCATCACTCATCATGCCAGGCACTCTGTAGGATCCAGGAATTATTTCTATCTTTGCACAAAAGGACTTTGAATAAAAGTTTAAAGCAGGGTACGGTGGCTCATGCCTGTAATCCCAGCACTTTGGGAGACTGAGATGGGAGGATCACTTGAGCCCAGGAGTTCGAGACCAGCTCTGGGCACCAAAGCAAGATCCCATCTCTACAAAAAAAATTAATAGCTGGGCATGGTGGTATGCACCTGTGGTTCGAGCTACTCGGGAGGCTGAGGCAGGAGGATGGTTTGAACCCAGGAGTTTGAGGCTGCAGTGAGCCGTGATCGCGCCACTGCACTCCAGCCTGGGCGACAGAGGGAGACCCTGTCTGAAAAAACAACCAAATAAATAAAGATTTAAAGCTAACTGTAACCCTGAGGTTGTAGAGCAGCAGCCCCTGCCCTAGGAATGATATTGGGGTGTGCAGCAGCGGCATATCTACCTCACCTGTGGCTGGAAGGCTCTCCTGACCAATAACTCATCTCTTCCTCACACAACCCAGTTTGCGCCTGAAGAAACTGAGGCACAGAGAGGCGAAGTGGCCTGCCCAAGGACCTAAATACCAGCAACTTCCCAAGCCTTTAATCCCAGAGCATAGAGTGGGAAGGGGCGGTGTGAGAAGGCAAGTGGTGGGAGAGGACCTGGAGGGATGGAGGGGGAGGCCTCCCGGGTCCCCAGGCCAGCCCAGGCCCCGCCGAGGGCGCCACCGCGGCCAGCCTTCTGCAGGAGCGCCCCCTGCCGGTCAGCGCTGCTCGCGGCGGCCGCGGACGCTGGAGGACGCTCGGCGCGGCAGGGACTGTCCTCTCGCGGACCAGAGACCCCCCCACACACCGCAGAGGAGCGCAAGAAGGGCCCTGCGGGGTCGGCCTACCCCTTCACTTTGCACACGGCAAACGCGGAGCTCAGAGGAGGACGTGGTTGCTCAAGGTCTCTCAGCTGGATGCAGGCTTCCCTGTCCGCCTGCCTCACACTGCAGAACCTCCATCTCCTCTGCCTTCATCTACCCCGCACTCCCCAGTCCAGAGGGTCCAGTTCCTCCCGGTCCTGCTCCCGGCCAGCCCCTACCCGCCCCACCAGCCCCTTCTCCTCAAGGAATCCTCTGGCATTGCAGCCCCCAGCGCTCCCTTCTCCGAAGCCCTGTTGCGTCAGGGCGTCCCCACGCCCCCACCTTAACCCGCTCTCAATTTGGGACATGGCTTAGTTGGCCTGTTGGCACGACCTTGAGGACCAGGGACGGGCCTCTTTCTTTCGGATTCTCCACCCTCCCGCCCAGAGGTGCCTGGGACAGGGCTGAACTCTCACTCTCACTCGGTGATGAATATCGATGCATGACTTTCCTTCTTCCCACCGGGAAGCCTCACAGCAGTGTCTCTGATCCAGGACCGCCAGGATACCTAGGCTGGCCTTCTGGCTTTCCTTCCTAGCTGGGTGACCGTGGGCAAGTCCCTTACAATCTCTCAGAGCCTCCGTTTCTCCGACTGTAAATAGGGAGAAAGCTGCTCTTTGGGCTGGTTGTGAAGATTAAATGAAATCATGCGTGTCATGTTCCTGTCACATAGTAGGTGCTCAATAAATGGTAAATTTGATTTGTCAGGCTTCCAAGGAGCCTTGTCTGTCGGCACCCTCTTTCCTAGGGATAAGCCTTCCAACCTGAATTCTCCCACCCTCTGCCTCCTGTTGGAAGTAGCATCGGGAAAGGCGTTCCATGGTGATGACACAGGGGCACAGGAAAGGAGAATGCAGTTGGAAACAGAACCGGCTGCTTTCTGCCTCCACTTCTACTCACACCTACTTCCTGCTGCTTAGAATTTACAGCCTGCAAAGGGCTAATATCCAGAATCTACAAAGAACTTAAACAAATTTACAAGAAAAAACAACCCCATCAAAAAATGGGCAAAGGATATGAACAGACACTTCTCAAAAGAAGACATTTATGCAGCCAACAGACACATGAAAAAATGCTCATCATCACTGGTCATCAGAGAAATGCAAATCAAAACCACAATGAGATACCATCTCACGCCAGTTAGAATGGCGACCATTAAAAAGTCAGGAAACAACAGATGCAGGAAAGGATGTGGAGAAACAGGAACACTTTTACACTGTTGGTGGGAGTGTAAATTAGTTCAATTAGACAGTATGGCAATTCCTCAAGGATCTAGAACTAGCAATATCATTTGACCCAGGGATCCCATTACTGGGTATGTACACAAAGGATTATAAATCATGCTACTATAAAGACACATGCACACATATGTTTATTGTGGTGCTATTCACAATAGCAAAGACTTGGAACCAACCCAGATGTCCATCAATGATAGACTGGATTAAGAAAATGGGCTGGGCACCGTGGCTCGCGCCTGTAATCCCAGCACTTTGGGAGGCCGAGGCGGGTGGATCATGAGGTCAGGAGATCGAGACCATCCTGGCTAACACGGTGAAACCCCGTCTCTACTAAAAATATAAAAAATTAGCCGGGCGTGGTGTCGGGCACCTGTAGTACCAGCTACTCGGGAGGCTAAGGCAGGAGAATGGCATGAATCCAGGAGGCGGAGCTTGCAGTGAGCCGAGATCACACCACTGCACTCCAGCCTGAGAGACAGAGTGAGACTCCATCTCAAAAAGAAAGAAAGAAAGAAGGAATGAAGGAAGGAAAGAAAGGAAAGAGAGAGAGAGAAAGAAAGAAAGAAAAGAAAGAAAGAAAGAAAGAAAGAAAGAAAGAAGAAAGAAAAAAGAAAGAAAGAAGAGAAAGAAAGAAAGAAAGAAAGAAAGAAAGAAAGAAAGAAAGAAAGAAAGAAAGAAAGAAAGAAAAGAGAAAATGTGGCACATATACACCATGGACTACTATGCAGCCATGAAAAAGGATGAGTTCATGTCCTTTGCAGGGACACGGATGAAGCTGGAAACCATCATTCTCAGCAAACTATCACAAGGATAGAAAACCAAACACTGCATGTTCTCATAGGTGGGAACTGAACAATCAGAACACATGGACACAGGGCAGGGAACATCACACACTGGGGCCTCTTGGCGGGGGGGACTGGGGGAGGGAGAGCATTGGGAGAAATGCCTAGTGTAAATGATGAGTTGATAGGTGCAGCACATCAACATGGCACATGTATACCTATGTAACAAACCTGCACATTGTGCACATGTACCCTAGAACTTAAAGTATAATAAAAAAACATATATATATATATAAAGAATTTACAGCCTGTGCATGGCAGTCATGGCTGCCTTGACGCCTGCGTTGTGCCACAGCCATACAGCTTTGGGGCCCAGTGGCAGCTACCATACAACCTGATGCAAGTGTCTGAGAAAAAAGTGGACACCACGCCAGTGCTGCCTGGACCCGCCAGGGGCTAAGAGTGCCAAGGGTCAGGTACCCACAGCTGGTCCCATTGGCAGTGGCCACAAGGACAGAGTGTATGCTGGGTCGCATGGCCACAAACATATTAGCATGAGTTCAGAGCTAATAGAATAAGCATTCCATAAACATAACAATCATCTTTGAAACTCTTGGAAATTCACTTAAAATTCTTTAGAGGCCAGGTGCGGTGGCTCACGCCTGTAATCCCAGTACTTTGGGAGGCCGAGGCGGGCGGAACTCCTGAGGTCAGGAGTTCGAGACCAGCTTGGCCAACATGGTGAAAGTCTGTCTCTACTAAAAATACAAAAATTAGCTGGGCATGGTGGCGGGCGCCTGTAATCCCAGCTATTCAGGAGGCTGAGGCAGGAGAATGGCTTGAACCCGGGAGGAAGAGGTTGCAGTGAGCCAAGATCACTCCACTTCACTCCAGCCTGGGCGACAGAGTGCGACTCCGTCTCAGAAAACAAAACAAAATTCTTTAGAAAAGAAAACAAGCCCCTGGAAACCATTTTATATGGTGAGTAATCCCCTCTCTGTGCACAGGCCTCTATGCCAAATTATCTGTTTTTGTAAACCCGGATTTTTATGGACTGCATCTGCTTGAAGGCTGATATATGCTTATTAAAACAACCCAAATTATCTATGACATTTTACATATACGTGGATGTGTGTGTATATGTACTTTTTAAATTTTATTTTTAATTTTTAAAATTAATTAATTTATTTTGAGACAGGGTCTCGCTCTGTCGCCCAGGCTGGAGTGCAGTGGCGCCATCATGGCTCACTGCAGCCTTGACCTCCCAGGCTCAAGCGATCCTCCTGCCTTAGCCTCCTGAGAAGCTAGGATTATGGGCGAATACCACCATGCCCAGCTAATTTTTTCATTTTTTGTAGAAATGGGGTCTCAGTATGTTGCCCAGGCTGGTCTTGAACTCCTGGGTTCAGGTGATCCTCCTGCCTTGGCCTTCCAAAAAGTTGGGATTACAAGCATAAGCCACCACACCTGGCCTGTGATTTTTTTTTTTTTTTTTAAGGCAGGCCCCGTTCTATCTCTTCTGATCCACTGACCCACTCGGCTGTTCCTCACTTCTCCTTCCTTCCCTCCCCACCTTACCACCAATTATGTGATCCTGTTTCCACAGGGATGGCAAGAGCCTGAATTTTCAGCCAGATGTCTCAGAGAGAAAACAGTAGGGCCAGTGACACAGAGAAGGCTTTTGCTGTCTGTTGCCCCTCCCATGACTTCTGGGAGAAGTGAAGAGGGGGCAGAAAATGCAAAAGGTTCCTCCACCCCCTCAACACAGGGGTTGGAGCAATGGCCTAAAGTTGTCCCAGTACCTGCTCACTCCCTTGGGTGGAGAAAGACGGTGATGTACACGTGGAAAACGCCACCCACCCATGAAGCCCCTCTGAGTGATTTAGAAAGAGGTCCCTCCTCCTCCAGGCACTTTTTTCCCAACTGTCAGAAAACAATCACTGCAAATATGGCCGTGATGTGCACAGTGTCCTCATATGTGGTGTAACCTTTTGCAGTGCACAACATGCACAATTGTGCATATCAGCCCTGAAGGCATATACCAGGTCAGTCCTCTGCCTGGTGAGTGGGAAACTAAATCCCACTGACCATGAGCCATCCCTCCAAACCTTCCCCCAGGCACATTCCCAGCAGGGGCATCACCACCTTCCTGTGTTCCCAGCCTCAGTCCTTTGGAGTCACCCCAGACTCTCTGGGTTCACATCCCACCTCTAGCGTTTATTAGGACTATGACCTCGGACAGGTCACACAGCCTCCCTGGGCCACAAGTCCCTTATTTGTAAAACGAGGGTGGCAGCGGCAGCTCTTGCATGGGGTTCTAGTGAGGATTCGATGGGGAAACAAATGTCATACAGCAAGATGGTGGCCTGGTGCTTGCTGATTCCCCAACATCAGTCCCACCCTCCAGTCCCCCAAATATTCTCCCATTTATACTCCAAATTCTGCCTAAGAAGCATCTGCATTTGGCTCCATGAGTAGGTTATCAGGCCAGCCTTGTCACTGCAGGTGGAGTTTGGTTACATAAGTAAAGGGATGAAGGGGGCAAAACAAATATCATGTGAAATACTTGCAAGGTTCAGCCAGGCACGGTGGCTCACGCCTGTAATCCCAGCACTTTGGGGGGCCGCGGCGGGCAGATCACGAGGTCAAGAGATCAAGACCAGCCTGGCCAACATGGTGAAACCCCATCTCTACTAAAAATACAAAAATTAGCCTAGCATGGTGGCGAGTGCCTGTAGTCCTAGCTACTTGGGAGGCTGAGGCAGGAGAATTGCTTGAACCTGGGAGGTGGAGGTTGCAGTGAGCCGAGATCACGCCACTGCACTACAGCCTGGGCGACAGAGCGAGACTCTGTCTCAAAAAAAAGAAAAAAAGAAAAAGAAATACTTGCAAGGGTCCTATGCTGAGTTCTTCCTAAAGCAAAGGGTTCATTTACAAACCAAAATTGTAATCCCCCAAATTCTTTATTCACACATCTAGCTTTTTAAAAATAATTCCAGGGAGTTACTAAGCAGCATACTTGTGTGTCAACAGGACACAGGTCACCTGGTGGCTTCCAACCAAGACATCACCCCATGACCCTGGCCAACCCTGCTCACCTCCAGCCTGGCTTGCCAGGAAGGCCAGTCACTTTCTCCACAGTGGGTTTCATTTTATCAATGAATTTCCCAACATGCGGCATATTTAGCAAGTGAGAGGCACTGTGCTGATTCATTTCATTATCCTACTTATTTCTCCCAACTGCTTCAGAAATTGACATTACAATGATCACCTTGGACTGTTTCTAATCATCGACATTTACAATGTGACATACTTTTCTTCCTCTTATCAGTGTAAAAAAACACAAAGATATTCAAAGTGCTTACTTGTTTTTTGCCCTTGAAACCCCATTTCACATAGAAGCATGAAGAACCATCTCCACTTTCCTTCTGGGTCCATGAAAAGAGAAAGCATCCCTAGAAACCAGGCTTCATGAATGAAGTTCAAAAAACAGCAGTTCCAAGGAATGCAATTATGTCCCTGCAGCCCTGGATTTCCCTGGGAGCCCCAGTTGAATTCCAATATCACTTCCTCCGCACTCTTTTGGCTGCTTCCTTGGAAAGGGGGTAAGGGTTCAATATCAGGCGAATTTTAAGATCTGTGGTGAGGTGTTATTAATTGCCCCGCCACCACCACAACCGAGACACACACACACACACACACACACACACACACACACACACGTCAGCGTCTCTCCAGCTGCTGTTCCTGGGAGCCCCAGCAGGTGGCACTATGACCCTGACCATCCTCGCAGGCCCCATCCAGAATGTGTGGGCACAATAACTTTAAGGTCCAGGGTCTCCCAGGGGCCCAGAGGCAGGATCTCACCTCTGAGGAGCCCCACCAGGAGAGTCCTGTCCCAGAGAGAAGGGCCGGGTCTCCTGTCTCCACTCTTCTTTAGTGAAGGTAGCTCAACTTCCTGGTTAAGAAGCTAGGCAGGGGTGCAGAGGTGGGGAGTGAAGGGGGCTGAGGGGGCGCAGGCCCTCCTCCCTTCCCTCCAACCCAGCTGGATCTGTTCCTCATTGCATTAGGAGATGTATTCTCCCAACCCTTAACAACTCATCCCTAACCCACCTGACCACCAGCCCTGAGCTTTGGGGACAAATCTTGGCAACTGCTGAGGGCCACTGTAGGTCAGGAATGACTACACTGATGAGAAGCTAGAAGGCACAAAGGAGGAGGGGTAAGTCAGGGAGGCTTCCTGGAGGAGGTGAGGGTGGACCTAAGAGATTAACTCATGGTCACCTCATTAAGAATAAGGGAGACTGGGCTGGGCGTGGTGGCTCATGCCTGTAATCCCAGCACTTTGAGAGGCCGAGGTGGGTGGATCACGAGGTCAGGAGATCGATACCATCCTGGCTAACACGGTGAAACCCTGTCTCTAATAAAAATATTAAAAATTAGCTGGGCGTGGTGGCGGGTGCCTGTAGTCCCAGCTACTCGGGAGGCTGAGGCAGGAGAATGGCGTGAACCCGGGAGGCGGAGCTTGCAGTGAGCCGGGATTGTGCCACTGCACTCAAACCTAGGCAACAGAGTGAGACTCTGTCTCAAAAAAGAAAAAAAAGAATAAGGGACAACATGGCAAGACCTCATCTGTCTACTAAAAATAAAAAAAAATTAGCCAGGTGTGGTGGTGTGTTCCTGTAGTGCCAGCTACTCAGGAGGCTGAGGTGGGAGGATCACTTGACCCCAGGAGATGGAGGCTACAGTGAGCACTGATCGCACTACTGCGCTGCAGCCTGGACAACAGAGCGAGATCCTGTCTCCAGAAAGAAGAAGAAGGAGAAGGAGAAGGAGAAGAAGAAGAGAGACTGAGGGCCAATCTAGGGAGTTTGATGCTGCCTGGGGGAGGAACACTGACAGGTGAGCTCAATGGCCATTTTTTGGAATGCTTCTGGGGGTAAGGTGGGCCTCCAGAGACTCTTCCCTGAACAAGCTAGAGAAACAGAAGCCACAGACTCTAAGAGTATATTAGCGTGGGGGAAGCCCTTGAGGAGCTGGCCAGGGGTTCTGAAGGAATAACAGGGGTGCTGAGTTGTGAGAGGGCAGAGGGAACCTTCCAGGTTAAAACTGGCTCCTCTGCATGGGGGAGGGGTGTGACAGAGGACAGGGAAGGGGAGGAGGCAGGCGAGAAGGACCAAGCCTGTGCCCAGCCTCAGGGACAGGGCTGAGCCCCTACCTACAGCCCAGGAGGTATATTTGCTTGCTAGAGTTGACCGTTCTTGAGATGAAATCAGGGGCAAGCCAGCGAGAGGAGCTTTCCACTCAAGGAGCTCCGTACCCCCTGTTGTAAAGCCCAGCCATGCCTCGGCAGGCCTAGCAGAACTTGCCAGGTGCCCTAGTGGGCTCCTTGGTGGCCTAACTCTCCATCTCCTAATGCGCGCCCTCCCCAGCAGCCTGCCCTCTCCCAGAGGCAGAACCCAGAAGGCCTCCCTCCTGCGATCAGACCCAGGCACCACCTGCTTCTCCAGCCACTGCCCAGGACACCACTTCCCCCTGAGAGTTGGCAAATCCGTCGTTTTGGTTACCACCTCATGGAGATTCAGCCCCTCTGGAAGTAAGACATTTTCTTTTTTTATTTTTTGAAACAGGGTCTCACTCCATCGACCAGGCTGGAGTGTAGTGGTGCCATCCTAGCTCACTGCAACCTCAAATGCCTGGGCTCAAGCAATCCTCTCCCCTCAGCCTCCCGAGTAGCTGAGACTGCAAACACATGCCACCACACCTGACTTAGTTTTAAATTTTTGCAGAGACAGGGTCTCACTATGTTGCCCAGGTTGGTCTCAAACTCTTGGCCTCAAGTGATCCTCCTGCCTCAGACTCCCAAGATGCTGGGATTACAGGTATGAGCCATTCTTGATACCTGGGATGGGACATGGTCCAGAATGGGGACAGGAAAGACTCCAGAACTAGCAGAACCACACACTCCAGCCAGAAAAAGAGGCGAAGGAAGTTGAAGGAAAAGCAAGCCTCCCGATCAGGAGCCCCCAGCAGTTTCTAGCAGGCAGACTGGCTCACTTCTTCCCCGGGCAGGCCTGTTTTCCAGGACGCTCACTCACGTGGGAAACAGCTCAGTGCACACATGCACTGAGTCAAAGCTTTCTTGGAAGATACAGTGATTTCTTGATTTTGTTAGAACTGACTCACACACACCCTCACTCACTCCATGAGCCAGGGAAGCAGGGCTGCCCACCACACTGAGCAGGAGACTGGGGTTTGAGTTTGAGCTCAGGTCGGCCTCCAGCAGTGTCTCGGAAAGCTCAGAGAGAAGTCAGGCAGTGAGGTGACCAGATGGGGAGTCGGGGTGGGTTGGCTGTCCCTTCCTCCCTAACACTCACCTTCTGATTCTTCTTAGAGGGCTGGTAAGGCTCCCAGGACTGGCATTCAGGCCTTGGCATGCCAGAGGATCAAAAGAAACTGCCCGTCCTTTCATGCAATTGATACAAGAAGCAACAGAAATTGCAGCTTGCTTTCAGTGGGACGTTAGAACTTGTGGAAGGAGCCATCACCCAGGGAGCTCAGCTGAAGCGTCAGGGCTCAGGCCCAGCTTCCACGCACATGCTGCTTCCCGGTTTGCTGACGTCCTCTGTGCTGAGAGCACCATGTCACTCCTCAGCTGACATCACTCTGGATTGGCAGCCAGGGCCATGAGCTCGTTTTGTCAACAACCCTCCCCCTCTTTTTGCTCTTTCCTGGCTGTGTGGTGGACTCTTCAGGGACACAGCAGTCACTGCGCTGCAGGGACAGTCCCCAAGTGCCAAGGCACAGCCTAAAGGGGCCTGTTCCCACCATGGCATCCGTGACAAGAACCAGGAGCCAGAATGCAGGTTTCTGGGACTTGTCAGCTCCCTTCTGAGTGCCCTGTTGAGGATTCCTAGAAGTCCAGACACCTCACCCCCCTAACCTGGATGGACCACGCAGAGCCAATAGGAATACTTTTCTGTGGACGTGCCATGTTGGAATCCCAGATCTCCCTGCCCTGCCAGCCCCTGCCAGCTTCCTGGGGACCCAACTGGTGAGTTTCACCCCCAAAGTGGCTGCGACATTGGAAGGCCAGGGCCACCCCTGCCTTTTCCATTGCTCGGCAGCTCAATCGTTCATCCATAATCCCCAGGCGTGGAGGCAGGGCTGGGGGCTCAAGGGGCTCTCGGTGCAGCGGCAGGGGCGGGGGCAGGGGCTCCCCTAACTGCAGAGGCTAGCCTTACACACCCAGCAACACATGTCCCCCTTTATGGCCCGGGCTTTCTCTCGGTGCTTAAAGCCAACTGTGAAAAGAGCAGGGCTGATTCTGGCTGCCTGGCCGTTTCCTGGCAACAGGCCTGGCAGGAGGTCTTTCTTTCTCCCCCCAACCTCCCTTCTCTCCTCCACCACCCCCCTCTCTCTTTTCCCCCCTGTGTCTTGTGTTGTGTATCATTAAAACTTCCCTCCCAGCCACTTCGCAGCCAACAACCAGGCCCTTCTGGGGCTAGTTCCCTCCGGGCAGCTCAGCCGGCCCGGGGTGGGGGCTCCGAGGGGTCAAGGCCCCCAGAGAGGAGGCTTTGTGTTCTGGAACCAAGGCTTAAACTCAAGTTGGCAACCTTTGGCACGTTTGTGAGGGGCAGCCACCAGCACCCCCTCTGCAGGCACCTCTTCCTTCTCTGTCTTCCTCCCCCACCTTTCAGGGTCTCGGTCTCTTCCTTTAGTGCCTGGAGCCTGCCAATAGTGCCACTGGGCACTGCCCAAAACCACGCGGGCCTCACGAGGCTGGGCATGGACAACCCTTCACCTAGGAGGACAAGCCTCTGCTGAAGGCTGGGGTAGCTCTAGCCAGAGGCCTGCAGCCAGCTCTGGCACAGTGTCCTGGTCTGCCCTGAAAGGGCACAGGAACACAAAGGGTGTTGGCCTCAGGGATCACGGGGAAGCAGAGCATTCACTCAATGCATACAGGACCCAAAGAACTCTTCATTTGGCAGTTTCAACCTGCAGGGACACTGAGACCCAGAGGGGGTGAGTGCCTTGTCCGGGGACACACAGCCAGTCAGGAGAAAGCTGAAGCTGGAACCCTGGTTTCCCAGTCCCCTCCTCTGTGGCTCTTCACTGGAGGGGACCCGGAGGGGAACAAGTGGCTCCCTGAGGCCCACGCACCTTTTGGGCCTGACCTGCCTGCCTCCAGAGCAGTGCTCAGGGGTGTCTGAACTTGACCCCGCCACTCTGGGGCCCTCCCCCTCTTCTCCTAGACCCTGAAGAAAGCCTCTGATGGGCCTAGAACAGAGAAGGTGACCCAGGACCTTGCCCAGCCTTTCTGGACAACTGGAAGACAGTTACGCTTCGTCCTCCACCTCTCCCTCCAACGTGAGTATCCGAGTCACAGGGGCCTAGTGCTGGCCTCCTCTGTCATCCAACCCACTCTTAAGGCTGGATGGGCCACCCCAGATCACCTATCTGGTACCTTGAGGCAGAGCAGATGCTGGGGGTAATCTCAGCTCATAGCCAGGTGGCTTCCGGGTGCAATTCTGGGGTTCTGCCAGCTCTAGCCTCGCTCACCCACAGGGTCTCTGGCCAACCAAGATGCCCTGACCACACAGACTGTATGGTCAGGCACTTACAGCGCACCCTGACTGCAAGCCCTCAGCTCTGTTGTCCCATGTTCCGGTGTTTTCCAGACTCCAGGCATTTCCATGCTACCCCCACTCTATAGCTGCATGCATACCTGTTCTGCTATTTTTTGAACACTTTTCTTTACATTGATTTGCATTGTTCTTAATAACGTCAACTGAAAAGAAGATTTTAGATTTACTCATTTTCAACAATGAGGTTTCATTCTAACCAGACACTATGGCCCTGCAAAGGCTCTGAATGTGTGACTTTCTCTCTTTATTAGAAAAGGATCTTAGCAAGTGTTGGAGAGGTGCTGAAGTCGTATTAGGACCAACCAGACTTTTTCTTTGAGGATACTCAGAAGGAGTGAAGGAGAATGGAACAGGGGGTGTGAATAAATGAGCTTTCTCCATGTGTGATTCAAAGTGGTTTAACCCATGCCTCACCTTCTAGAACACCCGTGGCCCTCTCTAGCCATGAGAAGTGTCACCACTAGCCATCAAAATGCTCCCAAAAGTCCAACCTTTGACCAAACTACATTTCAGATTTTCATTTCAGATTTTCTTAAATTCTGGAGAAAAAAGAAAATAAAGTAAAAGAATAAATATTTTGGTTATGCCATGTACTCTGATTTGGGATTCAGAAATATGATTTCTGGCCAGGTGTGGTGGCTCATGCCTGTAATCCCAGCCCTTTGAGAGGGGAGGATCTCCTGAGCCCAAGAGTTGGAGATCAGCCTGGGCAGTGTAGGAAGAAGACACCATCTCTAAAAATAATAAAAAGTTAGGCAGGTGCGGTGGTGCATGTCTGTGGTCTCAGCCACTCAGGAGGCTGAAGTGGGAGGATTGCTTGAGCCCGGGAGGTCGAGGCTGCAGTAAGCCGTGTTTGTGCCATTGAACTGTAGCCCAGGCGACAGAGCGAGACCTCATCTCAAAAAAAAGAAAGGAAATATGATTTCCCACATTACCACACCTGCTGATGTGCATAGCAAAAGGCTGGGTGTGGGGGTGGGGAGGCTATGGTAGGCAAAGGTAGGGGTGGGTGATGAGGATGAGGGGAGGAAGGCTTTTGGGCAGTCTGAGAAAAGCAAGAGAGCTGGGAACATCTCGTCACCAACAGTCCTCAATCACTAAGACAGCCTGGTTAGGATTCTGCCATTATGTTTGGTCTCATGATAATAACAGGTCTTAGGAAGTCAGCCTGTGTTATCTACTAGATGCCCTGAGCTTTTTGGGTAAACTATGCCATTTAACCCTGCCAAGGGTGGAATTAGTATACCCATTTGCCAGATAAGAAACGGCCACAGAGAGATCTAGATAACTTGCCCAAAGTCACAGCTCAGCAGCAGGGAGCCAGGATGTGAACTTGTTCTTTCTGATCACAGAACTCATGCTCCCCCCACCCCACCACAGCATCACTTTGCCCCCACCCCCTACTCCCATCCCAACCTGAGGCTATTTGGCCAGTGAGGACCAGGCCTTAGGAGATAACCATCCCCTCAGGTGAAAGAGTGAGTCCCAGTGTCCCCAGGCAAGGCTTCCACCAGCCCCTCCCAGCAGAGACTTTAGGAAGTGCTCCTGTGTGGCATGGCTGGTGGGGCTGTGCCCCTCCATCCCCGAAACACACTCAGGGAGCCTGAGAATGGCTCCTAGACACCTGAGAATGAAGGGCAGAGGGGAGACTGTAGGAGGCAGGTGGCTGGGCTGCTGCTTTTTCTCTTTTTAAAAAATTGAGGCCAGGCGTGGTGCCTTACACAGTAATCCCAGCACTTTGGGAGGCTGAGGCGGGTAGATCACCTGAGGTCAGGAGTTCGAGACCAGCCTGGCCAACATGGTGAAACCCTTTCTCTACTAAAAATACAAAAAAATGAGCCAGGCATAGTGACACATGCCTGTAGTCCCAGCTACTGGGGAGGCTGAGGCAGGAGAATCACTTGAATCTGGGAGGCTGAGGTTGCAGTGAGCCAAGATTGCTCCATTGCACTCCAGCCTGGGTGACAAGAGTGAAACTCTGTCTAAAAAAAAAAATTGAAATATAATTTGCACACCATAAAAAAATCACCATTTTAAAGTGCACAATTCAGTAGCTTCCAGTATATTGAAAAAGTTGTGCAACCTTCACCACTAATTCCAAAACATTTTCATGAACCTCAAACCCATCAGCAGTCAAGTTGCAGCCTCTTTAGGAAAATGCAAAGGCAGCACTGGGCAGAACTACATTCTTTCTGTTTGTTTGTTTTGTTTTTGTTTTTGAGACAGGGTCTCACTCTGTCACACAGGTTGGAGTGCAGTGGCTCACTGCAACCTCTGCCTCTTGGGCTCAAGCGATTCTCCAGCCTCAGCCTCCTGAGTAGCTGGGACTACAGGCACGAGCCACCAACACCTGGCAATTCTTTTTTTTTTTTTTGTAGAGATAGGGTTTCACCAAGTTGCCCAGTCTGGTCTCAAACTCCTGAGCTCAAAGCAATCTGCCTGCCTTGGCCTCCCAAAGTGCTGGAAATACAGGCATGAGCCACCGTGCCCGACCTGGGCAGAACTACATTCTGGATGCATCTTAAACCTCACCTCAACCCTACACCCTCCCTTTTGTTGTTTCCTTTCTCCCCACAAGTCATCTCAGAATGAGGCTCCCAGCTCCAGGCTCCAGTTGCAACCTCACCCCCACCTAGACAAACCCTCAAATCAAGAAAAAGAAGCCCTGGCAGGGCGTGGTGACTCATGCCTGTAATCCCAGCACTGTGGGAGGCTGAGGTGGATGGATCGCTTGAGCTCAGGAGTTCAAGACCACCCTGGCTGGGCAACATGATGGAACCCCATCTCTACCAAAAATTTTAAAAAATTAGCTTGTTGTGGTGGTGTATGCCTGTAGTCCCAGCTCCTTGGGAAGCTGAGGTGAGAGGATCATTAGATCCTGGGAGATGGAGGTCGCACTGAGCCAAAATTGTGCTGCTGCACTCCAGTCTGAGTGACAGAGTGAGACGCTGTCTCAAAAAAAGAGAAAAGAAAAAGAAATCCAAAGGAAAAAAAGAGAGAGACAGAGAGAAAGGAAAAGAGAAAAGAAAAGAAATTTCTGTTGGCCAGGCCCGGTGGCTCATACCTGTAATTCCAGCACTTTGGGATAGGCCGAGGTGGGCGGATCATGAGGTCGGCGGATCATGAGGTCAGCGGATCGAGACCATCCTGGCTAACATGGTGAAACCCCGTCTCTACTAAAAATAAAAAAAAATCAGCTGGGCGTGGTGGTGGGTGCCTGTAGTCCCAGCTACTTGGGAGGCTGAGGCAGGGGAATGGTGTGAACCTGGGGCGCGGAGCTTGCAGTGAGCCGAGATTGCACCACTGCACTCCAGCCTGGGAGACAGAGCAAGACTCTGCCTCAAAAAAAAAAAAAAGAAAGAAATTTCTGTCTCAAAAAAAGAGAAAAGAAAAGAAAAAGAAATCCTAACACTCATCCATCCTTAAGTAAAAGCAACTCACCTTGTAAGTCAGTCTCCACATTTAATCCAACTACCCTACACTAGACATGATGGGTGAGGAGGATACAGATAGTTAGGAGGCCTTTGGCTACAAGTAACAGCCTCAAGTGGGCTAACGAACAAGGAAAATGTATTATTTCATATCACAAGAAGTTCCAAAGCAGGACTCCTCTGAAGGCAGTTAGTGTCTCAGCAATGGTGTCAGAGATGAAGTTTGTTTCTCTCTCTTGGCTCTGTCTTCCTCTGCCGGTCAGCTTCATCTTCAGGCAGCTTTCCTCATAGTCACAGAATGGCTGCTGCAGCTCCAGGTATCCCAACCCAAAACAACAATGTCCAAAAGCAGGGAAAAGATATTTCTTACTGTGTGTCATTTTAAGAGCCCCAAAAACTCTTCCCAGAAACCTTCTTGCACCCTTCAGCTGACCTCCCTCAGGCACATGTCACCCAGTTTAGGCCAATCCCTGGCAAGCAGAATGGGTCCCCGTGATTGACTTAGATCAGTCAGGATTTACCTCTGAGCAAGGTAGGGGAGGAGTAAAGACCAGAACAAACTGGGGGCCTCTGCCATCCTGGAGGAAGGGACCACCAGCAGTGTGAGCTACACTAAATCTAAACAGAAGCCTGTCTTCCAGAAGTTCAAAAACAGCAGCTGAGGCTGGGCATGGTGGCTCATGCCTGTAATCCCAACACTCTGGGAAGCTGAGGTGGGTGGATCATTTGAGGTCAGGAGTTCAAGACCAGCCTGGCCAACATGGTGAAATTCTATCTCTATTAAAACTACAAAAATTATCCAGGCGTGGTAGCTTGCATCTGTAGTCCCAGCTAGGAGGACTGAGGCAGCAGAATCATTTGAACCCAGGAGGCAGAGGTTGCAGGTTGCAGTGAGACAAGATCACTCCAGCCTGGGTGATAGAGCGAGACTTCATCTCAAAAAAAAAAAAAAAAAAAGAGCAGCTGATTGCCACAGAGGGAGGGAGTGGATGCTCACCGATCATTTTACATGTCCCAGGTGCCATTTCAAACACAGCAGCTATCACTCTGCTGAATAGGCAATTGTCTTTTTGAGACAAGTGTTATTATACCCATTTTGCAGTTGATGAAGCAGGTACAGAGAGGTTAGATAATATGCTCAGTGTCACATAGTAAGAGGCAGAGCTGGGATTCACTGGGGTTGTGGTAGACCTGGGCTCTAACGCAACCACTCAGAGAGGATTTCCCAGTCAGACATGTGAATCCCCATTCAGGCCTTATCTAGAAGCCAAGACAAAGGTGCATAAGAGGTGGGTCCTGCTGGGATGTGGGAAATGCCAGGCAGATGTCCCTGCTTAGCCCAAGGGCCCTCCAACGTCTGTGCCAGCTGTGCCTAGGCCCTTGCCAGTGAGGCAGCTGTGACCCCATTCCCAGCCCACTGGGCCTCCATCCATGTGATTAGGCTCCCAGGACTCAGGGCCCATAGCTGGCCACCCTGAGGTCCCAGCAATGACAGCTACTGGCCATACTGGTCTGTGGAGAAGGTGGTTAGTTGGCAGAGTTCTGGAAGGTGCAAACCAGGACTTCACTAGAAATTTCTTCACCATCTCCAAGGATATTATCAGGCTTGTTCTATTCTATCTCCCTAATGTGCCCCCACAAAAGTCTTCCCCGCAAGACCCCTGAGATGGAGAGAACTTCCACACCTCTGTTTTGTTTCGTTTTGTTTTGTTTTCTTGAGACAGTTTAGCTCTTGTTGCCGAGGCTGGAGTGCAGTGGCACGGTCTTGGCTCACCGCAACCTCCGCCTCCTGGATTCAAGTGATTCTCCTGCCTCAGCCTCCCAAGTAGCTGGGATTACAGGCATGCGCCACCATGCCCAGCTAATTTTGTATTTTTAGTAGAGACAGGGTTTTGCCACATTGGCCAGGCTGGTTTCAAACCCCTGACCTCAGGTGATCCGCCCACCTCGGCCTCCCAAAGTGCTGGGATTATAGGCATGAGCCACCATGCCTGGCCTGGTTTTGTTTTTTAAGGAAACATTTACGTATTTGGTCCTCTGATGAATGACTGTCCCCAGCAGATGGCAAGTTCCTTGCAGGCCAAAACCTGGGCTGCTTTTGCTCATCAGTGCTCAGCTGCCAAGGGGCAGCTGCACACAGAGTTGCTCCATGAAGATGCGTTGAAGAAATGGACCAGGTGAAATTCACAGAGCACCTACTGTGTGCATCAACCGGAGCTGGGTTATAAGGAAGAAGGCAGACTCCTTGAGGGTAGTCCCATTCCTCGTGGAGCCTTGTCCACAGCAGGCATGCAGTCAATGTGTGCGATGAGAAATACAGACACTTTCCGCCCTCAGAGCCCAGGCGGAAGGTGGGGGCCCATCGTGACTAAGGTTGGAGACAGAAGAGACCAAAGATGGCTCCAAGCCCCTCCTGGGTTGCAACCAGGGCTCCCTCCCCTTCCCTGCCTGCTTATGTCCCATACACAGGGGAGTGGAAGGAAAACTCAGGAGCTCTAGTTCCAGGTGACTGAGAGAAACCGTGGCAGCCACACACAGAGGTCTGGCTCTAACTCCTCAGGTAGGATCACAGCCATGCTAGGAGCTGGCCTTGGGTTAGAGCCCCAAAAGCCTTGGGCAGGCCAGCCATGTCCAGGGATGGGGCTCAGGGTTATGAGGCAATGGCAGAATAAAGGGGCACAGAGGGAGGCTGAAGAGAAAGAAAGGGAAGGAGAAAGAGGTGTGGCACATGGCTGGAGAGGCAGCACGAGGGGCCACCAAGCCCCAGATGCCCCCATGTGGCAGTGACTTCCCAACAGGCTGCCCACCCTTAATCTCATCCCACTGGAGGCAGCACAGGGTCCTATGAAAGGGACACAGGAACCAAGCGACAGAGCAGGGTAGCTGGGGTGGGTTGGAGTTGTAGGGGCCAGGGCCACTCAAGATAGGGGCACTGAGGACCCTGAGGGGCCACAGGGAGCCCAGACCTGAGTCAGTGGCCCTTCTATCTGAGACCTCGGCCCTGCCTGCTCCCTCTCCTCTGGGCCCATCATCAACAGTGTTTTCGAGGGGCTGCTAAGTGCTGGATCCCTCACCACTGGGGGTTCAGCAGTCTTGTGGAGGGAGTTTCTTTGTGGAGATTTCACAGTTGGAGACGGACAACATATGCAAGAAACTGAGCAGATATGTCTGCTATGTAGTATGTATAATCAGCCGGGCATGGGGGCTTACGCCTGTAATCCCAGCACTTTGGGAGGCCAAGGCGGGCGTACCACCTGAGGTCAGGAGTTCAAGACCAGCCTGGCCAACATGGTGAAACACTGTCTCTACCAAAAATACAAAAATTAGCCAGGCATGGTGGCGAGCGCCTGTAATCTCAGCTACTTGGGAGGCTGAGACAAGAGAATCACTTGAACCCAGGAGGTGGATGCTGCAGTGAGCCAAGATCACACCACTGCATGCCAGCCTGAGCGACAGAGCAAGACACCGTCTCAAAAAAATAATAATATGTGTAATCACATATTAATCACATCAGTGTCAGGGCTATGCTGGAAAATAAAGCTGAATAAGAGGCCTGACAGGACAGGGCTAGGGAGTGGCAAGGGGTCTGGAGGGGCCTCTCTGAAGTGGATATTTTGAAGTGGGTCTTGGAAGGGGACATCAGACAACATTATCCCGGATAAATCCTTCTGGAGAAGGCTCCTGGGCGCCTGAAGGGGGACTGCTTAGCAGACACTGACTGGGGCAGGAAGAGAGACCTGAGAGAGAGGCTTACTCCTTGCCTCAAGAGAAGAAGGAAACCCAATATTTTGTATTCACCATCCGCAGTCTGGCATTCCGTCAGCACCATTCTCATTTAACGCTGACAGCTCCCTACAAGGTGGAAAGTGTTATCTCCACTCCACAACCGAAGCCAGGGACTCAGAGATGACAGGCAACCGGCCAGTGCCCCCACCCCACCCCATTCCCTCCCTTCTAAAGGACTTTCACCGCAAATCGCTTTCCAAAATGCTCTGGGGAGGCCAGGCATGGTGGCTTGCACCTGTAATCCCAGCACTTTGGGAGACCAAGATGGGTGGGTCATTTGAGGTCAGGAGTTCAAGACCAGCTTGGCTAACATGGCGAAACCCTGTCTCTACCAAAAAAACACAAATTAGCTGGGTATGGTGGTGCATGCTTGTAATCCCAGCTACTTGAGCGGCGGAGGCAGGAGAACCACTTGAATATGGGGAGGTGGAGGTTGCAGTGAGCCGAGACTGCACCACTGTACTCCAGCCTGGGCGACACAGTGAGACTCTGTCTTAAAAATATAGGTCAGGAGTTCGAGACCAGCCTGGCCAACACGGTGAAACCCTGTCTCTACTAAAAATACAAAAAATTAGTCAGGCGTGGTGGCGGGCACATGTAATCCCAGCTGCTTGGGAGGCTGAGGCAGGAGAATCGCTTGAACCTGGGAGGCAGAGGTTGCAGTGAGTCGAGACCGCGCCATTGCACTACAGCCTGGGCAACAAGAATGAAATTCCACCTTTCTATATATATAATATATAATATATTATATATAAATATATATAATATATTATATATAAATATATAATATATAATATATAAATATATATAATATAATATATATAATATATAATATATAATATATGTGTTTATTATATAATACATATTTATTATAAATACATATTTATTATAAATACATATTTATTATAAATACATATTTATTATAAATACATATTTATTATAAATACATATATATATAAATACATAAAACTGAATGCCCTGGGGAGCTAGAGCTAAGACAGGAGGAACTACTGCCACAGGGAGAACCTCTCAGGTGCCCACAGCGGCCCCTGTGATCTCGGGATCCAGGAAGAACTGGTGACATCCGCCTGCCGCTGGCAGCCTCCCATATGTCAGCGGAAGAGGGAGGCATCCGCAGGGTGGATCTGGCGGTGCCCCAGTGCGCCCTGGACCGGCATCACCTGGGCCCGCTCGCCCTCCGCCTGTCTGGAGAGGAGAGGGGAGCCTGAAGCCATGCACCCCTTATCCCCAGCTAAGCTCCGGGATTGCGAGGTAGATTAAGGGCATTCACTCAGGAGGGCACCTGCTTAACCAAGATCCTCCGAAATCCGGGCTGCTCACCAGCAACAATTGAGGATGCCGGGCCCGCAGGGAGCGGAGTGGGACCAGGCGCGACCCCTTCCTCGCCTGCTGACCTCCCGCCTTGCTATCAGCACTGCCGCCAGGGGGCGCGCCCGCGCCGCTGGGCTCTGAGCCGACCTCCGCGTGCACCTGCGCTCCTTTGTGTGTTAGATTAACATCTGGTGCTTACCTACTATGCGCTTACTCGGTGCAGGTCAGGGGCTTCCTGCATTTCCAGGATGCAGCCTCTATGCCAGCAAACTAGGCTGGGCAGTGGAAAGAAATCCGATTTACTCCTGCGCCCACCACCCACGCTAGGGCCTTCCTGCTTCCAGGCTCTGCTGTCCAGCCTTCCAGTGGCCTCTAGGGAGCTCGCCTAAAACCGCTCTGCGGTTCCTACAGCTCCTAGGAGAAAGTTAAACGCCCTCCTCTCCAGGTCAGAGGCCTTGGAGCCCCCTATGTGCTCCCTTTGCACTGTTCCTCCATAAGCCCTGTGGTGTTAGGCCTTCGGCCCTTCGCACTTCCCCACCTGCTTCCCCGCTGCAACGGCTTCGCCTCTCCCTTTACCCCCCCAGGTTGGTCCGGCTCCCGACTCCCGCCTGGCAGCCCCAAGACCTGTTTCAAGCAAAAATGAATGGCACAGTGCCTGGATCGGAGATTTCCTCCTCCTTCCCCGCGACAGACGGGTAGCCCCATGAGGGCGGGCGGGGGCCTGGCCACCGGATTCTTTGTCTACACGGTGCCTCCGCAGGGGGTCCAGTGGAGCCTCACTGAATACACAGCGGCAGACTCTGAGCCCCGGGGGAGTGCACATCAAAAGGAACCTCCGAGCCAGCTAGAGAGAGGGGTTGGGTTGGGACTGGGGTCCCCTTCCCAGGTCTAAGGTCCCACACATTCACACACACAACAAAAAGTGCTTCCCACGTGCCACCCCATGTCCCCAGGTCCCTGGCCCTTGCTGCCTCTTCTGCCCTCTTCCAAGAGACCACCCTTCCTTTCAGGGCGATGGCCTCCTGGTCCACCGGCTGATGCCTCCACCCCGCCCTCCCTTCCTGGTCTTGGAGTGAATTTAACCCTTTCTCCACCAAGTGAAACCACCCTGGGGCTTGGGGTACCTGTTAGAGAGAGGGTGTTTCTATCTGTGATGTGTGGTCAGGGGCGCCCGCCCTCCCCTGAGAGAAACCATTCCTGCGTTTCCACCCGCGGCAGCGCAAGGGGTGCAGGAGGAAGGAAATTAAACCTGTGTTGAAGGAAGGACACCTGGGGGAAAGGAAGGGACTCAGGCTCCCCTTGTCTGAGGAGCTTTCAAGTGGCGGAAATCCCCACACACACCTCCATTCACTAGGGGCCTGGCAGGGCCGCTGGTAGGTTCCAGTCCTCTCCTCTGTCACTTCCCAGGCGCACATGGCCAGCTCCTAGATTCCACCCTTCAACCCACTTGTTTCCTGCCTGATGCACATGACCTGCGTCTGAGTTCTCCAGGCTGCCTGGAGGAGGCATTCAGGTACACATGACCCCTCAGGGAATGATGTTCTTGCCCACAGCACCCAGGATGCTGGCTGGGCATATCTCAGCCAACACACACTCCCACCGACAGCCTCGGATCTTTTGCTCCCACCTCACAGGGTTGGCACCTGTGGAGTCTTGAGGCCCAGTAATGACCCCAAGAAGCCATCAAGTCCAGGCCCTGTCGCCCCACCATACTGCATCCACAGTGGTGTCTGAGTGGCCAGGGAAGGTAGCCCTCCCCAGCTCTCAGCACCACTGTCATGGGGCTCTGGAACTCCCGAGCCCTTGGGCAGGACTCCAGCAGGCAGCTCTGATCAGAAAGCCACCTGGGAGCCCTGTGGGTGGGACAGGACTCCAGGTAGGACCTAGCAGGCCTCCATCCAAGAGGGAGGTATGTGGAAAGCTCTCCACTGCCAGAGCCTTGGTCCTGAGGCTCTGCATTCATGGCAATGGTAACCCTCTTTCCAGGTGAATCAGAAACAGGGCACCCCAGAATCAGCCCAGCCATGAGGAGCATCTCTAGGGATCCCCATCTCTGCAGCCCCCACCAGGTTCACCACTCCTGGTCAGGTTCACGATTTTTCTTCGCCTTGCAGCTCCTTGGTGCTCTCCGCCTCCCCCCTGCCCCTTTCTTCCTCACACCGGTGGCTCAGCCTCCCCCCGACAGTTTTCTTGGTTTCTGTCTCAGCGTCTCTCTCATCTCTGAGCCCCTCTCTCTCTCTCCTCCTCTCGGATTCTCCTTTTCCTCCCCTTCCTTCCTCTCTTTCAACCTCCCCTCCCACCCCCTCCAGTCCAGCAATGGGCTGGGAACGCAGCAGGAGCCATGACAAGCCCAGGCGGCTCTCCCGACCCTTGGTGCCCCCGAGGCCATTTCCCCGCGCTCCCTGTGCCGGCAGCAGCCGCGTGCGGAGAGGGCTCGCCGACCAGAAGGGGCAGCAGGTTGGAGCTGTGGGTACGGGGGGCTCAGATCAAAGGCCAGGAATGTCTGGCCCCCTGGCGTAAGACTTCCTTCAGCCATGGCCCTCACCTCGTGGAACGCCCGCCGTTCCAGGCCTCTGTGGGACTCGGGTCGGCTCATTCTCTGCCCTTTCTGCCACAGTTCCCTACACAGCGGTCCCTGCTCCCCACCGGCAGTGCTTCCTTCACCCCAGACCGGGGCTGCGCAGAGTCCTGGTGCCTCAGGTGGCCTGGGAGGGGGCCTAGGGAAAGGCACCCAGGTGACCGGGCGTGAGTCCCCAAAACCTGACCATGATGTCAATACCACCCAGGGCTGAGACCTAATTCCTCGCTCTGGAGAGGGAGAGGAGAGGAAGCAAGCCCGAAGGGGGCCTGGAAGGACTCCTTTCCTGTGGGGAGGGGTGGGTAACTGGAGGCATTTGGTGTCCGCACAGGGCAAGGGCCTTTATCGCCAAACCCCAGGCTGGAGCTCCCTATCAGTAGAACCGGGGCCTCAGGCGGGACGGTCGGGCAGTGAGGGGCGCTCCGGAGGGCAGCAAGGTCTTCCAAGGACCTGGGCCGCCCTCGGCCAGAGCTGCGCGTTTCACCGGTCCCTGATGGTCCAACCGAGAATCCCACTGAGGCTGTGGGTCACGCCTCCGACCCGGGCCAGAGGTCGGGCCTGAACCCCTCAAGGAGGAGAAAGTGACCCGACTCCGAGAGCAGGAAATGCGACTGGCCGCTGGTGTCAGTTGCAGGAAATGCAAAGGCAGCAGGAGGTCCCGATACCGATCTGATCCCTGACAAAAGACTCAAATGACACTCGGCTCCGTCCCCCGGCGCCGCCCGCAGCCAGACCTTCGAGCCTCCGCGGACTTTTCCGCACGTTCCTCGGACACCCGGGAAGTGACCTCCCGCGGCCAGGACGAGAGGCCAGAGAGCGGGCGGACTCGGGAGGCTGGAAGCTGGGAGGGGGTGCGTTCCCCCACCCTCTGATCCTGACCTGCCCGAGCGGGGCTTCTGGAAACATCCCTGTGCTTTCTACCCTCGATTCCTCGCGGGCCCACGTCCCAACGGGTCACGGTCCCCGCCAGCAAAGGAGCCACCCGTTCATGCCCACGCCAAGCCCTCGCCATGTGAACGCCCGGGTCAAAGCCCCCGCGCCCTAACCCTGGCCAGCGGGGGACCGCGGCGGTAGCAGAGGGTCCGGCCCACCGCGTCCCCCCGAAGCCCCGCGGCGTCCGGGGCGCGGGCTTTGCCCAAGTTTGCTGGGCGATGCCCTTCCCGGAGCCCGAGTTGTGGGCCGGGCGGGAGGGGCGCGTGATTGACAGGCTGAACTACAGACTCATCTCTTACCTTAGGCCGCGGGCGCTGATTGGCTGCTCGCTGACATCCTCAAACCCGGCTGCTCCGCGCTGGGCTCGGGAGGGGGGCGGCTGCGGGTGGAGGTGCGCTTCTGACAAGCCCGAAAGTCATTTCCAATCTCAAGTGGACTTTGTTCCAACTATTGGGGGCGTCGCTCCCCCTCTTCATGGTCGCGGGCAAACTTCCTCCTCGGCGCCTCTTCTAATGGAGCCCCACCTGCTCGGGCTGCTCCTCGGCCTCCTGCTCGGTGGCACCAGGGTCCTCGCTGGCTACCCAATTTGGTGGTAAGACTCGCCTCTTGTCTGCCCGCGGCCCGGTTTCTCCGCCGCGTCCGGGGAAGGTGGGGGCGCCGGCTGGGGGTGGGCCGCTGCAGGGCTGGGGCTCCTCTCCTCGCCTCCCTCCAGCCCCCCACCCGCCCACCCCTCCTGGATTTTCTGCTGGTGTCGCCTTCAGAATCCAACTCCTGGCTCCTCTGATAATCACCATTTTCCCTGCTCCCCGCTGCAGGGGCTGGAGGACTTTTCCCATCTCAGAAGGTTTCTTATTCTTAGATCCTAACCCTCTGCCCGTCCCAATCTAGAGGCCCCCGAAGACCCCCCATTTGCTTGCAGTTGGGTTTCTGGAAATCCAGCACTGTCCCTGGGGCCCAGCCACTCCTCTTCTCCATTTTGGGGTCTTCATGGGCAAAACCATCCTGTTCCTTCACTGCCACCCCACCTCTGCCGGCGCCTCCATCAAGAGATTCCCCATAATAACCCCCCTTTGCCTTCCTATTTCAGACCCCAAAGGCTTCAGGGCTCCTCCCGGGGCAGGGGAGTGGGTGGGGGGATTTCATCAGATTCTCCCCACCGCTCTAGATTCATCTTGAGCCTCTGAAGTGAATATGGTATTTGCTGATCCGGGATGCCATTGAATTCGGATTTTATTCATTTCTTGCTTGTCCACCCTGGCAAAAGGGGGGTTCCTTGAAAATGTGTTGTCTGGGAGGGGTAGGCTTGTTGTTCTTTGACCAAAAATCCAATTCTCCATGTCACATTTCTTCCTTTTGGAAAACCGAGGACCGAGGAGAAAGGGAGAGGGAAGGGAGAATTCCGTCCCTGAGAAATGTGGATACAAAAGACATTTTAGTAAATAAGACTGGGAAGCCGGGAGCAGTGCTTGGGGGGGGCTGTGCGTGTCTGGGGGGCCTGGGTGAGGAATAAACATCGCTTTGGGAGCCCCAGCTCCAGGAGTCCCCTTGTTTTCCGAGCGGCCCCATCGCCGCTCTCCCACCCTCCGCAGGTCCCAGGGGCCAGAGGGGAAGACACTGAAACCAGTTCTCTAAATTACACTCCGCCTCTCCCCAGTCTCCAGCCCCCTACATTCCGGAAAACTTTAATTAAAGAATCTTCCCCTCCTGGACATAGGAGAGCCTTGGCCTGGGCGGGGGGAGGTGAGGAGGAAGAATTTGGGATCTGTGAGTGAGAAGTGGGCTGTGGCCCCCGGGGTGAAAGTCAGAAAGAAGTGCCACCACGGTGCGGTACCGCCTGCAGGTCCCCAGACTCCCTGCCTTTCGCCAACCCAGAGTCCAGGGTAGGAGGAGCAGAGACAGCGAGACTTGGGGGCCACACCCCGAGTCTTCCAGTTGTTTGGGGATGGCAGCATTTGTGTCTGGGTGTTTGGGGCTCCTGGGAGAGAGGGTGGGGACATGGCCAAGGGTCTCTGTTTAGAGGGTGCTAGGAGTTGCTCCCAGGACAGCCAGCCAAGGGGAAGTCTTTCTTCTGCCCAACCCACACTTTTCCGGGGGGCTGGGCTAACCTGAGGCTTCCAGCACATAAAGAAGTCCATGGGGTGGCCAGGGCAGCCAGGGACTTCAGGAAGGAGGTTCGGCCAGTCTGGGGAAAGGCTGCTGCCAACACCAGTCCAGCCTCACCCGGCCATTCCTGACCCTCTTCCCATTCCCGGGCCAAGGCCATGCCGTTTTTCGCCTTGCTTTCGCAGAGACTCTGGTGGGTTGGGGGAGGGTAGGAAGGAAAGGTTTGGCGGCCCATAGGTGGCAGGGACTGAGGAAGAGAGACCAGTCTCTCCGGCCCTATGAACTAGAAGAGGGCACTCTTCCAGTTGGTGTAGATTCTGGTGTGAAATGGTATCTTGGGGACCATCTAGATAGGGATTGCCCAATAGGAAGAAACGCTGGGGAAACCTGGAAGGTCAAGACATTGGCCCTAACATAATGCTAGACACATGGCTTGTTTGGGAATTTGGTGGGGGACAGGAATGCTGCTTTGTCTAAGCCAAGGAGAGAGGTGTGTGTGTGTGTGTGTGTGTGTGTGTGTGTGTGTGTGTGCGTGTGTTCTGGGTCTATGACCCTAAGAGGTGTTTTCTATACACCAGTGTGTCTCTGTGTGCAAAAGTGTTTGTGC
The DNA here is from genome assembly GCF_000001405.40 of Homo sapiens. Taxonomy (NCBI): domain Eukaryota; kingdom Metazoa; phylum Chordata; class Mammalia; order Primates; family Hominidae; genus Homo; species Homo sapiens. Next base: position 46,816,399 of record NC_000017.11, on the reverse strand, counting down.
CTGCAACTGGGCTACTATGGATGTGAAATCGTGTGGGCGTGTTGGGGGATCCATGCCCACGACAGGTTGTGCTGTGTGTGTCTGCACACGAGTGTGAGCAAGTGGCTGGTGCTGTGATGTGTGTATGTACATGTGTAAGAGACAGAGAGAAGTCTAGAAGTATCTTTGCCCATGTAAAGGTCAGAGCCTGTGTCTGCCTGTGACGCTGGGCTTGACTGTGTTCATGACTGGGCATGTGAGTGTGTGTGTGCGTGCGTGCGTGTGTGTGAGTGTGTGTGTGTGTGTGTACGTGCGCGCGCATGCCTTCATGACAGTGTGGGGAAAGCCCCACAGATGTCTTTGTGCATGAATATCAGTGCTCATGGCCATGACCTGATTGTGCTTGTAAGGAGGAGAGTGAGCCTCAAGTCCATAGCTGTGTGAGGGCTGTGTCTGAGTCCGCCTGTGATCCTGTCCCCAGGTGCTGGGCCCAGGGCTGTGTGGCTGTGAATATCTTTGCAGACATCTACCTGTGGGTATGAATGACACCTGAGCTTGGGTGTTTGGTGGGCAGCCATGGGCCTGGAGGGAAGGTCCAACAGGAAGCAAAAGTCTCACAAGGTGGCTGCAGGGGGCACAGCTGGCCAGGGATGGCAAGCTAGAGAGGCAGGGGCACAGGCTTCCTTGACACCAGCTTGTCCTGTCTGTCCAGGCACTAGAGTCACTGGCCCTTCTCTCTGAGGTTGTTTTTCTTTGGTCTTGGAGCTGGGGTGGAGGGTGAGTCACCTTCTCAGGGTTAGGGCTGGGGCTGTAGGGTAGATGGGCCTCTGATTCCTGATCCCATTTCTGCCCCCACTCCCCAACCCAGCCCCCCGCCTGGCAGTCAGATTCCAGTACTTTGAGCATCTAAGCCCATCTTGGCCTGCCCTCTTTGGCCCACCCAGCTCATGCATTCCCCAGGAAGGATTTACAGGGGAAGTCATGTAGCTGGGATTTCTGTCCACGCGGACCCTCAAGCATGACACCCTGAGTCCACACTGCTCAGACCCCAGTCCTGACAGAAGGTTGACCAGAAGGGACAGCTCTAAGGGGCCTCAGACTGACACCCCTGGAAGGAAGAGATGTTCTCCAGGTAGTGACAGAGCCGGGACAGGAAACAACAGCACTGATTTCTCGAATTCCCCTTGTCAGTCCCAGTTAGCTCCTGGTGGAGAAACTTGTCTTTCTTCTTCTTCTTGGGGGCGCTGGGGTGGGGGGATGAACCTATGTTATTAGGGCCTAGCCCAGCACCTGCTACATTCCAGCGATGGACGTGCAGATGGAGGGGGCCTGCTGGAGATCAGGAGCTCACCCTGCCGCTGTGTGACTGAGGACCAGTGGCCACCCATCTGGGTCTGCTTCCTTACACTTCACCCAGGAGTCCCCAGCCTGCCCTGCCTCACAGCTTGGGTGAAAATGTTTTGCAGAGGACAAGGGCAGTGAGCTGGGAAATAGCACACCTGAGTTCTCGCCATCCCAGGACCCATCCTCCCACTCGAGCACCTGCCTAAGACCTACCTCAGTTTCCCCATCTGTCAGATGTCCTGCTGCCTCTCCCACCCACTCCCACCTCCACCCACCTTTCAGAGGCTTGTGAACATGTTCAGTCAAACCCCGTGGGGGTCAGTGGGCTGGGCCCAGGGAGGCACCTGGAGACTGCGGGGGAGGAAGGCCCCAGGCCAGGTGTTAACACTTGTAACAGGCAGGAATTACAGCTCGCTGGGGCTGGGCTGGCTGGGGCTGGTGAGGAGCTGAGCTAGCTGGAGGCTGTTGATCCCACAGACAGACAGACAGACAGACAGATGGGCAGATACCAGATCGGATGGCCAGGCTTTAACCGGGTGGTCTCCCTTCCAGGGCAGACCTTTCCCTGGGGGGGATATGGCGGGGAAATTAGTCCAGGTCTCTTGGAAGTTAACAGCCCTCCCGCTCACCCCGCCCCCATTATGGGTGGGGCTTCGGAGTCCAGAGGGAGCAAAATTGGTGGCCGATCTGTTGGTATTCTTCCGATAGGATCACATTTTGCTTAAAAAGAAGAAAACAGGTCAAACGTTATAATAATACCAAGAGCCTGAGCTGAGTTATGTCCTTAGAAGAACCTGCTGTAATATGTATGTGGATGGCATGGGGGAAGGGGACGCTCTCAGGGAAAGTTCTAGACTCTCAGAGCATTTTGTCAACAGCTCCGGGGCCAAGAGGTGAGAGATGGGTGGAGTCTGAGTATCACCCCCACCTCCACCCCAGGGATCCTGAGGGCTTGGGTCTGTGATGTCTGCCCTGCAATTAATCCTGGCCTGGTGGGAAGACCTTTGGCGATGAGGTCAAAAGAGGCAGGAGCTGGACTTTGGTGCCAAGTCCTTTAGGAGGTGCTTGCTGCAGCTTCACCAGTGGCAAACCCAGCCAGGCCCTACCAGGGCCCACACTCTGGCATCTGGATACATGCTCAGTCACTGACAAAGGTGGAGAAACTGAGGCAGACAGCGAGGGCTCTGGGTGGAAATCTCCAAAGAATGCACTCAGCCTAGCAAGCATCTCTCATCCTCCTCACTACAGAACTTAATGCTAATAAACATTAATGGTACTTGGGCAGATGTAGAATTGGAAGAAGTCTCTCCTTGGTCTGGGCAGGAGACAAGGAGCCAGGGGATAAGGAGCCAGGGGATGGCACAGGAAAGGTGACTTATCACAGAGGAGGATGCAGCTAACAAACCCTTCCAGGGAAAAGGAAGTGGGAAAAAGGAAGATTTTTCTGGTCTCAGAATGTGATGAGCCAGGAGTTGAGCAGAACCTTTTCCACCTACCCTGATGTGAGCCACAGAAACCTTCTCCAGCTGCCAAGGAGGGCAAGACATCCTCCACCCCTCATTCCTAACTCAGGGAGGAGGTATGCCTAGCCCCACCCCCACCCCCCGCCAAAGGTTAGAGCCATCCTGATATTACATCTGTACATCCATGTTATCTTGTATGCTGGAAAATGGTGAGAGTGGGGAGATGGAGAGACCTATGTCTGAATTCCAAGTTTAATACCAATGGACCCTGTGACCTAGGATGAGTCCCTTCCCTTCTCTGGGCTTCATTCAAGTCCCTGCCTCCTTCTGGGCTTCATTTTCCTTAACCACATGGAGGGGTCCCTTTTGCCTCTCAGAGTCCCAGGGCTATGACAGGTTCTGGGCTCGTTGCTGTGAAGCATGACACTCTACTGCACACATTCCGGGCCTGTATTAGACAGTCCACCCGTTTCTTTCTGTGGCTCCATCTGACCTAAATCGCAAAGAGCTGGCTGCCCCACTCCTGCCAAGCCAACCTGCTTGCACTTCCAAACCTCGCCCCAAACACTCCCACTCTTCTGGAGCCAGGCCATCTGCATTCACATCTGGCTTTTTCATGTACTACCTGGGTAACTAGGGCAAGTTAACCTCTGCAAGCCTCAGTTTCCTCATCTGTAAAATGAGTGTAATGATTGCCTCTATTTCATAGGGTTTTGAAAATGATTGAGTGAATACTTCTTAGAATGATACCTTGCATACAGGAAGCATATCGATGTTAGCTATTTTCACCTCCTATCTGCAAGCTATTGGCTCACTGAAGCCCTGGAGCCAAACTTGCCTCTTCCAAGAAGCCCTCCCAGATTTGCCCCACCTGGCTCTGTTTTCCCCTTTTCTTCTTTTTGCCTGTTTGCCCCACAGTGCTTTAGCTTTATTCTTAAGTTGAGGGTGCTGGGCCAGGCTAATCTCACTTCAGCTCTTTACCTGCTCAGGAAGGGGAGGGCAGGGTAGAGAAGGTTGCTGGAGTGTCCCCTAATCATTCCCCGACCCCCAGAGTCTGCCAGACTCTTGCTGGGACCTAGAGCCAGGGGGCTGGGCACAGAAGGGGTGGGGGAGGCAGGCTTCCCAGGGGGAGTGGCACCAGGGCCGCCCAGAGCAGCCTGAGCAGAAGTTGCTTCTCTAGGAGCTGAGAGATGATTCAGAAGGTGATTTATAGTCGGAAGGCAGAAAGCTTGGCTCCTGGCAGAAGCTGCTGCTTAATTACATTCTTGGGGCGGGGGTAGGGGGGTGGAGGTATGTGTGGGGAGGCAGCAGGGGCCAGACTTCTGCCTCCTCCCCATCCAGGCCCTCCCTGTCCCTTTGGCTGTCCCGGCTCTAAGCAGGGTCCTTCTTTATCCCGCTGCCAGAGAGGGAATTCCCTGCTCTCAGTGAGAGGCTAGGCCAGGATTGCAGGAATAGCTTCTGGGAGTGGAGAAGGTGGGAAAAGAGGAAGGAAGCTGGATCCCATCTCCCGGGACTTCTCCAAGGGAGACTGGATGGCGACGGGCTGGAAAACGGGCCTTCTGGGAAGGAGCACTGGGTCTCCTCCCTGCTTCTGGGCAGCGGAATAGCTAAGGCACCTGGGCAGAGTTGAGTTTCTTTCTTTCTTTCTTTTTTTCTTGAAACAGAGCCTTGCTCTGTCGCCCAGGCTGGAGTGCAGTGGCACAATCTTGGCTCACTGCAACTTCTGCCTCCCGAGTTCAAGCAATTCTCCTGCCTCAGCCTCCCGAGTAGCTGGGATTACAGGTGCGCACCAGGATGCCTGGCTAATATTTGAATTTTTTAGTAGAGATGGGGGTTTCACCATGTTGGCCAGGCTGGTCTCGAACTCCCGACCTCAGGTAATCCACCCGCCTCGGCCTCCCAAAGTGCTGGGATTATAGGCGTGAGCCACCGCACCCAGCCAGAGTTTCTAGAATCTTCTGAGAGGCAACTCCACGCTCTCCTTCGGGCACCCTGTCCTGCTGCTGCCTGGGAGGGCCTGCCTGCAGGTTTGCTCCTTTTCTGTTGCTCAGGTCTCAGTGGGCCATGGGGGCTGGAGAGAAGGTCCTGCGCTCAGAGGCTGAAACCCGGTTCTTCAGCGTTAGGCAGCCTGTCCCTCGTGAGCACAGTGGCTACCCCAGGTGCACAACGGTTCTGCCAGCAGGCACGGCCCCATACCCTCATGTCAAACTAATATCTCAGAGAGTCACCCCAATGCCGCTGGGTGCAGCTACAATCACTTCCGCGCCATTGACAGGAGCCCCCATTCTGTTTCCATACCTGCTGAGTTGACATCAGCATTTCCCATATTAACACTGACCCATGCAACAACCCGCCCGATGACACCTAAGGCCGCTTAGTTCCCTGCATCGCAGCCGTGAATCCCAAATCCCTCACTGCTAGTTCTTAAGGCTGGAAAGGTGTAGGGCGGGCAGGGGTAGAGTTGCTGAAGCCAGTAGTGTCGATTTATCTGTTTGCAGCCTGGCCTGTACAGCCGGGAGGAGTTGGCAGGGGTCAGGATGGGGACACTAGACAGCTCTCTGGTTCCCCCTGAGGCGGGCCTTCTCAAAATGGCCTCATTATGTGTGTGGAGTGAATTCCAGAAATGTCAGGCACACCCATACATCTAGGGAATGAAGGAGATGCCAGAGCGGGCTCTGGGGCGAGAGGGGCCAGTGTGAGGAGGTGGGCGGCTTCCGGGCAGGGAGTTAGGGCACCTGAGACCTGGCTCTGCCACCATCTTGATATTAGGCAACTTCCTGAACTGTTCTGAGTCTCAGTAACTAGGAGAGTTGGATAAGCTGCTGGCCAAAGACTTCCAGCTCCGAGATTGCAGTCATGGAGGCTGTATTCCGCGTTCAGGTCACCCAGCTATTTGGACCATCTGTGCCTGGTGGAGGGGGTGGTCACTGAAAGCTGGTCTCAGGGAAGGGTGGGGGGTGCAGAGCTCTAAACTCTACACACAAAGAGCTGTGAGACAGTGGATGAGTCTCCTCCCTCCCTCAGTTTTCTCATCTGCAAATTGGATGATGATAATAACACGACCACCTGCCCTGCCTGCTTGCAGGGCCGTGAAGAGCTTCAGGTGGAATAATCTTTGTGGGCATGCCCCGTGACCAGTTGGCCTCAGACCTGAGGCCTCTGTGCCCTCTGCCAGGGGCTCTCCATTGAGCATCAGGACCCCTACAGGAAGGAGCTGAGGACTCCTTCCTGAGGACACTTGGGAAGTGTCAGGTTCTTTCCAGAGAAGTTAACTATCACTGTGAGTCCTAGAAAAGAGGAATAAGAAGGCTGGGCATGGGGCTTACGCCTGTAATCCCAGCACTTTGGGAGGCCGAGGCGGGTGGATCACCTGAGGTCAGGAGTTTGAGGCCTGCTTGGCCAACATGGTGAAACCCTGTCTCTACTAAAAATACAAAAAATTAGCTGGGCGTGGTGGTGGGAGCCTGTAATCCCAGCTACTCGGAAGGCTGAGGCAGGAGAATCGCTTGAACCTGGGAGGCGGAGGTTGCAGTGAGCCGAGATTGCACCACTGCCTTCCAGCCTGGGCAACAAGACCAACACTCTGTCTCAAAAAAAAAAAAAAAAAAAGAAAGAAAGAAAAGAGGAGAGGAATAAGAGCTAGTCCCTGCTCAGACAGTGCTAAGAATGGACCTAAGAGCCCCCCTGAGCCTCTGAGCTTGAGGAGTTGATATTTCCAGCAGAGGAAGAAGTGGGGCTGGACAGGGGAGTCCTCAGCTCCTTCCTGTAGGGGTCCTGATGCTCACTGGAGAGCCCCTGGGAGAGGGCACAGAGGCCTCAGGTCTGAAGCCAACTGGTCACGGGGCATACCCAGGTTCACAGCTCAGGGCATGGGGCTTGGTTATCCTCCTGGCCTAATGCAAAAACCACTGGCCAGACCCAGAGTGAGATTTCCAACCAGGGACACATGGGAAGATGTAGGTGGAGGTGAGGGGGGCGAGGGCAAAGGGCTGCCAGCTGGAAGGGGCTCTGCTGAGGCCTGTAGTCATCAGGGAATCCTAATGGCCTGGGTAAGGCCTAGCAAACTAGGAGACAGGCACAAGCCATTCCCTCCAGCTCGGCTGGAAAAACTGCGAGGACTGAGTGTGTGTACGTGTGTGTTGGGGAGGGGGATGGGAGCAACAGGACCAAGCACCCAGGTCTGTCTGGAAGACCTTTCTGGGAAACCTGCCCCTGGGCACAGAGTCCCACTTATCTGCCAGAGCCAGCTGGGCCGGCAAGGAAAACCAATCTCGCAGGGCCCATTAGGAATGCAAATAGGGCTTGTGCTGTGAGTGAGCAGGATCCCGCCTCCTCTCCAGCTCCCACCAATCATCTTCACAAGGTGGATTGCTGAGGGTGCCACTCCCCTGCTCTGACACCTCCCATGGCTCCCCTCTTCCTATCTGGTACTGAGGCTCCCTATGATTTCACTTCTGTCCACCTGCGCAGTTGTAACTTTCACAAACCCCCTCGATCCCCCCAATAACCCACTTCAACTGGAATACTCACCTCTTTGCTTGTTCATTGAAATACTTCCACCTCCTCTCTCTGACTTTAAAAGGCAGCCCAACCTGGGGCCTGTTGACCTGGGGTCAGTCTGCTCTGCGCTGCTCAGCTCGGACCCCACTTGGCTCAGGTCATGTAGCTAACAGCCCTGAACTATGGAGGGTCCTTAGAGGGTCTCTCAAGGTGGATGGGCCCCTCGACCTGAGCAGGCTGCTGTCCCAGGAGTGGAGATGAGCCTTTTCTCCACAGTGTCAATTCCCCTGGGTTTCTTTTTCTTTTTTTTTAATCCCAGTTCCACTTGTAAACGTTTCCTATTTGTGTACTATTTCCCCCTCCATGTTCACCAGTTCACACGATGCTTAAGTGTCTAAGTCATTAATTTTAAGATTGCAATTGGCAGAAGTTGTTTCTCTATCTAGGAACAGGTTAATACGTTTGTTGACCATGTGCTATGTGCTGATCCCCATGCAGACATCATGATTTATCTGAATCTAATTCTTGCCAGTTTATAGATAGGGAGTCCCACAGTGCAGCCTGGGCATGGCATGGGAAGCCCTGAGCCCACACCCTGTTGGACCTAAAGCCTTTTTCCTTCTACCACCATTCAGGCTCAGTTGTGGACTTGTTATTGGGGTAAAAATTTGCTTGTTCATATTCTACTTTGTTCCCCAAAGGATGGTTTTGAGACAAGTTTACACTTGACCTTCCACTCAAAGGCTGATGCTTTGGGCTTATAGATACTATTTGTGAACGTCTGGGAAGTCTCTTATTTGGGGATGTGTCCTCTTCACTGGCCACCTTTCCACAAGCCATCAGGCTGTCCTCAAGCTGGGATTGCACAGTTGCTGACAGCAGTGGCCATGTGAGGATTTTGTTGCCCCTGGGATGGGTAAGGGGCGACCTTGATCAAATCACTGCCTCCCGGGCCTCAGTTTCCTCATCTGTGAAACAGAAAGGGTAGCGTAAATGACCTCTCAGATTCCTTCCAGCACTAAGCTCTTTCCTTCTACTTAGTCCTTTTTGCTGCTTTGCATCTGGTCTCCATCATATACGTGCTAGAAAGCAGCTGGGCAGAATCTTCTTTCTTGCCCTAGTCCAATTCTTGTGTTGGTATCTCTGAAACAGCCAATTGTTCATTTCACTTTTACAATTCGACCTTCAGCTTTATTTCTCCCCGAGGAGCCAGCATGCTTTCTCCTTTCTGATAAAGCATGCTTCCCTTTATGTCCTGGCTATGAGAAAACTCAGAGGTCCACCTGAAGCCACATCCTTGCACCCGTGTGGACCTTCCCTGATCCTGCTCTTCCGTTTTTATTTTGTTATTGAATCTGATGTGTTTTCCGTCATCAGCCTCTTGAGGGCAGACATGTTGGAGTCTTTGTACCTGGCCTGGGCATAATGGATCCTCAATAAAGACTTGTCTTTGGGATACACATTTGCTGTCAACCTCTTCAAATCCTTTCTGGAAAGAAGCAAGGCACATGCGAATTAAAAAGCAAAATAAACATTGCTCTGGGAGGGAGTTGGTCCTGACTGGATAGTTTTGAGTTATGAGAATTCCAGTCTGCTTCTGTTTCTTTTTTTTCTGTTTATTTATTTACTTAGAGATGGAGTTTTGCTCTTGTTGCCCAGGCTGGAGTGCAGTAGCATGATCTCGGCTCACTGCAACCTCCGCCTCCCGGGTTCAAGCAATTCTCCTGCCTCAGCCTCCCAAGTACCTGGGATTATAGGCATGCGCCACCACACCCAGCTAATTTTGTATTTTCAGTAGAGATAGGATTTCACCATGTTGGTCAGGCTGGTATCAAACTCCTGACATCAAGTGATCCACCTGCCTCGGCCTCCCAAAGTGCTGAGATGACAGGCGTAAGCCACCAGGCCCGGCCTTCTTTCTGTTTCTTTACTGTCAGCTTTTCCCCAAGTCTACAAAGGTCTTGTCTTCAGAGAAGTCGCCTCTTTTTTTTCCTCCATGATCTTCTCCACTCTAAAGCTGAGGTTGGTTCCTAATCTTCCTCTAGGGACTGTCTCTCGTTCCTGGCCAATGACTATGTCCACCCCTACCCCTGGCTCCCTTCACAACTGGTTCCTCCCACCCTCCCTTGCCTTGGAAGCCGACGGTGCTATTGCCACCATTCCACAGGTGACGGAGTGCCCAGGTAGCACCCACCCTCTCTCCAACAGAGCTGCTCCCGTCCCCAGCAGCCATCGTGAGGGCCAAGCCCCACTCTGCAGATGGAGCCCCAAGGAGGAGCAGAGGGGAGCGGCGGCCAGGGATCTCCCCATTCACCCAGCAAGGTGTCCTCACAACTCTAACCGGCTCTCCCCTCCCCTCCGCTTCTGCCCTTGGGCAACACATGTGCAGGTCACCCCACCCAGTCCCTGACTTCGGAGGAGAGAATGTCTAGCCTCAGGCTGGGTGGTTCTCCATCTTAACTGAAGCTTCCATAGGGGATTCTGGAGCCTTTCTCTGCTACCAGTAAGGATGGAGTCTGTGACCTCTGCACTGTCCTGGAAGCTAAAGCAGCCTCGAGAAAGCAGCCTCTTCATCCCCATGTTACCTGTGAGAAAACTGAGGCTCAGCTGGGCGCGGTGGCTCACGCCTGTAACCCCGGCACTTTGGGGGACAAAGGCAGGCAGATCACCTGAGGTTGGGAGTTTGAGGCCAGCCTGACCAACATGGATAAACCCCAACTCTACTAAAAATACAAAATTAGCCGGGCGTGGTGGCACGTGCCTGTAATCCCAGCTACTGGGGAGGCTGAGAAAGGAGAATCGCTTCAACCGAGGGCTGAAGTTGCGGTGAGCTGAGACCTGGCCATTGCACTCCAGCCTGGGCAATAAAAGCGAAACTCTGTCTCAAAAAAAAAAAAAAAAAAAAAGGAAAAGAAAAAGAAAAAAGAAAAAAAGAAAACCGAGGATCACAGGACCCAACCAGGAGCTGTAAGGAGCTCGGAAGCAAGTGGGCGGCTCCAGTGGCAGCTAGTAATTCCTCGCTTATGATGTCCCGGGTATCACATACATTGAGGAAACAAAGCACACACATTAGCTCATCCTCCCGACAACCCCAGGAGGCAGAGACTCTTGTTATCCCCATTCTACAGATGAGAAACTGAGGCCCTGAGGCACCATTCCATTGCCGAAGGCTCCATGGTTGGTAAACCCCAGAGCTCTAAACAAGAGACAAACTGCCTGAAGCCAGGCCCTTCAGTGACACCACACCACACCACAGCCAGGAAGTTCCTCCTTAGATCTGACTTCAGTCTTTCCTTAATCCAGGCCCAGGTTTTCTTCCTGGGGATGTGAATATCACTGTCAAGTTTCAGTTTGGTTTGGTTTGAGACAGGATCTTGCTCTGTTGCCCAGGCTGGAGTGCAGTGGTACAATCACAGCCCACTGTAGCCTCAATCTCCTGGGGTGAAGCTATCCTCCTGCCTTAGATTGCCAAATCACTAAGACTACAGGCAAGCACCATATGTGGCTAATTTTTTTAATTTTTATTTTTATTTATTTTTGAGACAGAGTTTTCACTCTTGTCACCCAGGCTGCAGTGCAATTGCAAGATCTTGGCTCACTGCAACCTCCACCTCCCCGGTTCAAGCGATTCTCCTGCCTCAGCCTCTCACGTAGCTGGGATTATAGGCGCCCGCCACCACACCTGGCTAATTTTTGTATTTTTAGTAGAGATGGGATTTCACCATGTTGGCCAGGCTGGTCTCAAACTCCTGACCTCAGGTGACCCGCCCACCTCAACCTCCCAAAATGCTGGGATTACAGGCGTGAGCCACTGTGCCCAGCCTTTTTTCTTTTTTTTTGTAGAGATAGCATCTCCCTACATTACTCTTGCTTGAACTGGACTCAAACAATCCTCCTGCCTCAGCCTCTCAAAGTGCTGGGATTCCAGGGGTAGGGTTCCAGTTTGCACTTGAGGACCAGGGTTCGTCTCATCCCTGAATCTTCCTGTGTCTGGAGTTGGTTCCTTCCAGTGGGTTCGTGGTCTCACTGACTTCAAGAATGAAGCCACGTACCTTTGCGGTGAGTGTTACAGGTCTTAAGGACCCCAAGAGTGAGCAACAGCAAGAGTTATCCTGAAGAGCAAAAGAACAAAGTTTCCACAGCATGGAAGGCGACCCAAGGGGGTTGGTGCTGCTGGCTTGGGGGTGGGGGGGGTGGGCGGGGAGGCAGCTTTTATTCCCTCATTTGTCCCAGCCCATGTCCTGCTGATTGGTCCATTTTACAGAGTGCTGATTGGTCCATTTTACAAACCTCTAGCTAGCTACAGAGCACTGATTGGTGCATTCTTACAGAGCACTGATTGGTGCATTTTACAAACCTCTTGTAAGACAGAAAAGTTCTCCAAGTCCCCAGTTGACCCAGGAAGTCCGGCTGGCCTCATCTCTCATTCCTTCTCTAGAACAATTCCTCCCAGGTGACCCATCCTCTACTCACCTTTAACTACTTGTTCTTCCTCTTCTGATCTCTTACCAGCTTTTCTACAACTTCCTGCAAGTCCTATAGCCACAGAATTGCCTTTAAATCAGGGAAAGAGGGGGCCTGCCATCAGCTCTCTGATTTAGAGGCTTCCGTCTGGTGTCTTACAGCACTTCCCTTCCCCATAGGGCAGGGAGTCTGGAATCCAGCATGCCTGCCCTCAAGAGGCTTATGACGGAAAACACATCAGATTAAATAACAAAATAAAAACAGGCTAGTTGTGGTGGCTTGCGCCTGTAGTCCCAGCACTTTGGGAGGCCGAGGCAGGCAGATCACTTGAGGTCAGGAGTTCGAACCAGCCTGGCCAACATGCTGAAACCCCGTCTCTACTAAAAATACAAAAATTAGCCGGGTGTGGTGGCACGCACCTGTAGTCCCAGCTGCTGGGGAGGCTGAGGCAGGAGAATCGCTTGAACCCAGGAGGTGGTGGTTGCAGTGAGCCAAGATCACACCACTGCACTCCAGCCTGGGCAACAGAGTGAGACTCTGTCTCAAAAAATAAAAATAAATAACAAAAACAGAAGAGCAGGATCAAGGTCAAGGAGAAGACAAATATGCAAGTCAAGGTCAATGCAGGTGCAAGGATGGAGCTTGCCCTGAGTTTCCTCACAGCCAGGACATAAGGGAAAACACGCTTTACCTGAAAGGAGAAGGCATGCTGGGTCCTCAGGGAGAAATGCCCGCCTACAGCCTGTGCCCACCCTCTTCAGCTGCGCCATGAGAATTTAGGCTCCTGGAGTATCTGGCCCAGACAGCCGTGAGCCTGCTTCCGGGCTCTGCAGGCCTCTGCCTGGGGCCCATTCTGCCAGGGCAGGCCACACTGCCTGTGGCCAAGGGCTGGTCAAGGGAAATTCATTTGCAAGGGCTGTGGCTGGAGCTTGAGGGTGTGGCTGGGGCCTCCAGCATGGGATGCAGAAGGGATGGGCAGGCTGCAGGCCTGGGGCTAGATCTCCCATGTCACCATTGTCTAGCGTGAACTTTATCAGGTAACCTAGCCCTCTAGGTGGCAAGTAAGGTTTTTGCCAAGATAGGAGGATAGAATGATTGTTTAACTTTTTTTTTTCTTTCTTGAGACATAGTCTTGCACTGTTGCCCAGGTTGGATTGCAGTGACACGATCTCACTATAACCTCTGCCTCCCAGGTTCAAGCGATTCTCCTCCCTGAGCCTTGCGAGTAGCTGGGATCATAGGTGTGCACCGCCACACCTGGCTAAGTTTTGTATTTTTAGTAGAGACAAGGTTTTGCCATGTTGGCAAGGCTGGTCTCAAACTCCTGAGCTCAGGTGATCTGCCTGTCTGGGCCTCCGAAAGTGCTGGGATTACAGGTGTGAGCCGCTACGCCTGGCCAAGTGATTAACTTTTTAATGAAAGTACAGGAAAAGACGTAAACTGTCTTTCCTCTGCTTTCACCCTGCAATAATTGGTACAGAAGACTTCTGCGACCAAATGCGTGCATACACCAAGCAAGCTGTCAATTCTGCGGCAGACATCAGCCAGCGTCCTCTAATCCAATTCAATTCTGATGATCTCCACCTGGACATAGCATCTGATCCCATAGGTTGAGGTCTTAGTTCCCAGGACAGCCTCCCACTTCCAGTAGCAATCCCAAGCCCCAGGCTGCTTTACATGTGCTCCTGACTGACCTGCTATAAATCAGGGTTCCTGTGACTTCCTCCTTGGGTTCCATTAATTTGCTAGAGTGGCTCGCAGAACACAGGAACACACGTTTACTGGTTTATTATAAAGGATATTACAAGGATACAGATGAAGAGGTGCATAGGGCGAGGTATGGGAGAAGCTGCACTGAGCTTCCACGCCCTTCCCAGGCACACCACCTTCCAGGAACCTCCACGTGTTCCGCTATCCGGAAGCACTTGAACCCTGTCCTTTTGGGCTTGTATGGGGGCTTCATTCCATAGGTATCATTGATTAAACCATTGGCCACTAGTGATCAACTTAATCTTCAGCCCCCTCTCCCCTTCCCAAAGGATGGGGTTGGGGTTAGGGTTGGGAGTCCAACCCTCTAATCTTGGCCGGGCACGGTGGCTCACACCTGTAATCCCAGCACTTTGGGAGGCCGAGGCAGGTGGATCATCTGAGGTCAGGAGTTCGAGACCAGCCTGACCAACATGGTGAAACCCCATCTCTACTAAAAATACAAAAAAATTAGCCGAGCATGGTGGCAGGTGCCTGTAATCCCAGTTACTGGGGAGGCTGAGGCAGGAGAATCGCTTGAACCCAGGAGGCGGAGGTTGCAGTGAGCTGAGATCACAACACTGCACTCCAGCCAGGGAGACAGAGTCAAACTCCGTCAAAATAAATAAATAAAAGAAAAGAAAGTCCAACCCTTTAATCCTGCCTGGGTCTTTTGGGGTAACCAACCTCAATCTTGAAGCTGCCTAGGGGCTGCCAGCTCTTCCGTCAGCTCATTAGCATACAAAAAGACATCACTTTGGAGTTTCTAAGGATTTTAGGAGTTGTACGCTGGGAAACTAGGTCGAAGACCAAATATATATTTTATAATATCACAAACATGCGTACAGGCGAGCACACAACTTGTCAGTGTACAGCTTAATGAGCTGGATAGAATATCTTATGTTTAACAGTTTGTGAACCTGGCATGAAACTTTTCAATACTGGGCACATGGTAGATGAGGCTTCGTTGAGTGGTCTCAATGCTACAGCCAGGCCTTAGGGCTTGGCGGGGAAACAGTTCCACTAGGGTCGAACTGGCACAGCATCGGGAAGAAGGCTTGCCTCCTCTAATGTGGCTGCATCATCTCCATCCCTCCCTTGGCAGACCCACAGTGGCACTGCCCTCCCTCACAGCTGTGGTCACTTACCTCCAAGTCCCTTTTTGTTAAACTTGGACCATGTTTTAGCCTTTCTCAGCCTCAACGGATCTTCTTTTCTGATCAGTTTAGTCAGTCTTATTTTAATTTAATTTAATTTAATTCAATTCAATTCAATTTGTTTTTCAAGATAGAGTCTCGCTCTGTTGCCCAGAGTGGAGTGTAATGGCGCAATCACAGCTCACTGCAGCCTCCGCCTCCCAGGTTCAAGCTATTCTCCTGCCCCAGCCTCCCAAGTTGCTGGGATTACAGGCGCCTGCCACCATGCTCGGCTAATTTTTCTATTTTTAGTAGAGATGGGGTTTCACCATGTTGGCCAGGCTGGTCTCCAGCTCCTGACCTCAGGTGATGTGCCCACCTCAGCCTCCCAAAGTGCTGGGATTACAGGCGTGAGCCACCGTGCCCGGCCACTTTGGTCATTTTTAAACGGTCTAATTAGGAGTGCAGCAGCAGCAGATATGACTGTGTTGTTGTATACTCCTCAGCCTGGCCCCTGCCGCCCTGCACCCGCTCCTCTCCCAACCCCAACATGGGTAAGCACATGGGCCTGGGTACAGCAGTCCTGGACTCTAGATGGTTCTGCCTTTTTATCTGGGTGGACTTCACCTCTCCAAGCCTTGGTTTTCTCTCTGCAAAATGGGGATAACGAGGGCTATTGTGAGGATGAAAGGATATAACGCATGTGAGACTAGCACAGGGTCAGGTGTGTACTCAGTGAGTTAGACACACATTTTGCTGACATTAATTTCATGTTACAGTCTGCGTTGTTCTCGTGCACACCTCACTTCTCCGTGCCTCTGTGCTACCCCCTGCCTTCTCTTGGGATGACTACAAACTCCTGTTCAGTCTTGAAATCATAGTTCAGCCATCACTTCCTCTGCGCAGCCTTCCCTCAGCACCGCGGCCCCAGCAAAGGCCCTTCTGAGCACATCTATTTCATGGACTAGACTGTAAGTCACCTGTGGGCAGGACCAGTTCTCCATCATCTTTCAACCCATACCACCAAACATAGCACAGGGCACACAGTGGATCCTCAAAGACAGGTTGTGGGATGAAAGGACACTGTTGAGAGTCACCTGCTGGTCCCAGACTCTTGTCTCCCTGCTCCAGCTGGATTCTCATTGCCTCTGTGATGCTCTGCCAGGAAGACCAGCTGGTACTTGTTGTGTATTTTCCTGTATTCTCAGATACCTCTTCATGTGCATCTGTCTTGTCTTCCCAGTGTAAGAGTCAGCCCCTGAGGGCAGGGATTCTGCTCTGTAGGCCTCTGCATCACTAGCGAGCCTCACACATCATCCTGAGTGTTGCAGGAGCACAGTTAGGAATTCTGTTATCAGGCCAGGCATGGTGGCTCACATCTGTAATCCCAGCACTTTGGGAGGCCGAGGTGGGCGGATCACCTGAGGTCAGGAGTTCTAGACCAGCCTGACCAACACGGTGAAACCCCGTCTCTACTAAAAATACAAAAATTAGCTGGGTGTGGTGGTGGGCAGCTGTAATGCCAGCTACTCGGGAGGCTAAGGCAGGAGAATCACTTGAACCTGGGAGGTGGAGGCTGCAGTGAGCCGAGATCGCGCCACTGCACTCCAGCCTGGGTGACACAGTGAGACTCCATCTCCAATAAATAAATAAATAAATAGGAATTCTGTTAGCACTTGGCCCAGGAATCAGACTCCTTCCCAAGCAGGCTGCAGTTCAGGCTCAGCTGGTCCCCACTCTCTGGGACAGCACTCCCCTCACTCTGTGATCTCCCAGGAAGTCCGGCTCTGGGCATCTAACCTTGGTGTGGGGAGGCAACATAGCACTCCAGAAAGAGGGTAGGCTCTGTGACAGAACCACCTGTGGTGCAAATCCCAGATGTCCACTTCATAGCTTCTAGAACTTTGCTTTGGGTGGTTGCTTAAAAATCTGAGTCTCAGTCTCTTCCTCTGTATAATGGGAATAAAAAATATGATCTCAAGGTAGTTGTGAGGTTGAAATGAAATAACAGACAGAAACTGGCTAGGCGCAGTGGCTCATGCCTGTAATCCCTACATTTTGGGAGGCCAAGGCGGACAGATCATTTGAGGTCAGGAGTTCGAGACCAGCCTGGCCAACATGGTGAAACTCTGTCTCTACTAAAAATACAAAAAGTAGCCAGGCATGGTGGCGCACACCTGTAATCCCAGCTACTCAGGAGGCTGAGATGGGAGAATCGCTTGAACCTGGGAGGCGGAGGTTGCAGTTAGCTGAGATGACACCACTGCACTCCAGCCTGGGCAACAGAGTGAGACTCCATCTCGAAAAAAAAAAAAAAAAAAGTAGAAATAATAGAAACTGAGTTGAAGGTGAATCATTAAAGATGTTCTACAGGTCATCTAATGTAGCAGGGTTATAAAAATATTCTCTCCCAGGCCAGGCTTCTTTAGAGCAGAAAGATCTGAATTCCTTCCAAAACAGAAAAGGCTGGCTTCAGGGAATCCCACACACTTTATGTTGGTTTGTCCCAACCAATAAGCCTATCTGAAGAAAGAAGCGGGTGGGGAGGCATGTGGCAGAAGTCTGTGACTTGGTGGACAAAAGGCAATGCAGACTCTGGCATGACCTTGCGTTCTGGTATCCTGTTCAGCCAGAGTACTCACAAAGGCCTCCAGTTCTCAGGAAGGGAAGGGTGAATTAAATGTGGTTAGCTATCAGGGATTTTTTTTTTTTTTTTTTTTTGAGACGGAGTCTTGCTCTGTCACCAGGCTGGAGTACAGTGGTGTGATCTTGGCTCACTGTAACCTCCGCCTCACAGGCTCAAGTGATTCTCCTGCCTCAGCCTCCTAAGTAGCTGGGACTACAGGCACGCACCACCATGCCTGGCCAATTTTTGTATTTTTAGTAGAGATGGGGTTTCCCCATGTTAGCCAGGATGGTCTCGATCTCCTGACCTCGTGATCCACCCGCCTTGGCCTCCCAAAGTGCTGGGATTACAGGTGTGAGCCACTGCGCCCAGCCTATCAGGGATTTTTATGGGGGTTCCAAGGAGTGGTCTGTGTAGATTTAATATCACCCTAGTTAATGGCTGAGGCACTGGCTGTGTAAGCCCTTGCTAAGCACAGTGAGTGAGTGTGGCTGGAAGTGCAGGAGGCCTGGGTGGGATGCAGGCTGATCCAGGGCTGGCAGTCACTGTGTGCATCCAACCTTTAGGCGAGAGAGGGCTGCTAAACTCTGAGAAGGAATTCAGGGTGAAGAAGAGCTGATGTGCCAATGGTATGGCTGGCACAAGCCTAAGCAGATACCAGCTATTCTCCTGCAAGCTGATCAAAAATATTTTTATTACATAATACTTGACATATACAAGAGAACAATCATATATATTAGACATGATGACAGAATGAAAACCTGAGCCTCACTATGTCCCTGAAGGACCAGACCGTGACTAGGCCGTCGTGTCCATCTGTGGGTCCTCCTCAGCCCATTCCCCATCTCCCTCTAGATGTGACCACATCCTGAATTTTACCTATTTATTCCATTACTTAAAAATACTGGTTTTTGGCTGGGCACAGTGGCTCATGCCTGTGATCCCAGCACTTCGGGAGGCCGAGGCGGGAGGATCACCTGAGGTCAGGGGTTCGAGACCAGCCTGGCCAACATGGTGAAGCCCCATCTCTACTAAAAATACAAAAATTAGCTGGGTGTGTTAGCACACGCCTGTGGTCCTAGCTACTCGGGAGGCTGAGGCAGGAGAATCGCTTGAATCCAGGAGGCAGACGTTGCAGAGAGCCGGGATCACGCCACTGCACTCCAGCCTGGAGACCCTGTCTCAAAAAAACAAAAAACCAACAAACAAAAAACTGGTTTTCCCAGGTAATAATGCCTAAATGAAATGTTTTATTTTGCCTATTTTTAGCATTATAAAAATGGTGTTATACTGCATGTGGCCCTCTATGTTGAGCTATTCTCTCTCTGCATTGTGTTTCTAAGTTTCAAACTGTTCCTGGATCTTGCTGTAGTTCTCACATGCTCACAGTTGCATAATAGTCCATCTTTAGAATATACAGTTTATCTATTTTGTCTCCTGGCCATGGATGTGCATCTCGCTGTGCACAGCAGGGAAAGGTGTTCATGGAGGTACCTGCCTAGGCGTGGAACTTTGGGTTGCAGGATGTGTGAATGTTGAGCTTTACAAGATGATGCCAAACTGTTTTCCAAAGAGGTTGTGCCCATCTGTGCTGTCATCTTTGAGATTGTTTTTCCCATGGCCCAAGGCCCTTCTTCCCGCCCGAGGCAAGCCCACTCCTGAGGACTCCACTGCCTTGGGCCTTCACCGTCTTTCTCTCAGGATCCCATTCCCTACTGGAAAACTCTTTCCTTTCCCTCCTCCACTTGGCCCTGAACTTCCCAGGATTTTTCAAAACCCAGCCTGGAGCTGCCGTCTTCCTGGGAGTCCTCTCAGCCTCACTTCCACTCTCTCCCAGGTTTTTGGAACAGCTTTTCCAGACAGCTCTTGGGCCAGAGTAGGACATCGCATAGTGTGTTTCTTATAACATCAGCCCCACATAATCCTGTTGAGAAAGGCTTCTGGAGTCAAATAAACTTAAGAATCGCCACAGGCAACTTGGAGCCTCTTGGTGTTTATTGTTCTCATTTGAATATTAGCAGCTCATTAGCATAGTTGCAGCACTGAGAGGTCCTGCCAGTGTGACCCGTTTTTATTTGTTTAACTTGTTTTCCAAAAATATTTAACCTTGGAGCCCTTTTCCCATTTTCCCCCATTTGGAAAATGGGATCGAGAAGATTCTCCTGCCTATTTCAGTCAGTTTGGTTTTGTGGTCTTATTTTCCTCGGTAACCAAGCTGAGAGTCCTCTGACTTCTGTTGTAATCATCCCGTGTAAACTAGTTCAGTCCAGACCACCCTTTCTGGAGGGCTTGAGTGGAAGGAATGAATGAATGCACTCAGGAATTAATGAATGAAGCAGTCAGCCAATCAGTCAGCCATCCAGCTGAGCCCCCTCTCCTATGCAGCAGCCAGGAACCAGGGACTGATCAGGCACCGCTCATCTTGCACCAGGGGACACCCGGGCT
The DNA here is from genome assembly GCF_000001405.40 of Homo sapiens. Taxonomy (NCBI): domain Eukaryota; kingdom Metazoa; phylum Chordata; class Mammalia; order Primates; family Hominidae; genus Homo; species Homo sapiens. The sequence continues at coordinate 46,796,696 of NC_000017.11, read as the reverse complement.
GTCTGGCTGGTGAATCATTCTCCCGTCTTAGGTCCCCTGTAGTTGCATTTTTAGGATCTGTCACCCAATGAGGCTGGGAGCCCCTGCGGGGCAGGAACCAAGTTGCGCTTGCCTCTCTGTGTGCCCCGAGTGGGACATACAGATGGGATCTCTCATCCAACTCCTTCTGAGAGGGGCAGGAGAACATTGTGGTTAAGTCTTCAGCCTCTGGAGCCAGACCAGATGTGTCCCTAATTACCTGGGTAATGTGGGCCAATCTCTGCCTCAGTTTCCCCACTGAGATAGGGGTGATGATAACATACCTTCCTTACAGAATTATTATGGGGTTAATATGCGGCAAGCACACAAACAGTGCCTGGCATAGAGGATGTCACTGGTCTTTATTAGCACTATGACAATGGCAACCAACATTTATTGTGCACCTACTATGTGCCAGGGACTGTGACAAAAGCTTTATCTACATCATTTCAATTCTTCCTCCCCGCAGCCTCTTTGAAGTGGGGGATGTTTTTCTCATTAGGAAGTTGAGTCCTCCCAAGGAAACGTGGTAATGGGTGGTAGCAATAAGATCAGGATTGGGGTCAGCCAGATCACAAAGCCCTGGCCTGCAGGCGTGGAGGGTGCCACCTACCACCTGCGGATGGGACAGCTCCTCTGTTTCTTTTTACTGATAATTACCCTGCCGACAACCTGATCAGTTCTTTTTTTTTTAATCCTCTATTCATCTCAACAAAATGGAAATCCATGGTACTGCAAGGGTTAGAATTTAACATGTGTGCACACGTGTGTGTGCGTGCATGCATGTGTGTGTGTGTGAGAGAGAGAGGGAGAGACAGAGACAGAGAGAGACAGAGAGCAAGAGTGCACAAGTGAAGGAGAAGGAGTTATCTGAGAAGCCTGGGGGTTACTAGCACCTTCATGACAGACCAAGGAAGACAGAGATCCCCGGGTGGGGCTGGCTTTGAGACTGCACAGCGGCAGAATCGTTTGTGAGTCAGCAGTGCCGCAGAACAGCAGGGTGCTCCGGAACTGGGCTTGGTGTCGTCACCCACTGCCCCTTGCACAGGGCCCTGTGTGCCGGGAAATGTTTGCAGGCTGGACACCTGTGGTTGCTTTTAACCAGGCAAGTGAGCTGGGTTAGAGGTAGCCACATGTTCCTGAGGGCTCGCAGCTTTGGATCTGAGAGGGTTAGACAGGGCGTCAGGGGCTGAGGGTCACTGGAGGAGAATTTGCTGTCGTCCCTTTGCCCACGGGCCGGCTGGTCTTCTCAGACCCCAGAGGCCAGCTCCTCTGTTCTTCCCCACCTCGGAGGGGAGCCCCAGAAGTCACAGGGTCAGCTGTCTGCTTTCCACACTGCCTAGGGCTTTATTCTTGCACCATCCCCAGTTCTGGCCACACCAGGGGAGTGAGACATGGGGCGCCGGTAGAGGGGCTGAATGCGCTGGTGTGGGGTAGGAGGTTTCGGATGCACATTCCAGAGGGTGTTTATGGGGGAGCAGACAAGCCTGGGGATTCATTCCTGGTAGGGAACAATTCCCTCAGCACCCGAGGGTGGGAAATGAGGGCCAAAATGGTGGCTCAGAGGGACACAGGTGAGGTAAGCAGGTAAGAATTCCCACCAGGTGTCTCAGAAATGTCCTGGGAAGGGCCTGGCATGGTGGCTCACACCTGTAATCCCAGTATTTTGGGAGGCCGAGGCGGGCAGATCACCTGTGGTCAGGAGTTCAAGACCAGCCTGGCCAACATGGTGAAACCCCGTCTCTACTAAAAATACAAAAATTAGCCAAGCATGGTGGTGGGTGCCTATAATTCCAGCTACTCGGAAGGCTGAGGCACGAGAATCACTTGAACCTGGGAGGTGCAGGTTGCAGTGAGCTGGAATCGTACCTCTGCACTCCAGCCTGAGTGACAGAGCAAGAATCTGTTAAAAAAAAAAAAAAAAAAGAAAAAGAAAGAAAGAAAGAAAAGAAAGTCCTGGGAAGCTGGTGGAAGGAGGTCGAGATCTTCCTGACCTGGGAAAGGAGGGAATTCCCAGGCATCTATAGACCAATAGGACTGTCGAAAGTTTGACTGGTGTGAGAATGGGTTAAGGTGCTGAATTTTAGATTTTTATCCTCTCCACGGTGGTACAGTGTGTTCTGCAAACAAAGGAGAGCCAGCCTTGAAGAGCCCTTCTCAGAGCTGACTATGTTCTTTGGCTCCTCAGCCCAGTGAGATGGCCTTAGCTCTGAGCCCTGTGCAATATGCAAACTGGACCAGATGACCCCCAAGGCTCCTTCTAGCTCTGACAGGTCCTGTCGGGGGATCCAGCCTGCATATAGGGCCTGGGCTTCTTTCAGCCCCATAGATGGTGACCCCTCTTCACCGCTAGTAAGATTGAAGCTCATCAGCAGGACCTCAGGCCCTGGCCTCCTTTCTTCTTGGTCCCTTGGGTTTTGGAGTTTTATGTGACATCAATGTCCCAGAAATGCCCATCCTCTTCCTTTTCTCTCAGGGCACAGTCCCCTGAGGTCTTGTGGTTTATCCACCCCCACCCCTGTTCTATGTCCTCCTTCACTTGCTCTCCCCCACGCCCCTCCCACCAGAGAGTTTATAAGCTGGCTGTCCCCTTGCTAACCTCCTGCTGTTCCCTATGAACATGCCTGTTAGATTTCACCGTGTGACACTGTCTTGGTTATGTCCCCGTCGTGCCTAGTTCAGTGAAGAACACATAGCAGGTGCCGAATAAATGCACTCTGCTGGGATAAACTGGTTATCTCCAGAGGGTGGGGTCTGGACAGAGTGGCAAAATAGCGATAGCATGGGATTTGGGGTCCAACTCCACCTCCACTTCCTGGCCGATGGCAATCTGTCATTGGTAAACTGGAGCCGGCATCTCTACTCTCAGGGCTGTTGAGAGGATTCATGGAGAAGCTGTGTGAGGAAATGCTTTGCAGGTTGGAAGGTGCTGGGAACGTGTGTCATCTACCCTGGCCTCTCTCTCAGGAACTCTTGCCCACATTTGTCAGCATCTGCTGGGTGTGTTGTCTTGGGAGAGGTCTTGTTAACCCTCTGCCACCTTGAATTCTCTGGTCCCCTGAAATTCTTTGTCCTGTCTCACACACAAATGCCTCCAGCCCTCAGGTCGGGGGTCTCCTCTCCTCCTGCAATGCCTTGGGCGTGGGTCCAGCCTTGTCTGAGACACAGAGAAATGGACCTCCAGTGCGGAAGATCTGCACCAACATTCGAAAGAAAAAAGACTGATAGGCGGGAGCCCAGCATTTGAATTTACAGGGATGTTAACCCCAACAGCGGCCGGAGCAGCAGAGCAGGACCTGAGCACTTCCTTCCCTTTCTCCTTAGCCTTCCATGAACATGCTCTCTATAAACCCTGTCCTGGTAAATGTCTCCCCTCATTTTTTTTTTTTTTTTTTTTTTTTTTTTTAGACAGGGTCTCACTCTGTTGCCCAGGCTAGAGTAAAATGGCTCGATCTTGGCTCACTGCAGCCTTGACCTCCTGGGCTCAAGCAATCCTCCCAACTCAGCCTCTCAAGTAGCTGGGACTACAGGTGGTCACCACCATGCCCAGCTAATTTTTTTTTTTTTTTTAATTTTAGTAGAAACAAGGTCTTGCTTTCTCGGCTAGGCTAGTCTTGAACACCTGAGCTCAAGTGCTCCTCCCGCCTCGGCCTTTCAAAGTGCCGGGTTTACAGGTGTGAGCCACCTCCCTCAGCCCTCACTGCTTTTTTTGCCATCTCAGTGCCACCATTTCCTAGCTATGTGACTTTAGACGAGTCACTTGGCCTCTCTGAGCCCATGTCATCATCCGTTAAATTGGGTTCTTTGGCAAATTAAAGGATGTATTCTATGTAAAGTGCTTTACATGGCAACTGGCACATAGTCAGGCCTCAATAAATGTTAACTATTATTATTAATAATGGCCACTGGCCAGGCGTGATGGCTCACACCTGTAGTCCCAGCGCTTTGGGAGGCAGAGGTGGGCAGATCACGTGGTCAGTAGTTCGAGGCTAGCCTGGTCAACATAGTGAAACTCTGTCTCTACTAAAAATACAAAAATTAGCCAGGTGTGGTGGCATGCACCTATAGTCCCAGCTACTCGGGAGGCTGAGGCAGGAGAATCGCTTGAACCTGGGAGGCAGAGGTTGCAGTAAACCAACACGGCACCATTGCACTCCAGCCTGGGTGACAGAGCAAGACTCTGTCTCAAAAAAATAATAAAATGGCCACTCTGAGTGCCTCAGTGAATAGGCTCCTTACTACCTTACTTAGAGCAGAGTTGAGGAAATTGGTGAAGTTCTTCACTACCTTATTAGCCACTCTCTACCCAAATAAATGTACCCCACCTTATCTTATTCATTATGGGTAATCACCTGTAAAAGCGTTCTTTATTTCATTCACAGCCTGAGTGTCCCCAAAAAGGTGCTCCATGACGTCATCCCCCCTCTGGAGGACACCTCCTCCCACCCATGGTGATTTGAGCCTTCTCTTAGGCCAGGGTGATTCCTGGGGGAACCTTAACTGGGGCTAATGTGCACTGACATTTTGCCTTTTGTGTCGAACACACATCCCATTTGCAGAGATTTAGAATTTTTTGACTTTAAATGTTCGCTATTTCTATGTATGTGTAAGAGAGAGTTGTTTTCTTTTGTTTTGTTAAGAGACAGGATCTCACTCTGTTGCCCAGGCTGGAGTGCAGTGGTGCAATCACAGCTTACTACAGCCTCAAACTCCTGGGCTCAAGCGATCCTCCCGCCTCAGTCTCCCCAGTAGCTGGGACTACAAGTGTGCACCACCACACCCAGCTAATTTTTCTGTGTTTTGTAGAGACAGCGTCTCGCTGTGTTGCCCAGGCTGATCTCAAATTCCTGGCCTCAGGTGATCCCCCTGCCTCGAAATTCTGAAGTGCTGTGATTATAGGCATGCGCCACCATGCCAGAGAGAGAGATTTTATCTTTTCTACACAACGTGTGTTTCCCCCAGAAGAAATGCCTTCCTACTTCTGTGATGAATGTAAGTAGAATGCAGACAGAAATTACAGAAACTCCCTGTGCCCCAGCACCCTTACCAGGGCATGCCTGGCCTGGTGGAGTGACAGGGTGTTGTACACAGTGAGGGGAAGGAAGGGAGTGGGAGAGGAGGTGAGGCTCTGCAGAGCAGAGTGGACCATTTCTGGTCAGAAAACAGTGAGGAGGCCGGGCGTGGTGGCTCACGTCTGTAATCCCAGCACTTTGGGAGGCTGAGGCGGGCGGATCACTTGAGGTCAGGAGTTTGAGACCAGCCTGGCCAACATGTTGAAACCCCGTCTCTACTAAAAATACAAAAAAATTTAGCCAGGTATGGTGGTCCTCGTCTGTAATCCCAGTTACTCAGGAGGAGAATCGCTTGAACCTGGAAGACGGAGGTTGCAGTGAGCTGAGATCACGCCACTGCACTACAGCCTGGGTGACAGGGCGAGACTCTGTCTCAGAAAAAAAAAAAAGAGTAAGGAAAGCGAAGTCCTGGGTTGGGGGGAAATGTAGCTGCAGGCAAGAACCAAGGAAGGTGTGGAGCCCCCAACCCAGTAGGGAAAAGGCTTGCTGCCTTGAAGCCAAAGAGTGTGAGCATCCTGTACCTTTGCAGACAGAACTTCCACCTACTCACAAACAGATACACCCCACTGCACAGCTAAGAAAGCTAAGGGGAAACCAGGAAGAAGGGAAAAGAAAAGAGGAAAACCCCAGAGGAAACGAGGAGTCAGGCCTGGGCAGGGGGTTCCAGATGACGCATGAGGCTGCAGGAGGAAAAGGTTTCTTTTGAAACACATCTTTTATCCTGTCCTTTTCCGATGTACGTGAGCGTGTGTTTTGGAACGCACATAAAACGCGAGCGCAGTAGCCGGCCTCTGATTTCTGCCAAGGTGGACGGAAACGGAGGGGCGTGCCCAAATGCTTCTTCTTCATGGCTGCTGGATCAGGGAAGTTTTGCTTCTGTGGCCGTGAACATGGAGATTTGCTGAGAGGCCAAGGAGAGAGATGATGGGGGAGGGCTACTTCGGGAGAGGAAGTGGACAAGACCAGAGGTTGGAAAACAGGGGACGGGTTGATCCTAACAACTTGGAGGGACTGGTACTGGGAATAGGAGGTGGGGCCCAGGGGGAGGGCAGAGGACCCAGGAGCCCCAGCTGTGGACCCAGGGTGGGGCTGTGGGCAGGTCCCCAGCCCTGTCTGTGACCTAGGGCAGTGCTTCTCAACCTTGAGGGAGGGAGGGAGGATACCACAGAGGGGAGGGAGCACCTAGACCACTTAAATCCCTTTCTCTGCAGGGGGCCCAGGCAGCCTTGTTTCTAAGCTCAGCAGGGCCACTTACTATGCAGCCAGGGATGAGAACCAATGGCCCACCCTGCTGAGTGCTGGAATGTGTAATGAAGTCCTGCGTGGGTCTGTAATGAACCCAGATTCGGCTCCTAACAGGTGCTGAGTGCATGTTTGCAAACCCAGGCGCCTGTTGCAAGGAGAGGACAGAGCTAAAGCAAGGAGCCTGCGGAGGAATGGGTGGCAGGGACTGATGAAGTTGGGGGAAGGAGGTGCAGAGGAAAATGTTGAGGCTCGCTCTGGACTGCCTCGCCTGGGGATGGAGAATGGGGCTGCAAGGGAGGGGCAGCCAGCGCTTTGAACTTGGGTGGGGCCTCCCTAAATAGAGTGGGGGAAGTCCAGGTGCTGGGCAGGGCTGTCTTCACCTGCCCATCCTCAGCGCCGTGGGGGGATGAGGCGCAAAGAAGCCCTCCTGGGAATGTGGTGGAAATACCCACCTTGAAAGGTAGAGAGTGGAATCGTTGCCCTGAGCACCTGGGTGTGGTCGCAGCATCCCCCGTGAGGCCTCCCAACCTGCAGCTGCCTCCTGCGTGCGCATCTGCCACTGCTGGCTTTAGGGCCAGGGCCAGGCCCAGCTGGAGGTCCAAGCTGGAGCCCTGGGCAGTGTCCAGTGCACTGTGGCCTCAAAGTGCCCAGCCATGGTTTAGTACTCCAGCTGGCAAGGCCCTGGGTTCAAACCCTGCTCTGAATTTGTCCAGTTGCTTCCCCATGGTGTCATTTGGTTTGTTCCTCTGTCCCTTGTGTTCCCTGAGAGGTTACCTCTCAAAGCTTGGTTAGATCAGATTAAACGTCTTTGGCCAAAGAACATCATAGGGAAGGTTGGGGCCTTCCTGCTGCATCATCTCATACCATTCTACTGTCACACTTCTGGTGGAGGCTTTTAATGATCCAGTTTCCTGGACTCCTCCCCAGAGGCTCTGATCCTGCCACGCTGGTGTTGGAGCCTGGGTGTCTGTATTTTTCAAAACCACCCCAAGTGATCTGCCGTAGTGTATAGCCTGCATCCCTGACCCCAGTAGCCAGCTGGTCAGGGACTGTCCTTGGTTTTCTGAAGAGCATAGAATAAGAGAGTGGATGGGACAGTCCAGGTAGGTGCCAGCCCTGGTGGCCAGTGCTATCAGGTGTGAGGCAGGGAGGGTGGCCTCTGGGCCCCCATAAAGAGGAGAATGGGCTTCCTCAGGGCAGCTCCAGGTTCAGGTAAGAGTCCTTGCAAGACCAGGAGTGCCCCACGCACTGTGCTCCCGGCGTCCAGCATAAGGCCTGGCCCAGCGTGAATGTTTATTGAATAAAGACACACACCAGGCTGGTGGCTCTCTGAGGAGCCCTGGGGAGCTGCTCTAAGAGTGAGCTCCCAGCCAAGCAGCACAGCTTTGTGTGTTCCCCACTGGGCTGCTTCTAAGATTCAAACAAAGGACTCCCAAACTGTGGAGCTAGCAGCTGTGTTAAAAGGCCCAGAGAGCCAGCAGGGCCATGGCCATCACCTGCCCTCAGCTCGCCGTGGAGACAGCCTGTGGGATCTGGGAGAGACGAAGGAAAGGACTGGGCACTCAGTGGGGCTGCTGAGGGCAGGGAAAGGAGGCAGGGAGGTCCTCGCAGGGAGGTCCTCGCAGGGCCACTGCACCTGCTGAAGCAGGTGCTAGATTCTACATGGAAACGAGTGAAAGAATCCCTCCTCTCAAAAAACTCACCATCAATGGAGTCGGTGGACAATTCACTTGAGTGCATTGAAGGTTACCTGTGACGGATGTATAAGAGCTGGGGAAATGGCCAGAGGGAACAATTTGAATTGGAGACATTAAAAGGGGATTTAAACATGGGACCTTGAGGGATGAATAGAAGTCTGGAGTCAGAAGCGAACAAGAGGGCTGGGCAGGCTATGTCTTGTCTTTTACCAGAACTGGCTTGAAGGGTATAGCAATGTGGGGACCCAGCAAAGTCCTGGTGTGGGAACCAGCAGACTTGGCTGCTCAGAACGGCAGCCTAACTCTGTAAGGTTCTCATTTCCCAATCTGTAAAATGGGAGACTGACTTAGGGTTTGGAGGGGTCAGGAAGGGGAGAAATGTTACAAGGTTAAAATGAACTAAAGATGCAAACATGGCTTAGGAAAAATTTGAATTAGAATTCCACTTAGTGGAGTGGGAGGCAAAGAAACAGATGGCCAAGCTCCAGGAGGAAAAGCTGGCCAAGCTGAGCTCAACTTCAAGGCCCAGCTCGAATGTCACCTCTTTGAAGGGGACTTCTTTGCCTTCTCCCACTTCCTTCCCCTCAGCACACCTATTCCTTGAAGTCCCAAGTGGGACTTCTCACACTCTGCAACTGACTGGTCACCTGCACTGAGGTGGGGTCACTGAGGAGGGTGGAGGCTACATCTTTTTTTTTTTTTTTTTTCTGAGGCAGAGTCTCACTCTGTTGCCCAGGCTGGAGTGCAGTGGCACAATCTCGGCTCACTGAAACCTCTGCCTCCCAGGTTCAAGCGATTCTCCTGTCTCAGCCTCCAGGGTAGCTGTGATTACAGGTGCCCACCACCACGCCTGGTTAATTTTTTCTGTTTTTAGTAGAGACAGGCGTTTCGCCATGTTGGCCAGGCTGGTCTCGAACTCCTGACTTCAGTTGATCTGCCTGCCTTGGCCTCCCAAAGTGCCGGGAATACAGGCGTGAGCCACCGCGCCCGGCCGAGGCTACATCTCATACATCTTGGGCACATAGTATGCAGGTACTGAATGAGGCCCAGCCTTCAGATGATCAGGTCTGGGGCACTTCAAGAACGATCTGCGTGCTATGAGAGAGACAAGCTCTGGCTGGGAGTCAGCAGGCCTGGGCTGTGCTCTCTGCACTGCCTCCAACCAGTGGAGGAACAGCAGGGAAGGCACATCGCTTCCCTGGGCCTTAATTTCCCCAAGGAGCTGAACTAGGTGATGTCAAAGGTCCCGCTTAGCTTTGACATTTTATGACCTAACACTGTAATAGAATCACTAACATGCGTGGCCATTTACAGAATGCTCCTAAAGCCCTTCCAGGACACTCCTATTGTTCCCCCGCCCCCGCCCTACTCCAATAGCAAGAAAACTTTCACAGGTGGAGACTTTTCTTCAACAGGTCTTTATTGGCTGGGCACGCTGGCTCACACCTGTAATCCCAGCACTTGGGGAGGCTGAGGTGGGAGGATTGCTTGGGCCCAGGAGTTCGAAACCCAGCCTGGGCAATATAGCAGGACTTCATCTCTACAAAAAATTTTAAAAACTTAGCAGAGCATAGTGGCATGTGCCTGTAGTCTCAGCTACTCAGGAGGCTGAGGTGGAAGGACTGGTTGAGCCAAGTAGTTCAAGGCTGCAGTAAGCTGTGATTGTGCCACTGCACTGCAGCCTGTGTGACAGAGTGAGACCCTGTCTCAAAAAAAAAAAAAAGAAAAAAGAAAAGAAAAATGGCCTTTACTGAACATCTATCTTTGTACTGATGAGCACCCCCAGAGACACCTGGGCCCACCAGGGTTTCTAGAATGTTCTAGAATGTTCAGCATCCCCTGAGTTGCCAAGACTAGACATTTAGGGGGAGCTGTATGACAATCACCCAAAACTGATGGGCAGAAATGCTGTGACCCCAAGTAGGCCTCTGGGCCTTGATGACATCCTCAGTAACAGAGAGCACGGCACCCCTTTGTGTGTCTGAAGGCAGAGGGCTGGGACCCTACCTGAGCACGCACAGGGCATCTGGGCTTTACCTGGGAGTCCTGAACTGCGCAGCAAAGTGGAGAAACGGACCCAGCTCTCAGCATGTGTCCTTGGGAGCTGCTCCCCTCTGTGGTCACCAGGCAGCACTTGCCCACCTGTGGGCTTGGTGCCTCTCAGGGAGACGCTCTGGGGTCTGAAGAGTGAGGTCCCTGCCTTTTACCCGTCTCTGGACACCCCTCTGGGCCTAGGCCCTTCCCTGTGAATCCCCTGCCTGAAGGAAGAGACCCACAGCCCTGGGGTTCCTCTGGGGTGCCAAGTGGGGGACTGTGTTTGGTCCTGGGGAGGATGGGCTGGGGCTGCTGAGCAGGCCAGGGGTGCAGGACCCCTCCATCCCCCGCTTCTCCTGTCCTCCTCCTTCTTCCACCCTTGACTCCTCTCACCTCTTGTCCCCTCTTCCCTCCTGTTTCCACTCTCTTTCCTCCTCCCCAGGTCCCACCAGACTGCTCCATGCCCCGGACCACAATTTGGCTGAAGGCAACAATCCCTCTCTCGCACCCTCCTCCCTTTTTCCAGGCTTATCAACTTCACTTTCCTGTGAAATGAAGGGGTGGGGGGGTGGGTAAGAAAGAAAGAAAAAGCACTTCATGCTCACAACACAACAAAAAACAGGTTTAAACATTTTACAGGTTTCAACATTTTTCAGGCGGTCTTGTCACATCTTATCAGATCAGCCAGAGCCGCAGGCAGGCGCTCCAGGAGCTGCTTTGGAGAACAGAAGCTGCAACATTCCAGCCCAGGCACTGCCCCGCCCTCCACACCCCTTCCCTCCCTTCCCTTTTCTCCCCAAAGAAACATCCCACAGGGCTCCCTGGGATGGAGCACAGGGCCCGCAGCCTCTTCCCTCTGACTGAGGTATAGTCTGTGGCCAAACCCTTGGCTTTGAGCTCCTGCCCGCACCCTTTCCTTCTCCCCACGGCTGCCCAGAACCATGGTCCTCCCGGGCTCTCAGGTGGTCCCTGGCAGCTGAGCTGTGCCACCTCCTCGGAAGGCCCCTCGTGGCCCTGAAAGGGAACCTTCAGAAGCTGCGGGCAGAAGGGAGTTGCTAAAGTCGTCCACAGCATGTAGAAGTGGTCATTTGGCCAGCAGGGCTAGTGAGTTTCCGGGGCTCCTGGGGCCTGTCCTCGGGGGCTCCTGTCGGAGGGGAAGGAATAGCTTTTTCCTTGGTTATCTTTTCTCCGTGTGCATGGGTTTTTCTCCTATGGCGTGGATCACTGCCTGGGATATCCCCTTCCACTCAGTCACCCCCAGACCTCACCTTTCTGTTCCTGCTGCACTCACGGTGACATTAGTGACACAATGCAGGGTGACAGGTCCAGGAAGGGCTGGCCAAAGCCCAAAGGCTCAGAGTTAAGCCGAGGCAACGTGAGGGATAGACCCAGAACCTGGATCCCAGGACAACAGGGAAGAGCTGGCTTTGTAGCTTGTAACAGGAGCATGGTTAGGGCTGGGAGGTCCCACTGTGTGGTCAGAGAGGGGTCCCCAAGGGAAGGCAGCTGTGCACTGAAGGCTTAGGATGCATCATAAGAAAAGCAAAAAGGGGAGGCCGGGCACGGTGGCTCACGCCTGTAATCCCAGCACTTTGGGAGGCCAAGGCGGGCAGATCACGAGGTCAGGAGATCGAGACCATCCTGGCTAACACAGTGAAACCCCGTCTCTACTAAAAAATACAAAAAAATTAGCCGGGCATGGTGGCGGGTGCCTGTAGTCCCAGCTACTCGGGAGGCTGAGGCAGGAGAATGGCGTGAACCCGGGAGGTGGAGCTTGCAGTGACCCGAGATCGCGCCACTGCACTCCAGCCTGGGCGACAGAGCGAGACTCCATCTCAAAAAAAAAAAAAAAAGAAAAGCAAAAAGGGGAAAGCGCAGAGGAGGTAGGGGCACAGTGGCTCCCTCTGTGTAGGTATGTTGGCTGTGCATCTCGTGGGGACCTCGTCCGGAATATGGAAAACACAAGCCAGACCTGGGCGCCTGCTGCCAGTGTTGGCTGGGCAGGGGCTGAGGTTTCGGGAGAGCCCACCTTTCCAGCCTCCTAGTGTGAGGTTCAGGCCCTGAAGCTGGGCTGGCTGCCCCTTGGCCCCCAGCCCCCTCCCTGGTGCCTCCACCCCTTGGCATATGGCATCAATGCTCCCACCGTGACGCTCAGTGTCCTCCCACCGTGTGCCCACAGCCAAGATGGGGCCTAAAGTATAATTCAACTTTTAGCTCCTTACAAGCATCCCCAGATGGATTTCTAGCTTCCGTCCCTCTCTTGGGCCCAGCTCTGTCTCTACGTGGTGCCTGGAAGTCCCTCTGGCCCCACGCACTTCCTCGTCTTGTTCCCAAAGCTGCTTTGCTTCTTACCTTCCCATCTTGGTGGACACCATCTCCATCTTCCTGGTCATCCTGGCTCAAAACTTTGGCCATACTTTCCTCCTTCCTCCTGTTTCTCATGGGACCAAACGGCTACCAGTCCTTATTCACAGCTTCCTGTCTGTTCCTGAAGCCACTGTCCTGAGATGACCAGCGGGCCCATCCCCTGCCACAGACCCCGGTGACCCAGACACATGGGTCTTGGCCCAGCTGCACAATGAGAGCTGAGCCCTGGGAGGTTGCAATGGATCCCCAGGCCCCAGAGTCTCCTTAGCATCCACGTCAACCCCGCCTCCCAGCCGCTTTCCCAGCACCCACCTCTTGTCTCATTTTGCACATAACTAACAGGATGATATTCCAAAGCCCAGCTAAGGAAGGTGCTAGTTTGTCCGAATAATGTCTGGCACTCAGGGCCCCTTTCTAGCTGCTTCCCCTCCTCTGCTTCTCTGTGTGGCTCCTAGACCCTGGCTTGGGGAGGCATGCCACCTTGCCTGGGGCTGTCCCCCTGCCACCTGGCTCCACCTGAGGGCCCCTAGCCATCCTTCTCCAGCTCGGTAGCTGCTCCACATGGAGCCCTCCAGAGGCAGTGAGGACACACTTGCCCCCGTTCCTAGAGATCGCTCGCCCTGACCGTGCACCCTCTGGCCCAGAGGTTACTGGGGCTGAAAGTTACAAGTGCCTTGGGACCATGTCTCACTCATTTAAGGCACCCACAGTGCCCAGACCTAGTAGGTGCTCAAGAAATGCTTGTTGGTCTGTTACTGACAGCAGCCTCCTGGGCTGGGTGCTCCTCAGGTGTGGCTTCATTAATCTCCACGTTCCCAGAACCTGGAACCCTGCCAGGCTGAGAGTCATCACTCAATTCGTGCGTGTTGAGTGAATAGGCAGTGAATGACTTTGTTTACCAAGGCCAGACTTCAACCTGCTCTCTGAAGGACAGGCACTTCCACTGACTCCACAAATCACCAGGCCCCAGTCTTGACAGCTGGGGCTAAATCAAGACAGGAGCCCACTGGGCTTAGAGCCCGGGCAGCTGCTCCTTCATGGTTTTATCTCAAGACCTTGGGTCCCAGCTCAGGGCCTGCACCCACTCTACCCTCACCCTTCCCTTCCTGTCCTAGACATAGGCAAGGGTGCTCCCACCCCTGCTGGAGATGCAGGCGAGCCAGAGGGCCCCGTTGAGAGAATGAACTAGCCCCGTTGAGAGAATGAACTAGCCCCTAATGGCAAGGCCCAGAGACATGTCCCACTTCTTTGATGAAAGGCACCCCCTGAGGCACCTTGGCGCTCTCCCACAGCCACAGGACACAGCCCCACCTGAGTCCCTTTGGGCTCAGAAGAAACCCCCTACCCTTGGCCCTGCACTGAAATGTCAAGAAGGTCCAGACCTGTGCTCAGTACCCGCAGGGTGCACATGTGTTCCAGGAGGGCGAGGAACAGTGGCAGCTGGAATCCTGAGCTAGGTTTCTCTGGTTTTGTCACAAGCTCCCTGCCAAGCAGCCAGGTGAGCGGCTCCAGTCCAGGCCTGTGGCCTCCCTCATCCACAGCAGTGATTGCCTCGTCACTATGGGTGTAGTTGGGTGCATCAGAGCCCACCAGGCCCAGCCCCACGGTGTGCACACATGCCCCTGAACTGGCTAGGCTTCCTGTCCTGACATCTGCCAATCCTGAACGGCTTCTTGACCTAAGTGGAAAGGTAGAGGCCTGAGTTCCAAAGCCAACGCTTGGTTCCTCACTTCCTGCTCTTTCCTCAAACCTTTCCTTTCCCTTCTAGAAGTTTCCGTGGAGGGTGGAGCCCTTCTGGGCCCAGGAACAAGTTGGGCCTCTGTCCAGTACTGCCCAGGAGCCAGCAGGTGGAGCACCTGGCCCTGGCCTGTTGTGGGGTTGACAGGAGCACCGTGGCCCCCACCACAGGGAGAGAAAAATGACCACAGGAGAGGTGATTTCTGACTCCTTCTCCTCACCTTCCCTCCTCCTCTCCCTCTCAGCAGCCATGTCAGTCATTTTAAGAGACACTAGATCTTCAGATCAGAGTCTTAAGATGCCTTCCCTTTGAGGCTGGCACAGATGGTTAGATTTCCGCATGGAGAAAGGTAAGGGCAAAGGGCCTATTTCTGCAAAGAAGGCATGACTTGGGGAGACTTGGCCCTGGAGAGCACCCTGAGACCGAAGGGAGGAGGGGAGCCTTTCCCTGGGCCGCAGCCCCTGGGTCCACCTTCTGCAGCTCCACCCATGTGAAGCCAGGTGGGTCCTTTTTGTGCCCAGCCCCAGAGAAGCTTCTGAGAATGTGCATTCATCACCCCCAGGTTAAAAGCCTGGTGGGTAAAAGAACTGTGAGCCCTGGGTTCTCCTCCCACCTCCTGGGCAGCCAGCTGTGTGACCCCGGAAAATGACAAACCTCTCTGGGCCTCAATCTTCCCGTATAGAGGAAGAGGGAATTAGACTAGACCCGGGGCTCTGGAATTTCGTCCTGCACAGGGGCTCTAGATGCGAAGTTGAAGGCTGGGGATGCAAGCACCATCCCTCCTTTGATTTTTTTAATTTTGCTATTTAACCATTTTAAAGTGTACTATTCAGTGGCATTAAGTACATTCCAATGCTGTGTGACCATCACCACCGTCTGTTTTCATCATCCCAAACTCTGTACTTATTAAGCAGTAACTTCCCACTCCCTCCCTTCCAGAACCCCTGGCAACCTCTGTTCTACTTTCTGTCCCTGTGAATTTACCTAGACACCTCATGTAAGTGGAATCATACAGTGTTTGTCCTTATGTGTCTGGTTGCTGTCGCTTAGCTTGTTTTCAAGTTTCTTCTATGTTGTAGCTTGCATCAGAATTTCATTCCTTTTTTTTTTTTTGAGACAGAGTCTTACTCTGTTGCCTAAGCTGGCGTGTCTTTACCTAGAACCTCATGTAAGTGAAATCATACAGTATTTGTTCTTCCGTGTCTGGCTTCTGTCGCTTAGCTTGTTTTCAAGTTTCCTCTACGTTGTAGCTTGCATCAGAAGCATCAGAATTTCATTCCTTTTTTTTTTTTTGGTTGGGGGGACAGAGTCTTGCTCTGTCGCCCAAGCTGGAGTGCAGTGGCGCAACTGGCTCACTGTAACCTCTGCCTCTCAGGTTCAAGCAATACTCCTGTCTCAGCCTCCTGAGTAGCTGGGACTACAGGCACGCACCACCAGGCCCGGCTAATTTTTGTATTTTAGTAGAGATGGGGTTTCACCATGTTGGCCAGGCTGGTCTCGAACTCCTGACCTGAGGTGATCCACCCGCCTCAGCCTCCCAAAATGCTGGCATTACCGCCACCACACCCGCTTCCTTCCTTTTTCTGGCTGAATAGGGTCCCACTGTATGTATGGGCCACCTGTTGTTTATCCATTCATCTGCTGAGGACTCTTGGGTTGTCTCTACCTTTTGGCTGCTGTGAGTAGCACTGCCGTGAACACTGGTGTACAGGTGTCTGTTGGAGTCCCCATTTTCTTTCCTTTTTTTTTGAAACAGAGTCTTGCTCTGTCACCCAGGCTGGAGCGCAGTGGCGCCATCTCAGCTCACTGCAAGCTCTGCCTCCCAGGTTCATGCCATTCTCCTGCCTCAGCCTCTCTGAGTAGCTGGGGCTACAGGCGCCTGCCACCACGCCCGGCTAATTTTTTGTATTTTTAGTAGAGACGGGGTTTCACCGTGGTCTCGATCTCCTGACCTCGTGATCCTCCCGCCTCGGCCTCCCAAAGTGCTGGGATTACAAGCGTGAGCCACCGCACCTGGGCAGAGTCCCCATTTTCAATTCTTTTGGGCGTATACCAGGTGTGGCATTGCTGGATTATAGGGTGATTCTATGTTTAACTTTTTGAGGGACAGGGCCCTCTTTTCATATGTTCTGTATGTAGGGGAGAGGAGGGAGATTGTGTGTGATTCCATTTGGGAGGCCACCTGGTTGGGTGCAGGACTGCCTACCCTAATGGATCACTCAGGGGAGTGGGTGCTGGCAGCACAGTGGGTGTCCCTGGCAGCACAGTCAGACCCCCATCAGCAGGGGATTGGCCGTCACTGGGTGGACGGCAGCATCTGAGGCCAACAACCCCAGTGTCAGATCAGGCAGGACGCACTGTACAGGGTGCCTTTAGGTGTCTCACCATATGTTAGGTGCGTAAGTCAATGCAGCATCCAGGCTGACCTGAATTCACTGATTAAAAATGTTCTCTAAAAATGTTCTCTATGGCCAGGCATGGTGGCTTACGCCTGTAATCCCAGCACTTTGGGAGGCAGAGGTAGGTGGATCACTTGGTCAGGAGTTCCAGACCAGCCTGGCCAATATTGCGAAACCCTGTCTCTACTGAAAATACAAAAATTAGCTGGGCATGGTGACGCATGCCTCTTATCCCAGCTACTTGAGAGGCCGAGGCAGGAGAATCACTTGAACTTGGGAGGCAGAGGTTGCAGTGAGCCAAGATCACGCTTTGTACTCCAGCCCGGGCAACAGAGCAAGATTCTGTCTCAAAAAAAGAAAAAAAAAGGTCCTCTCTGCCTTGTGCTCACCATGCAGGCCTCCTGCAGCCCTCTGGCCACAGCAGGCGTTATCAGGGTAGAGGCACAGAACTGGGGTGGGGATGGGAGTTAGATAAGGCCATGCACAAGGTTTAGGTCTTGCCTATTTGTGGAGGGATATTTCACTCCAAGGGGTCAACACCAAAGTTTCCACAAGCAGCCTGTTGTGCAGGGCACCCGCAGCCCATCCGCCTGGCTGCCCGTGTGTGTCCTCGGCCCAGCTGGGCAGTGGGTGGTCGGAGTGGAGGATGAGCCGGCTTCAGGAGGAGGGTGGCAGGGTCCTAGGGAAGGGAAGGGCCGGGCCAGGAGCTGGGTATAAATAGCCCCTGGCCCAGCTGCGAAGGCCTGGCAGGGTCCTCCGCCCTCCCCCTCACCAGCTGTCAGTGCCAGGCAGGTCTCTATCCCCCTTGGGAGCCTGGCCATCATCTCAGATCCTAAACGTAGGAACTTCCTCAGCGGAACCAAGGAGTCTTGTCCTGTGTGTAGGCGGAAGCTCCGGATGCCGGGAGGTCTGGCGAGTGAGGGGCATCAGGCTCGTCCTTTGGAAGAGTTCTTCATTCCTTTCCTCCAGAATCATGAATACCTAGCATGTGCCCGGCCCTTTGGAAGGCCGAGTGGGCTGGGGTGTGTGTGTGTGTGTGTGTGTGTGTGTGTGTGTGTGTGTGTGTGTGTGTGATGGGGTAGGGACCGGGGAATAACTGGAGAAAACACTACCACTACCTCTCTTCTTGGAGACTGAGACTGGCATAGCCAGATGGAATTGGAAACAAATCAGTTCAGCACTTTGGGATAAGAAGGTTTGAATTAGGTACAGGAAAGATTCAGGCGGAGGAGAGGTGACTTCTGTCTGGAGCTCACAGAAGGCTTTAGAATGGTGGTGACCTAGGAATCAGGTTTCAAAGGATGGTGTAGAATGGTTGCCGGGGGCCGGGCAGTGGAGAGGTGCTTCGAGCCGAGGGCTCAGCATGTGCAAATGTGCAGAAGTGTGAAACAGCCCCGCTGGAGTCATTCAGCTGGCTAGGCAAATCCGTCAAAGCCACGCACACTTTGGCACAAAGAATCGAGGAGCATGAGAGTCACTGTGCCGCCTCCCGAAGTGGAACGTGTACTTCAATAATGGGGAATAGGAGTGGCGAGTTAAAGTAATGTGTCTGCGATGGTGGAATTTCAGCAGTGTGCGGGCAGGAGGCTCAGGGTGGGGGTGGCCGGGCATGTTTGGGGAAGGGCAGCCATCCTGCAGAAATCAATCCCATGGCCACAGCCTCTTTAGTCTCCGACACTGGCCCAGGAGCTAAGCCCCATCGCCAGAGGCCTTGCTAATTACTCGCAGGATGACCCCATCTGAACTGAAGCCTTTGAATGGAGCATCCTGAAAATGTCCTTTTGCCTGCACTCTTTGAGTGACCTTGAACCCTCATCCAGATCACAACTGTCTTTGTTCTGCCACCCCTGTGAGGACTGAGGTCTGATCCAGGCATCCTTTCCAGTGTTGGATAGGAAGGGGCTGAGATTTCTGATGTGTTCTACCAAGTCAGGGATGCAAGGATGGGAGAAATGAGGTTGGTGACAAGGCAGGGAACAAAGTGCTGGGGACAGCTCCACACACACCGTAACCATAGCAACCACCATCTAGCAAGGGCTCCCCACGTGCCATGCACTGGATTGTGTCACTTATTCCTCCTGTCGTGTCTATTTTACCGATAAAGAAACTGAGGTATAGAGGTTAAGAAAATTGCTGAGATCAGCAGCTAGGAAGTGGTAGAGCTGGATGGGACCCTGGCACCATGGCTCCCAGGTCCACAGTTGGTGGGACCTGGGCAACAGGAAGGAGACAGGGTTTGGTGGAAAGAGGGAAAACAGCTCATCATGACTGAGGCTCAGGAATTGTTCTCAGAGGACATCACACTGGGAGTCAGACAAACTCAGGGCTTGAATTCTGGCTCAGCCACTTCCTTGCATAAGTCGCCCAACTACTCCATGCCTCAGTTTCCTCATCTGCAAAATGGGGATAACAATGCCCACCTCCCAGAGTTGTTGTGAGGATTCAGTGAGATTATGTATTTGAAGTGACTGGCACAGAGCAAGTGCTACATAAATAGTTGTCATTAGTATTGCCAGTATCCGGGTAACTGTGGGGACAGAAGGAAATCCCTGTGGGGCAGAGGAGAGACTGCGTCTGCACAGCAGGAAGGGCTCAGTGGCACCTTCTTCCTGGAGATGTCTGGGAAGCACTCCGACCTTTGAGGCCAATCAAGCCATGCAGGCAGTGTGCCAGAGCTCAGGTGCTCTGCTGGGCTGCGAAGACCCACCTGGGACCCTGAGGGAGGTAACTGGTGAAACCAGGAAGCAGGGAGCCCCTTGGAGAGCTGGGTGAGGAGCCGCCTTGCCAGCATGGGCCCCCCGACTCCTCAGTCCCCCAAGCCAGCCGGCCTGGCTTTCTCTGTGGATATGGCTGTGTGACCTCGCACAAGTTGGTCCTCTTTCACGGCCTCTGCTTTTTCTTTTTCTTTTTTTTTTTTGAGACGAAGTCTCGCTCTGTCGCCCAAGCTGGAGTGCAGCGGCATGATCTTGGCTCACAACAACCTCCACCTCCCAGGTTCAAGCGATTCTCCTGCCTCAGCCTTCTGGGTAGCTGGGATTACAGGCGTGAGCCACCTGGCATGGTCGGCCTCTGTTTTTCATCTGTATAATGGGCTTTGTGCTCCCTTAGGGCTCCTCCTGTGGGTTCTGCTGCTGGACCAGGGCTCAGCCTCCAGTTTAGCTTGAGGGTGCCCAGGCCTGCAGAAGGTGTCAAGCAAGGGCTGGGAGAGGGGGAGGAAGGAGGAGGCAGGAAGGCAACGGGAGGGGAAGGAGGAGGGCAGAGGAAGGGTCTCCGAGTGCCTCTCACTCCCGCCTCAGCTCTCCGCTCCAGTGGTCCCATATAGGGCTCTGGGTCCCAAACACCAGAGGAAGGAGCGGGGACAGCCCAGGCTTCTTCCCTGGGTCTTGTTCCTGAGCTGCCCATCTAGGATGGTGCAAGGCCGAGTTGTCTGCACTGAACTCTCCCTCAGTTTCCCCTCCAGTGATTGCAGGGCTGTGGGGGCAGCTGGCACAGCAGGGCTGGGCTGGAGATGCTGCTTAAGAGCACGGGAGGGGCAGCCTGAGCCCAGAGGGAGGCTCAACGGGGACCTCTGCAGCCTGGCAGACAGGGCAGGGTACTTAGCTCCCTGGCCTCAGTTTCCTCATCTTGGAAATGGGACAATGGCGATGATAATGAAGTTTTTATTACAGACCTGCCGTGAGGATTACATAAGGTAACAGACACAAGCACTCAGAACTGTGTCCAGCACATGATAGGCCCATAATAAACCACAGGGATTATATGATCACTCTAACCTGCTTCTAACAGGGCAGGGGCAGTGCTGTGTGCGCCGTGTGCCCATCAGGGCTCTGGGCTCACTGACTCTACCCACTCAGGCATGTGCTCAGTATGGAGGCCCAGGGTGCAGATGGGCCAGGCCTGAAGCCACCTTCACCCCATGAAGACCCAGGCAGGCACTGCCCAGCAGGCAGGGTCACATAGTGATGACCCCCATGGGCTCTGGAGTCTGACACCCTGGGTTCCAACCAGCAATTCCATAGGAGCTCTGTGGTCTGGGCTGCTTCATCAACCTGCAAGGCTAAGCCATCTGTAAAATGGGGCTAATAATGACCCTACTTTGTGCTGGGGCTATTTTGAGGATTAAATGAGGCAAACCCAAGGAAAAGCCTCTGCTCAGGGCCAGGCACCGGGGAAATCAGTAATTAGCCATTACCACCGATAAATCAGAACTTCTGGGCCGGGCGTGGTGGCTCGCGCCTGTAATCCCAGCACTTTGGGAGGCCGAGGTGTGTGGATCACGAGGTCAGGAGATCGAGACCATCCTGGCTAACATGGTGAAACCCCGTCTCTACTAAAAATACAAAAAATTAGCCGGGCGTGGTGGTGGGCACCTGTAGTCCCAGCTACTCGGGAGGCTGAGGCAGGAGAATGGTGTGAACCCAGGAGGCGGAGCTTGCAGTGAGCCGAGATCACGTCACTGCATTCCAGCCTGGGTGACACAGCGAGACTCTGTCTCAAAAAAAAAAAAAAAAAAAAAAGAACTTCTGGCTGCTGCTTCTTTCTCTTTAGAAAAAGCTCAGTGCTTAAGACCTGGAATGCCTCACAGATGTTACCATCCAAACTCCCAGATCTGGCTCCTCAGTTCCTCCACCCAAAATAAACAAATGGAAAAAGGAGAACCTGCCTCTCCCCCTGACAACTGAGCCTGGAGACAACCAAGGTGGATGGGTAGCATGCCCCTGCACGGTGCCCAGGGAGCTCTGTGCCTTGGAGTCTCCACGAATTGGCCAAGGCCAACATCAAGCTCAAGTATGGAGGAGGGACCCGGGGGAAGGCACATGGCACTCTCTGACCCACCACAGACCAAAAAGCCGTAGGCAAGCTAATTCACTCTCTAAACCTCAGTTTCCTAGTCCAGGAGATAGTGATGTTCTTCATGTTTGGGAATTGATCAGAAATGTTGTATATAAAGTGCCTGGCAAGCAGTAACAGTTGCCAAATGGCAGATGTTTGGCTCGGCCCTGTGTCCAGCCCAGAAGCTTTTGTGTACTAAAAAGCACACAAAAAACCTCACCCTGCCCCATGGGGTCTTCTCCCGGCCCCTCTTTCCGAGGCTTTTGCCCATCACTTTTTGTGGGAAACTTGACTTAGGCCAATGCTGGACCAAAGCCTTGGTCAGTGCTGGACACAGAGGGAGAGGAGATGGGCCCCTTCTTCCAGCTCACACTGCCCCTGGTCATACAGCAGATTGCAATTGTCCTTGAAGGCCACTGACACTCACGGATCATTTTCTCAGGTTCTCCCAGAAAATGTCATTTCTGCTGTTCCTGTGCTGAGGGCAGGGAACGGAAAAGTCGTAATTCCTACCTTGGTTTTCTAGTATTTTAAACTCTTCTGCCCCACCCCCATAAGGTCATTCTTTCTGTTGTTGACTATAAAACCTGAGAGAGTTGATGGGATATTGATTACAAAGCGAGGGGCAGAGGAATGGAGTGAATTGACCAGTCACCTGGTGTTGGGTGTGGGCAGTGAGATCTGAGATCTCCCTTCTGACTCTGTGCTAAACTTGTTTTGACACAAAGCCAAGCTCCAGTCTCTCATGAGAAAAGAGGTGGAGCTCTAGAAACTTCTAGGAAACTGGAAAGATGGTCATGGAGGCCCTGGTAGACAAAGGACTTGGTGCAAGCCAGCAATTCCTTGGGGAGATACTGGGAGGCTCTGGGCTGGGCTGGCACCATCGCAGGGAAGAGGCTGAGGGCATTGCCAAGGGTAGTGTGTGTGTGTGCGCGCGCGCGCGTGTCCCATGAGTCACTGGAAGTGTCCATGTGGCCCCAGTATCCTGGACTGCCTTGGAAATTGCCCAGCCTGATCTCTTCAATGCCCATCAGGGAAGCTGGACCCAGAACCTGGAAAGGACTGGATCTGGGCCCCAAATACCATCTTTCTAGTCCAAACCTCTTTTCATGGCTTTGCATTGCCCCCAAGGGCCCCCACAAGCGGCTTCTGCGGTCCCATCCCCCTGCAAGCTGGATGCAGCCAGAGGGCTGACTTGCGTGGGTCAGAGCTCTGCGCTTTGAGGGGCGGCATGCTCCCGAGGTCAAAGGTAGCACATTCAGGTGCCAGGGCACAGGCCCTCTGCCTCTCCACCTACCCCGGAGGGTTCACAAAGCGGCCATGGTGCCCAGGATGGGCTCTGTGCTTTGTGCCCACAGTGTTACTACCCTCTGTCTGCCTGCAGGTCCCTGGCCCTGGGCCAGCAGTACACATCTCTGGGCTCACAGCCCCTGCTCTGCGGCTCCATCCCAGGCCTGGTCCCCAAGCAACTGCGCTTCTGCCGCAATTACATCGAGATCATGCCCAGCGTGGCCGAGGGCGTGAAGCTGGGCATCCAGGAGTGCCAGCACCAGTTCCGGGGCCGCCGCTGGAACTGCACCACCATAGATGACAGCCTGGCCATCTTTGGGCCCGTCCTCGACAAAGGTACTGCCTTGGGGCTGAGGGGGGGGGAGGGGCTGGGTGGGGGGAGGGATCAGGACTGTATGCCCTTCCACCCCAGTCAGGGTGCCTCTTCTCTGAAGCCAGGGTCCCTCTGGGAGGGTGATAAATTTGGTTGCATGACTGCCACACCTTCCCAGGCGCTGCTGGGGGCTGGGCCGCCTTGAGATGCTCCAGGATCCTGAGGTTTGAGGGCCGACACCAAGAAGGCCACAGACTTCCTTCCTGGCTTTTGCACAGTGGGCGCCTCAGGCTCCTGCTGTGGACATTTGTGACATTTCCCCAATGCTGTGTTAAGTGCTATGCAAATACCGCTTTGGGGTGGGGGTGAGAGCATTGCCACCCCTAGGTCCCTCCCATCTAGAAAGTCCTCAGTAGGTGAGGAAGCTGCCTGGTGCTGTGGTAGCATTGCGTTGCCCCCAAGAGCCCCTCTAGGTTTCTGTTCATCCTCATGCCCTGTCAGCTGGATATGCCCAGGAATCATGGTGGGGCTAGAGGGTGCACTGGCCTCTGGGTAACTTTCCGGCCGTCTTGCAGCCTGGGAGTCTAACTGGCTGTGCCTCAAGTGGACAGGGAACCACATGATTTGACTTTGAACCTGCAGGCCCTGGGAGGGAGGCTAAGTGGGACAACTCCTCCCAAGAAGGGGACTTGGGGGCTCATGGACTGGGTGGAAGATGGGCAGCTCTTTGTGGAACGGCAGTGTCCAGGAATTTAACGATCCTGGCCGGGCTGGCCACAGCCAGAGTTGCTCTGCCACCCAAACCGCTGAGCCTGGCCCTCCCTCCTATTAGAAGCTAGGGAATGAATGAGAGCTGCCTATACAGCCAGAAAGAAAAGGGATCTGACGTTCAGGTGAAGGGGTGGGGTGCTGGGTGGGGTTGGGGGGGAAGCTGACAACCCCCATTTTAGAGTGCAGTTCCCCTTTACCGGTGCCTCAGGTGCTCAGGGTCTGTCCCACCTACAGGCAAAGTGCTGGCTATTGTCATGGGACAGGAGGGTAATTAGCAAATCAATGGATGATGATTCTGTTTACGCTTCTATTGCCAAAACTAATTATTCCTTGTTGACATAAAAGATTTGGCCTCTTAATTGGGGCCAAGTGGCGGCGGTTTGCATTTCAAACTCGTTCTTGTCGGTGTGTTGGTCTCAGCGCTTTCCGGTGCCCCTCCTCGGGCCAGGTAGCGCTGAATCAAACAACCCTGCGTCTAGACGCGCTCCCCAAAAGCGAGTCACCTCTGATCGCTCTTCCCGTCTCCGGCCAAGAGCCAGGGGAAAGCGGCTCTGGGAGCGCTACCCATTCACTCCGCGTTGAACGTTTTAAGTCACCACCGTAGGTTCTGGCACACGCCCCGGTCCCTAGATGGCCCGAGGACAGGTTTGGGTTGCGGGGGGAGGGGCGATGTGTGCCCGAGAGTTTGGGAATTTGCTGGCGGCGGCGAGGAGAGCATCCCGGAAGACGCCGCGAGCGCATACGCGCCCCGGTCGGTGCCCAGAGCCCGGACCTTGAACCCAGGTTCGCGCCCAGCTCCGGCCCCACGTTTGCACCCCGCCCCCGGCGAGTCCCCACACCACCGCCGCGTGGGCGGCCAAGGGTTAATCTCTGCCCCGCGCTTTGAGACCCGGGGCGCAGCGGGTCGGGCAGCCCGGGGCGCGCGTCTTCCGCGAGTCTGGGGGCGGCGGGGTCGGCGGCCGGAAGGGGCGAGGCGCGGCGGCGGCGCGGCGGGCCCGAGGCGCTTCCCCAGGCGGGGGCGGGGGCAGGGGCGGGGGCGGGCGCCGGAGGGGCCTGGGCGGCCTGAAAAGCGCCCGAGCACCGCCCCCCCACCGCGCGGCCGCCGCGCCATTCACACGCCCTCTGGCCATTCGGCGCGGCGCGGCGCGGCGCGGCGCGGGGGCGGGGGGCGCCGCTTCAATGGGGATTTCGCGGCCCGGCGCCGGGGCCGGGGGCGCGGCCCGGCCGCGGGAGCCGCCCGTTGCTACGCGGTGGCGGCCGGCCCGGCGGCCCGGGCCCGGCGGCCGCATTATGCGGGTAATGCGGTGTGACACCGCGCGAACAAAGGCGGATTGAGCGGCCCAGCGGGCCCCGCCGGACGGGGAAGGCACAGCGGGGCTGTCAGCGCCGCTCCCAGGCTAATCCCCGCCCCGCCCCCGCCGCCCCCGCGTTCCCGGGGCTGGGAACCCAGCGCGGCCCGGGGCCCGGGCGCCGCTGCCGCCGCGAGAGGCCGCAGGCCGGCCGGAAACGAGGGGCGCCCGCCCTGTGAACCCGCCCTCGGCCCCTCTTCCCCGAGGCGCCCCCAGGGCTGGGGCGTCTAGGATTGGGGCGAGTGAGCGGCGCGGCTGGGACCCCGAGGCCGGGAGCACAACTGGACGCGGGACGTCGGGCCCCCTTGCCGCCGTCCTCGGTCGGCCCTGGCAGCGCAGGCGCGGGGCGCGGGCGGGACCAGCTCTGCACTCTTCGCCCTCCCGTCGTTGGAAGTGGGACGGGCCCCTCTGTAGGTGGCGCAGGAGGGCGTGGGGGCCGCGGAGAGCGGCCGCGGGAGCCAAGAGGGGTCCCGGGCTTCCTTCTTGCAGCACTCGGCCCACAGCCCAGGAGGGGAGGCGGGCGCCTGGCTTCTAAATAAATTTGGTCACATTTATGACCAATTTTGCCGACTAGGCCGGCCCGGCGTTTCACAGCCTGTGTCAGGTGGCGAGTCACCTCCGGCTCCCGGGTCCTGCCATGAGGAGAGAGATGGTTGGGCTGCAGGTCTTGCAGGCCTTGGCCTCCCTAATCGTCAATGTCCACATCTATAAAATGAGTAAAACTTTCCATGTGAATGAAGCACATGCAGAGACGATGACCGTTGTGAGGAGGCTGGAGCACACCCTTGAGAGTCTCTCCTTTCCCTGCGCTGGACCCTGGGACAGAACCAGGGGAACTGCCCGGTGTCCCTACCCTTCTGGGAGGGAGTTGGCCGTGCCTGGGCGTGAGGGCAGGAGAATGGGGATGGGGAGACTGAGGCACGGGCCACTGCCCTCCTGGTGAGGGGCTCTAGGAGCGGAGGGAAGCCGTGTCCATTTTACAAAAAGGGCGACTGAGACCGAGAAAAGGAGAGGGGCCGTCCCTATGCATCCACGTGCGGAAGGGGTGGGCCTGGGCAGGTTTAGGCTGTAGATTCCCAGGCCTCCCTCCTTACAGACCTGGATCTCACTCAGGCGTGGGAGGGCTCAGGCCTGTGCAGGGTGGTCTCTGGACTTTGGGAAGGTGGAGGGCAGGGGGTGTGGGACCAGGACAGAAGTGGCTGCCTTATCTCTGCAGCAACCTGCCAGAGGTTTGGTGTCGGCGCCTGTTTCTAACAGGCACTGCTTTGCCCTGTGGCATTTGAGGTCCTGAGCTAATCAGCAGCCCAGGGCCTCAGTTTGCTCATCGGTGAAGTGGGAATACCCAACTGGGTCTAAACCAGCCAAAGAGGGTGGGGAAGCTGCCTCCCTCTTGCCTCAGGGCTGGTGAGCTCTTCAACTCTTCCTGGCCTCGTTCCCCTCACGTCCTGGCCTGGGAGGTGGAGGCAGGGCAGGCGCTCCCAGGCCGGGTCCTGAGTGCTGCCTCCCCACGACCTCCCCGCAGCCACCCGCGAGTCGGCCTTCGTTCACGCCATCGCCTCGGCCGGCGTGGCCTTCGCCGTCACCCGCTCCTGCGCCGAGGGCACCTCCACCATTTGCGGCTGTGACTCGCATCATAAGGGGCCGCCTGGCGAAGGCTGGAAGTGGGGCGGCTGCAGCGAGGACGCTGACTTCGGCGTGTTAGTGTCCAGGGAGTTCGCGGATGCGCGCGAGAACAGGCCGGACGCGCGCTCGGCCATGAACAAGCACAACAACGAGGCGGGCCGCACGGTGAGCCCGGCTACCCTCCCCAAACCCTTCAGGGAGCAGCCCCCCGCTTCCCCTCCGGAGCTGCCCTGGCCCCCACCTCACCCCTTCCGGCAGCCCTGTGGGTCGCGGGCTCCTTTTCCCCTTGGCCAGGCTTGGCCTCCTCCCCACCCCACAGCCACTTCGTCTGTCCACCCTCCTTCCTCCTTGGGCAGTTCCTGGACTCCACCCCACCCGGGATGAGTCGGCCTGGGAGCATGGCCACCCCGTGGGATCAGGTGCCACCCACCACCCATCCTGTGCACCTTGGCACGCGGTGTAGGGCTGTCAAGTCCTGGGAACCTGGCTTTGAATTCAGCCTCCACTCCCTTACTATGCTTGTATGATCTAGGGTGAGTCACGTTAAGTTCCCAGCCTCAGTTTCCCCATGTGTTAAATGGAGATAACTCCTATTTCTTTTTTCTTTTTCTTTTCTTTTTTTTTTTTTTTTTGAGACGGAGTCTCGCTCAGTCGCCCAGGCTGGAGTGCAGTGGCTGGATCTTGGGTCCCTGCAACCTCCGCCTCCCGAGTTCAAGCAATTCTCCGGCCTCAACCTCCCAAGTAGCTGGGATTACAGGCGTCCGCCACCACACCAGCTAATTTTTGTATTTTTAGTAGAGACGGGGTTTCGCCATGTTGGCCAGGCTGGTCTCAAACTCCTGACTTCAGGTGATCCTCCCGCCTCAGCCTCCCAAGGTGCTGGGATTACCACCGCGCCTGGGCAACAACTCGTATTTCATGCGCTGTGAGAAGTGGACGTGCTGTCTACCCATGCTTGGGGTGTGAAGGGGGAGGGAAACATGGTCACTATTCTTTAGGTCTTGCCTCAGTCCCCATCAGTTCTCTTCCTGTCACAGAGGAGTAGAGAAGGCTGGAGGGAAGGGGGTGGGCAGTGGCAGAGAGGGAAGGCCTGGATGTGCCCCCTCGTGGGGTCGGTCTGTTGGCCAGCTGCCACTTCTCTCCCCCAGACTATCCTGGACCACATGCACCTCAAATGCAAGTGCCACGGGCTGTCGGGCAGCTGTGAGGTGAAGACCTGCTGGTGGGCGCAGCCTGACTTCCGTGCCATCGGTGACTTCCTCAAGGACAAGTATGACAGCGCCTCGGAGATGGTAGTAGAGAAGCACCGTGAGTCCCGAGGCTGGGTGGAGACCCTCCGGGCCAAGTACTCGCTCTTCAAGCCACCCACGGAGAGGGACCTGGTCTACTACGAGAACTCCCCCAACTTTTGTGAGCCCAACCCAGAGACGGGTTCCTTTGGCACAAGGGACCGGACTTGCAATGTCACCTCCCACGGCATCGATGGCTGCGATCTGCTCTGCTGTGGCCGGGGCCACAACACGAGGACGGAGAAGCGGAAGGAAAAATGCCACTGCATCTTCCACTGGTGCTGCTACGTCAGCTGCCAGGAGTGTATTCGCATCTACGACGTGCACACCTGCAAGTAGGGCACCAGGTAGGGCTCCGGGAAGCAGGGGGGAGGCTGGGAGCCTGGGCGCAGGGAATGGGGTTGTTTGCCCATCTCGTCTTCTTGACGACCCCCTTCTGTTTCTAAGCTATCCAAGACACACAAGTTCCCACAGCCAAAATAGGAAGCTAGGATTTTTCAAGCATCCGTGGGAATGGTCCTTGGGCAGAGACTTGGTGGATTGCACAAAGCACAGATAAAAACCCAGTGTTGGCCGGGTGCGGTGGCTCACGCCTGTAATCCCAGCACTTTGGGAGGCCGAGGTGGACGGATCACCTGAGGTCAGGAGTTCGAGACCGGCCTGGCCAACATGGTGAAACCCGTCTCTACTAAAACTACAAAAATTAGCCGGGCGTTGTGGCAGGTGCCTGTAATCCCAGCTGCTTGGGAGGCTGAGGCAGGAGGATTGCTTGAACCTGGGCGACAGAGGTTGCAATGAACTGAGATTGCACCACTGGACTCCATCCAGCCTGGGCGACAGAGTGAGACTCCATCTCAAACAAACAAACAAACAAACAAAAAAAAACAAAATTCAGTGTGTGCACATTAGGTGCCAGCAATTGATTAACATTTTTACACAAGTTAGTTATGAGCCAGATCAAATTTTTGCATAGCTGCTAGCTGTCATTCTTGAGCATTATTTGGAGATGGGGGGCTGGAAGCTGGGAGACCTGACGTCTGGTCCTAACTTTGTCAGTAACTTCCTGTTCTTTCACTTTTCTGGGCCTCAGCTTTCTTACTATAAAGTGGTGATGGTGGTGAAGGGCAGGGGGCAGTTTAAATACCTCAAGCAGCGAGCCAAAATGTCTCCTCTACCCCTGAGGCAGAGTCAGTGTGCATCCACCTTGAACTTAGAGGGCAAGTTCCTGCACAAGCATAAATCGTACCAACCTCAGGGAGGTGGGTGGGGGGAAGCGGCATATAAGCCCATATCCTGACAGATCTGAAGCTTGGGTGGAGTGGGGAGCACTCTCACCGAGTTTATGGATGATGACGGGGAGCAGGAGGGATTCAAGTTCAGAGTGGCTGGGATGAGTAATCGAGGGATCAAAGGCGGGTGGATTTTGTTCCCAAGCTTCCCAGAGGTGGCCTGCATGGGAGGCGCTATGCACTGGCCCTGGGTTCCACAGCACCCCGGGATAGGTCAGCATGGATGAGGAGTGGTCCTGGACCCCCGGGGTGGAAGGTTTTAAGGCTGGGGTGCCCTTTCTTCCTTTTCTGTCCCCTGAGAAGGAGCCTAGTGTGTCGAGGCATGAGCATGGGTGTTGGAATTAGGCCCTGCCCTGCTCCAGCTCCTACCACTTGCCAACCGTGTGACCCAAGCAAGAAATTCTTCATAGACCTGGTTCCTCATCTGTCATCCTCCCCAGAGATGCTGTGAGGGACAAATGAAAGGACACCGAGGACAGGGCTTGGTTAATTGGGAAGCACTTCCCTGCTGGGTCATTGTTGTCTGGGGTGCTGCTGGGCGAGAGCAGCCTGTGAAAGGGTAGAGTGCCCCCTCTTCCTGCAGTTCCACAGGGCACCTCTGAGCTACTGGCACATGTCTGTGCCATAGGGAGTAGGGGAGGGAAGTGGACGGGCCTCTCTGAGATATGGGAGGTACTTGACGTCATGGAGAAGAGCTCTGGCTGAGGGGCGACTCACTCAGCCCATCTAGGAAGCCCCTCGGTGTAGCTCAAGTTCTGTCCTGGTGGGGACAGTCCAGAAAGGCAGCAGGTGGCACTACCTTTGTCGGTATCTGAACAAAAGCAGTGTGGGGAGTGGGAGAGGACGAAGGTGAATCCAGCGCCTCCACTCGTCCACTCAGCTGTCTGGCCTGGGAGCGCCAGTTTCCTCCTCTGTTCAGTGGTGGTGACAATGGGAGCCCAGCAGAACTTTTTTTTTTTTTTTGAGACTGAGTCTCTCTTTGTCGCCCAGGCTGGAGTGAAGTGCGCAATCTCGGCTCACTGTAACCTCCGCCACCTGGGTTCAAGCGATTCTCCTGCCTCAGCCTCCCGAGTAGCTGGGATTATAGGTGCCCGCCACCACGATCGGCTAATTTTTTTATTTTTAGTAGAGACGGGTTTCGCCATGCTGGCCAGGCTGGTCTTGAACTCCTGACCTCAAGTGATCCACCCGTCTTGGCCCCTCAAAGTGCTGGGATTACAGGCGTGAGCCACCGCGCCCGGCCAGAATCAGTACTCTTCATCAGCCCTCTTTCTCCCCATTTCTGAAATGGACAATGAGTGTTTTTTTTCCTCAATCTTATGTAAAGTGCTACATAGATATGGTTTCAAGATGCTGTGTCCAAGTGGTTCCTACCCGGAACCCCTTCTCTGTGGAAGCTCTGGAGGCCTCACTCTGTGACCAGTGGAGGACACTCTCCCAACATGGTGCCCTTCTGATAAACACTCCCAGGCCAGCTCTTCTGCCTCGCTGAGCCCTGGCTTCTTCATTTGTGAACTGGGGATGAGAACTGTGTTCTGTGTAGGGTTGTCCTGTGGACTGGAGACCCTGCACATGAAGGGCCTGGCCCAGGACCCAGCTGCTCACAGGGCAGCCACAGAGGCTCCTGGGCCAAGCAGAGCTGACCTCCCAGAGCCACCTCCCCAGGCGAGAGCCGCCTGCTCTGGAGCAATGGGCCCAGGCTCGGCCGAGACTCCGCTAGGCAAGACGGGAGCCTGCGGGATGCACTGGCAGGGATGGCAGGGGACAGAGTCGTTAGCTGTTCTCTTGTCTTCCCTGACAGTCTTGGCAGTGCAGGCAGGAGAGAGAAGGGAGTCGCAGAGCAGGCCCCGGGCCCTCCACACGGTGAGGAGAGAGCGCCTGTCAAATGGCTTGTGTCCTTCCTTTGTGGGGAAAACACCTTTTCTGTAGCTTTTTGTAGCTTTTACCCAGTGTCTCTGGCTAACCATTGATTTGGTGCCTTACAAGTGCCAGATTTATTCCTCGTCACTCTGCTGTTGTGAACATGGTGAGCTGGAGCTGGAAAGGTTCTGGCAAGAGTCGAGTGGCCTGGCTGCGCCCAAGTCCTGGATCTGTTACTGCCTTGCTGAGAGACCTTGGATGTGTCCCTTCAATCTGGCTGAGCCTGTTTCTGCCTCTGTAAAGTAGTCTTATCTTGGCCTTGTCAGCCCCCTAGAAGAGCTGGGGGTTGACTGGGAATGCCTCAAACCCTTTGTGAGATATGACTATGCAAATGAGTAAAATGAACACACTGCTGCTCCAATGGGAAGGAATTGTTCGTAATTAAGTAGGCTCTCTCCCATTTGGACAGCTCATTATCAAGCTATTTGGTGCGGTACAAAAACACAGTGCATGCCTGGCGTGAGCCCAGCACAGCAGTTGACTTGGAGTTGGGGACTGGGCCCTCGGCCAGGCACCGTTTCTCCCATCCTGAGTGACCTGCTCCTGGGCTTCCTGTTGCCCAAGGCCCTCAGCTAGAGGTGGGGGAGGTAGAATTTCGATCCCATTCTGTGGACTCGAAAGCCTTACTGCTCCTGTGACTCATACGACCTCCCTCAACAGCAGGCCCAAAGCACAGAGGAGAGCGTGGAGAAACCACCCAAGTCCTCATCACCTCTGAGCACCAGGGACACGTTCAGATCCATCAGCAGCCTCTGATCTTTGAACCCCAATGGGTGGTCTCTGGGAATGGAATTATGTTTCTAATTCTTCCTCTTGATTTTCCCCAAGGGCGCTGGGAAGGGGTGAAGTGTGTGGCTGGGCGGATTCAGCGAAGTCTCATGGGAAGCAGGACCTAGAGCCGGGCACAGCCCTCAGCGTCAGACAGCAAGGAACTGTCACCAGCCGCACGCGTGGTAAATGACCCAGACCCAACTCGCCTGTGGACGGGGAGGCTCTCCCTCTCTCTCATCTTACATTTCTCACCCTACTCTGGATGGTGTGTGGTTTTTAAAGAAGGGGGCTTTCTTTTTAGTTCTCTAGGGTCTGATAGGAACAGACCTGAGGCTTATCTTTGCACATGTTAAAGAAAATAAAAATGAAAAAAAATTTGACTCCAACAGAACAGGCTGGGCTAATGTGAGCTCTCAGCCTGGCAGTCAAGACATCAGCATGGGCAAGGTTCTGTTTCCAAACTGCTGCTTCTGGTGACATTCCAAGACGCCTGGAGGGTGGGAGTCAGGAAGTAGGACACACCCCTGCAGTCTCCTTTTCTTGGTCCACTCCCATTCAAATTTGAGCTAATTTCTCATTCTGATAAAAGCCATAGGTTTAGCTAGGATGAAGTGGTAGGAAGGTCCGTGGCAGTTGTTAGAGTAGGATTTGGAGTTTGGAAGAACTGGCAGCTCAGGGTGGCCTGGTCAGCCGTTTGAAGAGCAGCCATGTGTTCTTCTCAGTCTCATTTTCTCTATAACCCTGTTCTGCACGAGGGGCAGTCAGATCTCAAAATCTTTTTCTACCATTCTGCAGTTTCCACCGTCAATGCAGTTTTTTTTTTGTTTTTTTGTTTTTTTTTTTTTTTGGTGGTAGTGGACCTTGTAAATAGGCTATGTAAGGGGGCAAGTCTTCTCTAGCTCAAATGGCTTCCTAAATAAATAAGCGGTATCTTCAGAAGGGGCCATTCAGTCCTTCCCAGCCCTGCTCACCTGCAGATTCTCTGTACAAATAACTCCAGGTAGAGCAGTTGGACTCCAGGTCACCTTAGTATAAGTTAGACAAAGGGTCCGTGAGGGAGTAGCCATCAATTCCTGAAATTCCAACTTTGTGACTAGCAGATGGGGAGGATGAAAACCATCCCTTTGCTTCCTCTCCAATACGGACCCATCTTACTGTGTCCTTTCCTCTCTGGGGCCAATGTGAGTAAACACAGACACAGAGTTCTTTCCCCCAGCTCTTCCTCCCTCACCTGCATGCTGAGATAGCTTCCATCCATGCAGTTCCCAAGGATCTGGATTAGAAGTTCAAAGGGGAACCAGCAGTCACCTACTCCCTTAGGTGAAGCATCTCACGGCTGAGTTCTCCCTGAGGCATACTGGTCCAGCTGAGCGTCCTAGAGAAAGCTAGCAAAAGGGAGGCACATGGATTTCACAGTATGAATTGGTTCAACAACTGTCTTAGGGAGAATCAGAAAGAAGAGATGCAGCAGGGGAATGAGCAGAACAAAGATTTTTCTTTCTCCCCCTTCTCTCTGGGGTCTACCTAACCCTGACCTAAAATACCAGGGCAGCGATCTCCCAGCTGGTGCAGGTGGGCTTGCCAAGATGGTCGTCCAGGAGCCCGCCTTCACTTCTAAATCTGCTGGCCACAAGCCCTGCTAAAGATACACATCTCACCCCCTCCGCCAAGTCTGAAATGCCCCTCCCCATCTCACCTTAGACTGAAAAGTTTTAAATCATGTCAACTGGATAATACTTGCTTTATGTGAGAATACTTCAGCAGAATGGATACGAATTTTCAAAACAATCTTTTCATATCTATGTATTCTATATTAAAAGTGATAAAGTCATGTTTCTGGGGCGTATTCAAGTAGCTGACAAGTAATTATTTAATAATAGTACATGAGTGCATTGTAATGATTCTCGCCGTAGTCAGGTAATAGTATCCAACCGAAATTTCCTACCAACCTGCTGTATCCAAAGTTTTGTAAAAAGTTGTAGAAGTTGTTGATCTTTTTGATTTTATATTCAAAAAGTCTCTTTTTATAAATATTATTTATTATACAATGTATATACCTTTGAGTTAACTAAGATTATATATTATATAAATATATATATATTTGGAGAAAATATATTTCATCATGCAGTTTTTTTCTGTTAAGTCATTAAAGAGAAGGTAAACAAACCTAAAATGGATACATTGTACACTGTGTGGAGTTTCCAGATTAATGCTCAGGAGGTCAAGGATACGAGATTCTGAACATGGTGGCCTCAGCTAATTAAATGACCAAGTGAAGGTTATTTCCTCTGTTTTCTAAGCAAGATCATCAGAGATGTCACGGACAGTGGGTCTGATACACCACAGTACATTTTTAAAGGCTTCTTTTGTTCTAAGTTAACTTCTAACAATGAATTTCCAGTTTTAGAAAACAACAACTTGTGTACTAATTCATTTCACAGACTCAAGTATTTTCAATGTATAAATTAATGTCACAGGCACTCCTAAAAGATGTGGCCCAAGGCCAGCAGACCGCAGGGGTGGCCACTGCCTTAATCCCCTCCTCACCACGTTTTCAACTCCATTTAATGGGAAAATAGGATTTTCTCTATTGAAAATGAAACTTGACTGAAAATTGTCTGTCCCCTGCTAGCTCCACTGTGAGAGCTAAGCCGTAGAGGGAGGTAGGCTGGTCTACAAGAAGAAAGCGTGTGCCCTGGGCTGTGGGCTGTCTGGAACAATTGTCATTTGAAGTTGGGTTTGGGTTTGGGTAGAAAGGGCCTGCCAGTGGGCATGCTCTGGGGATGGGCACCCTCTCAGATCGCCACTTCACAGGACCCACTGGAAGCTCACAGGTTATGCCTTCTCAACAATGAGATGCCACAAGTTGGTTTTATGACAACAGACAATCCTTTAGTTTTCAGACCTACCCATAAAATGTCACCTTTGGTTTATTCAGCACATTATTTCAGAGAATAACAAAAATGTTTTTTCTTTTTATTTCTCCTGACCTACCTCATTTAGGAACAAATCTTACCTCACTACGAAGAGAAATAATGAGAACAGGCTGGGTGGGGTGGCTCAGACCTGTAATCCCAGCACTTTGGGAGGCCGAGGTGGGTGGATCACTTGAGGTCAGGAGTTCGAGACCAGCTTGGCCAACATGGTGAAAGCCCGTTTTTACTAAAAATACAAAAATTAGCAGCTGGGCATGGTGGTGCATGCCTGTAGTCCCAGCTACTTGAGAGGCTGAGGCAGGAGAATCACTTGAACCTGGGAGGCGGAGGTTGCAATGAGCTGAGATCGCACCACTGTACTCCAGCCTGGGTGACAAGGCGAGACTCCATCTCAAAAAAAAAAAAAAACAAACAAAAAAAAACCAGGAAAATAAAGCCATGAGCCGCCTATGGTGGAGGCGGGCTGCTCTGCGCTGTATTCAGACCTGTGACCTGAGGTTAGGAATAGCCACCAGAAGTTGATGCACTCTGTTTTGTCCATGATGTGTCTTTAGCCCCTGAAAAGCTGAAACCACAAAAACTGTTACACTTCAGCCATACAACGAATCGGACACGTACAGGATACAGATCTCCTCTACATCTTACAGTCTGGTCATTTTTATTTCATTTCGACTTTTTATTTTTCTTTTGCATAAAGCTAATGCAGGTTGACTACACCTTTTCTGAAATGCTTGGGACCAGAAATATTTCAGACTTTGGAAGATTTGCATATATACAATGAGGTATCTTGGGGATGGGACCCAAGTCTAAACACGAAATTCATTGATTTCATATGCACCTTACACACATAGCCTGAAGGTAATTTTATGAAATTTTTAAATAATTTTGTGCATGAAACAGTTTAGACTGCATTTTGAATTTTGATTGCCACCTGTCACACAAGGTCAGGTGTGGAATTTTCCACTTGTGGCATCCTGTCGGTGCTGAAAAGTTTTAGATTTTAGAGCATTTCAGATTTTGGATTTTTAGATTAGGGATGCTCGACTGAACTTATCTATCCCAGAATTCTAGGTACTTTTTCCTTTTTTTTTCTTTTTTTTTTTTTTTTTGAGATAGGGTCTTCCTCTGTTGCCCAGGCTGGAGTACAGTGGTGTGATCATGGCTCACTGCAGCCTTGACCTCCTGGGCTCAAGTGACCTCCTACCTCAGGCTCCCGTGTAGCTGGGACCATAGGCATGTGTCACCATGCCCAGCTAATTTTTTAATTTTTTTTTTTTAGAGATGAGGTCTTGCTATGTTGCTCAGGCTGGTCTTGAACTCCTAGCCTCAAATGATCTCCCACCTCAGCCTCTCAGCATTGGGACTACAGGCATGAGCCACCCTGCCTGGCCAGTACTTTTTCAATCAATAAGATTGCCAAATATTTAAATGGTCCCTATTCATACTAATGAAGACCATTTGTAATCGTATGATTAGTTTTTAATTTTTAAGAGACAAGTGTCTATGTCACTCAGGAGTACAGTGGCATGATCATGGCTCAACACAGCCTTGACCCCCTGGGCTCAAATGATCCTCCTCAGCCTCCCAAGTAACTAGGACTCAGGCGCACTCTACTATGGTAATTAAAAATAAAATCTTTTGTAGAGATGGGGTCTTGCTGTGTTGCCCACTGGTCTCAAACTCCTGGGTTCAGGGGGTCCTCCCACTTCAGCCTCCCAAAGTGTTGGGATTACTGGGTGAGCCATCACACCCTGCCCAGTCTTATTTGATGGTTAAGGAGAATACAGTTGATAGCTGTGCTTGAACATGTAGTTTCTCCTTATGTATAAGTACTTACAAACGTCTAAACACAAGAGGACGTTGTTTAAAAATCTGAAAGAGACGACATAATTAGAAGATATCTTTCAAAGCAATATTATTTTATGAAGAAAGAAGGGAAGGAAAGCATGTGAGACAGTTCAAGGATGAGGGGATGAGGTACAAAGAAAGGTGGAAGGAAAGAAGGTAGGGAAAAAGAAAAGCAAGGAAACATGATGGCGACATGATTCTTGGTGTTACCTAATGCCGTCTCCCCTGGTGGCCCTGGGCATAGGGACATGTTCTTGTGTGTGTGGCTGGTCTGCACACTCGAGTGAAGTCAGTGCAGCTACGCATTGCTGCTACACTGCCACTGTTTCTCCTAGTTTAATAGAGAACCTTCTAGGAGGCAAAAATTTCTTACCATTAATCTTATACTCCCAAAATAGTGAGACAGAAGTTGCATGGCGTCTACGCTGGGAAAATTTCAAACATGATCCCTCCTTGGATATTTTGTCTTCACCCACTTGGGATGCTTGCCAATCACAGGCGCTATCTCCCGCATCTTTATGCCATGGTGCCCGTCCAGCACACACCCTTGTGGGCTCGTCTCCAGGACCCAGTCTCAGTACGGCTTGCCAGCTGATGAGAAACTCTACATCATTTTGCAATAAATTCTGCAACTTACCTGCTTTCTTGAACTCTCATACACACCCTTCCCCAGTCACTTATTTTATTTTTCGAGACAAGAGTTTTGCTCGTTGCCCAGGCTGGAGTGCAGTGGTGTGATCTTGGCTCACTGCAACCTCTGCCTCCCAGGTTCAAGCAATTCTCCTGCCTCATCCTCCCAAGTAGCTGAGATTACAGGCATGTGCCACCATGCCCGGCTAATTGTGTATTTTTAGTAGAGACGGTGTTTCACCACGTTGGTCAGGCTGGCGTCGAACTCCTGACCTCAGGTGATTGCCCGCCTCAGCCTCCCAAAGCTCTGGGATTACAAGTGTGAGCTACTGCGCCCGGCTGCCCCCAGTCACTTCTTTAAAGAGGCTATGGACCAAGTTGTCAGGCAAGGAAAATGAAATCCTGCTTTCACCTTCTGTGTTTGGGCTGGGGTGTTTGTTTATAGCTGACTCACTGTTTCAACAAGTCTGTTGATCAGGATTTGATTATTGTACACACTTCAATCTACTCCATGATTTTGTGACTTGTTGCTGAAACTTTTAAAGGGGAGGCTGCAATTTTTAGGATATGAAAAGACAGCCTTAAAGTAAAAACATATTTCTGACTTTAACCACAATTATGCAATTTTTCTGTGTGACATTGAAAAAAAGTGTCCCAGTGAAGATGTACAAATTTAGAAAGGATAAAATAACCTCCTCTTTTGAGGTTTTGATCTCAAAAACATCTTATGACAAAAAAATAGCCGGTTAACAATTCGCCTATAGATGAAGAAACCTAAGGCAGCAGCTAGCTGGAGCCTCCTTTGCTTCTTCACAGGCCGTTCTGTAATCTCATACGCTCTGCTGTACAGCACTGGCTTTGAAGAATATTTGGGCAGCTTCAAGAACCCACCTTCTCAAGGCTATGCAGGGACCAGGTCGGCCTCAGGGTCCTCCTCCCAGGAACTCCCGTTGTGGAAGTTCTTGAAGCTGGCCTCTTCCCCACAGGGCCTTGTGGACTTTCTGAGCTGCCTCCTGTCCTAAACTGAGCCAATGCTAAGGATCAAGGTTTAGGAGGTTAAGAGATCTGATAGCTCAGAAAAATGTAAAAAACTATGGAGGATACAAAAGTGAACCATGTGAAGCAATCTCACTGAGAGCCTTGAAGTTCCTTGGTTTGTACATTTCACAGAAAGGAGTAATTCTAATTGAGTGGCAACCCTCCTTTCTGGTTTATTACTAACCTTGTTTGTGGCTTAGGTACCTGAGTTGATTTTTTTTTTTTCTTTTTCTGAGACAAAGTATTGCTCTGTTGCCCAGGCTGAGTGCAAGTGGCGTGATCCTGGCTCACTGCAACCTCTGCCTCCCAGGTTCAAGCAATTCTCCTGCCTCAGCCTCCTGAGTAGCTGGGATTATAGGCATGTGCCACCACACCCGGCTGTTTTTTGCATTTTTAGTAGAGACAGGGTTTCACCATGTTGGCCAGGCTGGTTTTGAACTACTGACCTCAAGTGATCCACCCACCTCAGCCTCCCTCTCGGATTACAGGCATGAGCCACCGTGCCAGGCATTTTTTTTTTTTAGTAAGATAAAATAAGTATAAAGCATAAAGATGGTTGTATATTAACTTTTTCTGATACTCTAATGATGTTTTTAAATAACTATACTTTCTAAATAAGAGATTTTTAAAATAAAAATCATCCCTCATGTTATGCTACTTGTAACAAAACACGGAGAGGTTTCTTTCCTGAGCCCCCTCCTTCTTCCTCCATTCCTATCAGCTGTTCATGTCGTTCTATATGAAACACTGGTCTACAGAACATTTTCAAGTATATTTACTCTTTATTGCATTCCTTCATTTGCATTAAACAATATTTTTTCAATACAGTTTTGGACAAAACACAAAGACATTAAGCTCATTTAACAAGAGACATAAGTTAACACAATGTGTGCTGCTTTCATGAGGAGGAAAGAGGCAAGATCTTAGAGGAATCCAGGATACTGGCCACCAGGAATCACAGGATCTCACAATACAATCCACTTCTTTAAAAGCCACAAAATAAGCTAGGGAAGAAAACCCAAAACAAAGAAGATATGACATCCAAGTCTCCACCAAAAGTATACAAATGGCAAGATTTGGAGATGATCTGCTTTCTCACATGAGGACAAATAACAGAGGAGCCACACCCAAGTGCCACTGTGGCCACAAGCCTCATGGGTGGCGTGTGAGGTAAGCACCTTAGGATGGCTTCTAATTGCTTGTCCTTGCATTTTAAGCAGCAGTTGGGAGAGAGAGGCACACTCCATAAGTCTCATCACCAAATATGACCTAATTAAATTCCTGCTAAGTCAGTCAGTTGTAAGACAAATCACCCTCAAAAGGACTCAACGGGTGCTTCCTTTTGGAAGAAGTGTGTGGAGGGTAAAGGAAATGTGTTCAATGTATTGGAATGGACAATAAAGGACTGAGGGAGAGGGCTAGAAAATGATTGATTTTTCTGGAGAATAGTGTTTTAGACACTAGATAGTACAGATCATTTAAAATAAAGGATAAATTCTAAGTAAGTCATTAAGCTAAGGAAAAAGCAGTGATACTAGTAAGCCTTAATATTATACTAAGGAATTGACCCACTTGGAGTTGGACACTAATTAGTGCTGAGAGGTTTGTAAATTACTTTAATAACTCCTTTCTGTTTGGGGGTGTATGCTTTTTCCATACCTATCTTTCACATGTTTTTAACAACATCTTCTAAGTGGTAATAATGAGCATATCTCTTACCACAGAGCAAATTAGTTATACTTAAGGGGAAGTCACAACCAACACGGTAGTCATCTGACTTTCTATTAAGAAAGATCTTCTGACTGCAACTTGAAAACATCTCTGACAATGATTGAGAACAGCATTTTAGAGATTCAATGCCTTGTTTCTTCAGGCAAAGAGAATACCAGTCTTGTGGGAGACCTTTAACCAAATACCCAGTGACTTTTAGTGTTAGCTCAGGACAGCTGTCAGAGGATCTCTGGCCCACACCTCGATTTACTAAGCCAGATTTGCATGTAGAAAGTCTGCCTTCTAATCGGCCAACTGTTGTCATGCAACATTCATGACACTGACTGAGAGTTTTCAAGGGTGATGGTGCTAGTAGAGAGGTTGAAACGTGTAGTGTCCACAAGTACTGGATGGTTCCCACCCAGAGGGACTGAGCAAGAAGGAATCACTTTAGCCTGCATGGGAAGGTAAGCGCAGCATTCTAAACCAAATTGACACCTTCCACGAGACACTAAGCTATCTCAGTATGCATAAGGAAGGGAGTTTTATTGCACTAATCATGCAGAGCGAGCACATGTTGAAGGTAGAGAACGTTCCACTTAGTCCAGTATCTTGAGTAAGACAGTGAAGATCCTAGGCCATCTTCACCTTGGTCACTTCCCTTGGTCACTGTGTGTTTCAAATAGTTCATTTTCAATCAAAATCAAGGGGGCTACTGCAAAAGAAATACCAAAACACAAAAAAACAGATGAGGGTCCGTAAAAAACTATTCATCAAAAAAAAAAAAAAAAAAATCACTAAAAGCTTCTTAATGGTTATCCTACATTTCCCACTATGCATTTGCTATTAGATGAGCACTTCACAAAAGAAAATGGTCACAGCTCCATGCATGTAAAAGCAGGTTCCAATAAATATGTACCATTAAGTTTTTCCTGCATTGTGACAAGGAAGTTTTGCGAAGCAGGACAGGGAGAGCAAACCAACAGTACAACCAACTTCCTTGCTTGGTCTCTCGGACCTACAACACAGCGAAGAATTCAAATAAATGGAAACAAACTTATCTAGGAAAGCAACTCTTAGAATAGGCACAGGGATTTAACAGGGTGGTAAGTTTGGTTGATGGTCATTAAATGTTGTATGTACTTACGCTCCTTCTTCTCTTAAGAGGGCCAAGAATTTTCTCACACGGTATTCAGGATCCATCTAAATACATCAGAAGAAATGAAGATGGGTTAATGGTACCTTCTAACAACTCTGCACTTGCTTCATGAGAAGGCAGTGTTCGGTTTCACACTTCATCAATGCTCTGCTAGGTCACTGAATGTGTTACCTGCTCCTTGACCAGCATTCTCACACAAAACAAAGCAGATCACATCATTTGGAGGAAGTGAATGGGGTTTTCCAGAACTATGTACACTGGGTTCCAAAAGACCCAAGCCCGCTGGCCATCATAGGCACTTGGGCCAGGCGTGCCCTGTGCTGATGCCTGTGAGGCATCGCTGTGAGACTGGACAGGGCCATTCATCAGAGTTCAAATGACAACCAATTCACCTGTTGAAGGTGTAAAAGGCTACTAAAGTCACAGCAAAGTAGAAGATACCAAGTTGAGGTTAATTCAACAACTAAAAAATAGCTTATTAACTCTACATAACCAACCATGTAGCTTTTCTTAGCCTCAGTATCCGTCATATAGTTTCTTCTTTGTAGTAACAAAGTTGTGCTAAAACTAAAAAAATGAAGAGTACTGCTGATTCCTGAAATCATCTCCAGATGAATCTGGGTCTCCTGTGACTGCGAATGTGTCATGAGTCTAAGAAAAGATGGCGCAACTTTGTTTCAGGTGCTTCGTTCAGGTCGTTATTATTAGCTATCTCGACTGGTTTTCATTTTCTATTCATATTTATACTAACTCGTTAAATGTACTTTATTCTCGTAGGCCCACAGGAGATATGAAGTTATCTAGAAAACAATCGTTAAAAACATCTTTAGTTCCTGAAGATGAATTTTTATTGTAAGAAACACACCTAACTTTTAAAATATGTTTCAGAGCAGGAGTCTGTTTCCCAAGAGGGAACTCCCTGCCCTCCAGGAATAACTTTCAAATGCTCAGTGCAGCTGTGGGGAGATGTGCAATTGGACTCCCACTCCAACCACGGATTTTTTTTTCTTTTCTTTCTTTTTTTTTTAAGATTTCTTCTATCCCAGAAAAACACTGAACAGAAGTTTCAAATGTATCAAAGGTAAGAGGTCAGACTACAAAGGACTAAGAAAAAGTGTGAATAGCTAACAAAAGAAACATTTTTCCTTTTTGGGAATAGAATTACATATGAATCAATTGTCAAGTTCTTAAAAAAAAAAAAAAAAAAAGAACTGGCTGGAGCGCAGTTGTAGTTGGTACTTGCAGTTCTTTGCCCATTAAATATATTTAATATGTGTGAGCAACAACTTACTGACTTGCCTGTAGCTATGGAATTAAAAGTCAGGAGAAAGGGAGGAAAAAAGTAATCTAGATAAATGACTTTATTCCCTCAGGTGACATCCAGTCAGAGCAGATCCTCAGCTCTGTGCAAGTTTTAACAGAATAGCATGTAGTGAACAGAGAGGTACCACGACTTATATTCTGCAAAACTACATGCCTCTTCACTTAGGTTCAGCCTCTCTAAGGCAGATCTAAAGAGAATTCACTCAGCTGCACGAAATCCATTTGACATGAAG
This sequence comes from Homo sapiens, assembly GCF_000001405.40. Classification (NCBI taxonomy): domain Eukaryota; kingdom Metazoa; phylum Chordata; class Mammalia; order Primates; family Hominidae; genus Homo; species Homo sapiens. Next base: position 46,753,801 of record NC_000017.11, on the reverse strand, counting down.
GGGTTCAAACTCAGAGGCCTATGAAATGTCAGTCGCTGAAGATCAGGCCTGAGTGCCCCACTCTCACTCTCTATCCCACATGCATAAGAAGCATTAACTTGATCACTGACCTGCAGGCATCAAAGGAAGGGAAAGGGATGAGGGTTGGGGAAAAAATCCACATAGTTTCTTCTATGCAATTATTGAAAAAAAATTATACTGAAACTTAAAAAAAAAGAAGCTGACAATCTGACAGATTTATCTTTTTTTCAAGGAAAGAGCCAATACACCTGTATTTGCACTTTTACCAAGAATAAGTCTAAACAAAGTGGTTAGTCTGTGACTTTAATTTATGGCTCATAATGGAAAATAAATTAATTGACTTAAAAATAGTCCATCTGAAAGCTCAGTAGATTAAATTAGATTTCTGAAAGTCAAAAAAATTTTATTTTCAGATAAATTTACCAGAAAAGATTAAAAAGCATTCACTTCACGTTTCCAATTTGTTATTGGTCCAAGAGCCTATTTCAGATGTAACTGTGAAACAGAAACTTCACCTCTGCCGCTCACTGCCCACACTAGCAGAATGCAGGACCATCAGTAAGTAACACATGATGCCTAGAATACAGCCACTCTGTCCACCTAGATGGACCTAGTAACACCTAGTAACACATGATGCCTAGAATACAGCCACTCTGTCCATTTACCTAACTGTAAAATGAATTTACAGTTATTCATCCAACAGAAGTTTACTGGCCGGGCGCAGTGGCTCACACCTGTAATCCCAACATTTTGGGAGGCCGAGGCGGGCAGATCACCTGAGGTCAGTAGATCGAGACCGGCTTGGCCAACATGGTGAAACCCCATCTCTACTAAAAATACAAAAAATTAGCCAGGCATGGTGGGTGGGCGCCTGTAATCCCAGCTACTCAGGAGGCCGAGGCAGGAGAATCCCTTGAACCCGGGAGGTGGAAGCTGCAGTGAGCCGAGATCATGCCACTACTCAAGCCTGGGCAACAGAGCGAGACTCCGTCTCAAAAGAAAAAAAAAGAAAAAAAGTTACCGAGGGCCAGGCATAGTGGTGCATGCCTGTAATCCCAGCACTCTGGGAGGCTGAGGCAGACGGATTACTTGAGCTCGGGAGTTCAAGACCAGCCTGGGCAACATAGTGAAACCATGTTTCTACAAAAAATACAAAAATTAGTTGAGTGTGGTAGCACACGCTGGTAGTCCCAGCTACTTGGGAGGCTGAGACGGGAGGAACGCCTGAGCCTGCGAGGTCAAAACTGCAGTAAGCCATGATCATGGCACTGCATTCCGGCCTGGGAGACAGAGCGAGACCCTGTCTCAAAATAATAATAATAATAATAAAAGTTTACTGAGCACCTTCATATGTGTTGGCTCTGTTCCAGGGGCTGTGGACTCAATAGTAAGAGCCAAGGTCTCTGAACTCATAGGGCTTGATAGGGAGGTATTTATCAGCTACCTAGTATGTCAGATAAGGACAAGAAGACACAGCATGGGCACATGGAAGGGTGGAGTTCTAAAATGAAGAAAGGTAAGTTGCCAGGAGATATGAGAAAGTCCCAAAGAAGTTTCATCTGTCTTTGCCCAGGCAGCACCCTGGGGCTCAGTTTTCTATGTGATTCTGGATGCTTCAACCCTACAGTAGTTTGCATGAAATTTCTAGGAGCCCAGCCAGGGACAAATATACAGATCCCAAGTCTAGACTGCACAACTTAATTAACTTGTCCCTTAAAGCAGTCTCCCAGACACCGTTTGGTATATGTGCAGTCGCTTACTGACTTGAGGTGCAACACCATCCCTTCTCCATCAATAACCTGGTGATGTGATCTTGGATAATTCACTGACAGCCTGTGGCTCACATAGTATCCTTATCTCCAAAATGAGGGGGCAGAAGAACGACTGCTCTTTGAAGTCTTTTCTAGTTCTAAGACCTAGTGGCTCCCTAAATGAAAACTAACTTTATAATCTTTCCTTCCATTTTTGAATTTTAAGAAGTTAAAAAGTATTGTTAAGTGATCAATCTCAGAAGCAGGCTACTAATACCAAATTAAGTTTGGAAATAATATAAGAAAATCAAAACTTAAATTAATTAAAACCTTGGCAAAGGAAATACTGAACCCTCTTGGTGTGTCCTGAAGCTTTGTTCTGTCTGAGTCATACGGAGAACGAAGTACCTTACCTGTAGGGACATCTCGATCAGCATTAGTAACTTCTTGATTCCTATCCAGACCTTCTTCCCTTTGACTTGCTGTGCAATTGTGGTGCGTTCCTTATCCTTGAAGTTGCCCAAAAGCTACAAAAACAATAAACAATAATCAAAGCACTTTTACAGTGAACACATCAACATTGGTTAATTCTATTTACCTTTAAAAGAAGAGTGATAAGAACTACCTAACTGTTCAAGTTGATAGAATTCTCTCCTACTTTAAAATCCAGTCTGACCTTCACCATCCTAAACCCATTAGGTGCAATCATGAAAGTGAAAACTGGTATCTTAAACCCTGTTTTCTTATGGACCGCTATGTAACTTATATTTTCTGGGGAAAAAAATAGCTCCAATCCATAATAAATATAAGTTAAAATTTTTAACATTCTTTTCTAGGAACAATCTGTATGTGTCAAAGCAAACTCCTTTAATTCTCTTACCCAGCTTCTGCACAAAAGCTGTCTACATGGGTAACCTGAAAACATTTATCATATAGATAAATTTCAATTTTGTTGGGGGCCTTGAGGACTTTAAGAAGCTTTACTGACTCCACCACTGCTGAACAACTCAGTAGATAATATTTTCCAATAGAGCTCACCAAGTTACTTGTGAATATTGATATTAAAAGTTAAATGAAGAACGTTCTTTTTTAAAAATGACTGTCATTTTCAAAAAATTAAGAAAACATTTCTATTTCTAAACTTGTTAATAAAGTTCCTTTTACTTCTGTAGCTTTTTTTTTTTTGACATTTCTAAGGCTTTAATCATTGTTCCAACTTATTAAATGCAAGGAAATGTGCTAAAAGCCACTATGAATGGTTAATTTTTCTATACAGTGATTACCTTACCCCCACACCACCACCCATTCAAGTTTCTGGTCCAAGTAATCTATATACATCACTCATGCTGGATACAGAGCAATTAATTCCTGGCAGTTTGTAGCTGCCTACATTGAGGAATGGGAAATTAACTCACTGTCATGTATATTCATCTTTCTTCTCTAATTCCTGAAAACAACTGGAGGTACAGGTTGAGTATCCCTAATCCAAAAGTCTGAAATCTAAAATGCTCCAAAATTGGAAACTTTCTGAGTGCCAACATGACATTCAAAGGAAATGCTCACTGAAGCATTTCAGATTTCCAGATTAGAGACGCTCAACCTAAATATAATGCAATATTCCAAAATCTGAAAAAATCTGAAATCTGAAACACTTCTGGTCCTAGGCATTTTTTGTTGTTGTTAGAGTTTTGCTCCCTCACCCAGACTGGAGTGCAGTGGCACAATCTTGGCTCACTGCAACCTCCGCCTCCTGGGTTCAAGAGATTCTCCTGCTTCAGCCTCCTGAGTAGCTGGAACTACAGGTGCCCACCACCATGCCCAGCTAATTTTTGTATTTTTAGTAGAGACAGGGTTTCACCATGTTGGCCAGGCTGGTCTCGAACTCCTGACCTCAAGTGATCCACCTGCCCCGTCCTCCCAAAGTGCTGGGATTACAGGCATAAGCCACCGTGCCTGGCCTAGTCCCAGGCATTTTGGATAAGGTATATACAACCTGTAATATCCCCGGGTCCCATGTTCCAGATTAGCATAAAAACCAAACACCAGGTATAATGTGGTACTACTTATTTCAGCCTCAATTCCTTTCTTATAAACAGTGTGCAATCCATTGACTCATTTTTACCTCCAAAGCTTCCAACAGCTGCTCTCCTGTGGCAATGTTGGGCACGTGGATGGTGGTGCTGAAAGCGTTAAGCATTTCCATCTCCTGAAGGACATCTTTGCGGCTAGTGGTCCCAATGATAAGAAGCTTGCGGCCCTGATCATAGGGAGAAAATGTGTTAAAATGTACATAATAAGACTAATTAGGAAACTACAGTAAGCTTGAACACAATTTGCAAAAGACTTTTATTTAATCTTGCCGATGCAAATGATTAGGCAAAACAGAAGAAAACAATTCAGGATTTTCCTGAAAATCCTGAAAAAAGGTACCAACCACATGATTCAGAAAGTGGCAACATGTGAACAGCTCCTTCTCATTCACATCAATAAAACAATGGATTAGTAAATCAAGAAGATACACAAACAAATGGAAAGATACTGACGTGTATGTATGTAATTCCTTCCTCAGAGCCAACATGGCACATGTATGGTGGGAATTGGGGAAAAAAGATGAAATGAATAGAAAGTATGTGGCGCTGGCTTTACAAGGCTTTAGTACACTTTTTAGAAGGAGCAGGGTAATAAGAGTTTATATTTATGCAACACTGAACTGTAAAAGGCATGGGCTAAAGTGCTTTCCATAATTGTCACATTTAATATTTTTCATTTTTACTTTTAACCCCAAAATATTTTTTTAAAAAAAGTTTAAAAACTATGCCAGGCTTATGCTACCATTCTCAGTTCCCTTTCTTCAAAGGCAACCATTTTCAATTCTCTTGGCTTTTCTTCTTATATTTACTTCCTTATCTTCAAATAATAATGTTACATTACTGGTTTTAGATTTTTGTTTTCAGCTTTAAATATGATTTACTAACTTCCTACCATGGAAGATGGGGATTTATTATTAATTTTGCACTACCCCCCTTCCCCCACCACATGCCCCTTTTTACATCCTTCCGATACAGTTATTTCACAGTCTTTAGTTAAATCTATATTCAGTATTTATTATGTTTATACAAATGTGGTTTACAGCTAGGCCATGCAGAGTACTATTCAATTTCCTTTCTTGGACAACATTTTGTTTTACTGGAGTTAATTGCCTTTTTCCCCTTTGCTTAGTTTACCAGGTACTTATCACAAGTTTGTCTCTAAAACAATCACAAGTCTCCTTTCAGTATGTTCAAACACATTACATAGTTTAAAGTTGTGTTCTTGAAGAAATTCCCCTCCAGGAGTCCTGTGTGTTCACAGTTCAATCTGAAGCGGTGACTCTCTAGGCCTGGGGCACAGCTGTAGTTCTGGAGCTTTCCTCTCTCTTCTGTTAGATTCCCTGTATCCCAGCCTTCCTTTTCCTCATCTATTCCCCTGTCTATGCTGCATGTACCCAAAAGCTTCCTCAGAAAGAGTGAGGGAGGTAAAATTTTAAAGACCTTGCATGTCTGGAAATACCTTTATTCTAGCCTTACTATTGTATCCTTTGTCTTAATAGTTTGGCTAGTTGTAAAAAATAAGGTTAGAGGCCAGGTGTGGTGGCTCATGCCTATAATTCCAGTGCTGTGGGAGGCCGAGGCAGGTGGATCACCTGAGGTTCAGGAGTTTGAGACCAGCCTGACCAACATGGCGAAACCCCATCTCTACTAAAAATACAAAATTAGCTGGGCATGGTGACACGTGCCTGTAATCCCAGCTACTTGGGAGGTTGAGGTAGGAGAATGCTTGAACCCAAGAGTCAGAAGTTGCAGTGAGCCGAGCCAAGATCACGCCATTGCACTCCAGCCTGGGCAACAAGAGCGAAACTCCATCTCAAAAAAATAAATAAATAAATAAAAAGGTTAGAAATAATTTTTTTCTCACAATTTTGAAGGCACTGAAGGCTAAAAGACAAATGCTATCTGATCTTTGATCTTTTGTTTCTAACCTTTTTAATACAAAACTTTCAGAATCTTTTCTTCATTCCTATGTTCTGCAATTTGAAAACTACATATCCTAAGATGGTTCTTTCTATACTCATTTTGCTGGCACTAGATTCCTTCTTTCTAAACTGGAAATTCCAATCATTCAGTTCTAGGAAATACATTTCCTTGAGATTTCCTCCCATTCATTTTCTCTGTATCACCCACTGGGAACCTCTTAGTTGGATACTGATTCTCTAGGACTAATCTTCTAATTTTCTTATTTACTCTTAGTTTTTATTTCTTTCTCTTTCTAATACTTTTCAGGTTAGTATCAATTTTATCTTCCAACCTTTACACTAACTTATTTTTCAGTTCTAAGAGCTCTTCTTGTTTTCTGAATGTTTTCTTTTTTAATTGCATCCTGTGCAATTAAAATACAATATCTTGTTTTAGATCTCTGAGGCCGGTGGCTCACACCTGTAATCCCAGCACTTTGGGAGGCTGAGATGGACAGATCACTTGAGCCCAGGAGTTTGAGACTTGTCTAGGTAACATGGCGAAACCTCATCTCAACAAAAATACCAAAATTAGCCGGGTGTGGTGGCAAATGCCTGTCGTCCCAGGTACCTGGGAGCCTGAGGTGAGCAGATCGCTTGAGCCAAGGAGTTTGAGGCTGGAGTGAGCCGAGATGGCACCACTGCACTCCTGCCTGGGTGACAAAGTGAGACTCTGTCTCAAAAAACAAACTTGTGAATATTATAGATTGCAAAAATGATGTTTTCTTCTGTTCCTTGTTTTGTCTGTTTCCTATGACTTGCCCCTTTTTCCAATTTGTTTTCTGGAGGCTTTCCTCAAGTGTCTGGTGATTGCTGGATAGCTAATTCACATTTAAGAGCTAAACTATGAATGGAAATACTGTGTCGGGGGGCTTCACTATAGGATGATCAGGTAAGACCTGGCTGATTACTGGGGGTCCTTCAAAGGTCAGTATGTGTACATTTTTCCCAGAGAAGAATCTTCCAGTCTCCTTCCCAAAGACTATAAAGCCTCGTTGCCAGCATACTGGAGTCAACAGGGTAATGTTTCTGGGTATCTCGCCATTTAATAGGGACACCTCCACTTAATCCTCTTTGTAGTATGGCACCTCTCCAGATCAGTCTCTCAATTAATTTTCATTATAATCATGAAAATTCAGTACTACTACTATCCCCATTTTACTGATGAAGCTATTGAATCTCACAGATATAAGTCATTTGTGTTCAAGGCAAGTCATTTGTGTTCAAGGCCAAATAACCAATACATGATGGAGCCAAGACTGGAAACCAGATCCAGACCTAAATCATATACTGCCTGTCTTTACAAAGAAAAACACATTACTAAAAAAGTTTACTTGGAAAATGAAAAAGGAATAAGTTTTAAACTTATGTCACTAGATTTATAATACACACTCAGTCCATAGATAAGTCTTCAGTAAAGACTAATCATTGAACCTATACACAGATCTTGGAAATTCAGAACATTAAAATAAATGGGCTATCGGGAAAAGATTTTAAGAAACCAAAATAATTTCAATTTGGGTTTGGTAAACATTATACCACTACTGTCAATAAGACACATTAGCCTTTCTCAATGTTACTCATTGTTTTTATCCACCTGCTGTGCCAAGAATGGGCAAGGTACCACCATAAACCAATGCAGATCAAAGAAACAAAGTTGAGACCCTCTGGTACAATTAGCCATTAGCTTAACAGATGACTGCGCATAGAATATGAGATAGAAGTACACCTGTGAGCATTCAGATTAAAGGGTAATCATTATTATTATTTGAGGAATCAACTAGGAAAAAATCAAATGCTTATCATCAGACATTTACCAAGTTCCTAGATGAATATGCAACAGACCTTCCACAGAAAGACAGATGCAAAATAGATAATTATAGTACAATATGGAAAGGTGGAGGTATTACGCACAAGGATGTCAGGTAGAGGGAAGAAACACGTGGCAGAGAAAGCTTTTTCTGGAGGAGATGATACATGAGTTGAGTCGTAAGGAATGAGTAGGTTGATTAGGAAGATGAAGGGGAAGGACATTCTAAGCCAGAGGAACAGAAATACCTAAGTCCAAGGGCAAAATAACAACAAAAGCTGGGTGTTGAGGTAATTACAATCGAGTAAAGACATACATTTTTACTATAACAAAAAGTGGTGCTGTTATATTTAAAGTATTTTTTAACACTAAATTCTAATGGCAAACTTGGGAACATAGCCCTAAAGGCTAACAGATGCCAAAGGCCACACATGCTGATACATCCTCAGTATGATTAAAGGTAACTGTTACTTCTCTTTTTTAGCTTTTTAATGTTCCATAGTCCATAATGCAAACTTCCTCATCTTGCTCCTCTCTCACAAAGGACAATGTTGGCCCTAGAACAGTGGCACTGAGGAAGAAGCTTCTTACTCATTCCAGAAAGCCGGACTTTTAAAATCGCTGCCAGTTTCCTCATGAGATGTTCTCTTACATTAACAGTGACTATGCTCTTCAAAGTGTTGAAAGATTGGGAAATGTAGAGCAACCATACTGGAGACGCTAATTTATGTTTTGCTTTCCTTCTTGTTTAACAAGACTCCAAAAACTGCAAAGAGGTCATGACCCAGGCAAGTTTGGGTCTTGACTTGTAAAGCGTCATCTTTAAGAAAACATTGAAAAACATTACCAAATTATTAAATTGTGCTGGGCCATTTTGTGTATTAATTAGTGGTAGTGCTCATAAGGAAGCTTTATCATGAAAAACAGCTCCGAATATATTAAAGTGATACATTGCATGGGATTCGTCTGAAGGGAAACACTGCCAGCAGCATGAAATGGGGATGCAGCTTTAAAAACAAAAGTGGTGCTCAACCCAAGAGGGGACCTCCACCTTCCTAATGTGTGGCCACCAGTCTTAATGTCCACAGTGCCCAAACATGCCCCTTGACGGAAAGCAAAAAAAAAAGCACAGAGTGATAACCTATTTGGGAAAAAAGAAATTGCTCCCAGCATACTCTTTACTGAGATTTGCTAGTCCTGATGCTATAAAGAAAAAGCCTAAGTAAAATGACTATCTGCCAATCGGATTATGATAAACATTGTTCCAAGGTTAAATAAGTATTAGTTAACTAATTCTTAGTACCATAAGCAGCAACTCAGGTGAAAACATTTCCATGAAAAAGGCAGGGCTCAGTCAGGTGTTGATCCTTCAAAAAAAACACTTCTTTACATGATGAAGAATGAGCGAGTACTAAGCAGCATCTAAGCCTTTTGCCACACAAAGGACCAACCAGATAATCCACACCCTTTCATAGGTCTTGCCCATTGATTGGACCCAATAAACTGATTTGTAACAAAAGTTCAAGTGGAAGAAAGCTTTTTTTTTTCCCTAAATAAAAATGCCACTAATATAATACTGCAGTGAAATGGAAGGGCTGATTTCAACCTATGAACAAAAGTAAAGTCAGTTATGCAGGAAAGAAAGGCCATTCTTTCCATATCATTCAATGCTGAGCAAGTGTAATACACCCTTGGTAAGAAGAATTAACTGTGAACAATTGAAAACCCTGAAATGGATTAAGAAGTGAGTTTAAAAGTGCAACTCAAAACTGCTATGTGCTGGGGGCATTAAACTTTATTTTCTGCTTAGTAGAATCTGATGTTTTTGTAAATGAGAGTGAAATATTTCAGAATATTAAGCATTTGTAAATCTGGTAAGTAAAATATGAAATAGACATTAGCCAATTGGAGCATTAACAATAATTTACTCCTTTTAGGTACTTAATAGAATTATGAGATTTGGTTTGTGCCTTCAAATAAGTTACAACTTAGCTGGGAAAACCAAATAAATATTCAGGGAACACAACCAAGTAACACACTCGCAAATACAAACTAATCATGGCGGAGGGCACCCGGTTTATGGGGACAGTTTCCTGGAGGGGGGTTATCTAGGAAGGTTATCCGTAGTACTGCAAAGACAATGACAACAAGTAGGCACTGGCAAGGCCCTTGAAAAGAAGGGACAGGTCCTGAATGCGCCTAAATCCTATGTGTGTGGTAGAAGCAGCTGAGACAGAGCACCAAGGCTGAAAACGAAGTTGTCTGCAGACACAGGGAGGGAACAATCAGCAAAAGGCAGACTCGGGATGCTAAACTAAGGGAAATATTTAATATAAAAAGCAACAGGAAACCAGAGAAGGCTCTTGAGGAGGAAGACCTGTGATGGAGAAGAGGGTTCTGGCAGCCACAGGCAGGAGGTCTACCTCTTAGGGGCCTGTGAGGAGCTGCTGCCCCAAGGACAGGCCAGTTGTAAGAGTGAGCATCTCCAGGGACCATGCTGCACCTTTTAACCAGTGTCTTATGCATATGATGTCCTTTTTAAGGCAAGCCCAGGGCTGGCAGAAAGCAATGGTGAGGCAAGTCCCCTGATGGACAGGTAGCTTGGTGCAACAGAAGTAGAGGCCCCATCACTCACAGCTGTGTGATTTGGGGTAGATTATTTAACTTCTCAGCATCTATCTCCTCCTCAACCATAAATATGCGATGAGAAAATTCTACCTACTTATGAGAATAGAGTGTGAGGTGGAGATTCCTGAGGCGGGGTCTCTGTCATCACAGTCAGAACAGGCAAGAAGGAAAAGAAGCAAGCATCTGAACAGGTGGGCTTCAGAGGAACCTGAAGAATAGTCCTCTGCCTGTGGTGTCAGGAATCCATACGGTTAGGTCAGGTGGGTGAGGGACGGGATGCCTGAAAATCCCTCTCTTCCCAAAAACAAACACAGGGCACTGGCAGCAAATGACGCAGAGAGGCCAAGGTTGGCTCTGGGTTAGGGAAGATGAGAGCTCCCATCTTCAGCTTCACAAGGGTTACTGTGAGGCCCAGAAGAGGCCTGAAGCAAGAGGTCAGACACCCCCTCCGAAGGAGTCATGGCAGTGGGGTGACTCACAGAGAGTCAGAAGGACTCATGGCAGCGTGGGGCCTCAGGGAGAGGCAGCAACTTCTGAGGAGGAAATTGGCTCAGAGCCAAGAGTAAGAAGCTTTCCTGGTAGAGGTCCTTTGGTCTATCACTTAACCTGGCTTCATTCTTGAAATAGGAATAATTTTTCATATTTTCTTAGCTTGTATTATTCAACAGAGACCCTTAGAAAAATTCTACCTTGCCATAGTGCTTCTCTGCATTTATCTTCAAGCCTGAATCTTGTTTCTAGCCTGTCAACTCCCCGATGGTAGAAACCACGTATCATCCATCTGCGCCCTTGCAGTACTCAGCATGGCATGCCTGGCACACAGAGAGGATTCCTCTGCCTGGAATGCTCTTCCCTTCCATAGCCACACAGGCCTTTCCCTCCAAGTCAAGGACCTGCCTGAATGTCAGCTTTTCCACAGGCCAACTCAATCCCCACATACCTCCATTTAAAACTGCAACTCCCCAACCCTTATCCTGCCCTTTCCCTCCTCCAGTTTGGATCGCCTTTTACATACTATATACTTACTATATTTACTGTATTTCTTGCTAGTTCTCCTTCATCAGGACAGGACTTAAGTCGGTTTGGCTTTACTGATGTTTCCAGGGCTAGCATACTGCCTTGTACAAAGTACAAAGTTAATAAATATGCACTGAATGAATGATAATCCCAGTATAGCTTTCAAGGGTAGCAGATCACTCCTTCATTATTACTTTCTGGTCCTAGAAAAATGCACATTATATTAAGTGTCCAAAAGGAAAGTAACTATCATTTCAGAGTCTACACCTCTGAGCCCCAAGTGTTGATAGCAACAAATTTTAAAGAAAATAATCTAGAATGAACGGCATGTATGCTTCGTGCCAAAGTCTGGCTTATCTCTTTTAATCAATTGATTAGCTATTGACTGGATAACACAGACTTCTCTAGCAGAGGAAAGATAAGATTCATTAGCTGTCATTAACCTAAGCTAGTGAGATAACAAGTACTATTGGCCAGTGCAGTGGCTCACACCTATAATCTCAACACTTTGGGAGGCCGAGGCGGGTGGATCACGAGGTCAGGAGTTGGAGACTAGCCTGACCAACACGGTGAAATGCTGTCTCTACTAAATTAGCCAGGCGTGGTGGCACATGCCTGTAATCCCAGCTACTAAGGAGGCTGAGGCAGGAGAACGCTTGAACCTGGGAGGCGGAGGTTGCAGTGAGCCGAGATGGCGCCACTGCACTCCAGCCTGGGCAACAAGAGCAAAACATCTCAAAACAACAACAACAAAAACAAAAACCAAGTACTATTAACATCTCCTACAACTCTTGGTTTCCCCAAACCAAGGGAAAAGATCGACTACCATTAAAAGCAACCAGAGACAAGTGAAGGGAGAGGAATTGGGCCTCTTTGCATGCATTTCTGATTTCTCTTGTTTAAATGCCTGTAACTTTTTCTTTTCTTTTTTTTTTGCAGTTAAATGTTTAAGCTGAATACCAAAGGAAGGATGTTTCAAATAAATCATGCCACAACTAGGCAGGCAACTACACTTAAACTCTCCATTAGATTTTACCCTGAAGCAAATTCTTAGTCTACTTCTTTGTAACCATCCTCATGGTGCTGCAAGCAGGACAGAAGACAATAAGGGGGGGAATTCATGATACAGACTGAATATGAAACGAGAAACTGAACCCTTAATAATTTAAAATACTATAGGCAAAAGCAGACTTCATGATATTAAAGGATATCTAATTCCAATTTGTGAAAAAGACACTGAATCATCAGATTTTACATTGGGAGCAGCTCTTAAAGATTACCTCATTCCCCCAAACCCCCTCATTCTCTGTCTCATTTTGCAGATGAGAAACCTGGGGTGAGAGGTAAAGTGATCTGTCTGAGGCTCTCATGTCCAGTGAGGGAGCTGAAACTACAGTTCAGGCCTCATTGCTATTTTCACTATGCTTTGCTGTCTACTGTTTTTATTTGTGTAATTTTAAACTAGATTTGGGGTCCACTCTTGCCCCTGCCCCCACAAGCCCCATATCAGCAATGGCTGATCTCTTAATTTGAGTTAGGGAGATTTATTACCTAGAAATAATGACCTCTGTGCTCTTAGGAGAAAAGGTTAAATAAATTAAGAAGATATTGAGACGGGCAGATCACCAACGGTCAGGATTTCAAGACCAGCCTGGCCAACATGGTAAAACCCCATCTCTACTAAAAATACAAAAATTAGCTGGACGTGGTGGTGCATGCCTGTAATCCCAGCTACTTGTGGGGCTGAGGTAGGAGAATCACTTGAACCCAGGAGGCGGAGGTTGCAGTGAGCCGAAATCGTGCCATTGTACTCCAGCCCAGGCAACAAGAGCAAAACTTGGTGTCCAAAAAAAAAAAAAAAGAAAAAGATAAAGTTGTACTGACCATGCCATAGTATTCTTAATACCTTAAAGGAAGGGTTCTGTGCATGCTCTCTCATTAGAAACTTAACTAAGATGACCACACATTAATCAGCAAATCCAAACTCCCCACTCTTATATCCACAGTAGATTTTCCCTACCTATCTCAGCTTTTAGCTTGATATACCCTAAATTGACCCCTGTGTTCTAATCAGGTCAATATTCTCCTTTCTAATTTAATTTTTACCTCTGTGATTTTTATCCATAGCATTTGTTTATTAAAATGCTTTCTCCAGTTTTCTGCCAATTTGCAATTGTCTCTTATGTTCACAATGTTTCAAAATTTGCCTTCTCACCATACCCTGCCCTCATTTAACCCTACAGAGCCCACATTGCTCCTTTAGGCCCCAAACTTCCAGAACATGAATTTACTATATCCAATAATAATGCCTTACTTATCTGGAGGCCAATCTGCTAAACAATTTCAACTATCCAGAGCACAGCCAAGAACCAGAAATAAGCAAAAATCCTCTCACTCCTAGTACTGAAAAAACAATGTGAGGTTCAAGTAACTTTAAAACTGACAGGCAAGGACAACTTACCCACTAGACACAGTGCCCAGGGCCTATGAAACTTTGAGGAACCCATGAAAGTATTATTCTAATTTCTTTTAAAATCAGGCCAGGCCTGTAATCCCAGCACTTTGGGAGGCTGAGGAGGGCGGATCACTTGAGGCCAGGAGTTTGAGACCAGTCTGGCCAATATGGTGAAACCTCATCTCTGCTAAAAATACAAAAAATTATCTGGGTGTGGTGGTGTGCGCCTGTAGTCCCAGCTACTTGGGAGGCTGAGGCATGAGAATTGCTTGAACCCGGGAGGCAGAGGTTGCAGTGAGTTGAGATCGCGCCACTGCACTCCTGGAAAAAAAAAAATCAGAAAAAAAGAACTTTTTGGTGGAAGAAAATATTAATATAGTAATATATTCAGCTTTGTACCAACAGGTGGAAAATTTATTTTTTTTTTTAGTAGAGGAAGGGGCCCACAGGAGTCAAAATGGGGCCTTGCTCTCTGGAAGGCCTCTCCAGCTCTCACTGCAGCCCAGTTTTATGTTTTTGTGTTTTTTTCGAGACAAGGTCTCACTCTGGTTGCCCAGGCTGGAGTGCAGTTGCATGATCTCCACTCACTGCAGCCTCGACCTCCTGGGCTCAGGTGATTCTCCCACTTCAGCCTCCCGAGTAGCTGGAATTACAGGTGTGCACCACCATGCTTGGCTTTTTTTTTTTTTTTTTTTTTTGAGACAGAGTCTCGCTCTGTTGCCCAGGCTGGAGTGCAGTGGCGCGATCTCGGCTCGCTGCAACCTCCACCTCCTGGGTTCAAGCGATTCTCCTGCCTCAGCCTCCTGAGTAGCTGGGACTACAGACGCCTGTCACCATGCCTGGCTAATTTTTGTATTTTTAGTAGAGGCGGGGGTTTCACCATACTGGCCAGGCTGGTCTCGAACTCCTGACCTTGAATGATCCACCTACCTTGGCCTCCCAAAGTGCTGGGATTACGGGTGTGAGCCACCGTGCCTGGACTTTTTTGTATTTTTAGTAGAGATGGGGTTTTGCCATATTGCCCAGGCTGGTCTAGAAGTCCTGGACTCAAGCGATCCTCCTGCCTTGGCCTCCCAAAGTGCTGGGATTACGGGTGTGAGCCACCGTGCCTGGACTTTTTTGTATTTTTAGTAGAGATGGGGTTTTGCCATATTGCCCAGGCTGGTCTAGAAGTCCTGGACTCAAGTGATCCTCCTGCCTTGGCCTCCCAAAGTGCTGGGATTATAGGCGTAAGCCACTGCGCCCAACCACAGTTTAGTTCTCTTACTGTATGAACAGCTCATGAATCCTGGTGGTTGCCTGCCTTAATTTATAGCAGATGAAAGCAGCACACTGGAAAAAGGAGTCATCAGAGGCAGGCCAGCTGACACAACTCACTTGGATTCTGCAAGTAACAGCTGATAGCAAAACCACTAAAAAAAGAAAAGGTACAAAAAACTCAACAAACAGGGCACACCGTATCTACCTAACAGGCACCAGGACGGAATCCTGTATATTCCAACAGTTCCTGCTGAGTCCCACCCATGAAAATACTGACCCATCAATTATGGTTTGTTATGATGGTCCTTATTCATTAACATAGAGTTTATTATACTTTGCTTCAGACACTAAGAATGTATGTAGCAATTTTTTTCCTCTTAAAAAAGGCTAAAGTATAATAATTGATATTTAAAGAGGTTAAGCTTCAGTCATTTAGAAAAAATGAAGCCTATAATTTCTTATGAATTTCTATTCTTCCCTCCAGTGAAACTATGCCATATGAAGCCTAAGATAAGTACACAGAACATATCCTCAAATTCTCAAGTATCATATTGTACGTTAATTAAAAAAATTTAGGCTGGGTGTAATGGCTCACACCTGTAATCCCAGCACTCTGGGAAGCTGAGGTGGGTGGACTGCTTGAGCCCAGGAGTTTGAGACCAGCCTGGGTAACATGGCAAAACCCTGTCTATACAAAAAATATAAAGATTAGTCAGGTGTGGTGGTGTGCACCTGTTGTCCCAGCTACTCCAGGGGCTGAGGCGGGAGGATCAATTGAGCCCAGGAGGTAAAGGCTGCAGTGATTGAGACTGCGTCACTGCACTCCACCCTGGGCAACACAGCAAGATCCTATCTCTAATAATAATAATAATAATAATAATAATAATAATAATAATAATATGCTAATTTTAGCATACATAAATCCTTCACCTTCTCTCTCCATTGCTGCAGCGCTTGAATTCCTTAGCATGGCACAATGGCCCTGACTAAATCTCCCTTTTACTCATCTTTCAAGACCAGGATCCGAAACTACTATTTGTGAATGATTTGCACATCTTCTCAGGTAAAATGGACCACACTTTCCTTTATGTTCCACTGGAACCACGTAACATATAAAACCTAACTCTATGCATCATGTTTTCACATCTTTCTCCCACCCTGGATTGTGACAGGGACACCAGTTAGCTTCTGCATGGATCAGAAAACACACACACACACACACACACACACACACACGCACACACACCCTAGGTGAACAAATTAGAAAAAAGCAATCATCTGGGTGAGTGCAGCCACCCTTGCTTCCTTCCCCAAGCCCCAGCACCTCGTATGAGCTAAAAGGCACCCTCTTCCTCTTGTTCAGCGTTAGGGTTGCTAGAGAAATACCTGAGTATAAGTCTGACCAAAATATGGGATATGCTGATGCTAAAAAATTATGTGATGTTTTTCTGAAATTTAAATTTAACTAAGTATCCTATATTCCTATCTGCTAAATCTGGTAACCTTACTCAGGGCAGATTCAGTCCCAAACCAGGGTGGACTCCTTGGTGGGCAGCATGTGGGCTGGATGTTAACCTTCATTTGCTACTTGACCTGTGCCCACCTTGTGCACAAACTTCACAATTGAACAGTGTTCTTGGACTATGAGCCATCTGAGGGCAGGTACAATGTCTTATTCATCTTTTTATCTCTATACTGAGAAGGATTTCTTAAATGTACATCTAATAAAAGCAGATGTTCCTTAAAGAAATGTTTTAAACTTCTATGTCAAAAGAAATATTTTTGGTGAAAAAGAAACTTCCGATCTCCTTTCAATGAAGCTTAAGACAATCGTTACCATCTACCTTGGTCAACTTTAGTCACACTGGCATTCAACCATGGTAAGTTTAGATGGGGAGCATGGCACTGAGCCAAGTGCCAGGTGGGTTTCCCAGGACAACTGTGAGAGTTAGGAGGCACTTGCACACTTTTACTCCAAAACCCACAGCATATTTCAGATATTCAATTAAATCTTAAGTCATAAAAAGAACAAGGTTAAAAATATATTATACATAGACAAGCTTAGATACAAAGGTAGTCTCATTTAACCCTAGTGGTTAGCAGCAAATTAGTACCAAAGCAATGGAATTAAGGAATTTTTGACAGTTATACTGCTAAGTTAAAAATAATTGTATACACATTTTTTATTTTTTCCTGATTATCAAAGTAACATATGCTTATTGTAGAAAATCTATAAAGTACAGGAAACAATAAAGCAAAATAAAAAAGAAATCACCTATAATCCTACCATCCAAGATTAACAGGGTAAGGAGTAGAGGGAGGGCCAGGGCTTCTGGCCATTGTGAGATCCCCAAGGACACAGGAAATCTCCAAAGATCTGCATTCTTGTTTCTGGGACAGAAAGGTAGGAAAGAAACTGTGAAGCACCACTTTGTTGCACCATGAGTTAGGAGAAAAGGGGAACTTCAGCCACAAGCAACAGGTGGTGGCAGGGAAAGGAAGCAGGTGGGCCAGTCCCTGGAGGCTGAAGACAAGTGTGACCTGGTGGTGGCCTACTGATCTTGGCAATTCCTGTCTCCACTTCCTACTTCTTTCTACAACAGGAATCCCTAATCCCCAGACAAGAGTATTTGTCTTAGGATGTAGGAAGCTTCTAAATTTCAGTGAATGAGAGATGGGGAAGCAGGTTTCTTTTCCCAGTACTGCAAATGAGGGAAGTTGGGTTCAGGCATTCCAAAGTGGGAGCTCTGAACTCACTTCCTATGGAAACTTCCTCTATATAGCAGTTATTATACGTTCTTCAGTTTTCCTATCTTACAAGCTGAAAAGGTTCTGTGGACTATCCAAAGGCAATTCTTTTTTTGAGACAGAGTCTCACTCCATCCACCCAGGATGGAGTGCAGTGGTACAATCTCAGCTCACTGCAAACTCCGCCTCCTGGGTTCAAGCAATTCTCCTGCCTCAGCTTCCCGAGTCGCTGGGATTACAGGTGCACACCACCACGTCGAGCTAATTTTTGTATTTTTAGTAGAGATCGGGTTTCACTATGTTGGCCATGCTGGTTTTGAACTCCTGACCTCAAATGATCCACCTGTCTCAGCCTCCCAAAGTGCTGGGATTACAGGCATGAGCCACTGCGCCTGGACAGCTCATGTAGTCCACCAGTTTACAAAGGGCTTCACTACACATTATCTTAGCTGACCCTCAACAGAGTAGGTAACACATGAGGAATTATCTCTATTTTACAGATGAAGAAATAGACACCAAGAAATTAAGGGACGTTCAAGGCTATAATGCCAGATGATATCTGAGCTAAGACATAGGTTTCTTTTTTTTTTTTTTAAACCTCAAGTTCAATACAAAGAGTAAGTTCTACAGAAAGGGTGCTCTTAACTAGAGTCATGGCACCCATGGACTACTACGACGTTATAATCCCCACCTTTCAAAAGCTAATGTAATGCCACAGTAACTTATTTAAGGCAATGGATCTGGAAGAATACATTCTAGCAATGAAAAAATATTTCGTCTCAACACTATTAGCATTTCTCTGATGATTAAAATTTAGATATTTAATTTTGAGTTATCAGAAAATGGCATATATATCTTATAATTTATTCTGGTATTAATATCTACTATAGATGTGCTCTACCAAAACCAAAACAAAACCCTATTTTGAAAATTTGATTTTATTCAGCAGATATCTGTAGCAATGTTTTATAAAATAATTTACTTCACTGTTTTTTGTTGGTTTTGTTTTTAGAGACAGAGTCTTGCTCTATCACTCAGGCTAGAGTGCGGTGGTAAGAATCAGCTTCCTGCGGTCTTGAACTCATGGGCTCAAGCGATCCTCCTGCCTCAGCCTCCTGAATAGCTGGGTCTACGGATGCTCACCACCACATTCGACTAACTTTTTTTTGTAAAGACTGGTCTTACTATGTTGCCTAGGCTGGTCTCGAACTCCTGGCCTTAAGCAATCTTCCTGCCTTGGCCTCTCAAAGTGCTAGGATTACAGGCGTGAGCCACAATGTCTGGCCTATTTCACTGTTTTTGATACATTTGAAATTAATCTACATATATATGTACTATATATATATGTTCTTTAATACTGTCTATCTATGTAGTCCACAGGTTTACAAAGGGCTTCACTAGGCATTATCTTAGTTGATCACTATACATTCACTATACATTATCTTTCTGTCCAGAAAACAAGAACACAGATCTCTGGAAATTTCCTTTGTCCTCAGAGATATGTATATATACACACACACATGTTCAATCTACAAAGGACTTTCCAAGAAAATCTACTATACTAAGCAAAGTATACCTAAAGAGAGTATTATAAATATAGTAGGTATCTAATGTCACTGACTTACTAAGAAGGCCACTAAACTGTCAAGCATCATTTTTTTTTTTAGATAAAAGAAATGAAGCCCAATGCAAAAGTCACCACATCAGTGGATTAAAATTAATGTGTCTGGCAAAATGACTAAGCCTCTTTCCTAAAGTGGTTATATATCTTATTGAGTCATATCATAGTCATTAGCCAGAGTTAATTTTGAACAAATAGATGGAGAGATACTCATGTTTAGGCCTGCATGATTTGGAGTCTCTTCCATTATCTGCTTATTTCACTAAAGCAACCCAAAGCCTAAAGAGTTGCTTAATATTATCAAGATACCAAGATGTCCTATAACCATATCTGAAGTAAGACTGCTAAGATGTCATGTAAGGACTACATGAAAGCAATGTTGTCTAGAGACTGCTGATGTTAAAAACAAAACTCATGCAGAAACAAGTGTGTCTACCCAAGTCCCCATCCTGAGAATGCTGACAGTTTCTTATTGGTCCACACCTTAGGTCCTCCAAGCTTTAAGCTGTATTTCTCTCTTATTAGGTAATATTCCTAGGTGTCAGAGCAGCGAGGAAGTTACTATTCTCAACAACATCATAAAATTTAGCCAGAACACTAATAACTGTTAGGTCTGAGTTCTACTTCAGTAATACTGCTATGACGTTGGAGTGGTAATTCTTCTTTTGTAAAAGTTTAAAGTTTCCAAAGAGTTTTCCAATCGTTGAGCTTCAAATGAGTTATACCTGGACTAAGATATCAATTCCTGCCAGCTGTTGGGAAGGCTAGAGCCCTGGCCAGTTGTGAGTGGCCTCATCCACTTACCCAAGTGTATCATCAGATGTTATCATTTTGTATGCACCATAATCTAAAAAGGTTGGGAAGCACTGAACTGAGGAAGGATTGCTCCTCCATAAATTACGAGGCTACCCTGTTACATACAGATGAGGTTTTCCAATTTGATGCACAAAAGTGTCAAACCCAGCATTAAACAGTGAGGTTAATAGGCTTAACTACTCTCACACTTGTTGAGGAAACTGGGGAATCATGTCATTTTACAGCCCAAGGAGTTCCTTTTCAGACACTCTGTCTCCCAAAAAGAAAAAAAAAAGAAGGTGGCAGAAGAGATCTATGAGGAAAAATCAAGCCACTGGTCCTGCAGGCTGCAGGAAGAGTTACCTGGCCTTACCACTCACTACCGCTTCCTCCTTGACATTAAGACCAAGGCTTTCATCCTCCTGATCTTGAAAAGCACATTCCCCTCAACTTCCATAAATCTGCAAAACTTGAAAAGAGCCCCAGTGTCATCAAGTAAAAGAGACGGCGTTAGGAATCTCACTGGAAGGAGGGGTGTCTTCAAGCCTCTCACTGCTAAGCCGGACATTTCCTAACACTGGACAAATTGTACGTCCAGCTCAGGGAGGGTGAACTGCAGTGGTCTTTTACCCTCCAAGCCAATTGTTAGCTTTTCACAGGAATCAGCAGGGAAGCACATGTGAAACCTCTGTGTGACAGTGAGCACCCCCATGCCTTGTGTGACTCTGCATGTAGATGAAGCAGGCTGGGAGCTTTCTTAGCTGCTGCTGCTGAGTTCTCAGAGAAGCCCTTTTTTCCGGCTTGGCTCCCTGCTGGGACAGCCCTTTTCAATTTTTCTATCCCCTCTCGATCTCTTCTCCTGCAGAACACAGGGAAACTTGATTGAAATAAAGACCTAGGGAACATGTTTTATTTTCTCCTGTTCAATCCATTTTAGAAAAGCTTTTAATTGGTTTTAAAAAGATGCTAAACAAAATGTGATGATGTTTTTCACTCTTCACGAACTGCAGATACCACTTTTTATACTTTCAAAGGGCTAATAAATCAATCATGAAATTAACTCTGCAGCTAAATTTAAAGCAAATCCACTGAATACCAGGTTCATTAAAAATCTATGCATTTACTTAGAAAAATTTAAAATTCAAAGAAAATTATCCTAGTAACTGAAATCTGACTTGAATTTTTAGTTCTACACTGAAAATCCAAGACCAAGGCAATCACAAAGGGAAAAAAGGAGGGCTTGGGAACCAGTTTTAATAAGCCAATTTACAAGAAGGGAGGGGGTGGTGGGGGAGGGGTGGAAGGAGAAAAGAGAATATCTGGATACATAACAACATAGTGCCCCTGAAGGGATTCTTTTATTTGAGCACGTGCACACATGCACACACAATTTTTCTGTGTGAAAGCTGGAAATACAACAAATGCAAAATTGAGGATTCTGTGACTGATATGATTACTGTAGTGTATATAAGTATAGTTCCTCCTTTTAAAGAAAAATGCTCACAACTTTTGTTTTCTTACCAGTAATAAATATTTTTCTATCACTCTATGCATTTCTACAATATTTAGCTGAATATACCTTTAATATTTAATTAAAAACATCTGAAAAAACTATATGCTAATGGTTTGACAAAGTGAATGCTTCCATTTTACAATGACTAATATTCTTAACACTTGGATCAGCCTGAAAATTTCCCCTTATTTTCTTGAGAGAATATAAACATTTTAAAAAGCAAGGTGGTATGACAAAGCACATTTTTATTTTGTTAAATACATGCCAACTAGAAATACTACAAATATTAATTTATCCTGTTACTGATTCATGTATACTGCAGGTAATCTGGCAGTCCAGGTCAGAGTCACCAAATTCAGATTAATGACCAGATGGTATTCCCTTCAGAGAGAACCCCTGCCATTTCCAATCACTAAGGCAACCACATCTCTTACTTCTTACATATTTCTATATTCTTCCTCTTCAGTCCTTAGATAAATTCACTCCATGTTCTTTTTAAATGATCCAATTCCTCTTTCTCCCAAGCTGGGCCACGTACCTTGGATGCTCACCCCTCACTTCTAACTCTATGTCTCCTTTCATCATTTAAGTAGCTCCTAAACCACTTCTAAAAAATGTAATCGCTTGAGATATGGTTCACAGAGCACACAGTTTACCCATTTAAAGTGTACAATTCAGTATTTTAGTATATTCACAGATATACACAACACCACCAAAATCAATTTTAGAGCATTTCTATCACCCCAAAAAGAAACCCCATACCCATTAGCAGTGACCCTCTCACTCTTCTCATTCTCCCCTCCCAGCCCTAGGCCATCCCAAATATATTTTCTGTCTTTATAGATCTGCCAGTCCTGGACATTTCATGTAACTGGAATCATCCAATATGTGGTCTTTTTGACTGGCTCCTTTTGCTTAGCATGTTTTCAAAGTTCATTCATGTTGTAGTATGTAATGGTACTACTTTTTTTTATTGCTGAGTAATATTCCATTATATGGATATACTAGATTTTATCAGATAAATGTTTAGTTATGAATAATGCTGCTATGAATACTCACATACAAGCTTTCATGTGGACATATGTTTTTCATTGCTTGTAGGTGTATACTTGGTGGAATAGCTGGGTTATATGGTAACTCTATGCTTAACCTCTTGAGGAACATTCTTACCAGCAGTGCATACAGGTTCCAATTTCTCCACATCTGCACCAGCGCTTGTCATTACCTGACTTTTTGATGATAGCCATTCTAGCAGGTATGCAATGAGTGGTATCTCACTATTGGTTCTGACTTGCATTTCTCTGATGACTAATGATGTTGAGTACCTCTTCTTATACTTGTTGGCCATTTGAACTTTACTTATTTTTGAATGTTTTCACTCTTATCATATCCTGTCTAAATATAAACTCCAGCAATATGAAAACACTTGAGCCCACTAAAATGAAAAGACACTGAAAAATTTTTTTTTGTTGATAAGGTATTTGTGAAGCATGTACGTATAAGCCTCTATGCCATTGGCTGTGAGATTTAAAAGCATAAGATAATGTTCCTTCCCTCAAAAATCTTACAATAAGTTTTACAACACAGAAACAATTATTCTTAAATCTTAGTGTGGCAGATCATTCGTTAATAGTTTCTGTTTATTTCTGTTAGTATCTACTTTGGATCACAAATGCTTCTCAGCCAAGGGGGTGTACCTCTGTTTAAATCAATGTGTATAGTATTTAACAATGTAAAGAACAAGAAGTATAAGATAGCACTGAAGTTAATCTTCCTTCTCCCAAGTGACTTTTAGCATAAATTATTTTCAGCTAAAAAAGAAGAACTATTTTAAGAGATAAATTTAAATGCCTAGAAAAAGTCTCACATTCTAATAGTTTTTATAATTAATATGCTGACATAAAGTTTTTTTGTGTGCATAATATATGTAGATGTTGGGGGTAATTATTTCTGTTTCAGCAACTTTAGATATATACGTTTACTTATTTATGAAAACATTGGAGGAATCATGATATATGTAGATAATTATTTCTGTTTCAGCAACTTTAGATATATACGTTTACTTACTTAAGAAAATATTGCAGGAATCAGAGAAAGGGAAAATACACTCACCTCTCTAACTTCACCCTTAGTATAAGCTAAGACTCCAATTACTAGGAATGATGGTTTATGAAAAGCTGATTTAAAAATCCTTCCACAGTACACATATGTTGCAAATCTTCAAGACTATTATAGGTTATGTTTCTTTTCATTATTTTAGAAGTTAAAAAAAAACTCCAGAAAAACCAAGACAAGTCATTTACTTTTAAGTGCAAAATACACGCACATATATAACTGTTAAATTAAAAATTAGATTCACCAGTTTAAGAGTAAATATTTTCCTTACAGATTAGTTTCTATCTCTAACTTTAAATATGAGATTCTCATACAGACATTAAGATGCTTTTCAAGTCAGTGCTTAACTGCTTTGTACCTGCCTTTGATTGGCATTTTTCAAGGTTACAGCATGCAGAATCAATCAAGAGAACTCATGTCTTGTGACACAGCCAAACATGCTCTGGCAGCCTCTACATAATTTAACATATTTAACCAACCTTCATAGGTTGGTTTTAAATTTGTTAACCTACCAAAATCACAAGTCTCTAATAGCCACATCAGTAAAAATGCAAACACAGGAATCAAGATCCTGGCTATAAATTCACTCCTCAAAAGTGCCACATGACCCAAGAAAAATAACTCAAGATCATCTGTTAAAAATAGTTTTTTAACTGCCCAAAGAAAATAAACTTAAATATCCCCATAAACAAATTTTTAGGAAAACCCATGAAATTATAAATGAAACATATGGGAACATATTCAATGCCTTCTCTATTAATATCATAATCTCCCTTGGCAGTTGGAGGTAGTAGGGATATGTAATATGGTGGAAAACTTACAAAACAACAAAATACAATGCTAATTGTTGTATTCCACACAGAAACTGTGGGATTTTGATTTCTTCAGAAAAGGAATGGAAAAATTCTGTTGATAAAATAATTTACCTTAAACAGAAGTCAAGACTGGACGACCTTTCAAAATCCTTTCAACAACAGAATTTTATGTTTATGATAACCTGCTTATTTAAAGATTGTATCATTATATGCGATTTACTGAAAAACTCTTTGTTAAAATATTCCTTATTAGTAGTATTATTTTACCTGAGGAGGTGCCTTTTTCAGTAAAACGAGAAGAGCCTGTAATACAAGATTTGAAAATCGAGGGCCAATAGGGACGTAATCTGGAAAAGAAACATTATTATGTTTAGGGATTTGATACACATGTACATATTCCAAACATTCAGTTTTTGTTTTTTTTTTTTGCATCAAAAGTAAACACAGTCCCTACATAAGCAGAATATGTATAGAATAAGAAAAAAAAAATTTAAAGAGTAAACAGTCTTAAATAACAGTCATAAAACTATTTATAATAAGAAAAAATATCTCTAATAACCTAAATGCTTAAAATATAAGAACTCTTATCTGTAACTTTTTTTTTGAGACAGGGTCTTGCTATGTTGCCCAGGCTTGTCTTGAACTCCTGGGCTCAAGCAACCCTCCTGCCTAAGCCTCCCAGGTAGCTGGGATTATAGGTTGCCATAATCCCACTGTACTCGGCTCTATAAATTTTTTGAAAAAGCTTCTAAATATTCACTTTGAGTTCATGTAGATGTTTTTTCTGGGATTATTTTGGAAGGAAAAAAAAATTCCAGGTGTATTTACCAAGCATTTCTAAGAAGTTACTGCAAACCATGGCCATTCAGTACACTGATATTAAAACATGATGTTAGAAAATGGGCAAAGGGGAAAATAAGGAATTTCAATAAAACGGAAACAATGGCAGAACCACTAAGATTGGCCCTCAGATGGTAAGGAACAGATAACTTTCTAAGAGAACATCTGACCTGTTAAACATTTACCAATAATTCAAGATTCAGCGTAAATGCCACCTGCTTAGCTTTCTCTGCATACTGCATATGCACCTCTGCCCTGGGCTTAGAGCTACTCGCAGGCCCCCTGAGGTCAAAACTGATCCCTCCATTTTCAGACTATCCACCTGATGAGAACAGTGGGAGGGAAAATAAAAATAAAAAAAAAAACAGAATATCCAAAATACATGGCACATTCTACTTTGCATTAACATTTGCCAACATATGTTATAAAGACAGGCAGCAGCGTCTTTTTCTGAGACTCTAATACTTCTACCAGAGGAGGAAGGGCTCAGCAAGTGCTTATTGAATAAATGAGCAAGCATGCACAGATGA
Organism: Homo sapiens; assembly: GCF_000001405.40. NCBI lineage: Eukaryota > Metazoa > Chordata > Mammalia > Primates > Hominidae > Homo > Homo sapiens. The sequence goes on along the minus strand of NC_000017.11, from coordinate 46,727,831 downwards.
TAACTATTCATACCAGTGAAATGTACTCAGAGGGCACACATTCCTGACATGGTAGTGTTGCTATGACCACACACCTCAATTGTGTTAAGATAAAGGAATTTACACAGAGCTATGAGTTTGTGCCTAAAAGCTTTTAAAGAAATCATCCCATAAACTGGGCTGAGATGTATCAAACCTAGCAGACCCAAAACCCACTATCAATTTATGGAGACCTCACAGATATACCTGCTTTGCTTTATAACAGACACTGCCAAAACTTAAAAAAATAAATAACAGAGGACCAAAAGCAGGTCTGAAAATCATGGGAAAAATGCAGTAAGAACAGTTAGCTTGAAATCACGACTACACCATTATGGACAGCTTAAAGAAGAAGGGATTATTCAGACACTGGGTAGTATTTTCAGATGTTATTAAGTCACCAGGTGGGTTTCCATTTCAATAGAGTGTATTACCCCTTCCTGAGCCATTGTTGTAATGAATTTATGTCAGACTGATTTAATTTTACAGTGAAATAAAATTAACAACTTTCTGGCCCTTCCTTGCAGTTTATTTCTTATGAGTTAAGTGCCAGGACCAAGTCTTCTTCATGTTTGTATTCTGTAGGAGTGCACTTCAACACAGGAGATATTTAATACATATTTTAAAAATTACTATACTGCACTTTTAACTTACAAAATTTTTTCAAGATTTATTATCCCATTTTTGTCTTCACAATTACTCTGTGGGATAAGCAAGAGAGGGATTATAGTCTCTGTTTTGTAAGAGCAGAAACTGAGGTGCAGAGAGCTTACAACTTCTGCCCTTAGTGTTTTAGTGAATTTGCAGATTTCTCTGTGATCCTAAACCCTTCTTTCATTAGTTCTGTCAAAGTTCACAAGTGAATTTCTGAGCTCAGAGGTCCTAAATAACAGATATACTCATCAATGAAAATTACTAATCATTTACTATGGCAAGGGCACACTGGAAGATACAAAATGAGACATGGGCCCTTACAAGAAAGCAGTTTATAATGGTGTTATAGTCACAGGGCATATTAAAATGAATACTATCATTGATGTCAGCTATTTAAGAGAGAACATTATATTTCCTTGTAAGACAAAGAAAGGTATTTCTATTGCTTTACAGTTTATAAATACTTGTTAATTTTCTCTTGTAACTTTTGAGATATTAGCTGTAATGTGGCAAAGATAATACAACAGCAGAAGTTAGGACTCACCAAGCAATCTCTCAATGTCATCCACAACCACACAACTGAGCTGGGATTTGTACGCATCATCAAAGATCTGAAAGAAAACAAAGTCATTTATTATCTCACTGTCCTCCACAGTTACGACAATTTCCAAGAAGTTTAGTTACTTCTTGAGCAATACTAAACAAAGCACAGGAAAACACCAACACTTTGGACTACAATAAATTAGAATTGACACACTGGATCACCGCTGAACAGAGAGCAGGCTAAGGCTGTTTTCAGCACTAACAGCTGTGTGTGTCACACCTGGGCAGGCTGGGGACTAGCTGATCATTAATCAACTGACACATCCCATCACTTCTATCACACTGGTCTCTGGTATCTGTGTCAGGAGCAGGACTTTAGTGTAATGACTCAAGAGCTAGATGGAGCCACAAGAGATGTGTAAAATAAAACTAGATGCCATTTTATTATCTATAAGAATTGTGGCTCTGTTAAGCAAAAGTAACACTGAAAGATCAGAATTCTGTCAACTCAAATCAGACCATAATGGTAAAAGAGCTTACAAAAGAATTAAAGGTTGAGTATGAAGGATCAGATAGATGTACGTATAAAACCAGACAAAAGATATGAATGCACTGTCTTAAGATGGTCAAGAAAATGAGAATGAAATTAAGCAGTGAAGGAACGGTTTTAGCCTGGCAAGGATGTAGTAATTTCAAATCAGATAGAAGAATTAGCTTATCTGCAAGTTGAATAGAAGTACTCAAGGCCTTGAGACTAGCCTTTTTGGAAATGAAGGTACTATTCCAGAGACTACAGGTGGGGCTCAGGAAATCTCATCAGTGTCATGAGTAAGAATTAGTTTCTGCATCCCAGCCCACTCTCTCTGGTTGGTAACCAACCTCAGCACACCAAGATAGTAAACCCGATCCCCACCCGCACCAACATCTTGCTTGGAATGGCATATATTCCTTCCTGGGTATCTTTTAACCATTGAAGACTTATAATTAGGTACAGAAATAAAGTCAAACTCATGATATTAACCATTTTTCATGTTAGGTTTAAAAACAACCTGTGTATACTTGGTTTTTAAAGTATTCCTAACAATTAAGTTACCATAATAGAGTCTCACTGTGACCATCTTGATTCAGTTCCTTCCTTACCTCTTTCCTGGCATAAATACTGACAATTTCTCCAGATATTTAATCAGGTCAACCCCTCTGGTGAAAACGTTTTCCTATGCACCATCCCTTTACCCCCTAATTACCCTCCCACACTCTGTCTAAACCCCATCTATCCTTTCGTCCTAAGCTATCTGTCTCCCCACTGGACTGTGAGGTGGATAAAAGCTTTATTCTGTTCATGTTATGTGTAGTGCCCAGCACAGAACAGAATTCAGTAATGATGTCTGCTCTGTAGGTTCAATGGTTGAAACAACACAAGTTCCAATTCCATCTTGCCATAAATCACTTGTCTTCTCCTTTGGCACAGGATTTTGTATATTACGTATATATATTATTGATTCATTGTACTATTTTTGTATTATACTAGATTGCAAGCCCTCAGATGGCAAGTGCTGTCTTAATTACCTCTGTATCCTCATATCATTTAATATAATGCCTTATTAGAGAGTAATTAAGAAGTATTTACTAAAAGAATAAATTTACACATTTTAAATTCAAGTAGAAATATTAAGTGAGAAGTTGGAGATATCTGATTGAAGTCAGGGAATGGAAATCACTCTCAGGGCAGTGACTGCTGAAACCATGACAGAGGAAGCCATCTTCAAGAAGAAATGGCAGAAGAAGAAGAAAAAAAGGCCTAAGGATTGAGTCTTGGAGTGCTGCCTTATTCATTCACTCACTCAACAAATATTTTTGAATTCTTATTATGTATCAAGCATTAATGAAGGCACTGCAGAGGATAATAAATAAGACAAAAATAATCCTACTTTCACAAAAGTTAGAGTTGGGGAAGCAAGTCACATGTAATTATAACAAAGCATGACATTATTAGGCTAGGGGAAATACAAGATGATACGGGGGCACAGGGTAGGCAGTATTTCCCCAGTGCCTTGGAAGTTAGGCATAACTATGGGGCTTGCTTTGGTTAATGAAATATGAGGGGAAATACACCCCTTTCTGAAAGAAGCCTTAGGAGTCACTGCATGATTCACCATACTCCTTTCCCTGCCTTGGCTATCATGGAATCAGATGTAAGGCGGGGCCTCTATTATCTATTAGCTTGAGTCTCTGAGAAAATATAATGAACAGAACTCACTGTCTGAGCCATGACGGAGATATAGTAGTGTAAATAAAAAATAAACTTTGTTGTGTTAAGCCACTGAGATTTTCGGGTTGTCCTTTCATGCAGCATAACTCAGCCTATCTTGACTCTTAAATGGACTTAGGGAGTCAGGACAGTTTCCTAAATTTAGGAAGTGACACTTAACCTGAGACTTGAAGCATGAACAACAGTTAACCAGTGGAAAGGGTGGAAGAAAGTGTTCTAAGCAGAATATACTGAAAATTAGGAGACACAGAGATGTGAACATTCAGGAACACTGCAGGAACGGTCAATAAGAATTAAAATAAAGTGGTGTTGGTGTCAATGCAGTGGAGTGGTAGGTGAGATGAATTAGAAGAGGTGATGAAGGAACTTGGACGTAAAGAGTCTTACAAATTTCATGAGTTAAAATTTTACTGTAAAGGCAATAACAAGCCACTAAAGGGTTATAAGCAATGGACTGACATGTCAGGCTTATGTTTTAGAAACATTTTCCTGATTGTATAGAAAAGCATTAGAGGGGAATAATAGTTAATTGAGATTGTGGAGTTCTAGGTGAGAAATGATGGTGGCCAGGGAGTGGGTGTGCTGGTAAGTGGACAGAATCTAGAGATGTTTAGGAGGAGGAACTGAAAGAACTTGGTGAATGAATGGGTGTGGTGATGAAAGAGAAAACTGGAGTCAAGGATCTGTCCTGATTTGGCAACTGAAATAAAACACAGAGGTGAAGCTGGTTTGAAAATGGATCATGAGTACATTTAAAGAGCAAGAAGGGAAGGGCCTTTTATCTTCTCCTCCCCAAACACAGAAAAAGAGAAAATGAGAATAGGATATTTATTTCAGTCTCTTGATACACAATGATGGTTCCTTTTGGCTTTGAGTTGGTACATTCGAGACAACTGAAAAGCTCAGAAGCAGTTCTACAGCGGTTCTTTGCTACTTTTTTTGAAGATGGAACCGCAGCCAATGTGGTATCTTATAAACTCAGGTAATTTTAAGGAATCACTGAAAATAATGCTTTGCTTTTCAAAACATTTTTCAGAATTCTACTAAAAGCTCTGATGCCAGCATATAACTCTGACCATCAGGCTGTGAGATCATGGATTAGAGCCACAGGGACCTGGAACACCACAGCCTGGCTGGTTGCAGTAGTTCTATGTTTTTCCTTCTCAAAACAATGTACAGCTTATATGGCTGCAAGGACCTTACTCAGGACATTGCTTAGGTCTAAACTAATGATGACTTGCTACATGGTATGTAGTCTCACCAACTTATCTCAGACACTGTAATTCACAAAGCATTCCAAATCACTTCACAGTTGACTGCATGGCCTACACATAACATTTGAGAGGAAAAATACCTGCAGCAGTCACTTAATATCAAGTAGTGACGTTCTTGTTTTTTGCAGTCGGTCTCTGTGCTAATTACTATCAGAGGGAGAGGTGCACTCACAGCAAGCTCTATTAACACACCGACCATGACGAAGGCTGTGCAATTCCAGTTGTAACTTGACTAGTTTCAGGTAACCAGTCAACTGAAACTCCTCCGGGTAGCTACTCTGCTCTAATTTAAATACATACATACACACACATCCCTTTTTCTTCTCACACGTACATTTTCTTCCTTATCTAGTCACTAGTGTAACCTGTGCTCATAACTCTTCCCAGGATCCACGATTTCTGCCTAGTCTCCTCAGTCCCTTAGTCCCTTTCACCCTTTCTGGCCCAGGCCCCAGCAGAATTCTCACTAAGAAGATACTCAGAGTTGGCTGGCAAGTACGTGAGGTTAGCTGCCACAGGAAAATCCAAGTGAGATATTTACATACTAAGCCGGGAAGCTGCACCACAACTTTAGGTAGATAAATCCCAGCAGGAGGAGAGGTACTGGAAAGAAAGATGCGAGAAAAGTAAAATTGTACAAACTGCCCTAGCCAGACTAGTACAACTGAAGTGCCAAACTCACCGTGAGTTATAGCACACAGCAGGTCACACAGTGCTTGCTCTAGATCCAAAGATGCCCCAACACAGAAGATGCCAGGAGGACTGAGGCTGGAGGTAAGAAGGTAAGAACCGTATCTTACAGACTCCCCCCAAAATTAATCTTAAGAATGTAGGGATTTTGACGTGCTCTCGCGAGATTTGGGTCTCTTCCTAAGCAGGCGCTGCAAGTTCTCCCAGGAGAAAGCCATGTTCAGTTCGAGCGCCAAGATCGTGAAGCCCAATGGCGAGAAGCCGGACGAGTTCGAGTCCGGCCATCTCCCAGGCTCTTCTGGAGCTGGAGATGAACTCGGACCTCAAGGCTCAGCTCAGGGAGCTGAATATTACGGCAGCCAAGGAAACTGAAGTTGGTGGTGGTCGGAAAGCTATCATAATCTTTGTTCCCGTTCCTCAACTGAAATCTTTCCAGAAAATCCAAGTCCGGCTAGTACGCGAATTGGAGAAAAAGTTCAGTGGGAAGCATGTCGTCTTTATCGCTCAGAGGAGAATTCTGCCTAAGCCAACTCGAAAAAGCCGTACAAAAAATAAGCAAAAGTGTCCCAGGAGCCGTACTCTGACAGCTGTGCACGATGCCTTCCTTGAGGACTTGGTCTTCCCAAGCGAAATTGTGGGCAAGAGAATCCCCGTCAAACTAGATAGCAGCCGGCTCATAAAGGTTCATTTGGACAAAGCACAGCAGAACAATGTGGAACACAAGGTTGAAACTTTTTCTGGTGTCTATAAGAAGCTCACGGGCAAGGATGTTAATTTTGAATTCCCAGAGTTTCAATTGTAAACAAAAATGGCTAAATAAAAAGTATATATTCACACACACACAGAAAAAGAATGTATAGTCAGCCCAGTTCTATTATGAAGTTTCCTGTAGAACAGGTAAAATTATCAACATACATATATAGGGTCTTAAAGTTAGGAGGGAAGTCTGAAAGAGAAGGCTAAAGAAAAAACAGGAAGAACTGAAGAAGGAAACAATGTGGGAAAGAGTGGCATCAGTCAGCCTGTGTCTCATGAAATAACGGGAAGTCTACTCTAAAGGAAGGAAGAGCAGCTCTAGAAAACACAGAAGCCCGTTATGTCCACCTGTGCACATAATGAGATTGTCATATTAAACTGTAACCTCTCTTGCATGCAAAGGTGGAGGTACGACACAGGCTGGAGGGGTATGAGAGACAACCCAGAGTGTGGGGAGCCTGGGCTTAAGGCAAGAGTGTGCCACATGCACTCCGTGAGCACTGAGGGACAGGAGAAGCGGGGCTCTGCCACGCAGGGATTAGGGGCAGGTCTGAATGTGGTGCTCAAGGACACGGCAAGCTCTTAAGTCCCAGAGCCCACTCCTGGGATCTTCAGACAACTGGGGAGCCACCTGTGTGTGGGACAGGGGCAGCAGCTACGGGCTCCAGAGTCTACACAAGTGCAAATGGGAGCACACCAGCATTAGTTCCATTAATCCCAGCCTTTCGGGATCACAAGCCACAACAAGCATGCTCTCAGGAGATTCAGCCCTCCATCCTCTGGGACCTCCTTAGTGCCCTTAGGTAAGCAAAGCCAAACACTCTGGTTCTTCTGGGAGCTGAAAGAGTTCATCTCAGTTCTGAAGTACTTGGCGTGAAGTACCTAGTTAGTAGAAATCTGATGACTGTAGGAATCTCATAGCTTAGAAAATCCCTAATGCAGTAAATCTGTCAGCGATTAGTTAAAAGCATACTCTAATCATATTTGGTAGCATATAAAAACGTAAATGAGCAAATTCAAATGGGTGCTATCAGTAATAATCTCGTTTCTAAAAATAACTTGGGAGTAGACCAAGCAAACATTAGCTGTCTGCTAATGAAACTGCCTCAGGAAGTGGACCTAAACTTTTGGCAAAGCTCTAAAGCTTCCTGGAATGACCTTAAAATCCTTTATTTGTTCTCCCTGCTTTTCAGGAAAAAATCTTACATTTTCTCATATCGTGAGCCACAGAGAAGGGTATTCTTAATAATATAAAAAGTCACAAGGTCTGAAAGTTCTGCACCAGCCTCCTTTCTACGCCAAAGAGATACAAATGCCAAAAGACACAGTGTATTGAACAAAACAACAACAAATGCCCACCTCCCCAGCCATACAGGGACCTGTAGTCACTTCCGGAGTGCCCACTTCTCTCAGCTAATATATGCAAAAACTTCAACAAATCAGCTACATTATATATTAGGATGTTAACCAAAAACATCCAAATTCTGTTGCTTAGTAACTGCTGTCAAAAGATCCAATTTCCAGCTCTGCTCTTTGTATAGACTAAACCATGAAAAGAGGAGGATTAGGCATCACGATTCTGTTCTGTGCAGACTACAATTTGCAGTGGGATTTACAGGAGGATATTCAAAGAAGATTATTTCTTTCGTGCAAAGCTAGTGGAAAGGAAAATTTCTTCCATTAATTTTCAATCCTTTGAAAATAAGACTATATCATGTTATTAATGGGTACAGTTTTATAAATCACTGGTAGTTTTACTTAATTTTGTTCAAACAATTTAGTTCTATCTGATTGTTCTACTTCATCTCTACTGATTGTATACTCAGAAAGCATCAAGATTAGGTAATTAGTTAAAATCAAATTCTGCTTTCTTCTTTTGTTCATTTAATGGCACGAATAGAACTAGTAAAATAGATTTTTAAACAAGTATTGATGCAAAAATGGATAAAGGAATTAAAATTTAAAAATAGAATGAAGTTTGGGAAGCAAACGTAAAATAGGGGAGAAGGGGAAGGTCTGTGAATACTTCAAACATCTTAATGGAACATATGGTATACCCCCCAGAACGTGAGGACAATACCTCATACATACTTCAGCAGTTTTGAGGAGTTTATCCATGGAGAAAGGATTCACTAATAAGCAAATTAAGAGAAGTACAAGGTGAATTTTAAATTAATTGAGAATAAACTACTTTCACGTATTTTAGCACCATCCATTTGTGAAAAAGAGGCAATAGTATAATTATAATAAAATCTCATGTACTCATTAAAGCAAGCCTAACAGCCCTCTCTACTAAAACTCTTACCTGTTGGTTTAAGTAATAAAGTGGTAGGTAAAGATGCTCTATGAATTAACTAATTCAGACCACACATCTTTAACAAAAATTAATGTGTTACATATTTTTCAGTTTCACAGACTATTGTCATTGCAAAACATTTTGAAAAATCTTAAATTTGAGCATTTAGTCATTGAAATGTAGCTAAAGAAATAACTAAATGCCAACCTTCTGCTTATCCAACTGGCAAAAAATATTTTAATAATATCAAGTACGGGTGAGAATCCCAAGAAACTCATACTCTTATATGGTGAAGCTACAAGTGTAAATTAGTACAACATTCTGAAGGCGTAGGCTTTATAAAACCAAGAGCATTTTTTACCTAAGAGTTTTGATAGCACTATGTATCAAAAATCTTTACAATACTAATATTTTTACCTTAGCAATCCCACTTCTGAGAATTTGTCATAAGGAAATAATAAAAAATGTATGTATAATAATAAGTAAAAATAACCACTACACTTCATTGATTTCATATTATATCCCAGGCACTGTGACACTTTACAGAAATTACCATCTAATTCTCATAACCCTATAATGCAGCTATTAATATTATCTTCATTTGACAGATGAGAAAACAGTGGCTTATAGGTTAAATGACATATCCAAGGTCATTCGGCCGGTCAGTGTGGAGAGCTGAGCAAGCCCAAATTCTCGGTCATGTTATACTACTCTAGTGAAGAAAAATCTAATGAGAAAATGGGGGCAGTAATTTCCCTAGTTTGGTAGTCCTATGGAATACTGTTTTTATATAAATTTTAAATTTTTAGTTATGGCTACATAATAGTTATACATATTTATGGAGTACATGCACCATTTTGATACAAGTATAAAACATGTAACGATCAAATAAGGGTAGTTGTGAAACTCATTAAGCATGTATCATTTCTTTTTGTTAGGAATATTCAATTTCCACTCTTGTAGTTATTTTGATCTATACATAATTTTTTTTTTTTAATCAGCTTTCACTGAGCTTCAGGTGGGGCTGGCCCGGCATGGCCAGTATGGCAGGGTGCCCTCGAGGGCCAGTCTGTGGCATGACAAGAAATGCAGGGGTGCACGTGTTGGGGCTGCCCTTTGGCACTCACTGGGGTGGGTCAGGGGAGAGCAAACACCAAGGTTCTCTGGAGACCGGAACCAGCCAGTGCAGCCATTTGGCTTCTCCCTCAGGACCAGCTGTCAGTCCCCAGGCCCTGAGGTGGTGCCTGCATCCTAGGTCTGTGGGGCATTACTGGTGTCACTCTGAGGGAGAAAGATGGCCAGCTGCTCAATCAGGATGATGAGCAGGCTACCACCCACCACTAGCCCCAAGTAGATCTGGCAATGGATGTTCTCCCAGCACTTCTTCTGGGCCAGGGTCTTTGTTGTCTTGCTGAAGGCTGAGCTCATATCCAGGAGTTGGTCTGAACGCTGCTCCAGTTCGGTCAGCTTTCCATCATGCTCCAGGACCTTGTCAAAGTTGTTAAGCGTGATTTCCGTCACCTTGTTCGCTTGCCGCTGGCACTGCTCCAACTCTTTCCCTGCCACCGCCACTGCCACCAGGCCCACTCCCCGAACGACACATTATTTTATTTTATTTTTTAGATGGAGTCTTGCTCTGTCGCCCAGGCTGGAGTGCAGTGGTGTGCTCTCAGCTCACTGCAACCTCTGCCTCCCGGGTTCAAGCGATTCTCCTGCCTCAGCCTCCTGAGTAGCTGGCATTACAGGGCACATGCCATCATGCCTGGCTAATTTTTGTATTTTTAGTAGAGACGGGGTTTCACCATGTTAGTCAGGCTGGTCTCGAACTCCTGACCTCATGATCCCCCCACCTCAGCCTCCCAAAGTGCTGGGATTACAGGCGTGAACCACTGTGCCTGGCCCATGATTTTTAAGTATAGTTAATTTATTGTGCTGTCCAACACTAGATCTTATTACTTCTATTTAATGGTATTTTTGTTACCACTACCCTTCCCAGCCTCTGATAACCATCATTCTAACTCTACCTCCCTGAGTTCAATTGTTTAGTTCCCATATATGAATGAGGACATGTGATATTTGACTTTCTGTGCCTGGCTTCTTTCACTTAACATGAGGTCTTCCAGGTCCTTCATCCATGTTGTTGCAAATGACAAGGATTTCATTCTTTTTAAATGGCTGTGTTACAGTCCACAGTGTATATGTGTCACATTTTCTTTATCCATTCATCCACTGAGGGACATTCAGGTTGATTCCATTCCACTACTGTGAATACTGCTGCAATGAACTTGGGAGTATAGATAACTCTTTGATATATATTATTTATAATTGTGAAAAAAACCTGGAAACAACCTAATTGTCCAACAAAAAGGGATTGTTCAGATATTAGACAGCTATTAATTTAAAATAATGTTCAGATTAGCTTTAGTTACACTGAAAAAAGTTCATAATATTTTAAGTGAAAAAAGCAAGTTTACATCAGTATGTTTCAATGTAATCCCCAATATATAAGGGAGGGGGTATATGTGTTCATGTGTACACATGTGTCTGAGTAGAAAAGAGAATTGAAGGACAAATATGAATTTATTGTTATTTTCTTCTGTTCTTTCTTGTATTTTCTAAATTATTTCTGTAATTAGAAAAAGCTACCTTAATTTTTGCACTTACAACAACAAAAGAAAGGTTTTCTCCAGAATTATAAAACTCTATAAATTATTTGTGCTCTGAAAAAAAATTAAAACATCTTCTTTCCATCCTCACACTAAAAATGGAGGTGCAGGCCGGGCGCGGTGGCTCATGCCTGTAATTCCAGCACTTCGGGAGGCTGAGGCGTGCGGATCATGAGGTCAGGAGATCAAGACCATCCTGGCTAACACGGTGAAACCCCATCTCTACTAAAAATACAAAAAAATTAGCCAGGCATGGTGGCGGGTGCCTGTAGTCCCAGCTACTTGGGAGGCTGAGGCAGGAGAATGGCATGAACCCGGGAGGTGGAGCTTGCAGTGAGCTGAGATCACGCCACTGTACTCCAGCCTGGGCGACAGAGCAAGACTCCATCTCAAAAAAAAAAAAAGGAGGGGCAAGAACAGTAGTGGGAGGTAGACTAGAACTTATACTAAAGAATGACATTTACATTTCATTTTCAAAAACAACCTGGAAGACTTAGCATCTTTAGACTGGTTTGACCCCTCAGGCTTTTGTCAACCTATCATTAGGTAACAATGTGAAAACTATTTGCAGGGAAATATTTTGTAATATTTCTAATATATTTCTAAGAAACCTATGCTTCATTCCTTTCTCTTTTCTGAACTTTAATGACAAAGAATAATATTTTTCCCCCAAGGAAAACCAAAAATTCTAATATAAATTTGTTATACTGCTGAAGCAGAAATAATTTTTATAATTTTAAGAGTGCACGGATGATCCGGACAGTGAATCATGAATTAAAACAATTTTGAATAAGCTTGTATGGACACTTATTTTTATACTCCCTAGCTTTCTACTCATCTGAAACTCTACCTTGAAAGGCTTCAACAATTTGAAGATTAAATAATAAGTTATTAAACCATTAATTTAACCATTTAAGCCTCTAAAATCAGCACATATTACCTTCCCCCTTCAAGTCAATTTGCAAGAGATTAAAATAATAAAAATGATAATATCTCACACTTACAAAGTAGCTTTGATCTGCAGAAGCCTGAAGTACTTTTTAAAAACTTTATAGAAAAACTAGGACCATCCACCCACATCTCAGAGTACATCTGAGGTAGAAGCTGGCAGCTGGTGGAAAGCAATGGAGTAATTTACCATCTGCAAAGATGACTACTACTTTTGAAAAAGCACAGGAATAGATGATTTAGGAGAATGCAAATAGAATTAGCTATTCAATAAATAAATGGGACATTCAACAGCTACAGATTTCAAGGGCTGTTATTTAAATTTTTACCAGAAGAAGTGGGTTAAGGGTTCCCATCAGAGGGAAAACGAAAAACAAAGAAAAACAGCCCTACCTACTCTAGGGAAATCACTGGTCCCAGTTATTCTATTCAGATTTTCCTGGGAAGGACAGATACTATTGGTTTCACCTCAGAGACAGAATAAACTATGATATTATAAGTTCTTTTTGCATCTGGCAATATTTCCTTTTCACACTCAATTTCAAACATTTTTATGTATTTCTCTGGACTCTTCAATGTGTATGCCTGGAATCCTGCTACAAGTTCGGCTTCCTCCATCCATCTGAAGTACCCTGTGCAATTTTCTGCCACCTGCACAAACAAGAGACTAGCTTCTCAAGCTTACATTTTTTGGGAGTCATCTTTTAAATCTATTTCTCTTCTTCAGTCTCTTTCCCAAAGAAACACCGAAGAATTCTACAATACATCTTTATAAAGCGAATGCCTAAGAGCAATGTAAAAGAAAACCCTGAGCTGTCTTTACTAGGGAGCACTTCAATTCTCAAGATTCTTTCACCTCATTCTGATTTTCCCACATCTCTTGGACTTACGGTCAGTTCATATCTATAAAAGATCAAGCATGAAAAAAAGAATTTAAATAAAAGAAATACTTCAGCTGGATACAAAAAATAATTTCTTGACTGGCAGTATGCAAAATTAGAATAGCAATGGAAACATGATCTAACAAGTAAGATGGAACAGCCATTTAAAGTCTTCATCATTGATTTTTGTTGTTGTTGTTGCATGGCACTTGCTTGAATGTAAGAGAGATGGACCAAATGGTCTTACAGTCTTTTCAGCTCTAGGATTCTATTCTATGCTGTTCTAACTTCACTGATGGTAGAAAGTGGCCATGTTAATTAAGAAGGTGACGAGTGGCACTTGGAGAAAGGAAGATGTATGAGAACTGCATTAAGTTACCAAGCAGATTCTGATTATTACCTAATATAAAACTATCCTTTTGTAGGGATTCCTGGGACTATTTTCCCATTGATACATCTCTGTCTTCCTCAACTTAATTGACCCCAAAGAGTTCAACTTTGTACAATAATGAAAGAACTTTAAAAAATCCTAAATGAATTTGTCCACTTTATTCAAACACTTTCAACTATAACTCTTTTAATCAAATTGATACAAAACTAGGCAATGAAACTTAATATGTATTAAACAAAGCATAATTTAGAAGGTAAAGGTACTCAATAAAATACATTACAAAGTTAGAAAATCTAAAACAGTCACTGCTTCCCCCATATTCTGCTGATAATTTGGTTCCACTTGAGAAGAACATAGTTGCTATGGGTTTATATGTATACATGTACAAAGGCATATATATGTGCACACACACACACATTTAAGAGATAGGAAATTAAAATGAAAGTAAAATCTTGATACCTTCTTCATGGCCTGACATTTGGCTGTTTCAGAAAAGCCAATCATTTTATCAGGAGAACAGATCTTGATGAACGGGAAGTTGGATTCCTCTGCAATTTTTGCAGCTAAAGCAGTCTTCCCACTGTGAGGAGGGCCTGCATAAAGATATGAGCAAGTCAGGGGAAAAAAGCCAACCTAAGCAAAGGGAAATAAAACAAGTTTAAACTTTTATCCAGAACATACTGAGGTCTCGACTAGTTGCTCATTAACATTTCCTGACACAATTTCACAGCAGACATGTTTTCTCTTATTTATTAGCAACTAAACTTAATGAACTAATTAGCATTTCTCAAAAGTATGGTGAAATACATGCCTCCTGACATTCTCACATATCCTTAATCTTTCAAACTTTTGGCAAAATATACAGAGTGTAAGGGTTTTGCTTCTTAAAAGAACGCATTCAAATGCATATTAGTACTTATGTTGTTAGTTCTATCAAATCATTTGTCTAACAAAAAAAGACAATCTTAAGAGCTGATATTGGGGGCAGGGGAAAACTGCCTTATTAGAAGCAAATGTGATGTAAAAAGTTAGAATTCTAAAGACTCAGGCCTTCTCATAAAGGCAAGCAAATCTACGAACTTACCTACATTTAGACATCCCTGCCTTCCCTTCCCTGTTTTGGAAGCTGTGTCCCTCGTTCAACCATAAACCAATCAAATCTTCCTTTCCATCTTCTCAGGAACATGACATTACTGATTGTTCCTTTCTCCCATATGTTCGACTTCTTCCTCTTCCCTGAAGCCTTTCCAAAAGTGTTTTAGCATGTTCTAGTCTATCTGACAGTTTAATACATAACAACAAAAAACTCTTTCTGAACATCATACCCCTCAAAACTGCACCTTCTTCTCCCTTCAAAATGGAACTTGCCTATGTAATTATTTACACTGGCTGCTTTTGTTCTTCACCTCCCACCCATCCTCACTAAATCTTACGGCTCCCATCCCCATTACACTGAACAGGCTCCCATCAAGGTCACAAATGATCTCCATGTCATCAAACCCAACAAACATTTTGGTATCTTTTTCAGCCTCTTAGGAGCATTTGATACAATTCATAATTCCCCTCTTTCTTAAAATATGTTTCTTTTCTTGGCTTCTGTAACACACATTCTCTCTTTCCCCTTTCCTCTCTGGTTACTCTTGCTCAGTCTCTTTTGTCAATTTTTCTGCTCTGTTTAGTCCTTACGTGTTAACATGCTTCAGAGACAAGTTCTAGGCCTCCTTTTCGTCTCAACCCACACCCTCACTGTAAGTGATTTCGTTCACTCCCATGGCTTCAACCACAGTCTATATACTGGCAACTCATGAGTCTACTGCTAGCCAGACCCACATATCCAACAGGCTGCTCAACATTTCCGATTTACTTCTCCTATATGACCCTTGAATTTAACATGTTCAAAACTGAACTCATCATCTTTCTTCCAGAAATCTGCTTTCCATTAGTGTTCCCAATCTTAGTAAACAGCACCATTTATCGGGCTATGTATGCCAGAACCCAGGGGGTCATGTTTGATACCTCTGCCCACATCCAATCTAACAAATATTTCTAGGCTTCAGCTTCCCCACCTACAAAATAGAGACAACAGCAGCATCTACCCTTGGAGGACTGAAGTGGGGTTTAAATAGATAATATGTGCACAGTGCTAGTAGAGTGACTGGCAAATAGCAAGGGCTCAAAAACTGCTAGCATAATTATGATTGACAATAATAATGAGGTCATTTTTATTCTATCTTCTAAATATTTCTAATTAGTCTACTTATCTCCATCTACACTACTCCACATACTTCAAACCACAATCGACTCTCATTAAGACTAATCCAACTGCTTCTAACCATTAGTCTCTTCTGTATCTTTTTGCCCCTCCAATCCATTCTCCATCATAAAGCAGTGATGATGATGTGGCTTCACTGCTTAAAATCCTACAAATGGCTTCCCATTGCCCCTAAGATAGTTTAAATCTTTAATATGGCCTACAGGGTTTTATATGAACTGGCTTCTATCTGCTTCTACAGTCTCATGTCAGGATAATCTCCCTTTCTCTTTCAAGCTCCTTCCTGCCCAGGACTTTTTCACATGCTCTGCCTCAAACATCCTCCCCAGTGACTTTGGCTGGCCAGAGTCTCCTCATTGGTCAAGTCATGGCTTAATATGTTTCTCCCAGGGAGCTCTCATCCCCCAGACCTTTAGAGGTAGTTAGGTTCCCTTGTCATGGGGCCTCACTGAACTTTTCTGCCGTCATACTAATTATAACTGTAAATTAATTATTTGTGAATGGAATGTCCTTCCCCTTTTGTCTGTCTACTCAATAAAATCCTAACTGGTCTTTCAAGGCCTAGATTAAATAGCATCTCTAGTTTTCCCTGACCACCCCTATGCTAAATGACTTGTATTCACACACACCTTTACACACATACACCGTAGTCAGGAATTTCTTTACACTGTCTTTGTTCATGACCAGACTGAATGAACACTTGAATGTCTTTGTATCCCCAGCAACTAGTTCAATGACTAAAATACAAGTACTCAGTAAGTATTTATTTAATTGAATTGAGGCTAAGTGGCATCATTCAGTGTATTAAGTGCCACAGAAATACAGATATAATCCTACAAGAAAACTAGTTGCTATCTTTCCTCACTAACATTCTACCCCAAGAAAATTTTAATTTGTACACAATATTGGTACATAGATTGGATTACTATTTTCAGATCAAGAACAAGGTTAAAAACGAAAAAGAATTCACTTTTCTAGAATGTGCTTACGGGCTTTTAAAAAATGCTGCTTTTTTTCCTTTAACTTTTAATGCCATCTCCTCATTCATTCTCACCTTCCAGAAGCACGCTGACCAATGGTGTGCGGTCACTGTTCTTAGTCTGCTGCACCAGCAGCTCCCCATCATCTAGAACTCGAGTAACTGGGTCACCCCATTTGATGATACCGTTCATAATGTAACTTGCATAATCTTCTTGGTTTGTGCCAAAGGCCTATTAAGAAAAAGGAGTCTAAAGCATTTTGAGCCTTAGTGTTAAAAACTAACAGTATAAAAGACGAGTTATAATCCGTACATGCTAAAGGTATTGATCACTATCCCATATTAATATAAAAAGCCTGGAAAGCAAAACAACTTGTATAATTTCTCATTTAACTTTTTTCCCAATAGGAAAAAAAAAGCTGCTTTGGGTGACTTAATGGAATAAAAACAATGGATTCTAGGCTGAGATTCCACCAGACTCAAACCCTCATAATTCCTGAGAGAAAGAATATGTTCCAATGTGCTTATTTTTATCAACAGTATGCAGTTTGAGGCTGTTCTGTTAAGAACAAAGGAAAAAAGAGATTATGGACTTAGAAACAGCGCAATAGACAAATATGCTACCTTAACACTGACTGCAGGTGCTATGGATTAACATGAGAATACGAAATGGTAATGAGAAGATCATGTTCACATCAACTTTGTGGTAGGGGACATAGTTAAATGGCACCAATGTTAAGTTTATATGTGTAAATATAAGATTTAGGATGAGATAGAAATGAGGAGCTGTAATAAGAAGGATATAAAAGCAATTATTTCAGATAATAATTCTATTTGTGTTCACTACATATTGGAGCTTAAATTGCACCCTTCTTCATTGTCAACTTTTAATCTCAAAGGTTATACCTCCCATCAAAACAGCTGCCAAAAGTAGTCAATAACTTTAGTATTTACAATTGAACTGGATTTTCATGAGGTTAACAGAATAAATAGGAAAACATAACCTACTACATGTAAAGATCATGTACATGTAAAGATCATGTATCTTGAGAATTTCAATTTTTTAAAGATCATCACATCCCTCAAAATTCAACTTTTGATTACCTGATGTATGGAATAGTTTTAATAGTTCTTTAGAACATGCACCTCACATAAAGCTGTTTTTGTAATACTGTCTTTGAAACAGTATCCAGTGATCTCATATCTCTATTACTTTGCCACAAAATAATTTTTCAGACCACTTTTTACGTAGTCTCTTTGCATATACTGGTCCTTTGATTCCTGAATACAGAGGAAGGTTCTCATTCTTTGGCCTAGATATGGCAAATTCAGTAGCAGTGTAAAAAGTAATGATGAAACTAATCCAAACTGGCTAAATGGCTGTTCTAAGAAATTTTCATGGCCGGGCGCAGTGACTCAAGCCTATAATCCCAGCACTTTGGGAGGCTGAGGCGGGTGGATCACCTGAGGTATGGAGTTCCAGACCAACCTGGCCAACGTGGTGAAACCCCATCTATACTAAAAATACAAAAATTAGCTGGGTGTGGTGGTGTGTGCCTGTAATCCCAGCTACTTGGGAGGCTGAGGTAGGAGAATTGCTTGAACCCGGGAGGCGGAGGTTGCAGTGAGCCGAGATCACGCCACTGCACTCCAGCCTGGGAGACACAGCAAGACTCCATCTCATTTAAAAAAAAAAAAAAATTATAGGCTGGCTTTTGTCTTTAATTTTTCCAGTTATATACTCCAAGCCTCACAGCAGAAGCTTTAAGATGCCTGAACCATAAAACAGTGACTCTCCCAAGATATATAACGTGTATATCTTCCTTACATATCCCATAATTTCATTTTTTTTTTATCCTCCAGACCCTTGGAATAAATAAAATTAAGTTTTTAGTTGTCACTTCCTCATGGCCAAATTACTTGTTGTTAAAAAAATCTTGGAGTTACTTTTGAAAATGATTATTTTATATTTAAAAGTCACAATAGTAATAAAAAGACAGGGCTAACCAAATTGGCTTTTGTCTTTAAAGGAGATACTTGGAACAAATAATTATTGTTAAGAATATATAACAGGCCAGGTGCAGTGGCTCATGCCTGTAATCCCAGCACTTTGGGAGGCCAAGGTGGGTGGATCACGAGGTCAGGAGATTGAGACCATCCTGGCCAACAAAGTGAAACCTCGTCTCTACTAAAAATACAAAAATTAGTCGGGCATGGTGGCGCAAGCCTGCAGTCCTAGCTACTCAGGAAGCTGAGGCAGGAGAATCACTTGAACCCAGGAGGCGGAGGTTGCAGTAAGCCAAAATTGCGCCACTGCACTCCAGCCTGGCAACAGAGCAAGACTCAGTCTCAAAAAAAAAAAAAAAAAAAAATATATATATATATATATAAAATAAATGGTGGCCAAGTGCAGTGGCTCATGCCCATAATCCTAGCACACTGGGAGGCTGAGGTAGGTGGATCGCTTGAGGTCAGGAGTTTGAAACCAGCCTGGCCAACATGGTGAAACCCTGTCTCCACTAAAAATACAAAAAAATTAGCCGGGCATGGTGATGGGTGCCTACAATCCCAGCTACTGGGGAGGCTGAGGCAGGAGAATCACTTAAACCTGGGAGGCAGAGGTTGCAGTGAGCCGAGATTGTGCCACTGCACTCCAGCCTGGGTGACAGAGCAAGACTGTCTCAAAAAAAAAAAAAAAAAAAAGGATATGTAACAAATGGTTGATAAGCATATGAAAAGATACTTATCACCACTAATCATTACGAAAATACAAATCAAAACTAGAATGAGATGTCACTTCATATTCATTAGGATGGCTACTACCAAAAAAACAGAAAATAATTTGTTGGTGAGCATGTGGAGAAGTCAGAATTTTTGTGCACCACTGGTGGGAATGTAAAATGGTGCAGCCACCGTGGAAAACGGTATGGTGGTCCCTCAAAAAATTAAAAATAGAATTACTATATGATCCAGCAATTCCACTTCTGAGTATATACCCGAAAGAACTAAAAACAGGGTCTTGAAGAGATATCTGTACAGCCATGCTAATGACAGCATTACTCAAAATAGCCAAAACGTGGCAGAAGCCTGGCTGCCATTGACAGAGGAATGGATAACAACATGTGGTATGTACATATCATGGATTTTTTTTTTTTTTTTTTTTGAGACAGGGTCTTGCTCTGTCACCAGGCTGGCGTGCAGTGGCACAATCTCGGCTCACTGCAACCTCCACCTCCCGGATCCAAATGATTCTCATGTCTCAGCCTCCCGAGTAGCTGGGATTACAGGTGTGTGCCACCACTCCTGGCTAATTTTTGTATTTTTTAGTAGAGATGGGGTTTCACTATGTTGGCCAGGCTAGTTTTGAACTCCTGACTTCAGGTGACCCACCCACCTCAATCTCCAAAAGTGCTGGGATTACAGGCAAGAGCCACCACGCCTGGCCCATATAATGGAGTATTATCCAGCCTTAAAAAGGAAGAAAATTCTGACATGCTGCAAGATGGTTGACCCTTGAGGACATTATGCTACGTCAAATAAGCTAGTTACAAAAAGACAAATACTATGATTCCACTTACATGGGTACTTAAGATTACTGAAATTCATAAAGATGGACAGTAGAATGGTGGCTGCCAGGTGTTGTAGGGGAGGGAAAAAAGAGTTATTATTTAATGGGTATAGAGTTTCAGTTCAAGAAGAAGAAAAGAGTTTTAGAGATGGATGGTGGTGATGATTATACAACATTATGAATATACTTAATACCACTGAACTATACATTTGAAAATGATTACAATGGTAAACTTTATATGTATTTTAACACAATACAAAATTGAGAAAAAAAGAGTATATAAAGAACTTGTATCAATCAAATAAGCAGTACAACAGAAAAACAGGCAAAAGACTTGGACACTATTTCACACAATACATGCATATGGTCAATTAACATATGGAGAAATGCTTAAGTTCTCTAATAACTAAAATGCAAATCAAGACTGAAATGAGATCTCATTTTACACCTAACTGAATGGCAAAAATTAAATCTGAGGCTGGGTGCAGTGGCTCACGCCTGTAATCCCAGTACTTTGGAAAGCCGAGGCAGGCAGATCACCTGAGGTCAGGAGTTCGAGACCAGCCTAGCCAACATGGTGAAACCCCGTCTCTACTAAAAATACAAAAATCGGCCAAGCATGGTGGCAAGCACCTGTAATCCCAGCTACTCGGGAGGCTGAGGCAGGATAATTGCTTGAACCCGGGAGATGGAGGTTGCAGTGAGCTGAGATCACACCACTGCACTCCAACCTGGGCGACAGAGTGAGACTCCATCTCAAAAAAAATAAATAAATAAAAAATAAATCTGATAATACCAAGTGTTGGAGAGGATACAGAACAAGAGGATATGTTTCACAGTATTGGGGGCAGTGTTGGTTCAACCACTGGGAAATGTTTTTTTAAAGCGGGACATTCATATATCCAACAACCTAATAATTTTATTCCTAAATAAGAGAAATTCATTCAAGAATTCTTACGACAAATCTTTTTTTAATAACAAAATACTGGTAACATTCACAATTGACAGGAAAATAGATAAATTGTGGTACTCACACAATGGAATGCTATTCAGCATGAAAATGAATGATGTCTAGCTACAAGAAATCATATACATCAGCAGTCCCCAACCTTTGTGGCATCGGGGACCAGTTTTATAGAAGATAATTTTTCCATTGGGGGAGGAGGTGGTTTCGGGATGTTTCAAGTGCGTTACATTTTTTTTTTTTTGAGACAGAGTCTCGTTCTGTCACCCAGGCTGGAGTGCAGTGGTGCGATCTTGGCTCACTGCAACCTCTGCCTCCTGGGTTCAAGCGATTCTCCTGCCTCAGCCTCGTGAGTAGCTGGGATTACAGGCACGTACCACTACATCCAGCTAATTTTTGTATTTTTAGTAGAGATGGGGTTTCACCATGTTGGTCAGGCTGGTCTCGAACTCCTGACCTCGTGATCCGCCCGCCTCAGCCTCCCAAAGTGCTAGGATTACAGACACGAGCCACCATGCCCAGCCCAAGCACATTACATTTATTGTGCACTTTATTTCTATTATTATTACATTGTAATATATAATGAACTAATTATACAACTCACCATAATGTAGCATCAGTGGGAGCCCTGAGCTTGTTTTCCTGCAACTATATGGTCCCATCTGGGGGTGATGGGAGACAGTGACAGATCATCAGGCATTAGATTCTCATAAGGAGTGTGCAATCTAGATCCCTCAGATATGCAGTTCACAATAGGGTTCATACTCATATGAGAATCTAATGTCACCACAGATCTGACAGGAGGTGGAGCTCAGGTGGTAACACGAGCAATAGGGAGTGGCTGTAAATACAGATGAGGCTCACTCACTTGCTGCTCACCTCCTGCTGTGTGGCCCAGTTCCTAACGGGCCATGGACCAGTACTGAGGGTTGGGGATCCCTGATATAGATGACTCTTGGTAATAAAATATTTAATAAATAGCAAGTCCCAGAAAACTACATATACCATATGTTATTTTACATGCCATGAAAATACAGACTAATAACAGTGTGTCATAAAGATTAAGATTAATCTTAATGGACCTGAGGTCCATTTAAGAAAGAAAAGCACACACTTCTTTAAGAACTGGGACTTTCTACAATTTGTTTTTGTATTAACACAGGACTCTAAACAAAAGTTACTCAAATGTTAGTAGTTGTTTTATAGGAAAATGGGTTAATAACCTTAAACTGTATTCTAAAGCTCCAACTATGACCATTTTGAGTGCGTTTTAAGAAAACTGACACTTTTTAAGTCTTAGAAACTATAGTAGTCAGAGAAACTAAATGTACTGAGCAAGAAAAAGGGATGCCTTGGAAGAGGCTGAGGAAAGGAAGAGAAAGAGAGAGAGAGAGAGAGACAGAGGAGGATATGAGAGTTAATTTTAAATATCCTAATAACTGACATATGGAAGATGGACTGAAGTTAGGTTTCTGTAGCTTGGGATTGTATAAGAACCAATAAGAAAATTAGTTCTAGTTCAATATAAAGTAAAACAATAACTGGAAAGTCTCAAAATTGAATGGCCTGCCTTACAAGATGGTAAGCTTCCTATCATGAAAATATTTCAGTAAATAATATCACCAGCCACTAGGATTATTGTACAGATGTTTCTCATACTGAACATTTCCAATACTAAAATTTTCTCATTTTATGAAACTGCATATGCTATAACCTTCCATAATACTGAGTAAATGGCACTTACTTTTCGCCTGAGTTATTATTATCATTACTTTTTGGCCTATATATCACTCAATGGGCATACTCACTGGTTTGATATCATTCTCCAAAGAAGCAAGGAAGTCTCCTCTCGTCACTTGCAGGCTTTCTGCTTTCTCCATGTCCACTTCCACTTTAGTACTGGCCTAAGAAGAGATAAAAACAAAATGTAAGGACTTCCAAGATTTAAGAATAGTTAAGAATATATTCAGTTTAAGAACGTAACTCTTGAGGATTTAAAAGCATATTTTCACACATAAAAAAATCTGAAATATTTGCAAACCATATATGTGATAAGGGATTAATATCCAGAATACATAGAGAACTGCCAAAATTGAACAACAAAAAACTAAATAAAAAATGGGCAAAGAACTTAAACAAACATTTCTCCAAAGAAGATATACAAATGGCCTTAAATAAGCACATGAAAAGATGTTCAACCTCACTAATCATTAGGGAAATGCAAATCCAAACTACAAAGAGATTTCACTTCATACTCATTAGGATGGCTACTACCACAAAAATGCAGAAAATAAGAAGTGTTGGTGAGGATGCGGAGAAATCAGAACCCTTATGCACTGTTGGTGGGAACATAAGTAAAATGGTTGAGTCACTGTGGAAAACAAAAATATGGTGGTTCCTCATAAAATTAAAAATAGAATTATCATATGATCCAGCAATTCCACTTCTGGGTATATACCCCCAAAGAACTGAAAACAGGGTCTTGAAGAGATATCTGTACAGCCTTGTTCATGACAGCATTACCCACAATAGCTAAAATGTGGAAGAAATCCATATGACCATTGACAGAGGAATGGATAAACAAAATGTGTTACGTACATACAATGGAATATTATTCAGCATTAAAAAGAAAGAAAATTCTGATATCCTGCAACATGACGAACCTTGAGGACCATATGCTAAGTTAAATAAGCAAATACTGTACAATCCACTTATATGAGGTTCCTGGAGTAGCTGATATCCAAGAGACAGAAAGTAAAATGGTGGCTGCCAGGGGATAGGGAGAGGAAGGAATGGGGAGTTACTGTTTATGGGTATGGAGTTTTAGTTTTACAAGATGAAAAGAGGTCTGGAGATGAATGGTAGTGATGGTTGCACAACATTAAGAATGTATTTAATGCCACTGAATTGTACATTTAAAATGGTTACACGGTAAATTTTATGGTTTTCTGTTTTTTGTTTTTTTTTTTTTTTTTTTTTTTTGAGACGGAGTCTCACTCTGTCCCCCAGGCTGGAGTGCAGTGGCGCGATCTCGGACGCTGCAAGCTCCACCTCCCAGGTTCATGCCATTCTCCTGCCTCAGCCTCCCGAGTAGCTGGGACTACAGGTGCCCACCACCACGCCCGGCTAATTTTTTGTATTTTTACTAGAGACAGGGTTTCACCATATTAGCTAGGATGGTCTTGATCTCCTGACCTTGTGACCACCCGCCTCGGCCTCTCAAAGTGCTGGGATTACAGGCGTGAGCCACCACGCCCGGACAATTTTATGGGCATTTTAAAACAATTTTAAAAATTGGAATCAAAGAAAACACATCTCTCAAATTCACAAATATATATATCCTCTGAACAAGTCCACTTCTAGTAATTTATCCCCTAAATATATTCACAAATGTGTACAAAGTTATATGTACAAGTATATCTACTAAAGTAACTTGTTATGAAAAAAGATGGGAAGCATATTAATAATGTCTACCAAGAGGGGATCAGTTATGTAAATTAGAACACATCTGTACCAAGGGACACTGTATAGCCATTTTAACTCATGAGGCATGAGTAAGAAAAAATACATACAGAGAGTAAGAACAGTGAAAAATCCATACAAAAAGAAAATATATACAGAAATGAAAACACAGCCATACTTGGCTGCATATCAGAATAACCTCCAGAGCCTTCAGAGATATACAGGCGCTCAGTCCCATTCCCCACGGGATTTTGATTTAACAGGCCTATTAGAGGGTCTTTATAGTTTTACCAAGTACCACAGGTGATTCTGGTACTGAACCAGGCTTAAGAACCATTACTCTAGGAGACCAAGAACCTAAAACTTTCATTTGTATTAATACATTGTGCTTCAGAATCTATGTGCCAGCTCCAAATAGTCTGCTTACTGCACCTGGAGCTAGCATTTAGACATCTGGAGAAGCATCAAGGCCTTTATCAGCACTTGGAGCTGCCTGGACCAGATGAGTGATTAAGATACCAACACGTGTTTTAAAGCGACTGGGCTCACTACCAATAGCACAAAACAACACAGCCTAATTTTTAAATTGGTATCATGGCTTTGAAAAAAAAAGCATTTTCAAAAAAAGCTGACTATAAAACAAACGCATGTTAAATAAATATCAACCTTCCATCAATTATTATGAAATATGAGTCATATTTTTTTTAGGAAGAGACTGTGAGACAAATGAAGTGACAGATATAAAAAAAAGTCATCCTTGTGGGATAAAAAGAACTATGGCAGGAAGCTGGGTGAAGATGGCAAACAGAACACAGTTATTTATCTTCCCTTCCGCCCCAAATCCCACAAAATGACAGAAAGTGAGACAGAAAGGCTACAAAGCATGAAAGAAATATCCATAAGTTTTAACTGTGATCTAACAGGAGTCTCAGAAGGAGAGAACAGAAAGAGTCATAGAGAAGAAACAATAAAAGACAGAAGAGAAAAAAATTTCCTATAGCTGAAGAAAGGTGTGCCTCTGCAGTTTAAAGGGTTCAGTGAGTGATGATCGGGATAAATGAAAAGAAGCACACATCTGTCCAGACCCACTGCTGTAAACTTTCAGAGCACCAAAGGTGAAGAGAAAGTCCTAGAACCTTTCTGAGGGACAAAACAGGTTTCCTGCAAAGAAACCAGAACGAGATTGGTATGATAACTCTCACTGGCAACACTAGAAACTAGAAGACAATGAAACCATGTCTTTGAAAAGACATTTGGATGGCTACCCTAGAAAATGATTCCTTGTGTGCACAGGGAGGCAAGTAAGCATTTTCACAACAGTATTTTTTCAACAGCCACAACCAGAAATAATCCATATGTTAAATAAATTATTCATTAATTCTATTTACTGAATACCTACCAGACACCAAGCACTATCTGAGGAACTGGAGTCATAGCAGTAAATAAAACAGAAAAGGTCCCTGTGTTCATGGATCTTATATTTTCCATTATGTGGCAATATTCTAGAATACTCTGCATTTGTCCAAAATAATGAAGGGGACTTACATACACTGACACAGAAAGCTATCCAAGGAATATTTGCAAGTGAAAAATGTAAACTGCAGTATAATTCCATTAATGTTCATTTTTTTAAAAAAGCACATACGTATATGAATGTAAATATTATATAAAGAAAACAAACTTCAAAGATATATCCCAAATTTTGGCTAACTCTGGAGAGGGAAAGGAAAGTGGTGTTAGAGATGGCCTTTCTCATTTTTCCCTATATGCTTTGACATTCTTGAATCTTTTACAAAAAGAAAGCCATCATCTATAACTTCTATACTTTTAAAAATAAAGTAAAAAGTAACAAAGAGACAAATATTTTACTTCAATAGAACAATTAACATTTAAATTATTGGGCTGGGCATGGTGGCTCACGCCTGTAATCCCAGCACTTTGGGAGGCTGAGGCAATAGGATCACCAGGTCAGGAGATCGAGACCATACTGGCTAACACAGTGAAACCCTGTCTTTACTAAAAATACAAAAAAGTAGCCAGGCGTGGTGGCAGACACCTGTAGCCCCAGGTACTCAGGAGGCTGAGGCAGGAGAATGGCGTGAACCCGGGAGGCAGAGCTTGCAGTGAGTTGTGATGGCGCCACTGCACTCCAGCCTGGGCGACAGAGTGAGACTCCGTCTCAAAAACAAAAACAAACAAACAAAAAAACATAAACATTTAAATTATTAATAGGGCTTATATTGGCACATATGAGGTTTGATAAATATTAATCGCATTTATTTGGCATTTCTAAGTTTAAAAAAAGAAAAATGGGCCTGGCACGGTGGCTCACACCTATAATCCCAGCACTTTGGGAGGCCGAGGCAGGCGGATCACCTGAGGTCGGGAGTTCGAGACCAGCCTGACCTACATGGCGAAACCCTGTCTCTACTAAAAATACAAAATTAGCCAGGCATGGTGGTGGACACCTGTAATCCCAGCTACTCTGGAGGCTGAGGCAGGGGAATCGCTTGAACTCGAGAGGCGGAGGTTGTGGTGAGCCGAGATCACGCCATTGCACTCTAGCCTAGGCAACAAGAAGAAAACTCCATCTCCAAAAAAAAAAAAAAGAAAAAAAGAAAAATGGTGTCACAGGAAACAAGCATATCCGTGAAAGAATTATGATAATTAATAATATACAAATGTCTACAGTTCTTTATAGTTTATAAAGTATGTTCATACACACTATCTCATTTCACCATATCACATTATCTCATTTTATACTTATACAAACCTGGGGGTTTCCATAAGTTATAAAAGGCAGATACAGGACTTCCTTCCTAGATACCCTTATATAAAAGTTTTAACTCTGATTCAAACTTTTTGATACATCTGAAAGGATTCTACAAGATACAAACTCTCAGGCCAAAGGGAAGACAAGAGCTCTGACCGAAACATTAAAATCTCAACAAAGCTACCAGCCTCACTTTAAACACCTCTTTCCTACACAGGCCTAGGTTTTTACCATAATATTTTGCATTCTGATTCTCTTACAGTAAAACCGAATTCAAATGATAGATACATACAGCAGTATGAAAGAAAAATCTTGCCCATCTTTCAAAATTTGCCAAAAAATACGATAGATTTTAGGACTGAAGCTGGTATAAAACTTGTCATTTTGCTAATTATTAAGAAAAGACTCACCCAATTAATTGCTGAGTCCTTTCTTAAAAGTGAATTAAGATGGGTGTGGGGAAGAAGTATTTCAAAACAAACTGTTTTCAGGCACATAAGGAATTCTGTAAGTTACATAATTGTAAGCCATCAATATTCCAATTGTCAATTATTCCTACCTGCTCATTAAAATAAATTTTCTAAGGACTGCTCTTAGCTGACTTTTAGCATTTTATCAAAATTTGTAAAATTTTAAAAAGTCTATAATTCTGAATTTTTACTTTTTCAGAAAACCTTTTCTCATTTGTTTGAATTAGCAACATTTTTCCTGCATTTTATTTATAACAGCTAATCAATATAGAAGAGGCAGCATCTTTCAGCTTATACCTGCAGAAACTAATAAACTTGTATTTCAACACTAGCAAATATCAAGTGGTCACCCTTAAATTTCATAACCTTTTAAATCTGACCTTTCAAAGTTCTTATCATTCCTCTTAAATTAAGGGTAGAATGACCTTAATCAATCAAAAATTCTGCAAAAAAATAAGAAATAATTTTATGAAATTCTGTAAACATAACTTAGAGCTTTGACTCAGGTGGAAAGTGTATGTGAGAGAAAGTGTGTGTGTGTGTGTGTGTGTGTGTCCTCAGTTTATTTCCTCACAACAGATTAGAGAAAAAATTTGGGTTATGAATCTTCTCAACCTGAAGCAGAAATTCCTTTCAAGATAAAAACAACCAAATGTCACATGAATTTTAGTTGACCGCAATCATAGGTTCAAGTATAAATGACATGAACAACAGGTGTTTCTGACCAGATTTTCCACTTGTCTCAGAAAACCTGAAAAAACAGTTTAACAGGAAAGACCTGTTTAGTCCACCTGACTAAATCTTTCTTTAGGCCTCAATCTTTTGAAAAGGAAGCAAAATAACACCAATAATGGATTTTTAAAATACAAAGAAAGAACATCATAACACTTGTACGTTTTGAATGTTTTAAAGTTCAGTAACAACTTTATAAGTTTCAATTTAAATATTTATTCATCAATCACTATTAAAGCTACAAACATCTATAGCAATGGAAGACTAAAACTGTACTTCTTTTGTTTAGCCAAGGACGAGTCATTGGAAAAATAGTCTTTAAAGACCTTCTGACAATGCAGATTTTTTAAAATGCAGAAGATGAAATGTTAGTAATATTTCTTTTTGGGGGTAAGGTTAGTGTCTTACATAGCTTTCTCATCCCTAAAGTGCCTACATAGTTATTCCATTGATATGGTGAAAAGTTAGGAGCTGTTTGGTACAAGGAGCAATGATCGCAAGTCAATACATATCACCTGAAGCTTACAGATAATTCTATCATGTGGAAAAAAGTGATGGAAACATGAACTATTTGCACTACTGCTTACTTGCAAATCAGAAGGATAATATATTATGTACAAGGGTGACAAACATTTTAGCTTTACAATTAGAAAATGTGTAACTACAAAGAGTCAATAAAAATCAGAAATTCATATATTGAAAAGTACTGATATCCTCTCAAATCAGCCAATTAAAAAAATGGAGATAACTAGCATTTATAGAGTTTACAAGGCACTTTTATATAAAGTATTTGCTTTCATTCTCATAAAAATCTGATTAGATAGGTAGTGTCTCCCCTTGACAGGTCAGAAACAAAAAGGTGGAAGAAATATAATGCATAACCACACCTTCTGACTACGATATCTGCGATCTTCCCACCATCCCTCATTGCCTCATATGTAGATAAACCCAATATATGCTTGAAGAAAGCATGTTTCTTACTGAGACAACGGCTTAAAGTGAAATTTTGGGATAGGATTATTGTAGTTAAAATGACAGATGACTAAATAAGAGAAAAATTCCATGGCCAACACATATGAAAAATATGACAACTAGTAAACTAGTTACTGTGGATTACATCAAGATGCACCCATGTGGTCTGAGATGAAAGATCAGTATGGTAGGGACCAGTTTTCACACTGTTTACATCATTTTTCTTGAAGTTGCCATCTCTTCTTATTAAAACAGTATAGCATGGCCGGGCATGGTGGCTCACGCCTGTAATCCCAAAACTTTGGGAGGCCGAGGCAGGCGGATCACGAGGTCAGGAGATCGAGACCATCCTGGCTAACACGGTGATCCCATCTCAACTAAAAATACAAAAACTTAGCCAGGCGTGATGGTGGGTGCCTGTAGTCCCAGCTACTTGGGAGGCTGAGGCAGGAGAATGGCTGAACCTGGAAGGTGGAGCTTGCAGTGAGCCGAGATTGCACCACTGCACTCCAGCCTGGGCGACAGAGTGAGACTCCGTCTCAAAACAAACAAACAAGGAAGAATAAAAACATAGTCCCTGAATGGATCCATTATATAAAGACCCAATACAATATTCCCACACCATCCAAACCTTTGGCATTCTTGAGCTAGAACAAATCCACCTCTATTATGTAGGGAAATTATGACTTATGGATAGAGCGTGATTCAGAATAGTTACGTAAGTTTACTCATTTAAAAAATATTGGCTGGGCATGGTGGCTCACACCTGTAATCCCAACATTTTGGGAGGCTGAGGCGGGCGGATCACGAGGTCAGGGGTTTGAGACCAGCCTGGCCAACATGGTGAAAACCCATCTCTACTAAAGATACAAAAAATTAGCTGGGCGTGGTGGCACATGCCTGTAGTCCCAGCTACTTGGGAGGCTGAGGCAGGAGAATCACTTGAACCCAGGAGGCAGAGGTTGCAGTGAGCGAAGACTGTGCCACTGCACTCCAGCCTGGGCGACAGAGTAAGACTCTGTTTCAAAAAAAAAAAAAGAAAAATAATTTACTGGACACCTACCATGTGCTCATTATTTAGATCTATCTGGGGTACTATGGGAGACTCTGAGGTGAATAAGATAAGGATTTAAAGTCTAGAACAAGGGCCAGCAAACTTCTGTAAAGTGGCAGATAGTACCTAAAATAAAAGCACTAAAATAGGCTTTGTGGGCCATGCAGCCCCTATTGCAAATACTCAACTCTGCCACTGTAGCATGCAGGCAGCCATAGACAGTACACAAATTAATGTGTACTGTTCCAAAAAAGCCCTTTATTTATAAAAACTGGTAGTTGGCTGGATTCCTGGTCTAGAACCAGTGATAGGATATACCCAAATATCTACATACTCAACCTAACTGTTCAGGCTTTTATTTCTTGCCTGAACTGTTATAAAAGCTCCCCCTCTTGTCCTGTGTCGCCAACTCCACTCCTCTAACTACTCCACTCGACAGAGCTGCCAGAGTGATCTTATGTTTTAACACTATGTCACTGCTATTCTTAAAACTCAATGGCTTAGCACTACTCACAGAAAAAAAGTCCATACTTCTTAGCAGAGTATAAAAGGCTCTTTGTGCTCCATCCCTACTTTAGTCTCCTGACTTATCCCCCACAATCTCTCTACCATCCCTCCCCTAACTTCCATGCTGAAGCAATACTAAACTACTCCAACGCACTATGCTATTCTGTGTCTCTGCTTCTTTGCATATGTTGTTCCCTCTACCTAAAAGGCCCTGCTCTACCAACAGACATGCATATGAAGGTTTCTCTCACCCCACAAGTTGACCATATCTGACATGAGTTCACTCTCTTGCCTTGCATGTACTTTCTGTTACTGCACGTGGAGGGTTAGACTGAGGGCAGCTTAATGGTAGGTACTTTACTTCTTTGCAGTCGGGGTATTAACTCCTAGCACAGGGTCTAGCATGCAGTAGATGCCGAATAAATCTACTGTGAACCAAAGTCAACTGACAGTACCATAAATGATACATTACTATTTCAAGAAGGAAACGGGTATAACATTCTTGAAAGGGAAAATGTGAAAAGGTGTGAGGACAGTGGTAGCATATGAGCCAGGTTTTGAAAAGACAGGTAAACGTAGAGGATGAAGATCCTCAGTGATGCAAAAAAAACAAAACCAAAGCAGAGATGTTGAAAAATAAATTAATGTCTGATGACCGGTGATTATTTAAGTTTGGCTGAAGTATGTGGAGAATAATCAGGAGCACATTTGGAAAGGCCAGTTAGGGTCAGATCTAGAGGACCCAAAAGACCCAAAAGAAGCCTGTACTTTGTTTTGTAAATGATGGGGAATCACTGAAAGTGTCTGAATGGTTGAATGATATGATACAGGAAGGTTAATCAAAGAGAAGGTGGGTAGTGGCAGTGAGAACTAAAAGGCACTGCCAAGACAGAACTGAAAAAATTTGGCAAGTGACTTGACCTAGGGCACAGTAGAGTGCCAGGAATCAAAGATAATCCTGATGTTTTAAGCCTGGGAAATTGGGATAAACAGGGAAATGCGAGCAGAAAGGAAAGTAGTAAAAAAGACAATAAATTTGGTTTTGCAATATTAAATCTGAGACCTGATAAAACATCTAGGTGAGGGTATTTAGTACAAATCTGAAAGTAGGAGACAGATATGTTCAGTAAATCTGTCTACAGGTGGTAACTAAAACCTAAAGGAGAGAAGAGATGGAAGATCAAGAGCACTTTATCAAAATAAAAGTATCCTAGTACGTATTTCTACCATGGTAACTACAATATTATTGTACTAATTTGAAAATATGTCCATTTTCCTGACTCTGAACTCCTTGAGGGAAGAGTTCACAATTATCTTTATGTCTCCAGCCCAATAGCTTGAACACATCAACTATTCAATATATTTGCTGAATAAAGCAGCCCCCAAAATTCTAGTACGTGGAAACTCCCACTTCCTCTGACATATTACAACTTTTTTTTTTTTTTTGGAGACGGAATCTCGCTCTGTCACCCAGGCTGGAGTGCAGTGGCGCAATCTCAGCTCACTTCAAGCTCTGCCTCCTGGGTTCACACCATTCTCTTGCCTCAGCCTCCCGAGTAGCCGGGACTACAGGTGCCCGCCACCATGCCCGGCTAATTTTTTGTATTTTTAGTGGAGACGGGGTTTCACCGTGTTAGCCAGGATGGTCTCGATCTCCTGACCTTGTGATCCGCCCGCCTCAGCCTCCCAAAGTGCTGGGATTACAGGCATGAGCCACCATGCCTGGCCATATTACAACTTTTAATACAATACAAAGATTTAAAAACACTTCTTCAAAATTTTCACTTTACGTGTCTGTGTCAGATGGTGATGACCTAAGGTAGATGAGTCAGTGGTTACTACAGGGCAGATGCAAACATTATCTTCCTTCCTGCTACTCTGAAGATTTAGCAGTTGACAATTAATTCTTATTCCTTTTACCATCTCTTCTCCACCAAAAGTCAGCATTTCCCTACCCCTTGATATGCTTGAAAGGAAAGAGAAAGAATACTGGCATAATGTTTATAATCTGTTTAGCTGATTTTCCTGACCTTTATGTGTCTATTCATAGCAGTGGACTGGGCTGCTCGCACCAGACCCTCCAATTCAGCACCACTGAAATTCTTGGTCTCCACGGCCAGTTCTTTAATGTCTACATCAGCAGAGAGTAACTGATGCCCTCTCATTCTTGCTGTGTGGATGTGAAGAATCTGTAGTCGGCCTTTCTCATCTGGCAAGCCTGATGAAATTAAAAATAAAATAGGCATTTTCCTAGTCTCGAAAGCACCATCAGAGGAGATTATCATTATTATTATTACTATTATTTTGAGACAGAGTCTCGCTCTGTTTCCCAGGCTGGAGTGCAGTGGTACGATCTCAGCTCACTGCAACCTCTGCCTCCTGGATTCAGGCGATTCTCCTATCTCAGCCTTCCGAGTAGCTGGAATTACAGGTGCACACCACCACACTCGGCTAAGTTTTTTGTATTTTTAGTAGAGAAGGGGTTTCACCATCTTGGCCAGGCTGGTCTCGAACAACTGGCCTCAAGTGATCCACCTGCCTCAGCCTCCCAAAGTGCTGGGATTACAGGTGTGAGCCACTGCGCCCAGCCTAGAGGAGATTATTATGATCCTAATGTTTTCCTTATAGGTACTCAAGCATGTAAACATCTACTTCTCATGATATAAACCTTTTCTAAAAAATACTACACCATATGACATTGTTCCTGTTAATGAACTCTAAATGCCTCCACTCCCCCCACCACACACCCAATCAGTGACAGATCTCCTTACCTATCTCCATTTTAACTTCCAGTCTTCCAGGTCTAAGAAGAGCCTCATCTATCAGATCTGGTCTATTGGTCATTCCTGAACACAGATGTTAAAACAAAACAACAAATGATCAGAGTTCAAAAATAAAATCAAATGTCCTTTTAGTATATGTAAGAATAGTAATTTCCCTAACAAGCTAAGGAGACTTTGCTTTACTATTTCACTACTGTATAAGCCAATGGAATATAAATGTTATGAAAACTTCCAGTATTTAAAAAGAAAATTTAAGATTCAAAGGGTAAATAATCTGTCAAAGTGACAGAGGGGCAATGTGACACGATCTCTCTGACTCCAAAGTTCCTTCTCTTTTTTACAGGCCAGTGGTTTTCAGACTTCATAAAACAGCAGGGTGTTTTTTTTTTTTTTCCCCCAGAAGTCATCTTCAGAAGCACCTCAGTACATAAAACAGCTAAAAGAGGAAGTTATAATAGTGATGTAGGATCTGAAACGCACTCCCTGGCCCTCACTGACCCTGAAAGCACCTCTGAGGACCCCCGAAGGCCTGCAAGACCCAGTTTGAAAACCACTGCATTCCATTGTTTCATGTGTATTTTTCATTTTTGGGTGAGCTATAAGCTTCAACCTACATCTTTTTCACCTGTGGGTGAGCTATAAGCTTAAACCTACAAGTGACTGAAATCCATCTTTTATTTTTCCTATTAAGCCTAGGCATTACAATAGATTCTTCAATATCACTGGATTCTAATTTGGAAACACTGGCAAAACAGTTTAATCACAACCTACACACATCTTAATTCAGAACTTATGGCTAACGTTTTTGAATGAATAGTACTTTTTTAAAAAGTAAACATACCAATGACTAGGATGTTGTTTAGCTGCTCCACGCCATCAATTTTGGACAGCAACTGGTTGACAACAGTGTCATGAACTCCCGTGCTACCAGCCATGCTCCCTCTCTGCTTGCAGATGGCATCAATTTCATCAAAGATGATGATGTGCAAACCACTGTTAGCACCAAGCTATTAGGGGAAGAAATTATATTAAAGATCATAATTTGAATGTCTTATTAAACAAACTAATCAGAAAAACAAAACAAAGCTTTCAACAGATTGACTTCACTTCATTTTGACTAATAAATATGGCAAGTGCAATTGTGGTTGTTGTCCTCTCAAAGGTGTTGGAACTAGATTCTCAGAATTCTGCAAACTGAAAACTCATTCTAGAACCTCATATTTAATAGCTATAAAATGAAAATACACATTATATACTGATAGTGTGTGTGTATAGATAGAAAGTAAGTAGTCGATCAAATAATTTATATACATTTCTTATCTCACTATTTGAAAGACCTTACATTTGTCAGATACTTTCATTAAGTCAGTCAGTGGCAACACCCTCCCATTTTCCCTGAGTTTTGGTGAGAAGACTGTCCCAGAAGCAGTAGGTTTAATGTTTGTTTCGTTATATTATGTAACTAAAGGTTAACTCCACCTACAGGTTGACTGGGAATTGGACAAATGAGTGAAGAAACTCAACATGACTCACATGTACTTATATTACATGAAAACAGATTACGCCTTCCTAACAATAAAGTGAGAACAGAGACGGTTTATAAAAAGAACATGGTTAACAGGGTGCTGTTTCTTCTGCATAATGATTTCTGCCTTAGTTTACTAGAAATAGAATCACCATTAAAAGAAATTAGTTTGTATATTTTGAATCTTTAACAGATACAAACACTTCTGAATGCTACTAATTCATTAGGTTAATTTAACACGTACCTTCTAAAATTTATATTTAAGTAATTTAGTCTCCTATCAGGGAGTAAAGTGCACTCTGGAAATTTTTTCTTTTATAAACAAAAAACACGGCCGGGTGCGGTGGCTCCTGCCTGTAATCCCAGCACTTTGGGAGGCAGAGGAGGATGGATCAACTTAGGTCAGGAGTTCGAGACCAGCCTGGCCAACATGGTGAAACCCTATCTCTACTAAAAATACAAAAATTAGCTGGGTGTGGTGGCAGGTGCCTGTAATCCCAGCTACTCTGGAGGCTGAGGCAGGAAAATCACCTGAACCCAGGAGGCAGAGGTTGCAGTGAGCCGAGACTGCACCACTGCACTCCAGCCTGGGCGACAGAGTGAGACTCCGTCTCAAAAACAAAAAATACTAGGGATTAACAAAACTGGTAAAAAATGAACATAACCTAAATATGACAACATACGGATAATAAAAATTAAATGAGCATAATGAGACTGAGGATTAAATATGGTTAGTATCCATTAAATCTCCGATAAGGATATAATCGTTGTTTTGTTTGTTTGTTTGTTTGAGATGAAGTCTTGCTCTGCTGCCCAGGCTGGAGTGCAATGACGCAATCTTAGCTCACTGCAACCTCTGCCTCCCGGGTTCAAGTGATTCTCCTGTCTCAGCTTCCTGAGTAGCTGGGATTGTAGGCATGTGCTACCACTCCTGGCTAATTTTTGTATTTTTAGTAGAGACGGGG
Source organism: Homo sapiens (assembly GCF_000001405.40). Lineage (NCBI taxonomy): Eukaryota > Metazoa > Chordata > Mammalia > Primates > Hominidae > Homo > Homo sapiens. The sequence continues at coordinate 46,691,419 of NC_000017.11, read as the reverse complement.
TTTCACCATGTTTGCCAGGCTGGTCTCGAACTCCTGACCTCAGGTGATTCACTCAGCGCAGCCTCCCAAAGTGCTGGGATTACAGGCGTGAGCCACCATGCCCAGCCTAATCTTTGTTTTAATAAGAGAATGTTTTTTAACTTTTTAAAGGAGTAGTAGATTTGTTAACAGAGCAAAAGTTGTAAAACAAATAAAGTGTAAAAATAAAGCTGGGCAGAGTGGTACGTGCCTATAGTCCCAGCTACTCTGGAGGCTGAGGCTGGAGGAATCCTTGAGCCCAGGAGCTGGAGTCCAGCCTGGGCAACACAGTGAGATTCCATCACTAAAAACATAAATTAAAATATACTACATTTGCCATGGCTTGTGCCTGTAATCCCAGCTACTTGGAAAGCAGAGGTGGGAAGACTGCTTCAGGCCAGGAGTTCAAGACCAGCCTGGGCAACATAGTGACATCCCATCAATAAAGACCCATCTATAAAACATCATTACATTACCTAAAGATAAGTGCTGTTAATGGTCCACAGATTTCTATATTTTAACTAAATATTAAGAACTTACTGCACCTTGTATTCTCTTGAATATTATTCTTTGAAAACGATTTTCAATGGTTATTTTTGCTTCCAATTGCAAAATATATAATTATAAAAAATGTGGGAAAATAGCAAAAAATAAAGAAATCACAATCATCTCAAACTCAGCCAAAATGGAGCTATGTAATACCTTGCATCCTGTTTTTCAGTACAGGTATTATTTTAAACCCTTTCCCATCCCTATACAATATATATATATATATATTTTTTTTTTTTTTGAGACGGAGTCTCACTCTGTTGCCCAGGCTGGAGTGCAGTGGCGTGATCTTGGCTCACTGCAAGCTCCGCCTCCCGGGTTCACGCCATTCTCCTGCCTCAGACTCCCGAGTAGCTGGGACTACAGGCGCCCACCACCATGCCCGGCTAATTTTTTTTTTGTATTTTTTTTTTAGTAGAGATGGGTTTCACCGTGTTAGCCAGGATGGTCTCGATCTCCTGACCTTGTGATCCGCCTGCCTTGCCCTCCCAAAGTGCTGGGATTACAGGAGTGAGCCACCGCGCCTGGCCGATGATATGATTTTTAATAGCTCTATAATATTTAATCATATGAATGGTTTCACAGTTTAACTCTCCTACTCCATATTCATTCCTTACTGTTAGATATTTAATTATTTCTAAGTTTTTAGTATTATATATGTTGCTGCAATAAACATTTTCTTTTTTCATTCTTTGTAGAGACAGGATCTCACTCTGTTGCCCAGGCTGGAGTGCAGTGGTGCGATCAAAGCTCACTGCAGCCTCAAACTCCTGGGCTCAAGCAATCCCCCACCTCAGCCTCCCGAGTGGCTGGGACTACAGATGCGTGCTACCACGCCTGGAAAATATTTTATTTTTTTTTGTAGAGATGGGGTTTTGCCATGTTGCTCAGGCTGGTCTTGAACTCCAGGACTCAAGTGATCCTCCTGCCTCAACCTCCCAAAGTGCTGCGATTACAAATGTGAGCCACTGTACCCAGCCTACAATGAACACTTTTATACTTAAACGCTTGACAATATAGATGAATACTTGCTAAAGGCAAATTGTTAGGTTAAAAGGTGTGTTAAGTATTTTAAGGCCCTTGAAATAGGAACACTTGAAAAAGTAGAAACACTTTTCCAGAAAGGTTTTATCAATCTATAATCCCAGCACAGTACCTGATAGTGCCTATCTTGGTATATTCCCACAAGTAATGAATATTAGAAACACTTTAAAAGTAATTCTCAATTTGATAGATGGACAATAGTATCTTTCTGTTGTTTTTAAATCACATTTATCTAATTACTGAAGGGGCTGGTGCTGTTAAAAAATCATGTTTTTACCATTGGTAATTTTATTAGTATTTGATATGTCTTCTATACCCTTTTCTGTTGAAATTCAAGAGCTTTTCCTATTGATTAAAAAATGATTTATACATTAGGGCCATTATTATACTTGTAACTACTTTATTCTAGTTTGCCAGTTGTCTTTTCTTTATGGCATGTGTGCATATATATAAGTATATATATTTTTTTGAGATGGACTTTCGCTCTGTCGTTCAGGCTGGAGTGCAGTGGTATGATCTCTGCTCATGCAACCTCCGCCTCCCAGGTTCAAGCGATTCTCGTGCCTCAGCCTCTCACATCTGGGATTACAGACGTGCACCATCAAGTCTGGCTAATTTTGTATTTTTAGTAGAGACAGGGTTTCACCACGTTGGCCAGGCTGGTCTCAAACTCCAGACCTCAGGTATTTGCCCACCTCGGCCTCCCAAAGTGCTGAGATTACAGGCGAGAGCCACTGTGCCCAGCCTATTTATGGTATATTTTCGGTAAGTGGAAGGCGTTTTCTGTTTCTACTAAACAGCCAGCACAATTTTTATTTTTATGATATTTTCATTAGTTTTATCCTTAAAATTGTTCCCCATTACAGACACTGATGGTCACATATTTTCTTTTCTTAAATTTTTGCTTTACATATAATTCTTTATCTGGTGTTTTATTTTTGTGTATGGTACAAGTAAAGTGAGAAGCCAACTAATTCTTCTTCAAATAACCGACCCAGCATTGTTCCCTAAATTATCCCTCCTTTCTTCGTTGACTGAGCTGCCATCATACCAAGGTTTGGACTTTGATGTATGCTAGGTTATTACCAGCCTGTCTACTCTGCTCAATGGATTCATTCATGTTTTTATCTCCATAACTTTACAGTAGTACATTGAAGAAGCTCTTCTCCTCTATACATTCTTCTTTTTCATAACTATCTTGGCTATTTCCAACCATGTGTATTTCCAAATGAACATCAGAATCATTCTTATGAGGGGGAATAACCTCCACCAATTAAAAATAAAAAAATAAAGAACAGACAAAAACCCAAGCTCTGACTGAAATTAGGTTAAATATCTAAGTTTAGGAAATACTAAAATCTGTATAGCATATTTGGTTTTTTAGAAGAATAATGCCTCTCCAATTATTCAACACTTTTACGTCTCTCAGTAAAGTTTTAAAATTTATTTTTATTTTTATTTTTAGAGATAAGGTCTCACTATGTTGCCCAGGCTGGTCTTGAACTCCTAGACTTAAGTGATCCTCCCACCTTGGCTTCCCAAAGTGCTAGGATTACAGGCGTGAGCCATTGGGCCCAGCTTCCCAATAAAGTTTTATAGTTTTTGTTGTTTAAATTCCTTCATTCCTTCATAAAGATTCCTAGCTATGTTTTTTGGTGGCAATTGTGATGGGATTTTTCTATTATATTTCAGAAACAGTATAGAAGTATGAAGGAAATATATTTTTATGTATTTATTTTATATATGGCTACTTTACTCTTATTTATAATATCTAAGTTTTTAAAAAAATCTGACTCTTTTGAATTTCCTAGGTAGACAATCATACCACCTACAAATACAACTTGTATCCTCCTTACTAACAGGTATACCTGCTTTTGGGTATGAGAAGCTGTACCAAAACAAAGACATATAAAAGGGGAAAGAGAGGGTCTAATAGCTAAGAAGTTAGAAGCATGTGGGTTCAACTGAACAGAAGGCCCAGAGGCAGTCAAGGTCCTATAAAAGGGATAATAAAATTTACCTAATGTGAGAAGCAGAAGTTATAGTACTATCATGACAGACTGAAATCTAGAATTAGGCCTTCCTACTGAAACAGAGGACATCAGTAAATGAACTGCAAAGTAGAATGCTCTTTATATAAAATGATTTTATTCTTGGCTTTAGGATGAAAAGGAGTATGCACTTGGAAGGTCAGTGAGAAACAAATAATGGTACATAAATGAGGCAAGCAGAATCTAAACAGAATGAGAATTTTGGTGACAGGAGTGGTGATGACCAAACAGCAAATGCTAGATTTGATTATTGCTTGCATGTAGGGTGGAAGACTGACAGTGAAGAAAAGAAATTACCCTGTAGTATGATAAGGAAGCTGCAGAAGGGAAAAGATACAAGGGAATTTTTTTTGTTTGTTTGTTTGTTTCTAGCATGATAAGATTAAAGAGTTAACAAGACATCTATTTGGAAAGGCCTCCAAATAGAGAACAAGATATACACAACTGAATAAAAAAGGATAGCAAGATACATCTGAACGTCTTCTGCAAATAGTAAAGAATAGTCTTGTAGCAAGCCGTAGATACCGTAAGAAGATGGATCATATAATTAAGCTGGAGGAATATAAAAGCAGGACAGATTCTGGGCTACAATACCAGAATATACCTATAGTAATCTGAAGAAAAGGGGGAATAAAAAAATGACAAAGATGAAAGATGAAATGTTACATCAGACATAGGAAGAAAGAGTTCCAAAAATGACCTGAAGGAAATTCAACTGGGTCAAAAACAAACCCTGAATATATATTTTTAAATAAAAAATAGATAAAATGCTATATGACCTAAAAATTCCACTACTTGGTTTATAGCAGCTCTGCTCATAATTGCCCCAAACTAGAAAACAACCCAATTGGCCTTCAGTGGGTCAAGAGATAAACAAATGATAGTACACCCACACAATTAAATACTATTCAACAATAAAAAGGGATGTTTGACACATGCAACAACTTGGATGAATCTCAAAGGCATTATGCTGAAGACAGCCAGTCCCCAAAGGTTACATAGTGTATGACGCCATTTATATGACATTCTTGAAAAGATAAAACTACAGGGATGGAGAACACATTGGTAGTTACCAGGGTTACTAAAAAGAAAGGGTGACCAGTAAGGGACTGCATGAAGGAGTTTTTGGGGGTGATGCAAATGTTCTACATCCTGATTTTTACAGTGGTTCCATGAATCTATACATGTATGAAATTTCATAAAACTACATACAAAAAGAGAAAAATTCATTTTACAGCATAATAAACCAGATAAAATAATAATAAATTCTATTCTTTAATGCAATTGTATGTAGGATGACAGATGTCCATCAAAGTTTCTAAAGTTTCATTAGGTTTTATTTTTGTTCCTGAACATTACTTACAAATTGTTCTCCCTCCATATTTTAAAACCTAATTTCAAATCTGAGGGAAAAAAACTTCATTTTTCTGTATCATTGCATTTACTGAATAGATATCTAATGATAAATAACTTGCTTCCTAAAAAAAAATTCAATACCAAAAACTGTTCATCTTTCCATCTGGAGAAAAAATTGGAAATGAGGAATTGGAACTACAACCTTAACTTTGCCAAAGTACTTCTATACAGCAGGATATTAATTCTTGTCATCTTCAGTGACAACAAGGATACTTCTGTTTGTGACTGAAAAACTGTGAAATTTTACATTATTTTTTAAAGTTTTTTTTTTCTTCAAGGTTGTCTGCCCTATACAGCATGAAACAAAAAGCTGCTATAATATATGAGTTTTACTGTCAATGTGCCTTATGTTGTTGATGGAATCATGATTTCCTTCTCAGCCCAACCTCAAAAATCACGTATGTGGACAAGGACAAAGACAATACGAACACTGTTTGATTAAATGATCACGGAGGCAATCTGTTCTAAACATAATTCAGTACAATTCTGACCTTTTCAGAACCTTACTAATCTTGTTACCTGTCATCAGGTCCCTTACCCCACCTAGTCAGTACAATAACATCAAATTTTACATTGTGTGTTACTTAAATAAAAGCAAGATCTTATTCCAAGAAATTGGGAATTGGGTAAAGAAGATGTCAAGATTAACGTTCACAGACTAATATAGCTGATTCATCAATAAACCCTTTATCAAAAAAATTAAATTTCCACAGCACAATCCTCTTCCATTCATTGGCTTCTAGCTCTGTTTTTAACATCTGCAAAGTCTTTCTCCATAGAAACAGAGCTGACGCTGTTGAGCCCTGGCAACAGCTTTCAAAAGCGGCTGTTCTATATTTAACTAGTTTGACCTATATGCAAGTGTTCATCTCCGTCAGTGTGGACTGTCCAAAATTACAGAAGTGATGTTTTTCTTTATTATGTAACACACATATATATCCTGCATGAGGTCATTAGCTGAGTACATCAAGCCATTTCTGGATGTGAGAAAGGTATAACTGAAAAGGCTGGCTATAATTAATATCGAACTGGAAATTCTTTGCTAACTCAATTTTATCATCAGTAGTTTAATATTTAAATTGCTTGCAACTTTAAAAACAGCACCAAAGTTACCTATGCAGCCATGTGGTTAACTATCACAACTGAGATGTTATAAAATGCTTCTCCATATGGCATTTTAACTCACTTCTGCCTAGTGTTTAATCCTCAGTATCTCATTAGGGTCCGTTAGACCCAATCTCAGTTTCTGAGTTTCTGTTTTAAGTAGTACTATTTATAAAAATTGATATCTCATGACTTTTTTCCTTTTTCCAAAGAGCAAACAAACAAAACAAAAAACCCAATATTTAAAAAAATAGAATAAAATTCTATCTTACAATTGCCATTTGGATCTACTAGATCTTTTTATGAATCTAAGACACATTATGCTATTTCATCACACTAGAAATTACATCATTACTCATCAATTATTCTCAACTATGCTTAAAAAGGATTAAAATAAGAAAATAGAAGAATGAAGTCTTTGCCCATGCCTATGTCCTGAAAGGTATTGCCTACGGTTTTTTTTAGGATTTTTACGGTTTTAGGTCTTACATTTAAATCTTTAAACCATCTTGAGTTAATTTTTGTATAATTTTCTGCATATGGCTAGCCAGTTTTCCCAACACCATTTATTAAATAGGGAATCCTTTCCCCATTGCTTGTTTTTGTCAGGTTTGTCAAAGATCAGATGGTTGTAGATGTGTGGCATTATTTCTGAGGCCTCTGTTCTGTTCCTTTGGTCTATGTATCTGTTTTGGTAACAGTACCATGCTGTTTCAACAGTGTGGTGATTCCTGAAGGATCCAGAACCAGAAATACCATTTGACCCAGCAATCCCATTACAATCATTCGACTATAAAGACACATGCACACATGTTTATTGAGGCACTGTTCACAATAGCAAAGACTTGGAACCAACCCAAATGCCCATCAACGATAGACTAGATAAAGAAAACGTGGCACATGGAATACCATGCAGCCATAAAAACAGATGAGTTCATGTCCTTGGCAGGGACATGGATGAAGCTGGAAACCATCATTCTCAGCAAACCAACACAGGACCAGAAAACCAAACACCACATGTTCTCACTCATAAGTGGGAAATGAACAATGAGAACACATGGTCACAGGGAGGGGAACATCATACACTGGGGCCTGTCAGTGGGTGGGGGGGCTAGGGGAGGGATAGCATTAGGAGAAATACCTAATGTAGATGACGGGTTGATGGGTGCAGCCAGTCACCATGGCATGTGTATACCTATGTAACAAACCTGCAAGTTCTGCACATGTATCCCAGAACTTAAAGTATAATAAAAAATGACTAAATTACTTAGAAACAGTGAAACAAGTATCACTATGACATCACTCTTCAGTTTTCTTACTGTGTTGTGCAAGATATGTGTTATCTTTCAAGAAGGCATAAAAGAAGTCTGGAGCTAACATCTTTTGTGACCTCATTCTACATTTTATTGAATACGATTAAGCATTAACATTTGTAAGTTCTCTAGCCAGAATGACGAAGAAAATCTGAGGAAACTGTTTTAGAATTATTAGATGAGTCAGAAGTTGAACACAAAGAATAAGATAGGAGCACTTAGGACTCTAATAAAGATGCTGAAATTGATGATTATAAGTAAAATCTCAGTCTATGTGTCTTCAGATGATGATGCCCTACATACATTTTCTCAAACTCAAGAATCAATGAGTGAATAATATACTTTTAATCTAAGGACAAAGCATTTTCATTCAGTTACTTATTCAATAGAAAGTCTTCTTTGTGGAATATCTTGTGACAAGAAATGAGGCCATCCCATTTTGCTAAAAGGACACATGACAGTATTCTTTCATCTTTTATTTCATTTGTGCACCAAATTTTCTTGATATAGTTTAAAAGTAGACAGATGCTGAAGGCAGGTATTACAGAGAGATAGCCAGAAGAAATAGATGAAGTAGACATTAAAAAATTGGATTGACCATAAAAAACAGAATTGATCATTCTGAAAGGTATCTACAAATCTAAAAATAAAAATGTTTTGCAACTGTGGAACATATAATGGTCATCCTCTCTTCAACAAAATTAGGAGCCAAAGATCTCAAAAAAATTCTTAAAGCATTATGTTTTGATGCTGTAAGTGCAAGAAGAACCAGAAGTAATAATAATTTAGAAGCCAACAAAGATGTATTTGAAACTTAGAATCAGTATTTGTAAGTTCATGCAGGACAGCTGATGAACAGTTACTGCATTCAGAGGCTCCTGCCCATTTGGGGTATACAGGTTGAGTATCCCTAATCCAAAAATTCAAAATCCAAAATGTTCCAAAATCTGAAAGGTGCACCACACACAGGGGGTTACTGTATGATAATCTTTTAATCAAAACACAACATCAGCTGGGCATGGTAGCTCACACCTGTCATTTCAGCACTTTGGGAGGCTCAGGCAGGAGGATCGCTTGAGCCCAGGAGTTTGAGACCAGCCTGGGCAACCTAGGGAGACCTTGTCTCTACAAAAAGATTTTTAAAATTAGCCAGGTATGGTGGTGCACACCTGTAGTCCCAGCTACTCGGGAGGCTGAGGTAGGAGGACGGCTTGAGCCCAGGAGTTTGAGGCTGCGGTGAGCCATGATGGTGCCACTGCATGCCAGCCTAGGCGATGGAGTGAGACCCCATCTCAAAAAACCAAACCAAAACAAAAGCCCCCCACAACATCGTAGGTGGTGACTGAAACTGTTGCTGTTTGGTGTTGCTGTTGTTTAACAGCTTATCCAGGTATTCTGGTGATGCCATTGTGCTGCTTAGTTACCCTAAACTCACTATTTTTTCACTGTATTAATGGTGTGTCATATTTTTTACTGTTAAGTACTTGTGTCTCAATACATGTATGAAAACGATTATTTATCAGGCATATAAATTTACACTCAGAAACAATGGTGATGCCAACCAACCACAGACCATCCACATCTAGTGGCTGAGATAGTGATGCCTTAGCTTTCTGATGGTTCAATGTACACAGACTTTGTTTCAGTAACAAAATTATTTAAAATATTGTACAGAATTACCTTCAGGCTGTGTGTACAAGGTATATACAAAACATAAATGGATTTCATGTTTAGACCAGAGTCCCAACGCCAAGATATCTTAATGTATATGCAAATATTCCAAAAACCAAAATCCAAAACACCTCAAGACCAGGGAAACATGGCATAAAAATTTTATTTATATATTTAAGTTCTTATTTAATTTTTAATAGTTTTTTATCTCTTTATTCTTGTATTTTGTAAATTATTTGGAAAATAATCTAAAATAATTTTTAAGCGGAGTTTATTCAACCTAGATAGTATATGGTGATGACTGTTTTTCTTGGTACACTGAGGTAAGTTAAAAAGATAAGTGAAGCAGAAACAATCTTAGTATTAGGAATGAACTGCAAAACTGACTGGTTCCGGGACTTTCTGAAGAGTTGAAATAGTGAATGGACTTGCACCAACCCACCAAGACCCACACCTGCTAGAACCAATGAGACTGATCTAGCTGGAGACCTGAACAAGAACTTAATGAAATGCTGGAAAGCAGGAAAGGAAACGACCTTGTATAAAATTGAAACAATTAAGGACCCAACAAGCAGACTTAAAGCACTAAGAGGATTGCTATAAAGGGAATATTTAATATTATTTTACCCTCAACAAAAATTTTAAATGGTAGGATAGATTAATTCAGTACAGCTTACTAGGTTTTTTTTTTGAAGACGAGATGTTATATTTCTGAGTGTTATTCATGTCGATCTATGTAAATCTATTATTCATTTTATTTTTTTGAGACAGGGTCTCATTCTGTTGCCCAAGCGGGAGTGCAGTGGCACTATCACAGCTCACTGCAGCCTTGACCTCCCCGGCACAAGTGACCATCCCACCTCAGCCTCCTAAGTGGCTGGGACCACAGGAATGTGCCACCATGCCTGGCTAATTTTTAATTTTTGTAGAGGTGGGGTCTCACTATGTTGCCCATGATGGTCTTCAACTCCTGGGCTCAAATGATCCTCTGCCTTGGCATCCTGAAGTGCTGGGATTACAGGCGTGGGCCACTGTGCTCAGCATATTCATTTTAATATCTGTATGCTATTCCATTTCCTACTAAGGAAGAGTAATGATGTTTCTTTTTCCTCTATTACAAATAGCATGACAATCAACATCCTGGTACATGTCATGTTGTTTATCATAGGTAGTGGTCTTGAAGTAGAACTCATGGGGTTTGTGCATTTTCATTTTTGTAAGATGTCAAATTTATTTGCAAGATACTACCCACTTGGTATATTCTTCTAGTTTATACTCCAACTAGCAATGTATATGAGACCTTGTTTCTCCATAACCCCACAAACTCTTGGTTTTACCAGCTGTTGTAAATTTTGCCAGGTTGTTTAAGAAATAATCCCTCTTTTATTATACATTTTCCTGAATATCTTTTCATTTGCTTTTCTTCAATTGTGTTCTTTCTCTGAGAACTACGTGTTAAATCCTTCGACAGTTTTTTTAAATTGTGGTATTTATATTTTTCTTATTATACAAGACTTTTTATAGAGAATTTATTATAGAGGATGCCAATTCTTTGTAGATTATATACACTGCAAATATCTTCTCCCAGTTTGAGACATTTGTATTCAGTGTAATTTGTCATACAGAATTTTCTTTATATTAATGTAGCCAAATTAACACTTCCAATGGATTTACTTTCTGTATCAATTCTTCCCTAGCCTCAAATCTTAAAACATTTTTGCCTATTTTTCTTCTAAATAAGTTTTCCTCCTATAAATTTTAGTAGGCTTTTATGTTTTTGTTTTTTTGTAAATCCACTTGCAATTTTGTATGCTGTGAGGTAGGAATTGCATTTTATCTTTTTCCAAATAGGTAGTCAATTATCTCAGCTCCGTTTAAGGCACAGCCAGCCTATTACTCCCCTCTGATCTGTATCATCACTTGTCATAGAGCAGGCTCTTCCTTCCTGTGTTCTATTGTTTCCTTGGTCTGTTTTTGCATGAATATATAACATTGTTTCAATTACTATTGCTTTCTAGTAAGTCTTGATATGTGATAAAAGTAAATCTTCATTATTCTTCAAAATTCTCATAACTCTTCAAGCCTCAAAAAAAATTAGAATCAAGTTGTCAAATGTTAAAAAATTCCTATTAGGCTTCACTGGAAATACACTCAACTTACAGACCAAGATGGGCAGAACTCATTTTTATGACATTGTCAGTTCTCCCATACATGAACATGTTATATCTTACCATTTATTAGCTGCTTAAAAAAAGATTTTCAAAAATGTTTAGAATTTTCTCCTTAAAGGTCTTGCACATTTCCTGCTAGATCGAATCCTAGGCACTTTACATTCTGATTTCTGCTATAAATGAAATTGTTTTTAAAATTACCTTTTTATTATCATCACATTGTCTTTGAGTCTTGTTATTTCTTTCTTGCCTTCTAAAGTATTTGAATTTCCACTGTTTCTTTCCCAGCTCCTCCCTATGCTTTGGAAAAGTTTGGGCACAATGTACAACTTTCACATGCACATTTGACTTAATGTTAACTAACATTATTAGCTTCTTTTTTTTTTTTTTGACATGGAGTTTCACTTTTGTTACCCAGGCTGGAATCCAGTGGCACGATCTTGGCTCACTGCAATCTCCGCCTCCCGGGTTCAAGCAATTCTCCTGCCTCAGCCTCCTGAGTAGCTGGGATTACAGCTGTGCGCCACCAAGCCCAACTAATTTTTGTATTTTTTTAGTAGAGATGGGGTTACACCATGTTGACCAGGCTGGTCTCAAACTCCCTACCATCTTCCCCAATAATATAAGGAGCTTACATGAATTTAATCTACTTCCCAAACGTTTTTTTCCATATTTTAGTTCTATCCTTTAAAAATATTCATATCATTATTGTTTTTCTCAGTGAATGCTATTAAAATTTATTTTTAAAACTTTTAATTGCAAAATACATCACACATAGAGAAAAGTTACAAAATGTGAATATATGCCTCAATGAACTGTCACAAAATGAACGCCTACGTAATCATAAGAAACAGAATACTGCTAGCATCCTGGGAGCACCTCCTCACAACCCCTCCCAAGCACTCCTCCCTGACCTTTCCCCATGGGTAACCACAATCTGATTTTTATGGTAATAATTCATTTTCCTTTATAGTTTTACCACCCAAGCATGTGTTGTTAAACACTATACTTTAGGTAAGCTCTCTATAAATGGAATCACACAGTATGTGTTTTTTGAAATCTGGTTTCTTTTGCTCAATAATTTATTTGTGAGATTCACAACTGTATATAGCTGTAGGCTATTTATTTTCATTACTGCCTTGTATTCCATTATATATTTCTATGATCATTCATCCATTTACTGGATATAAAATTCTAAGTTGACAGTTATTTTCTTTCAGCTCTTTAAAAATGGCCTTTGATTGACTTTTTGTTTCCATCATTTCTATTGAGAAGACAGCTACTAGCTAGTTGTTGCTTATTTGAAGGTAATTTTCCTTTGCTCTCTAGCTCCTTTTAAGATTTTTCTCATTTTTGGTTTTCAGCAATTTAACAATAATGCCTATATATGTAGAGTTCTTTGGTATTTCTCCTGCTCAGGGTTCATATCATTTCTGCAATTTATGGACTAATGTTTTCCATCAGTTTTAGAAAGTTCTAAACCATTTTCTCTTCAAATCCTGATTTTGATTCATCCTCTTTCTCTTGCCTTTCTGGAACTTTAAATACACGCACCAGACCTTTAAACGGTATTCTCTCTCTCTCTCTCTCTCTCTTACTCTCTCTTAATTCCTTTCATTCTTTGTCTCTGGTTATTTTCATCTTATATCTTTCAGTACACTAATTCTCTCTTCAGATGTGTCTAACCTGCTATTTAAACTCATTCACTTGAGTTAATTTTACTTACTGATTTTCTCAGTTCTAGAATTTATATTTGTTTATTTTTAGTTTCCAGTTCTCTGCCAAAAATCTGTCTTGTCTTTTATCCCCTTGAATGTGGTAAGTATAATTATTTCAAAAGTCTGTATCTGAGAATTCCAATATCTAGAGGCTGTTTGAACCATCTTTTCTTTTTCTTGATGTTGTTTGTGTATCTGTTTCCAGTTGCTTTTGATTATAAGCCAGACATTGCATTTGCAAACTAGAAACAATTTGTGACCTTACATGATACCACTTTCTTCCAGGAAGGATTTACAATTCTGCCAGATGCCTAGGGGCACTAGCAATTTAGGAACCCTCAATCTAATTTTAGGGACTGACATGATTCAAAGCTGATCTGCAGCCTCAGTGAGAGTATGTCTACTCCTGGTTAACCCTTGCTCCTATGGTGTAGCCCTTCAGGGTCTTGACTCAAAATGAGTTATGTTCATCAGGTGTCCCCTCCTTAGGGGCCATGGGCACTAATCTCTGCCCCCATTACTCCCACTAGCCTGTCAAAAGGGCTGCTTAGGTTTTAGCAGCTTCCTGCAGAACTGGCTAATATCTCGAGAGGAACAGTGACCCAGTATACCAGGAGGACCTTTGTTCTAGGCCTCCATTTTTCTTCTTTGATACCTTCAAGCAAAACATGTTTAAATATTGTGTTGAGCTTTTCTGGTAGTCTTCAGTGGAACACATGACTCAAATGACCTAATTTGCCACTACTAGAAGTAGAACTCCCAGACTTTATCTATATTTTCACCAATTTCATTGCTCATCATTGTTTCTTGGCTCTACTGTTTCCTTCTGGGTTCAACTTCCTTCAGTCTCAGTACATCTTGCTTCATAATCTTCCAACAAGCTTCTGCAACTAGTTAATTCTATTATCCTTTGCCTGAAGAAAAAAAGTCTTTATTTCACCCTCATTCCTGAATGAGAATTAAGCTGGGTATTAACTTTTAAGTTGACAGTTATTTTCACTTAGCTCTCTGAAGATATTATTCTACTGTTTTTTGTTCTCTCTTTCTGTCATGGAAAAGTTTGCTATCAACATAATGGATACCCCTTTGTAAGTCATCTCCATGTCTTTCTTTTGTTACTAAGATTTTTTTTCTTTGGCATTCTCCTATAACAAGTCTAGAAATAAGTTAATTTTCATTTATCCCATATAGGCTCATGGTGCTACCTGAATCTGAGTACTTATGTCTTTATTAATTCTAGAATATTCTTAGTCATTCTCTTTTTGAATAATGCCTCTACACTATTCTATCTGGACTTCTTGTTTTAACTCTCTCATCTCAACTTTCATCTTCTCCATCCCTTTATCTCTCTGTGCTACATTCTGGGTGATTTCTTTAGGTTTATTCTTCTGTTTACCACTTCTCTCTTCAGCTGAAATTTGTTGTCTTATCTTAAACTTGGTTGCTGAGTTTTAAATTTTCATGACTACTTTTTCTATTCCTTTCAGCCTAGGTTGTTGGAGCACCCCCTGGGGTTTGCTTATATCTGACAACTTATGCTATCACTAGCCCAGGACTAATTTTTTTCTTCCTTAACATAGGGTCTTGCACTGTCACCCAGGTTGGAGTGCAATGGCACAATGAGAGCTCACTGCAGCCTAGAACTCCTGGGTTCTAGTGACCCTTCCATCTCAGCCTTCCAAGTAGCTGAGACTACAGGCATGAGCCACTGCACCTGAATAATTTTTTTAACTAATTTCTCAGCTTCGGGTTTCAAGCCACATAGGTAGCATACATTCATTCAAATTCTAAACCAGCATGAACAAGGATCCATGGTTTACAATTCCCATGGGAGGCCGGGCATGGTGGGTCACGCCTATAATCTCAGCACTTTGGGAGGCCAAGGCGGGCAGATCACCTGAGGCTGGGAGCTCGAGACCAGCCTGACCAACATGGAGAAACTCCATCTCTAGTAAAAATACAAAATTAGCTGGGCGTGGTGGTGCATGCCTGTAATCCCAGCTACTGGGGAGGCTGAGGCAGGAGAATTGCTTGAACCTGGGAGGCGGAGGTTGTGGTGAGCCGAGATCACGCCATTGCACTCCAGCCTGGGCAACAAGAGCAAAACTCCATCTCAAAAAAAAAAAAAAAAGAAGAAGAATTCCCATAGGAGATTTCCCAGCTTCCATTCCAGAACCCAGGCAGTTAAATATTTTTTGTTAATTTCCCTGTGGTGGCAGCAGATATTTTCTAGTCCACTCTTTTCATAGACACAACCCCTTTGAAGGTACCAGTTCCTAGTCCACACTGTAAATGGATTCAAGGACTCATGTTCTGTTCCCTAGTGGGTACTAAAACCCAAACCCATACATTATGAAACCAAAAGCTGCAGCCCGTATCTTACGACTCTAATTTCCTGGAGATCCAGTTTTCTTTCTGAAGAGCTCAATTATGCATTTAAAATGATTTCAGTTATGTTTTACCCAGAACTTTTAAAAGTTTTATTTTGTGTTTAATTGGCACATAACTGTGCATATTTAAGGGGTACAGTGTATACCTAGCATTTGAAGGTGTTTATAGAAGGAAGGTTTTCTGGTTACCTAGTCTACTGTATTGCTAGAACCAGAAATCTCATGGCATTGTTCTTAAACTGTCAATGAAAAAAATATGTTAGTATTAGGATAATTAATCAGAACAGACAAACAGAACCAATAGAATGTTCGTGTGTGTGTGTGTGTGTGTGTGTGTTTTCCTTATGATAAATCTCTATGAATATGTATGTATGCATATACACCCACATATATATGTCAGCCTCCATAATCGTTTTAGCCAATTCCTTGGGATAAATCTACAATTTCAGAGGCTGACAAGTCCCAAGATCTGCTGTCAGCAACCTGGTGACCCAGGAGAGCTAATACGCATTATTTAGTTCCAGCCCAAAGGCCTCCAAGCCAGGAAGAGCTGATGTTTCGGTGTGCATCCAAACCAATGTCCCAACTCAGGGTAACCAGGCAAGTCGAAATTCCCTCTTACTTGCAGGAAAGTAAGCCTTTTTGTTCTGTTCAGGCCTTAAACTGATTGAATGGGGCCTGCCCACATTAGGGAGGGCAATCTGCTTTATTCAGTCTATCAACTCAAACGCTAATTTCATCCAGAAACATCCTCACAGACACAACCGAAATGTTTTACCAAATATTTAGGCACTTTATGTCCTAGTCAAGTTGACATGTAAAACTATCAGAATTAGTAAATTCTAGCTTGATTTTTAAATAATTTCATTTCTGAGACGCAAATCAAGCTTTCCTTTGAGCTCTGACAACTCAATCCTGTCACTCTATAACTGAGCAAGACTCAGTGTTAAGTAAGATAGCTTTTTGCATATGAACCTTACATAATACGATTTCATAAGTCTATTTATGGATTTAATTTCCCCTTTTCTTCCAAAGGATAAATGAGCACAAGTCTCTGGAAGCAATATGGAATAAAAGTGTCACCTGAAAATATATTCATGACCTATTTTTGCAAAACCTCTGGCTTACACAATCACCTACCTTTGTTTATAGGAATATGTGGGCAACAACATCTGCTCATCACGTAAATCTTCCACAGTCCCTGGTGCAGTGCCATATATAACCTAGGTACTAGGTAAATTTACCTGTAAGTTGCTTCAAAATATAAATCAAAGCAACAAGTTTGTCTCCATAACTCTGGGTCTCATTCATCGTATAGCGAGTGATAAACTTTTACTAAATCACACTTATGTTCACATTACCCTCCTTTGCTCCTCTTCAGCATCAGCAAAAAGTTTGCGAATGTTAGCCTCTGATTCTCCCACATATTTGTTAAGGATTTCTGGCCCATTGACCACTTTGGGCTCTCTTGCATTCAACATCTTGCCAATCTGTCGAGCCAAGAGAGTCTTACCACAACCTGGGGGTCCATATAACAGGATGCCTTTAACATGTTTACAACCTGAAAAGGAAAAGAAAACAGTCTTATATCAGCTAACTAGAATCTAAGTAAGACTCTAAAGGAAAGTGTTCTTTCTTCTTCGTATGCACTTTAGGAAAAACACAGTGATGCCATTCACATATGTTAATGTCCATGAGCCATGAACAAGAATATACAGCCAAAAATCCAGAAACAATTCCTATAACTGTACTAAAGTTTGAGGGGGAAATGCTGCCAGTTAAAGGTCTCTGGAAGAGTCCATTCATGCTATGATTTTGAACAAATACTTTTTACTCTGAAAATGTCTAACTGGGAAATATTACTTATTTTTGGCTGGGTGTGGTGGCTCACTTGAGCCCAGGAGCATGAAACCAGCCTGGGCAATACTTTGTGACCCTGTCTCTATAAAAATAAAAAATTTGCTTTGTTTTACATATAACGATAAATTATATATAATTATTATATATCATATATGTGTATACACACACACACACACACACACACACACACACACACACACACACCCCCATGGAATACTATTCAGCCATAACAAAGAACGAAGTCACATCTTTTGCTACAACATGGATGGAGCTGGAGGCCATTTTTCTAAGTGAAGTAACTCAAGAATGGAAAATCAAATACCATATGTTTTCACTTACAAGAGGGAGGTAAGTTATGGGTACACAAAGGTGTACAGAGTAATAGACTTTGGAAACTCAGAAGTGGGGAAAGTGAGGGCATGAAACCAGCCTGGGCAACACATTGTGATGGCAGAAAATTAAGAAGTGGGGAAAGTGAGAGGGGAGTGAGGAATAAAAAACTAATATTGGGTACAGTTTACACTACTTGGACAATGGGTCCTGCACTAAAATCTCAGACTTCACTACTATATAATTCATCCATGTAACCAAAAACCACTTGTACCTCAAAGGTTATTAAAATTATATAATATCTTTATATTACACCCAAAAAAGCACTCTGTGAAATAATAGATTATCAGGTTTCAGTGTCACACTCCGAAGTATGGGTAAAAAGGGAAATTTCTGAAAATGCAATATAAATAGTGTGTCGCCATGGAAAATGGTTTGTCCTTATCTGAAATGAAAGCATTAAGAAGTATATCTTTAAGAAAAAAAGTACAATACATTTGATGACTCAAGTAAAATCACAAGATGCAAACAACTCTATTAGAAATTTTAGATTCTGAGGAGGAAGACCCTTTGGGCTGTCAAAATTGGTCTTCACTTCCTCCTTTATGCTGAGAAAAGACTCCTTTTTAAATCCTTGAAAGTAATAAGAACTGTGCCTTTGGTTGAACATGGAGAGGGAGGGGAAACACTTGATGGCTTACAGTCTTAACCCTCTGCATCACAGAGTAAATCCCTTCCCTAAGAACCACTGCCCAATAAAATGCTTTTTGGCCTTTGACTCACCCTCCAAGTATGAGTGGTAGGGAGATAACAGGAGAAGCCTTGAGCTTCTCCTAGAGGCCAATACCACCAAGCACTACCAGCATCTAAGTTACAGGGACACGCTGGATTAGCAGCACGTTGAAGTCTGGCTCCTAATCTTGCCCTCTGAGCCAACTGTTACCATCATGATTTGAAACTATTCATATGTATAAACTGTAGCTGAGGCAGGTGGTGGTGGTGAAACATTCATAGGGAGAGGACATCCAGAAAGAAGAAAATGAAGATTTTCTGAGTTCCTACAAAGCACCAGCCCTTCTGATCTCCAACTTCTTGACTTCTACATTTTCTCCAAGTTTATCAACTTCCTCTTAACCATACTGCCTTCCCTAGTAAGCCATGCTTTCTTTGAAGGACTTTTAACTATTTATTCTTTGTAAATTTCTGTTATAACCACCCCATAGTCCCTGAATACAATATGGCTTTATTCACTACACATTGGCCACAATGTGTATAATTTCTCCATAGCACAGCTGGAGAAAATTATACCACTGTGCTACTGACTGATACCTCCAGAATTTCATGCTATCCAGTTTCAGTTCTATGCTCACTGCTTTCTCATGCCACTCTTTACTTGTCTTTGTTAGCTCATCTCTAATTCTCCTTATTAATTATCCAGATCTTCACTGTTCTTCTCAAGAGCTACCCCCTGCTATGAATTCTTAGAGATAACCTAGGTTCCTATTTCACATATCAAAAAAAAAAAAAAAAAAAGACTTCACCTCTCTGCTTCTTTATCTATAAATTGATCAGCAGACTCATCCATTCTCAACCTAATCTCGGTTCTCAAAGTAGTCTTCCTTCCTCTCCTCCAAGGTTTATATTGCAATTCTCTGTTTACATGGCTTCTTCGCTATAAGACTGTAAACTATTCAAATGCAAGTACTATCTCATTCACCCAGCATGATGCCCAGCACCTACTATGGACTTCAGGAAAGGCTGAATAAGTAAACTGTTGATTCTTTTCCTACAAAACTCAAAGAATATGAAGGATTTTAAAAAATTATTTGAAGCTCTTAATTTATGGACCGTGCTTATTCTCATAGCTGAGCTAATTTAAATACTTAAAAAAAAAATACATTTGCAAGACTGAGACTTTCCGAATTTAACAAAACAACATAAACACAAGAATCTTAACTTTGCAACTATGCTTCTGTACACAGAAAATGCTCAAATTAATGTGTTTTGAACTAAATTTACTCAGATATTATAAAATAAACAATTCACAAATTATTACCATGAAGTTTAAAAGAGATAAAATGTTTACCCATGCAACTTATTATATATAATACAGATATGTGAAACGATAGAATATATTTAATATAACTTCAACAGGAATGTAATAGAAGCTCTAGTCTGCTTTAGAACTATAATTCTTTTAGGATCTCAAATGAGCACATCAAAAATATACACTGACATGTGAAGTCTTTCAAAATGTACTTCCACAAAGGAAGCTGTTACTTGAATAAGCAGTGGAAATGGGACTTTATTATTACTATTATTATTACAGCCTATTCTGACTTATTAAGTAAGCATTGGTCTCTAATTTTAAATGAGTCATAAAAACTCTTTATAACTAATTCCATTCAACAAAAGTGTACTAAGCTCATGTTTAGACTAGATGCAAAGGTAGCTGTTAGGGATACAAACATGAAAAAGACAGTCCCTAGCTGTAGGGCATTTCTGGCTTAGTAGGAAAGACAGAAATAAAAATAGGCTATCTACAATATAATATGACATTATCAGAGATATGTATGAAATGTTTTTGGACTCTAGCCAAGAGATACTGATTCTGCCAGAGTGATGGCAGAAAATTAAGAATGGACTCAGGTGAAGAGCTAACATCCATTGTGGGCCTGGAAGAATGAGTAGGAGGTTCACAGGCAATGGAGAGGAAATGCCACCCCAAAGAGAGAGACTAGCATGATCAAAGGCATAGGGATATGGACACAGACACTGTTCTCTCGAAACAGCCAGTAGTAACCTGCTGTAGCCAGAGCCCTGGAAGTGAGGAGAGGGCAGTGCCTGGCGACGAGGCTGGCAGGCTCCTAACTGGCAGGCCTTGAAACCATGACCATGATTTTTTAACTTGTTTCATAGGTGATTAAAACCCCACATTTTTGGGTGATTAGTCTAATCACCCTTAGGTGTAAGTGACAATCACGGAAGGCACACCAGGAGATATGTATTTAAAAGCTAACTGTGTTGGCAGAGTGGAGAAAGAACGAGAGACCAAACAGGCAAAGGAGGGGAGGCTAGCTGGGGGAATGTTCTGAACCTTTTTCTGGGGATACCAACTCACTCTGGATTCTTGCCAGTTAAGTTTTCATATCCCTCTAAGTCCTTTGGAAGCACAGGAACAAATGGGTCCAGGGGCCTCGGGAGGACACCCTCTGCTCCTGCTGATGCCCCAGCTTTCTCCTGAGCTTCTCTAGGATATTAAAGCCTGGATCTGATATTGAGGAGCCTCTGATCTCTGGCTGCTGGACTGACTGCCCAGCTGGACTGACTAATGCTGCTGTTTTATTCTTAATATCTTACATGCCACCTCACTCCTCAGAGATAAGTGCCTTAGGTTAGTGACCTAAATAACAAAGGCCAGGTATAGAACGAGAAATCAGTGGACCTGATTTAAATTGTCATTGTCTCTCATTCTATTCCTCTCTTTCCCACAGAACAGTCTAATGGACCTCCCCAGGAAAATGCACATGCACAAAAAATTTGCATACAAATTTGAGAGAGTTCTTTAATCCTTTGAGGTCCATCCATGGAATCCAAATTAGAAACTCCTGAACATATTACTGAAATAATCCAGACAAAAGACAATAAACAGAAAGAGGCAAGAGTCATAGGAAATAGTAGAAAAAGAAAAGAAGATGCGGGAGATACTCATCAAAGCTTAGAAACCAAATGGAAACCAGAGAAGGAAGAGGAGTCAAGGATGACCTTGAGGCATCTAGCATGGGTACATGGATAAAATGATGGTAACCTCAGGGATACCAAGACATAGCAAGAGGAAGAGGAATCAGTTTGGAGATTACAGGAAATCATTACTTGTTTTTGGCTATAAGGCATTTGACATTTAGGCA
Organism: Homo sapiens; assembly: GCF_000001405.40. NCBI lineage: Eukaryota > Metazoa > Chordata > Mammalia > Primates > Hominidae > Homo > Homo sapiens. The sequence goes on along the minus strand of NC_000017.11, from coordinate 46,669,876 downwards.
GTAGTGCCTATTAAAAATACTGGTGAAAGCTCAGAAAAGACATCAAAACTACTGCTTCAATATTTTTGAATGCCTGCCCTGGGTACGTGAAAAGCTGTGAAAAGTTTTAAGCAGAAGAATGTGACAACAGAGATAAATGCTGCAGTGATAGAGGATGAGGCCTGGAAAAAGGGCACTAGGTTTAGAAATCAGGAAATACATGCCGCTCTAGGCCACAGGGTCTTCGAACAGGGTCAGAGCATTTGGGGTTGAGTCCCTACCTTTCACTTAGAAGAAAACTAAGTAGCATAAGCAGATATGGAGACCACACTTTCAGAAACTTTGGCAACAGAGGAGGAATGGAGAGGGAGAGCTTGTAAAGACACCTCTCCTTCTGAGACCAGTTAAATAAAGGGACAAGGAGGAAGAAAGCTGAGGTTATTCCTGTTGGGTTCTGTTGACTATGTGAAGCAGGAACTAGGTCATCAACAAAATGAGGGATGAAGAGAGGATACTGGGAAACATGGTAAAGGTTTGGAAAGCACATGGGGAGTTGGGAAAATGTGTCTGAGCAGACGGACGCTGTTACTAAGTGAACTCAGCATATGAGATTCAGGTCATCGAGGGACCATCCTTTGTTGTATTTACATAAGCAATTCACAGTATTAGGTAAGGTGTAGATTCTTATTCAGTTCTATAAATACAAATTTCATCTAAGCTGGCATACAAATTTTGACCTTTTTGGTTTTACCCATCTCTTTTTTTTCAAATCTTAATTTTAAAGGTTAGCAATATGAGGTAAATAACAGGATTAAATTAATGTAATGTGCAGTCAACATACGTATAGCTCAATTCTATTATCTAATTTTCCCATCAAAAGTGTAAGGTAAAAACTATCACATGACTGTTTTCAACATTTTTTCCTCCATTTTCCACAAAGTTTGAGGCCTTAATCTTCAAAGTGATTCCCATCTTTTCTCCTTCATCTATAACTTACTTAAGTAAGAACTAAGGTGGGCTAAGGGTATAATCAAACATAGTTCCAAAGCATTTCTTCTCTCAATATCCTATGTCAAGTACTTTTTTAGAGACAGGGTTTCACTCTGTCACTCAGGCCAGAGTTCAGTGGTGTGACACAGCTCACTATAACCTGGAACTCCTGGGCTCAAGCGATCCTTCCAACTCAGCCTCCCGAGTAGCTGGGACAAGCACATACCAGCAAGCCTGGCTCAATTTCCTGTATCCGGGTATTTTACTGCTTGTTTTACTAATTGCTCCCGTTAATCATTTTCTAAAAAATACCTACTTTTTATTTGGATGAGGCACAAACATAGTAACAACTCTTGGTTATAATAAGAGAAAGGAAAGTGGTAGTAAAGAGTATAATCTCAAATGGCCAAAAATCGATTTTTATATATGGTTTTGGAATTTAAGTTGCTAATTACATTGGATATAGGAGCAACTGAAGTTCTAGGACATCACAGTCTTTCTCTCATTCAACCAATCATACATCTTGTGGTGGGAAGATGAAGAAGATGAAGAAGTTCTCTTCTGTTTGCCTCTATTTCCTCCGTGAAGTAAAGATTCCAGGTCATCAGCTGCTGGTAAAGATGGAAGAGGTGGTGCTTGGGGGTTGAGCCAAATAGAGAAGAAGAACTAGTCATCTCAGAGAATAGGAGAATAAATGGATTGGACTAGGGAAATACAGAAGGAATACTAGGAATATCTGTTCCAAGAAATACTGAGGGCTCACTTGAGATTTGGTTCATAAATTTAAAGTGAGATCAGACACTGTGGTTTTGTGTTTTTCTTAAGCCATGCTTAACAGCGAGAATACTGGCACAGAGTAGGCAGGTAGCTGAGAAACACTTGTGGATTTGACAACAGAAGATGAGGAGCAAGGCTGCTAAAGGTGTATACAAAGAGGATATATGTGATAGACCATGGAGGTTAAGCTGGGGAAAGAGGAGAGAGAGAACAAAAAGATTGGGAACTGATAGAATAAATTATACTGGAGGTTCCAGTGGGGTCCAAGTTGCTGGAGTTGGTAACAGGAGAAATGCTAGGAGTAAGCAAGGAAAAATGGGAGGCAGCGCGAGAGCAAGATGCTTACATCTGAGATCCCCAAAGTGGTGTGGTTGCTGGTAATGGCAAACAAAGTCTTGTGTATAATCGAAGAATGAGTGGCTGAGGTGGACTTAAGGAAAAGGTTAATGAAAACAAGGAGGTTGAAATCAGAAAATAAATCAGGTGAAAAATCTCTAAAGAACTTTAAAAATTACTAAGAGTCCCACTTTTCTAGTCAGTGGTTCTCAAATTTAGATTTCACAACTAGCAAAAGAACATTTGTTTTCTTTAAACTGGAGAGCAGTGCTGTCATTGGGTTGTTTTAGTTTTAGTTTTGCAAGGTAAAGATTTCTTAAAAAAAAAAAAAAAAGAAAATCAAACCTGACATCGTCTATCACCACCATTTCATATAAAAAGTACATTTTAGTATTGAAAGGTAGACACAATCTCAGGTTAAAGGACAGTGTTTTCTGTTAAATAAACTCAGTTTTATGTGTAGTGTTAAAAGTGAGGGCTCTGCAGTCAGTTTGCCTGGATTCAAATCCTGGTTCTTCCACTAACTAGCTGGAAATAATAATAGTAACTACCTCAGAAAGTTACTATAATTAAGTATAATGCACATAAAGCACTTAGCATACTTTATGGTGGATAGTAAGAGCTCGTAAATATTGGCTATTAATTAATAGCTTATTTCTCTCACCTTTCTGCAGATGAGTGATGAAAATGGAATTAGACTCCCAACTGGTGACAATTAGATCACAATTAGGTTACCAAAAAACTTCCAAATAAATGACTATTTTACTTACCAAATTACTTCTGAGACTGACAGTTGTGACCATCTGCTCCTTAAAACTTTATCTACCAGAATTGTCACTTGAACTTTGCAAATTATAGTACCCATTCCACTGATGAACTTCACGCTCCAAATTAACATAGTAGTAAATGAGTTAGACTACAGCAGTTTCACAGACATGTTACTAGTGTTTTGGTAAGTCAAGATTCTTTGTAGCTATAGCCTCTCTTCCAGCTAGACTACTATCAGAGTCAATTCTGCCTGCTTCTACACAATGGAATACAATTCATCCATAAAAACAATGAAATTATGTCATTTGCAGCTACATGGATGGAAGTGGAGATCATTATCTTACATGAAATAAGCCAAACACAAAAATACAAAAATCAGATGTTCTCACGTATATGTAGGAGGTAAAAAATTTGAACACATGGAGGTAGAGAGTGGAAAAGTAGACAACAGAGACTGGGGAGGGTGACTGGGGATGAAGGGAGGCTAAGGAGAAGTAGGCTAAAGGTACAAACGTACAGTAAGATAGGAGGAATAAATTCAATGTTTGATAGCAGGGTAGGATGACTATACTTAATAAGAATATATTGTACTGGGGTGACAGATCCCTTGAATACCATGACTTGATCACTACATATTACATACATGTAAAAAATTTCTCATGTATCCCATAAATTTGCACAAATTAAAAAAAAAGTTTTAAAATCCTGCCTTTCTTATGCCTCAAACAGTTCACGCATACTGACTTCTCAAGCTTTCTAAGCTCACTTAAGGGTCAACATGTACCCATTCATAGAAGCCAAGCTACCATGATTATCAGTTCCACATGTGTACAGCCCTTGACCTTTTCTCCTGCCTCCTCTATCATAAGTATATTTATTTTCCAAAGTTCCCCTTTATCTTGCCAATTGCAACTACTCTCATCGCCCCTAACTGCCAGACATTGGAAAGCGGTCACTGCCCTTTCTTGGGGAGCACACACCCTGCTCTGCCGGCATTCACCTGGGACGAGCTGATTCTAGTGAAAGGAACTGGGGCTATTTCTGGGCACTTCATCCAAAAGTGTTTTTGCAACGCTAGATCAACATAGCCCATCCACCATCCTTTGCTTCTTAGTTTGAGGTGGATTAGTATTACCTGTATATTCTTTCTCACCTTATTTCTAGCTACAACTCTCAGTTAAATCAGCAATCCTCCAACAATATACAAAATTTGGATACTGTTTGAGCCACAGGTGTTGACATCCAGTGATTATAATAATACAAATTTTGGTGGGGAGAACTTTAATAGGCTTTAAGGTGTGTGCTACAAATAACTGAAAGTGATTTCTGATCTAAAAGTCAGAATAGGACCGTATCCGCTATGATAGGTATATCCACCCCACTGATGAAAATGATTCATGAAAATACTTACATCTTATATGTAAATTGTAAATAGCTCGATAAAAATACATAGCCTTACTTCTGAAACACAAGAAATAAACAGCAATGTTTACTGTTTACACTCTTTCGAAACACCCGAAAAAAGTGACAAATTTGTACTTGTTAAGCTCTTCTATTTTACAAAGCAGTATATTTTCTTCATTTTTTCTGGATGTTATCAGAGGCAAGCTGCGTTGAGGAAAAACTGTCAGTCAACTTTGAGGTATTCAAAGGGAGAAAAAACTATAGCAAACACTAATTTTATATAAGAGTAAGCAGGATGATAATAAATTAGAAGTGGTCTCTGTCAAATTAGCATTAAGATAAGAGTGTTCAGTTCATTTTGGGGGCAACATGATCTATAAAGAGAGAAAGAAGTGCGAAGTGGGTTTTGAACAATGACTGATGTTTAAAGAGGAATCCCAAGTGGCTTCCAGTACAAATGCAGACTAGCCATGTTTGCCAAAGAAGGAGGCTATCAAAAGACTAGTAGCAAGTCAGGACATATTCGGCAGTCTTGCAAGCTTCTCTGTGCAGTTGTGCAAACCAGATTTGAGTGCTCAATTTTAAATAGTGCATGCCCTTGTAGAAAATATAATCACAAATTAATATTTGATCTTTTAAATATAATCATAATTATTATTATTATATTTTTTTCAGACAGAGTCTTGCTCAGGCTGGAGTGCAGTGGCACAATCTCGGCTCACTGCAACCTCCGTCTCCCAGGTTCTAGCAATTCTCCTGCCTCAGCCTCCTGAGTAGCTGGGATTACAGGTGCCACCATGCCCAGCTAATTTTTGTATTTTTAGTAGAGATGGGGTTTCACCATGTTGGCCAGGCTAGTCTTGAACTCCTGACCTTAGGTGATCCACCCATTTCAGCCTCCCAAAGTGCTGGGATTACAGGTGTGAACCACTGCGCCTGGACACAAATTAATATTTGATCATTTAAGTTTCCATAATTACAACTTCTCTTATGGTTCTGTTGAAAATTGTAAATTGGAACTAGAGTCATGAGTATTTTCTTAGTTCTACTTGACTTACCATTTCAGTAGTACAATATAATTATTTACTCTAAGAGCATAACTTTCATTGACTCATTATATAGGAGGGCCTTTTGTTTCAAAAACCTTTTTTTTTTTTGAGACAGGGTCTCACTCTGTTGCCCAGGCTTTGGAGGGCAGTGGCACTATCTCAGCTCACTGCAATCTCCATTTCCCAGGCTCAAGCCATCCTGCCGCCTCAGCCTCCCGAGTAGCTGGGATCACAGGTGCATGCCACCATGCCTGGCTGATTTTGTATTCTTTTGTAGAGATGGGGTTTCACCATGTTGCCCAGGCTGGTCTCAAACTCCTGGGCTCAAGTGATCAGCCTCCTCGACCTCCAAAGTGCTGGGATTACAGGTGTGAGCCACCACGCCTGGCCTTAAGACTCTCAATCAACATCTAAAATAGGTTGTCATCTACACTTGTTTATCTGTGCACTTATGAAATCTTTAAGAAATGGAAATACTTAAGACCAAGACCACTACTCCTGATACCATCTGGGCAGTCAGGACTTTGACCATCCATTTTCGTGGCACTATTCTGTCTGGTAGAGACTTGCTGTTGTCCCACCAACTTCAAAATGCCAAGAGCACTCTGAGTTTTGCTATGCTAGTGAAAACAGCCTATTTCCTGAGCACCAAGCAGCTGTGCAAGCTGTCTACCATCCGACTGGTCTATATCCAAATCAGTCAACTTAGATTTAATATAGATTTTCTCATTAGATAGCCTAGAACTAAAGATGAGATGTGTGTAGCAATGCTCCAAACTAATCTTTGCTGACACCCCCACCCTTTTACATTCCCTCATAGGGTGTTGCCTGGTATTTCATGAATTCTTGATGACAAAGATCATGCTTCTTCTATAGCAGGTCTGCCTTGCTGCCAAATGGCAGCATGTATCTTTACTGGTTTCAGAATTTTATAGTTTTTTCTTTCTTTGTTTTTTTTCCTTCCGTCCCTTAGCTTTTAACTCCTTTTATGTGCTGTTCTATTGGGCCCCTAATTCAGCCTAGCAAATATCTTCCCTAGCAGACAATTTATTTCTTCTTTACTACACCTGGAATTTCTACCTACTCTAACAGTTCATGTTCTTCTGTCCCCAGAAATCACCTCCTTTATTAATGCCACCTAATTCTGATCATATCTTTGGGCTCAATCCTTCAGTACTTAGAGTAGCAGCTGTCAACCTTTAATATGCACCAATGTCCAATGGAGCTTGTTAAAATGCAGATTTCCAGACATCACTCCTAGAAATCTGAATTCATTAAGTCTGGAGTGAAACTGAATATTTAACAAGCGCCCTAAGTAACTCTAATGTAGGCCAGAGGACACACTTTGAAAAACATCATTCATGGTTACAACTGACAATACATTATGTTGTTTTATTCTAAGAGTTCTTAGCTTATTTTTTTTAAGTGTATATGTTCTATAGCCTCAATTAAATCATAAGCTGATAAGGACACACTGACAAGTTGTAGCTATAGAAGAGAAAAGAGCTATTCTAACAAGATAAAAGTTATCAAGAATAGATGTTTTCTGTACTTGAGTACAGCTGGGGGAGATACAGTTTTGTGAGAGATGACTGGGAATTTCATTCATTAGTAAACTAGATAAGCATTAAGATAGAATGTCGATGTCAAAAATGTTAGCACAATTTCGGCCTACATTAAAGGACTAGTGTTTTAAATAAAGAATAAATAGTTCTGATCTATTTTACAACAGAGACCACATTTGCATTACTCCACTAAATTCTAGGTTTCACAGCTTAACATTAATATACATAAATGTTAAAGTTCACAGAAACGTGAATAGGATGGTAAAGGGCTAAAAAGACTGGCTAGAAAAAACCAACCAAGCTTAGGAGAATTAGCTTAGAGAAAAGAGGAATCTGTAGGGAAGTCTGGACAATAGCTTTCTTCATACCTAAAGAGTGTTCATAAAGAAGTAGTATCATGCTTGTTCTGTGTAGTTTCAGGGGAAGAACCAGAGCTTGTAGGAGAAGATACAAGCAAATACATCTTACCTTAACATAAGGAAGACTAAACTTAAACCTATAGTTGTCCAAAAGAGGAATGTAGCCTTAGGAGGGAGTGAGATTCCTGTCACTGGAGGAACTTAAGCTTAGCCTAAGGAACCTGGCAGAAGTTACTCAGCAGAAATGCAGAAGAGGGCCAGGCATGAGTAATCCCAGCACTTTGGGAGGCCGAAGCGGGTGCATCGCCTGACGTCAGGAGTTCGAGACCAGCCTGGGCAACGTGGTGAAACCTCGTCTCTACTAAAAATACAAAAGGCTAGGCACGGTGGCTCACGCCTGTAATCCCAACACTTTGGGAGGCCGAGGCGGGTGGATCACCTGACGTCAGGAGTTCGAGACCAGCCTGGGCAACGTGGTGAAACCTCGTCTCTACTAAAAATACAAAAGGCTAGGCACGGTGGCTCACGCCTGTAATCCCAACACTTTGGGAGGCCGAGGCGGGTGGATCACCTGACCTCAGGAGTTCGAGACCAGCCTGGGCAACGTGGTGAAACCTCATCTCTACTAAAAATACAAAAGGCCAGGCACGGTGGCTCATGCCTGTAATCCCAACACTTTGGGAGGCTGAGGCGGGTGGATCACCTGACCTCAGGAGTTCGAGACCAGCCTGGGCAACATGGTGAAACCTCGTCTCTACTAAAAATACAAAAGGCCAGGCACGGTGGCTCACACCTGTAATCCCAACACTTTGGGAGGCCAAGGCGGGCGGATCACAAGGTCAGGAGATCAAAACCATCCTGGCTAATACAGTGAAACCCCGTCTCTACTAAAAATACAAAAAATTAGCCAGGCATAGTGGCGGGCGCCTGTAGTCCCAGCTACTAGGGAGGCTGAAGCAGGAGAATGGCGTGAACCCGGGAGGCGGAGCTTGCAGTGAGCCGAGATCATGCCACTGCACTCCGGCCTGGGCGACAGAGCCAGACTCCATCTCAAAACAAACAAACAAACAATCAAACAAACAAAAAATTAGCTAGGCATGGTGGTGCACGCCTGTAATCCTAGCTACTTGGGAGGCTGAGGCAGGAGAATCTCTTGAACCAGGGGGGCAGAGGTTGCGGTGAGCCAAGATCATACCACTGCACTCCAGCCTGGGCATTAGAGTGAGACTCCATCTCAAAAATAATAATAATAATAATAATAATAATAATAAAAAGAAATGTAGAAGAGATTCAAATAAAAAACAGGTGTGTGCACTAGATGGCTAAGATCCTTTGCAATACTGAGATTCTGTGATTCCTTTGATGTTCTCTGATAGAATCTGGTATTTTTGTACAGTAAGCTCTGAAATAAATATTCCAGGATGGAAAGGAAGAAGACTAAAGGCAAGGAAGATAATAAAGAGGCTACTGCTGTAGTGCAAGGGTAACTGACTAAAGCAATGAAAAAGAAAAAACAAATGATAAAGGCAGAAAAAATTTAGGAGTATTCAATAATAAATTTGACAAATGCATGAAAAACAAAGGAAAAGGGGATAGATGTATCATGACTCCACAGACCTAAAAAAGAAAGGTAACTGGGAAGGGATAACTACTTGTGGAACGAGAAAGAATGTAACAAAGTTTTAAACATTTCAAGAATTCATTTCAGTAAAAATTCTTATGGCGGACGGTGAAAGCATCTGAAGATATGTGGTAAAGGTCATCTAAAAATGACCACTAAATGCCTGGATAAAAGGAATTAATAAATTTAATGAAATACTGTCTTTCGGAAATGGGATTATTAGACCTCCTCTTTGAGTGGTACAGATCTGTGCTTGTGGACTGAGGGAGGAGGAAGGCAAAGGAAGTGTAGGAAGGAATAAAGGGTTCTATACCATGTGTTTGTAGTTAGGCAAGATTACCTGCATGTTCTGTGCATTTTATTTTACTTTGCTGTGCACATAGTGTATACACATGGTCCCCGACTTAAACTGGTTTGACTTTTAACAATTTTTTTTACTTTATGATGGTATAAAAGCAATATGCATTTGGTAATGCTCTTCGATTTACAATCAGTTACGACAAGATAAACCCATAGTCAACTGAAAATACTGTAAGTCAAAAATGCACTCTCAACTTAGGATATTTTCAACTTACGATGGGTTTGCTGAGACATAACCCATTGAGGGTTATCTGTACAATGAACAAGCAAGTCCTAATTTTACATCTTGTTGTCTAGATGATAAAGAGGTTGCTAATGTTTGACAAAAGAAGAGATGATGAACTAAAACATATTATATACTTTTCTTGTATGCCCGAAAACTTCATAGGTAAGACTATCTTCTGAAAACAACTTTTGGAACGCTGATATTGTCCTTTGGGCTGATAATGATAAGAAGGAAGTGAGAAGGTGAAGTGTACTTGGCTATAATATTCATATTTCGAAGATACTTTCAGATTATAGCCTTTGTTATATGCACACAATTTAATCAATGCTATCATTATACAGTAGACGTTTGAAACATGTAGTCTTCACAAAATAACACACTTTAAGTAAGTTTATGTCAATTAACAGGAATGACTGTCTTTAGAATGGAACTGTTAAACTTTTATCTCTTTGAGCTACATATTCTTTGCTCATTGGGTAGTAAAGGAGGTGGGAGAGACAGGAAGTGACGGTGGAAGAGTTCTGTGCCAGTGTGTTTTGAGATAAATGCAGATTATCTACTCGTCGTTCTGCAAGTGCATTTACTTAGCATTGTTGAGTATGCAAAGGACAAACAAGGCCCCAATGCTGAGAAGTGCCCAAAGTATGCTGAAAGTTTAAGAAGTAAAATGATTCTTTGATAAATGTCCTCTTGTTAGAGTTTTTAGCAAGGCTTGTTGTCTGGGAGTGACTGTTGTTAACCCATCTCGTAGAGCTATATGCATTTCTGTACTTATTCATTGAGCTGAAGAAGGAAGAAGAAAGGCAAAAGGAAGGTTCTTTGCAAGTATGTTCATATCTAGAAGATAGTTTCATATTGTAGCCACAGTTCTAGGAAGTGATTTTTTAGTAAAGTGCCTCTGTTTATCAGTCCTTACTTCACAACACTAAGCTTTCTAGATGTTATGAGGTGACAATGTATAAAATAGAGCTAGTGAATTAACTAGATAGTAAATTAATTTCATTAGAAAAGAAGCATCTTGGAAATGGCAATGTTAAACCACCTATGAGCAGTATACATCAGTACGTACTGGATTGCTAAGGAAGGGGCAGAAAGAAAGGTAAGGGAAGAGATATATATAGATATGTCCATATTTACAATCTGATTATAACCACTGACATATGTGTGCTTTTTTCTTGGTATACTTTGTGAATACTATATGAATTGTTAAATAATTAAGTAGAAACATCATTTCTGGTAATATTTTAATAGTGCAGATCTCATACTGAACTATCTAAGAAGCATTATACTTACTTGACTGCTTTGTATCTCATTTTATATTGGGTATTAAGTGAACACAGTATTTAACTATAAACCTGCCAATATGCATTTCCAGAGACCTGTTGCCATTTTGTTTTTTAAGATATTTTTGTCCCCACAAAAGATAAGAAAATGTATCGTGAATATTTACCAATGTCTGAATCCTAAAGCCCTGAGTATTTTGATACTCAAGTACTCATGATATGCAAGAAAGCATGGCACATACTATATAAGTGTAACCATGTAAAAAGGTATACTCAGTTATGTATATATGTATACACATACAAGGACTGGAAAGATACATCAGAATGTAAACTGATTCTGTTATGGATGATTTTTTAGTTATATGCCTCTTGTGTTTTTCAGTTTTCTATAATGAACATATTAACCTCTAAAAGTTGAAAAAATATAAATGTTATTTTAAAAAGAAACAAATAAATAATAAATGCATATAAGATCCAAGAAGTTACAGATCAAGGCCAGAACTGCAGATATGGGAAGGGCTATACTACGTGTTTTAATATGTTCTCTTACGTAATCATTTTTAAAACTATGAGCTAAGGTATTATTTTTACCCTCTTTTTAAGGAAGAGGTACTGAGGCTTACAGTGGTAAAGTGACCTTCCCCTGGTAAGGGGAAGACACATCTGGTAAGTGGCAGACCTGGAACTTGAATATCAATTTGCCTGACAAAGCTAAAACCCCAAGGAGAGCTCAGCTATTGACAGCGCTGTGTCTCGGCTTTGTGCCTGACACTCACATTCAGTGTACTTGAGAGCCTGGAAATCTGTATTTTTTTTAACATTAAAAATTCTGGGCCAGGCAGGGTGGCTCACACCTGTAATACCAGAAAAGGTGGGTGGATCGCTTAAGGTCAGGAGTTCAAGGGCAGCCTGGCTAACATGATGAAACCCTGTCTCTACTAAAAATACAAAAATTAGCCAGGCATGGTGGCATGTGCCTGTAATCCCAACTACTCGGGAGGCTGAGGCACAAGAATCGCTTGAACCTGGGAGGCAGAGGTTGCAGTGAGCTGAGATCACACGACTGCACTCCAGCCTGGGTAACAGAGCAAAACTCTAAAAAAAAAAAAAAATTCTGATACACACCAAAGACTGAGAACCACTGTGTTACTGAATAGGAAAGACCCCACCCCGCCAAAAAAAAAAAAAATAAATAAAATAAAATAAAAACAAAAACAAACTGAAGAAATGTGGTGAGCTCTTCAAAGCGAGAACAGACAATGCTCAACAGGAGGAGGCTAGGCTTTGCTGTTATACACTGGGGAACAAGGTATCACTCTCAACTTCCACAGATACTTACTGAGTCTCTATTATATACCCAAGAACTATGCTAAGCCAAGTGCTTTCAGGAGATGAGTAAGATAACCTCTGTTACAAATACCTCAATATTAAAAATCAAAGATACAACTATACAGAACCAACATTTAAAAAGGGCTATGAGGAGCCAAAAAGTAAAACAATTACTTCTATTAGGAGGACGTTAAGTGTGACAGACCTTCCAAAGGCAATCAAGCTGAAACTTGAAGAATGAGCAAATACATGGCATCTTCCCTGCAGAACTTATGTACAGACCTTTATATTTCACTGAAACAACATTCATAAGGTGACTATTCTGAAAAAGTTTCTATTTCTAGTCTATCTTCCCATTTTTATAATGAGGAAACTAAGACCCAAAAGTCACAGCCATTCAATGACAAATCCAAAACTAGACTCCAAGTCTCTTGAAACCTTGTCTATTAGTTTCTCATGAAACCATTATATTTTTTATATTTCTATTTCTCTTCCAGAGTACCTGCTTAGTGATTGCTTTGATCTCCTTAACATTTGACTTTTCAAAAAGGAAGTCTAAATTTGGCAGTGCATGTCAAAAACATTTACACTTGTGAATCCTTTTTGATTCAGCAATTCTACTTCCAGGAATTTATCTTAAAGAAATATGAATGTGTAGAAATATTTAGTTTCTAAGGTGCTTGTTAAACATAGTGTATAATAGTAAAAAACTGAATACAATTTCTAACTAGAGGGGATTGATTAAACAAACCACAGCATTATCATTCTACAAAATAAAGAATGTTGTAGAGAATATTTAAGAAAAACTGTTAACTTACTGAGTGGGGAGAAAACCAGTTATAAAACAGCAAAATGCTTTTTTTTTTTTTTTTGGTTCTATGTATATACAGCTAAAACTAGCTGGATGATATACTCCAGAATATTAATGGTACTTTTTCAGGGTTTTTTGTTTTTTACACTGAGTGATTGTTTTATTCTTCTTATTCATCTACATTTTTGAAATTTTCTACAATAAACATGCATTACTACAACTATAAGAACTAATAAAAGTCTTTTCATAAACATAGATCTAAGAGTCCCTCTAAAAGCTGAGGAGAGGACTAGGTGAAAAACAAAGATATTTTTCCTGGATCCCTGGGGCCCACTGGGGAGGCTGCAATAATCTAAAGGCAGTAAGGGGCTTTCTGAATCTAATTCACGTTCCAGAAAACAGTGAAGCTTATTTTGGAGACTGGGAAGTACAGTTTCATATCCAAGTTATGAAATCTAGAATTAAAAAGCCCAACAATAAATCAAATTGTCTTAAGTGGCTGAATCATGAAGCCTAAAGGGCACCAGACTAAGCAACCTGGATTCCAGCCCCAGTAGACAAGCAGTGACTTTAGCCTAAATAAGTTGCCTTATTCTTCTGAGGTCCCAATGTCCTCATCTACAAAATAAGAATGACACAGGTAAGATCAGCATTTCTCAAACTGGTGTTCCTTGGAAACATAAATAGGTCTGTCTTCATGTAAGCATGTTAAGTTTAAATAAATTTGGTAAATGCTACACTAGATTATTCCTTAGGTCTCTGATTCAAATATATAATTACCTTAGTGCATTTAAATCTATAGCTATAGATACACTGTCTACTTTTGATTTTCTCATAATAGAGAGGAATACTAGATAATATGAAATAGATGACAATCATCCAAAGAAAAATTCATACCTTGACAGGAGCAACTGAAAACAGGAAGCAAAGGGTTTAATAATAGCGAGAGGGGCAAAAATAGCATTCAAGTAAGATAATAAAAGTCATAAATTTAAACAATGTCTTTCAGTCTGTTTTGTCTCTCCTTCCAAATGATCTTTTTCTTCAAGTTATTTTATGAGTTGCTAAAATATTATAAGTTCAACCCATTCCTTTTTTTTTTTTTTTAAAGATTCATTTCTAGATAACATGAAAAAAAAGGGTTCGATCTTTTGACTGTGGCAATAAACTATCATCTGCCTATCCTTGGTCTGACACAGTATCCCACCTGGAGCCATTACGACTTATAAGACAAATCCAAATTTTGGGGAGTTGAGTTCTATTTCATTTAGTATCACCCATGGTCATACTGCAATAGCCAGATAAAGATCAGACTACAGAGAATTTGTAACTCATTTAAGCGAGTCTTCCCCATCTCCCTTTCTCTAAGCTCATCACAGCCACAATTGGCTCCCTCAGTAGTCACAGAGGAAGCCAAAGTAATCAGGTAACACATACAAAAGTAAAAAGTAACAACAAAGAGAAGTTTTACAGAAAGAGACGTCTAGTAACACAGGAAAGTGTAAGGTAAAGGGGTAGTTGTGAATCAACATGGAAATGTCCCTGGAATGCACTAATAACCTTCAATGTGGATAATTCTCCTGTGTATATTTGAAATTTGATGGGATATATCTAACGTGTGGATTAGCAACATACTAATTATAGGTTTATCCTACAGTAACCAGTCATTATGAAAAGGTGCTTAAGTCTTGCTAAGATTTCTCCCTCATGATGGGATTCTAGATAGAATTTAAAATCAAAGCACTTCAAAAAATCATATCATCGAGGATAAATTCAAGTAAATACTTGAGCAAATAGCATAGACGTTCAAGCTACAGATGTGTGCATCTTTATAAGTTTGCAGTCACTTGAGTAAAAAGAGGATTTGTAAGAAAAGGATTCAAACTATTACTTGCTCTGATAAAAGATACTGTATTAAAGCCAGAGGTGTTGGTAAAGAAGTCAAAGCCACAAATAAATCTTTGAATATCTAATACAGTACCCATAATAATTTTCAATGCCTAATTTTGCACTATGACTAAAATGGTATATGGAAGGGATTTATTGCTATCTTCTGTAACTTCCTTTACAAACCTGAAATAACATTATGTTAATTCTTTAAAAAGCAAAAACGTGAAACCCAAGTTTCTTGCAGGTTTTTTTTTTTAAAGTATGACCATATTAAACATATTAAAGGTAGACTGCTCTAAGTAACAAATCATATGGAATTCCAAGGCAAGTCTTATTTGAATCATGGTAGAAGTACTCTCAAATAATACCATTTAAGTCCTGGGTAGCTTTTTACTAGCATTATTGTTAACATTCTAATTCTTCTCTTCCTCTGACATCCTATTCTCTATTGTGTCTATCAAGATAGCTGTTGTTTTTCCAAGTTAGTGTATCACATATAAGATACACTTTCTTATATGTGATAGAAAATTTATAGAGGTGATAGAAAATTTATCTGCTCCTCTCCGATGTAATGTGATAAAAATTAAATATAAATCAGCCAAAGTATGACTTCACAAATAAAGAAAAAATATTTCGAAGTGTCCCCTTGACTACCTTATCAACAAACACTGTTCAAAATGGGTAATTATAAAACAGCATAGGAGGAAAATCTCAGGTGTTAACTATTTTCAACAGCAACAAAATTTAAGATAAGAAGAAAACACATCTTAACATTAGATTAAAGGGATTGGGTTATAAATTTTTGCCTTTTACAGAGCTCCAAAAGTGCCTCTTGGCAATATAATCATACCAAGTAACTATCATCCATGGAGTGTTTGACAGTCAGCCAGGTACTGTGTTAGAAAACTTACACACATTAATGTTACCTACCAATAAACAATTTTTCAGGCAAGGGTACCAAGGCTCAAGTAGCTGAGCGCCCAGGGCCCTGCCGCATTGAGAAGCCTAGGGCCATACAAGTGAGTAGAAAGGAGACGCAATGCCAACCTTGTTCTGGTGTGTGCCTAGGAGCCTTCTTACTGCTGAGGAAGAGACGCTAACTTACCATGACGGGACTTGTGTGGATGCAGATCTGCTAATACTATTTAACTTTTTAAAAAATAAAATGTTATCTGTGTGCTTTATCACAGAAAAAAACCCAAGATACACTACTAGGTTGAAAAAAAAAAAAAAGTCAGGCACAGTGGCTGATGCCTGTTATCCCAGCATTTTGGGAGGCTGAGGCGGGAGGACTGCTTGAGGCCAGGAGTCTGAGACCAGCCTGAGCAACATAGTGAGACTCCAATTCTACACAAACACACACACACACACACACACACACACACACACACACACACAAATTAGCTGGGTGTAGTCCCAGCTACTTGGCAGGTGGAGGTGGGAGGACTACTTGAGCCCAGGAGTGCGAGGCTGCAACGGAGTATGATTGCACCACTGCACTCCAGCCTGGGCAACAGAGCAAGACCCTGTCTCAATAAATGAATGAATGGATTGATTATATATTATTGTATAAATACTTAGGAAAGGGTTTGAAAAATTCATACCAATCTCTTTACAGTGTCTACCTCTAAGAGAGGGAGTAAAACTGGAGTGGGTAGAATGAAGGGAGATTTCACTTTTTACTCTATCTGTGCTGTTTTATGAGGATGCATTATTTTTATAATGTGTTTCTATTTAAAAATAGAAAATACATGTGTGCATTCACATGCACACAAACTCACACAGACGCAATATTGACCTGATGCCCTTAAATGTGAACACTCTTGTTATAGTGCCCTTACATAAGAATGGCAGTTCCCAATGAAGCAAATGGTAGCTCACAAGTACCCAAGAAAATACTCTTCCTTTTCTTATTTCTGGAGCCTAGTGCCATTCAGGACCAATCCAAGAGGTCTTTCCTAAATTCAGAATCTAAGAGGATCTACATGGATTTAGTAATGAATTATAAACATCATATCTGCTTTGACTTTTAAAGATATGGCTCAGTCTTGCTCTTTAAATGCATCTGCTGCTTCTCCATGTGGCCTACTTTGCTAATCTGGTTCACAATGCACCTTATGTTTTACACAGTACTGCTTTGGGATGTGCAAATACAGTGTTACTCCCACACAGACTGTAAGTATCATGAGGGCAGGGCTTGGATCAAACTGTCTAAGTGTTCTATTTAATTAATCAAGATTAATCAAGTTCCTGGCATTTATTTATTTCCTGAAAACTTATAAGCCAGACACCATGCCGGGAGGAGAGAATACGACAGTGACCAAAATAAACAAGGCCTATTCCTTACTGAAGGTATACTATGTTTGTGAGGGCAGGGACATGGAGAGAGGACTTGGAATACAGACATGTAATAAGCAATTATAATACAATGTAATAATGCATAAAATAACATGGAGCTATTAGAACACACATGAGGAACATTAAAGCCTACTCATTCTAGAAACAGTGAGTTCAAAGCTTTGGCCTGAAGAGTGAACAGGAATTGGATGAAAAGATGGTTAAGAAAAAAAAAAAGCAAAAAAAAATAACCCTAGGATATAGAGGTAAGAGAAAGTAGCATGGCAAATTAGAGGAACTGAAAATAGCACAGGCTGGCTGGAACCCAGAGTATGGGGGAGGGGCACGGGCTGAGAGGCGAAGCAAGAAAGTTTAGCAGGAGCCAGATCACACAGGGCTTGTAAACCATGTAAGGAGTTAAGGCGGGCTGCTAAAGAGTTTGAACCAGTGCAGTGACAGGATCAGACTTGCCTTTTTATAAAAATCACTCCAGTTACAGTGTGGAGAATGGATTAGAGAAGGGCAAGGCTGAGGGCTTATGGAGCAATTCAGGCAAGAGATAATGGTGTCCTGAAGGAAGAGTGGCAGGGCGAGGTAGAGAGAACTGGAGGGATTTCAGAGAGATTGCGGAGATTGCAGAATTGACGGTCTATTCTGCGACTTACTGGAAGTGGGAGGTGAGGGAAAGAGAGGAGTTAAAGGTGTCCAGATTTTTGGCTAGAGTATTGCCAGAGATAGAAAACACAGATATAGATGCATGTTTAGAGAGGACTGAGGGGGCAACTGAATGTGTTTAATTTCAAGCTTACTATGTGATCATGAAATACCCAACACATTATGCTGGTACAAATCCAGAGTTCTAAACTGAGACCGAGGTGGCATATGCATATTTGAGAGTTAGCAGCATAAAGATACTAATTGAAGCTATGAAACAGATGTGATTAATTTGGAGGAGAATAATTAGAGAAAAATAATAGGTCAAAGACAGACTCCTGAGGAACCCCAACATTTTAAGGGACACAAAAGAGGTTGAAAAGAGACAGCCAGAGAGGTAAAAGGAAAACCAGAAATGCTTGGAGTGAGAAAAGCCAAGTAAAGAGGGTATTTCAAGCAAAAGTAGTCAACAGTGTGTTTCCTAAACACGTGCAGACTGATTGAAGCTAGGCTTCAATAAATTGAAATGCCAGTAATTCTTCCTCTCTTCAGTTCAGCTTCCAGTTTCCTTTCACGATATTGAAAATATGTGCAATGATATTCTCTACTTTTCCAAAACTATGTTCTCCTGAGTTTCTCATTTCCAACATTTTCTCACAAGACCTGAGTCTCACCTCCAATTCTGTCACCCACAATAACTATTGCCAAATTCTGCCAGTTTCATGTCTGCAATTTTTTCATGTATTTTCTTCCCATTCCATTCCTGTTGCCTTCACCCCAATCCAGATTCTAAGTACCACACACTGGACAGCAATAGTCTACTGGTCTCTAAGACTATTCGCCTCACCTTTTCTCTAAGGCATCTGTTCAAAAAATTTCATTCATTTTGCAAATATTTACATAGGCCAGTGCTTCTCAAACTATGTATGCTAAGGTCCAGCTGTATTTTTTTTCCTTTTAAATTTCCAATCCATTGCAGACCAACATTTTTGTAAAATATAATTTTAAAAAAATTGTGATAATGTCAAATTGCTATAAACATTTGTAATTACTTATTCTTAATTTCCAATATTTGTCTTATTGTGGACTGGTAACAGTGGTTCATGGTCCAACAATGACCTGCAACCTACATCCCAACACCCCTGATGTTGATAATACATGGATAAGAAGACATTACAGTTGTGCCTTCAAAGGCCTTTGAGCAATGGTTCTCAACACAGGACAGTTTCATCACATTTCTTTTAATCGTCACTGGGGCTCGGAGTGGTGAGGAAGGGAAGTACTGACATCAAGTAGAGGCCAGGGATGGCGCTTAACATCCTATGATGCACAGGTCAGGCGCCCTACAACTAAGAATTATCCAGCCTAAAATGTCAATAGTGCCAAGGTTAAGAAATTCTGCCTTAGGAGTGTAATGCAAATGAATAATTACATTAAGAACACAGCTGGATTCTAAGTATATACAAGGTGCAGGGAAACACAGGAGAAGCACCTGAGTCTGTCTGGAAGGTTCTGAGTCTGTCTGGAAGCTTAAACAGGGACAGTACTTTAAAAAGAGTCCACATCTCCTCACAGATTTCCACAACCCAACCCAAAACTAACTTTTTAATCCTATTTCCTGTTTCTTCCAAACAACAGCTCTGTTAGACTGGTCTAAGTCATGAAGTCTATACCGTGTTTAGTCTGTCACTCTTCCCAGGATATGGACAACTATCCCCTTCCCTCCTCCTATCCAAAACCGCTCAGCATTTAAGGCCTTACTCAAGCTCTGCCTCTTCTATGAAGTCTTCTCGATGTGATTCCCTTTCAGTTCCTGTAGGGCTTATCAATTGTACTGCTCATCTGGCACTTAATCAAATACTGGCCTTTGATATCACTTGTTACGTTGCTTAATTTTTTAATGATTATTTAATTTTAACATTTATGTTCCCTCTCCAGGTTGACAGTTTAAGACAGCTTCTCTGACACACCCATTCCAGTTCCTTCCTTCCTGTATTCTGCTACAACACGTGACAAAAAACACATGAAAAAAGTGGCATTAGGTATTACAGCCTACCACCAAATCTTCATGTCTCTTGAGCTCATGACAATTTGAACACATCAGATTACTAGAAAAGTTAGTTATTTACAATGCAAAGGACACCCAGTCCCCAGACCAAATAATTATACAGCTCAAAATCTCAATGGTGCCATGGTTGGCCCTTGGCTAGAACAAAGGCTGCCTCAATGATTGCTTCAAAGGTCCCCAAAAAAGTGAAGCTAGAAAGCCCATTAAAATGGTTTTACACGATGGGCTTTCATGGGAGAATAACATGTAATGGTTAAGGAAATGAAATCTGGGGCTCGACTGCCTGGGTTCAAATCTGACTCTACTACTTACTAGCTGTGTGTCTTGGACCCATTACTTCACCTTTTTGAGACAGAGATTCCTGCTCCATAATATGGAGACAATACAGTGTCTACTTCTGAAGGTTGTTGTGAGGATTAATAAACACAATAATAAAGCACACAGAACAGCGTCTGGCATTATATAAGTATTAGCCACCACCCTCATTATAATCACCAACTTACGTATGGGAGTAACGCAGGAGAAAACACCAACCGCTTCACTTCAGGAGTCATGGGAATTCGATTCCTCAAGAGAATGGTTTTTGAAGACTAAAAACAAATTCACGCCCAGTTCCTCAAATGTCAGAAGCTCTGCTCTCCCTCAGCTCGCTCTGCTCCCACTCTTTCTTCTTTAATGCTGCCTTGGCTGCCTAAAGGCCTGGATGCAAATGTTCTCATGTTTGAAGGGCAGACTACTTACACCATTACTATAATGCAGAACATTCTGGGGGAAAGCAGTTTGTTATATATGGAGAAACTTTTTCTCTTCTTGACCAAATAGGATAGGTGTTCTGTCTACCCTCTAAGGGGCTGCCAGCAAAGCCCTTGGAATCCAGGCCTTTTACCCTGCACTCTCCTCCTCCACAGAAAACTTCATGAAGGCGGAAGGATGTACCTGTTTCCTGCTGACTTTCCATGCTGATGGTAGAGTCACCCCAAGAAACATACTGTGATATTATCTTTTGTCTGTTGGCTTTTAAAATCACACATTAGAAATACAATAAAACATTCAGACATAAAGGTAAAATTGAGTAAAAGAACAAAACTTTCCCTTTATTCCCCATCTTAGCTTCCCTTCCATGGAAGTAAACACTTTTTTTAATTTTTAAATTAAATTTTTAAATTAAAAAAATAAATAAATGAGACAAGGTCTCACTATGCTGCCCAGACTGGTCTTGAACTCCTGAGCTCAAGTGATCCTCCCATCTCAGCCTCCCAAAGTGCTAGGATTACAGGTGTGAGCCACCACATTCAGCCATAAACCTTTTTTCAATTTAATGTATGTCCTTAGAGATTTTTAGAATGCATTTGCTTTTATATATTTTTTATTAACACAAACATGTCTCTACATTTGGAGCTATATCATTTTAAGATTGCCTCTAACCGGTTTCTTACTGGTGGGCACTCAGGTTAACACTTAGATCTCAACTTTGTAGTGACCCAACTGTTGATCTGTAAGTAACTCAACTGTAGTTGCCAGGAAATCTAATCCATTTGGTGACTCTGTAGACAGCACTACCTCTCCAAAAGATTTGTTTCTTAAAGTCTGTCTATAAATGCAAAATGCCAGGTGAATTTACATACAGTTTGACTTTCAGATATAAGCACAACTACTGTTCAAATATACATTTAACTTAAAAATTTAAAACCAATGGAAAAATTAATTCAAGGTTAAAAAAATTACAATTTATAGAAAGTTATCTAAAGTATTTTTTAGGGTCTATGTTTTGTCTCTAAATCCTGATCTAGAGATTTTTGAAATCACATGGTCTTAAGCCATTTTATTCTTCTAATTAAAAAAAAATCTTTATAAATTTCCTGACCTGAAGTTTTCAGTAAATTATTACATTCTTCGTATCCAGGTATCATCTATAAGTACTTAGTGGAGAACAGGAAGGCAGAAATTTTGCATCTCTAACTAGTGAGCAACTGCTGTCTTTTCCTCTGCTAATAAATTACAGGCAGACTTGAACAGATGTCAGGTTGGCATTCAAAACCTAAAATATAGCTGAAAAGCAAGTTATGACTAATACAAGAAAAAAAGATGAATGTCAGAAGGCTTCATTTTTTTTTCTTTTTTTCAAATTTCAGATAAGCTCTTTAGCCTTAGGGTTCCTTTTACAGAGCCCTGGAGTTCGCCTGGATGTCTTAACCCCCATTTAAAATGCAATCTCTCCTCATGAGTGGGGGTGTGAAAATGCATTTTAAGAGTGTCAGTGTTTATGTTAATCTTAGCAAGAACTCCCTCTCTCCAAAATATGGCATGCACAAAACCTTAGTGCCCTTTCTTCCACTATGTTTTATTTGCACTGTTTTTAGTATGTGAAAGATGTCTGTGTGATTGAAAGGTTCCTTATCTTCTCAGCAGTTCTGTTTCATAGAGTAACTACAATTTCACTTATGATATCAGAAAAGAGTTGCTTTCCTCTTGAATTTCAAAAGAAACCTTAAAAATACGATTGAAAATGGGCTTACAGAGGGAGACACTGGGGAAAGGAGACCAAAAAGAACACAGTGTCAGTTTCAAAGAATGGGGGCACAAGACCATAACAAGTGGCTTTCCTCCCCACTAGGTGGCCTGAACATCTACACCCCACAGATCCACTGAAAGACAGTGTGAGGCTGAGGTCTTCCCTCTTTACATCCTTTTCCTTCTAGGTCTTTCCTTGGGTAGATGTGAACCTATTCCCAGGATTACATTAAGAGATGCTGACTAATTCTTTAACAATTATTCCACTGTTCATTGAAAACGATGTGTTTTTTTGCTTTGACATTTATAATTTAGAGAGAATTGCCAGGGATGCTGAAAAAATGAAGTTTCTTGGCAGAAACGCTATCTTTGCTAACAAAATAGCTACAGTGAGAACTGAGGTAATCAATCATTTATTTATCCTGAACACTGTCCACAAAACTGCATACAGGGGAATAAGTGTGGTAAATGTCCGAACACAAGTATTCAGTATCTATTCAGTTAACACCTGAATATGCTGAAAGACAGCAATCAGCTGTTGAATTTATTCACCCATACTTCCAGATACCAGCTTTGATGTTCACATTTCTACCCTGGGACTCAAATGTGGCTTCTATTAGCCCATAAAATTATGGATTTAAGGTAATTCTTAATTAAAAATCTGTTTTGTGGGGGGTTGGAAGGCATTCTAACTAAATATCTATTTGGTATTTACTAAGTGCAAGGTATAGGTTTAGTTTTCTTCGCTCGTTGCTCTCATATCCTTCCAAGGAAGGGCTGCCCCACTTGGGTTTGGGTGAGCTCAACTGCTTCAGACAAGGGGAAAACTCAACAGTTGCTCTGATTAAAACAATAACAAAAACAAAAGTCTAAATTGATATTCCCCTAAATAATCCCTTTTCCTTTATCCCTCAGTCTAGAGAGCTTTATGTGACTTCCTTTCTCCTTTAAGGGTTTCCTTGATTTTAATTCTACAAAAATATAACAAAACTACAAAAGCAGAAAGGCATACATTATCTTCTTCTTTTTTTTTTTTTTTTTTTTTTTTTTTTTTTTTGAGATGGAGTCTCGCTCTGTCGCCCAGGCTGGAGTGCAGTGGTGCGATCTCGGCTCACTGCAAGCTCCGCCTCCCGGGTTCACACATCCTCCTGCCTCAGCCTCCCGAGGAGCCGGGACTACAAGCGCCCGCGACCACGCCCGGCTAATTTTTTCTGTTTTTAGTAGAGACAGGGTTTCACCGTGTTAGCCAGGATGGTCTCGATCTCCTGACCTCATGATCCGCCCACCTCGGCTTCCCTAAGTGCTGGGATTACAGGAGTGAGCCACCGCACCCGGCCTAAGGTATACACTACCTATTTGAAAGACCTTCAAGAGAGAAACTAACAGATTGGAAACTCCATGACAGTTATTTTCAAGTATATTACCTCATTGGTTCCCTAATTTTACTGCTTAATTGTGTGCCTCTCGTTAAGTCCTTTAGTCCTCCTATATCTCATCAGCAACATTCTGTTCGTAGCTAAACTATATTTTTCAATTTTGAAAAGGCAACATGAAGTTTTATAGACAAAAAGAAAGAACTCTGTTACCTAGAAGCATAATTATCAGTCTGATGAACATAATGACAGAAGAGAAGAATATTCTAAATTTATCACTTTGTAAATTTGAAAATTGATATATAGGCAAAAAATCCACTTAGTTAAGATTCCTGTTTACGAAGTAGACATCACTTTAGACTCCATGGTAAAGACAGTAATTTGGTCTCAAGCCAAAAGTAAAGTTTTCTGCTTAAAACAAAAAAGCCCCATAACCTACATAAATTATTCTTTTCTAATCTTTTTTAAAAATTAGAACTGATTTAACCAGTCATACTCAGTGTCCAGCTGAATCCCCAAACCATATAGATCTGTCTATTTAGTTAACAAAGAGTGGGGGAAAAAAATCCATGTTGTTCCCACCTGACATGTCAAAAAAAAAAACAACACAGAATATGCATAAAAATAATTTGTATAATTTTATTTATATTCTGTCAAAATATAACCATTTTTATTTATATACCTTTACCAAAGCCTAAGGAGAACTTTATAACCACACTGTAATTGGAGTGCAAGAAAGGATTTTACTATATAATTCCCCCAAAATTCAAAGGAAAAAAGAAGCCTCTATTGGAAGACAGGGAATTATACATGCATTACAAAAGAATTATTTCTCAGCCATTTAACCATTAAAAAAAAAAAAAAGAAGAAGCTTTACTTTTTTTTAGATACCCAGAAACTTCATCCAGAATAAAGAAAATAAGTTTTTCAATTCAGCTCAAAAGCCAGGACAGCTTTATACTAGTTTGTCTTTTCAATGAAATTGGTAACAAATGCTTCCTGATGGCAAAAAGCCATAAAGAGAAAAAAAAAAAAAACTTTTCCAAAAGGATAGAATTCATTTTTTGTCTAATTAAATTAGTGTAAAAATATTAGAAAAATAAATCCATAAAAAAGGTTCTGGACAGTGGCACTCACAAAATTCAAATCCATAGTGCTTAGTCAAAAAACACATCAAAAACAACAAAAAGCACACTACTGTAATTCAGCTCATTTCAATACGGATATCAGAAACAGATGAAATTCACTAACAAATTCCAAATCTGTTCTGATTTAATTTAAAACTCTCCAACAGCTGGCAAGGTCACAAACTGACCAATGTGAGACCAACTCCTTTACGCATTATCTACCCAACGCATACTGACGTTGCGCGTAGCTTCAAGTGCAGGATCTAGATAATGCACAAATAGCAAACTAGTATCTGAATAACTGTTATCTTCAATAGCTTCCAAACAGTGAGAAAACATTTATAATTAAAAGAGACGGCTTACTACCAATGCAGTTATTTTTCTACTTTTTGGCTAAACAGTATAAATGTTCTAAGAAACAGAATCATTAGACTCTTCCTGCACTAGATCTCAGTTCTGAAAACCAGTAAAAACATTCCACAAGAATAACTTACAACATTTGGAATCATCTTTTTATCCCTGCTTTTACCCAAAATACACTTAAACAATATTTTCATGTCTTGATCGAAAATACACATTACCAAGATAGTGAACTACCACATTTTAAAATATTTTCCCAATTAAAATTCTGCTTTTAATGGACGTGGCCTTTGTATCTTTGAGATAAAAAGTATGCTATTGCCATTTCAAGGTGTATAAAACTCAGGTGATGAGGGTCTCTGTCATTTTCTCTTAATCCAATTCCAAACTCGACCTTTACTCAGTGAACAGGTGTGTGCCGTGCCTGTAATTTATCAGAGTGAGCGACCAGGCAGAAAGGCTACCAACAATAGAAGGCTAATACAATCCAAGCACTTAGTGCCTAGAAAGCAGTTCTTATCCCCACTATAATAAATATACTTTTATCTTCCAGTAGCAATTTAAAGATAAAGAATGATGGGGATGAGCGGAGTAATATATTCATATTCCTTCCATTTTTTTTTGGATGCTGTTTTTACACTAATAGTCTGCCAGAAGCTGTTATGTTATACATTCCTTTCTCAGATATTCTGTTGCTCACATTCCAATCCAACGAATGATATGGACATGAAAACAGTCATGACAGCATTTCCACTGGGCAAATAAAGTCACTTCACACAGATAAATTAAATAAACCTTCAAGAAGAAAGTGGTAAACGAATAGTGCACTTCTTTGTATGCAATATAGAAACTCCAATGTATATCCTGCATTTGTCTTTTTGGATCAAACTTATTTAATTTAAAAATATGCAAGTACCCATTTATTAGGTATGAAGATGTACTAACTGGGTAATGCAACAGTACAATAAAAAGGAACGGCAGCTAATGTCAGAACAATGCACACAGCCTAATAGATAGTTATTATTCAGCAGGGTACATCTGACCCATAGTGATCTTTAGAGTCAGGTGAACTTTCTAAATATGCCCTATAGAAAAACATTCTTACGCAAATAAATAAATAAAATGGAGTCACTACTAGTATTATTACTGTCAGGGGAAGTTTCTAAATATGCCCCATAGAAAAGCATTCTTCAATAAATAAATAAACAAAATGGAGCCACCACAAGTCTTATTTCTATGATTTCCCCATAAAATTAAAATGTAATTTTAAAAGTTCTGGTATTATAAAGTTTTTCAGAAAATTTATCTGTTCATTTTTAAAGAAAAAGACAAAAATAATGGGTCTGAAAAATAATTTCAAAACTATTGAAAAGAGATTCTTCATTGCATTAATTTTTTTAACAACACAAGATTTTATAACATTTTCCTTTTTAAACTTACCCATCTGCTCCACAATCTCTGGAGGAAATACTCGGGAAGCAAATGCTCGTCGGAAAATATCTGAAAATTCCTTGTCTAGACCTCCTATTCCCATTTTTTCAAAGTTCCAGTCAGGATTGATAATTGATTGGCGATTTTCCTTGGTTTTAGCTTTGCCTATGTCAAACGAATATTATCAAATGTGAAACAAGGACTTTATCACTAAGTCTAAAAAGACAGACAGAACTCCCTGAGCATCCTAAATGAATAAAGAAAAGCTACCCTTACATATACAAAACGAACAATATAATCTTAGCTGATTTTACAGTCAGAAGGGTAAGTTTTGCTATGCTATCTACTTTGTCTGATCTCCATATATGGTAACACACTGTCAAAATGACTAGCTAAACTTATGCTGTAGTCTATTTGTATCAGTCCATAAAACTTAGTTTTATTAACCTTCAATCTAACTAAATTAACTAACTCGGTTGATCAGAAGAAATGCCATATCTGATGAAGACAACACTAGCTGGCAGAAATGCAACTGAAATCTCGCAGTCACTGAAGTCTCCTAACGCAAGTTTATTTTAAAATACATATATTTATCCAGATTAAGCTTATACAGGTAATTGGGCATATAACCCCTCAGCCTAAGGAAATATACTGAACAAGTTTGATGTCTTCTTTGCTTTCTCTTCACTTGGACACAAAAGTCTGAAATCATCCTAAAGACTTCAATGATTACAAAACTCATGTTTAAAAATTCTCAAGAGGACAAAAATTATCTAACTTAAATGTCAGAGTGCCACCTAAAGTAACTCAAGAGAACCACATTTACTATTTCAAACAAAGAATAAATTAAGTACCTTAGTATGCTCTATTATAAACAAAAAATAAAGTAATAATATGGTTTTTATAAAACCAGGGAAGAAAATGTCACATTAAAAAAAGTTTATCCTAAGAAATGCTAAATATTTGAGGTGATATGTTAATTAGGCTGATTTGATCATTCTACAATGTATACATGTATTAAAATATCAAATTGTACCCTATAAATATATACAATTATTATCTGTCAATTAAAAATAAAGTAACGCTTTTTAAAAGTTTATACTAGATGATAATTTTATGGTTAGAGTTTTGAGGCCTTAAGATTTCCTTTGGAAAGCGATGAAAAATATTTTTTTCTTACACTCTACTGCCCTCTTGTGGGCAAAATTTACTGAATGCCAATTAACTACACAATTTTTTTCCCATGGATTACTTAGAAATACCTATGAAAGTTATGCAACTCCCTTGGGATATCTTAACAAAAGGTACACAAAAATAAAATACAAAGAAGTCACTTCATAAATGTACTAGATCAATAACAGGAAAATACATCCTACCTTCATAAAATGACATACAGGCATTAAAAATCATGTTATAGGTGTATATTTAAGATGTTTGAAACATGCTAAGCAAAAAAAGCAAATTACAAAACTATGAAAACAGAACCAAATTTTACAGTGTGTGAATTGTTTTCGAATGCCTATCCATATTTTATAAATAAAATATTTTATAATTAACAAAAAACAATAAGGGGGAATGGTAATTTGTGGACCAGGAAATAAAGGCCACGCACTCAAAGACTGTTAAGTGACCCTGGACATGATGATGTGCAACCAATGAAAACCCTCTACTCTCTAGTAGGGTAGACATCAACATAGTTAAATCAACCAAAAATAAGAATTAATGCCCAGTTAATGTCACATTATTCTGGTGAGTTACTATTCTCAGAGAATAAGCTGCAATTGTTTTAATATGACAAAAATTGTGCTAGAGTACAAGAGTAGGACTGAACCATGAATCTGCTGGGAAGACTTGACCTGCACATTCATCACTTAATCACTAAAAGAAATGATGATGCTATCTCATTTAACACAAAACCAAGTGAGGGGCATTCTACAAAATAACTGACCAGTTCTCAAAGTCATAAAAGACAAAGTCTGAGGAACTGTCAGTGACTGAAGAAAACTCAAAAGACAGAACAACTAAATGCAATATGGGATCCTAAATTAGATCTTGGAACAGAAAAGGACACAATGGAAAAACTGGTGAAATCTCAATAAAATCTGTAGTTTAGTTAGCAGAAATGAAACCATGTTCATTTCTTATCATTGTACTTTTGAAAATGTCAAATAAGACATTAACATCAGGGTAAGCTGGTAAAGGGCATACAGAAATTCTCTGAGCTATTTCTGCAAATCTGTGAACCTAAAATTATCTCAAAATTAAAAGTTAAAAAATTAATTTGTTTCTTATTTTAGTGCAATTTCTAGGAAATTAAAAATTACACATGTGGCTCACACTCTATTTCTATTGGACAAAGTTGATCCAGATGAAGGTTTTAAACGTTTTCATCAGCAAACTGACCAACAGGAAATACCCCATGCTTCTGTGATAAACTCTCTCAAGAGAGATGCCCCTCTTTCCTTTCCCCATTTGGAAATCACTGTAGTTGAGTTACATATAGAAATAGGCCCACTTCATTTCAAATCTTCTAAAAACTGTAAATCTTACCAATAAGATTAAGTGACGAATTTTCTGCTTTTTCAAATGCAACTTGACTGTTTCCAACAACCAGTCCTACTTCAATCTGTAGAGAAAGACAATAATTAGTAGTCTAATAGCAAACTTCTGGACTTCTCAAAGCAAGGCCAAAAGTGAGGGGGAAATGAGGTCTCTCTGGGCAAAGCAAACCTTCCAGACTATCATCTGAGCTACTTTTACTTTTCTCATAACTTTCTTCTACAATTCTTACATGCCTTATTTCCATGCCTATATCTTTCCAATAATGCGTTTCTTATTATTTATTTACAATAAATATCTGCATTCAAGCAAATTATATGTACATATACGTCTACATTTTACATTAATATTAGGTCTGCAAATAAATACATTTTAAGCTATATTTTAATAACAATGATGGCTATGAAAGCAATTTTTTCTCCCTACTATCTTAAAAGGGTACACAATATGAAAAAAATCACTAAGCAACAGATAGGAAAATTATAATCAATCTGCACAAATTACATTATAAAGATGATCTAGTAAAGATGATCAGAAATAAAAGCTACCTTCTGCCTTTTCCCTGTCGCAGGCTCTCCCTTCAGGATGCTAGGATCCATGGCTTCAATGTCCTTCACCAGTAAGCCAAAAAGCTTTTCATTGAAGCTAAAGACAAGCTATGTAGAAAAGAGGTAAGGGGAGAAAAATCACTTCATAATATAATAGTTTGATCCTCAGATCATCACCAATGTTTTTCAAATGCAGAAAACCAGTTTATCTTATATACTCCTCTCCAATCTGCTCCTCAAACAAACTACTCACAGCCAATGAAGAAAAGGGAATTAGCACTTACGATCAGTGTTTACAAAATGACTGCAAAACTCATGTTTAAAATTTCTTCCACATGGATAAAAAATATCTAATTTAAATGTCAGAGTGCCACCTAAAGTAATTCAAGAGTACCACATTTACTATTTCTAACAAAGAATAAAGTTTCTTAGTATTTTATTCAAACACTACAGCCAGTTATATAATATTCACAAACACTCTTGGAAGCAGAAACTACGACTCCATTTTACTAGTGAGGAAGCTGAGATGCAGAAACAGGCTATGCAACAAGGCTCAAAGTCACAGTAAATGAGAGCGCCAGAAGTCAACCCTGGGTCTGTGACTCTACAATTCCTGCTTTTCTATCACTAGTACAAAATGCTTGCCCTACAAGTGCAGAGACAGCTTCTGAATGCTCAATTACTCATTCACCAAATCTTTGCTGAGTCCCTTCTAAAAGTTTGGTCTTCTTCTATGTGCTGGGGTATAATGGTAAATATTACAGGTTGGGCTGTCTGTCCATTCTGCTACTACGAGATACCACAAATGAGAAGAAACAGTTAAGGACAGTGATCTGGAGTAAGATATTTACTTCTTCTCTGAATTACGAAAGATTCTCTTTCATGGATTTACTGACTTCTACATGCTACTGAGTTTTAAATTATTATAAATACCAAAGCATTTTCTATTAAACATTCTCCTAAACATTTTCTATTAGGATACTAAAACTAAAAGCAAAGGTAAAAACCATCAAGTTTAGCTAGGCAATCTGAGCACAATTTTGGTCATCCAATACACAACAGCACCGCAATAGCTCTCTGGTGAATTGTCCTGATCTACTTTCATCAGAGACCTAACTGTACATGGTATTCCTGTCTTATTTTCTGTTTTCTTCAACTAGAAAGTAAGTTCTATGACAGCAGGGATCATATCTATTTTGTTCACTGCCGATCTGCAGTGTCTAAAACAGTGACTGGTACTAGGCACTAGGTACTATCAAATATGTGTTTAATTAATTCTTATCTCAACTATGTCCCTTAGCTGTGTAGCCATGGGCATACCATTTACCTTCTTTAGATCTTAAATTCCTCATTTGGCCAGGCGTGATGGCTCACACCTGTAATCCCAGCACTTTGGGAGGCCGAGGTGGGAGGATCACTTGAGGTCAGGACCAGCCTGGCCAACATGGCAAAACCCCATCTCTACTAAAAATACAAAAAAAAAATGGTTGGGCATGGTGGCTCATGCCTGTAATCTCAGCACTTTGGGAGGTCAAGGCGGATGGATCACCTGAGCTCATGAGTTCGAGACTAGCCTGATTAACATGGTGAAACCCCATCTCTACTAAAAGTACAAAATTAGTCGGGTGTGGTGGCGCATGCCTGTTATCCCAGTTACTCGGGAGGCAGAGGCAGGAAAATCACTTGAACCCAGAAAGCGGAGGTTGCAGTGAGCTGAGATGGTGCCGCTGCACTCCAGCCTGGATGACAGGGTAACACACCATCTCAAAAAATAAATGAATAAATAAATAAAATTTTAAAAAATAAAAAAATAAAATTCCTCATTTGTATATGTGGAGTTACATAAGGTAATCTCTTGAGGTTCATTCCAATTCTAGTACTCTTTTTAAAATAATGTACTATATCCTTTTCCTATCTAGCAGGAATTCAGTTTTTTAAGATTCTCAAATAAGCCCATAACCAAAATAAGAACTTTTTTTTTTTTTTTGAGACAATCTCGATCTGTCACCCAGGCTGGAGTGCCGTGGCACAATCATGGCTCACTGCAGCCTCAACCTCCCAGGCTCAAGCCGTCCTCCCACCTCAGCCTCTTGAGTAGTTGAGACCACTACACGCAGCTACTTTTAAAAAAATTTTTGTAGAGACAGGGTCTCACTTTGTTGCCCAAGCTGATCTTGAGCTCCTGGGCTCAAACGATCCTCCCAACTCAGTCTCCCAAAGTGTTGGGATTACAGGCATGAGCCACCATGTCTGGCCAAGAGCTACATTTTCTACAGAACTATATTAGTGAAAGAGACAGACATTCCAGAGGCAAAACAAATGTCCTATGATATAAAAAGGAATTTCAGATATATATGTCCACAGGGTTCCCAAATTTGCTGAGGGAAAAGCTGCTATAATTATACATGACATTTTAATCTAAAAGCTACTTTAGAATTTTTCTGAACAGACTCCTTGAAGTTCAGTAAATACATCT
Organism: Homo sapiens; assembly: GCF_000001405.40. Lineage (NCBI taxonomy): Eukaryota > Metazoa > Chordata > Mammalia > Primates > Hominidae > Homo > Homo sapiens. The sequence continues at coordinate 46,637,685 of NC_000017.11, read as the reverse complement.
CCCTCACTTTTATCACTCACCTTGGATATACGAGTTGATACGCAAAGCCCCTCTCACTTTTTAAAAGGTGGAATTAATTTTGGAAAACTGCAGAAATTAGAATACCTATAAAGTTAAAGGAATGAAAGAAAATTAAAAACTACCTGTTGTCCCACTGAGAAGGCCTGGTTGTTGAATTGCTGAATAAATTCTGCTGCCATCTTGTCGGTGTCATAAGGGTTGGAGTCAATGCTTTTTTTCTGCAGGAAATCAATCTCGATGGTCATTGTGCCAATACACTGTTTGGCTTTGTCAAATGTATATAAGGAGACTAGGGGAAAAAAAGAAGCATTTTTTTAAAAATCACAGGAGTACAAAATACCTGTAGTGTTTCTAGTAACTAAAAGTTTCACATAAATGAATCATAAACTACTTCACCAAAAATGGGGTTTAAATGGCCTTCACTGGAGGGACACACAGGTACAGGTTTAAAAAATAATAGTCACTAGAGATTTTCTTCCCCATCTGAATTAATTAGAAATACTGAATGGCAGGCCGGGCGCGGTGGCTCACTCCTGTAATCCCAGCACGCTGGGAGGCCGAGGCGGGCGGATCACGAGGTCAGGAGATTGAGACCATCCTGGCTAACACAGTGAAACCCCGTCTCTACTAAAAATACAAAAAATTAGCCGGGCGTGGTGGCGGGCGCCTGTAGTCCCAGCTTCTTGGGAGGCTGAGGCAGGAGAATGGCGTGAACCTGGCAGGCGGAGCTTGCAGTGAGCCAAGATCACGCCACTGCACTCCAGCCTAGGGCAACAGAGCCAGACTCCGTCTCAAAAAAAAAGAAAGAAAGAAATATTGAACGGCAGTCTCTCTGTTGTTATCCCTCATCCCACTCTTATCAGGATCACAATCCTCCCCACATGGCCTCTGCATCTTTCTCCTCATTTAATGCAATACAGTATGGGATGCCCCAACACAGTTGGCATAACATGCTATTTCCAAATAAGATTTTTGTTTGACACAAAAAAACAGCTAAGGTGGGATGTGGATGAATTATTTTGGCCTAAGAAAGTAGGACGCAAGGCAAAAAAAAGAAGCTTGAAAAACAATGTTTACTAGCGGAATTTGCTCCAGAGCAAGTTAGAGTTTGACATTTCTTTTTTACTACTACAAAAATGTTTCCTGAGCACCTGCTACATCTAGGGAACTACAGTAAGTTCTACATGTACACATGTAGATAAGGGCAAGGACGAGGTTTTTAACTCCTCTTCCTATTAACAGCATCTAACAGTTTCTTTCAGGTGCTTAATATATTCATGAACTGTTTAAATGAAACAACAATAACAGAAAACCCATGGTCTCCATGCTAATAACAAAGGAGGCAATAAAGCATACATACAAAGCTTTGGATAAGAAAATTCCTGTTCAAGCCACATAAAAAGTTTTAAAATGAATTTTAGGTTACAATGTAATTAATATTAAAGTGTTACACATGATTTTACATCATGTAATAACTGTTCGACCAAAAACCTTTAATTGTACAACTACAACACAGTTTACATATCATATTTTTAGAAAAATATATGTTAAAACAAATTTTGCTAGTGACAGATAATTACAAAGAAGCATTTCCCTAGAAAAAAAAACTTGATTCTTAAATCAGCTCAAAAAGTATACTTATAAATGCCAGTTTATAAACAAACTTTTAAAGCAAAAAATTTTACAGTGCTGTATACTGTAGTGGTACTATTAGGAAAGAGTAGAGTAGGCTACCCAGAAAAGTTCAAGAGGATTTTTGCATTTGAGTTTCCCCAGGAGGGCAACTTGATTACGCCTAGTAAGAAAGAGTCTATTGCTACTCTTCAATAAGGCTTCACACACGAGCACACACACACACACACACACACACACACACACACACACACATTTATTTTCCCTTTAGGTTCCCTGAAGATACTTGTCCTAAAATTTACCAATGGCCCCTTAAGGATACAGTAGCAGCTCTCGTAAGCAACCTCCACTGAGCTGAGTCATCAGAAAGCTGACCAACTTTTATCCCTCCAACATATACCCATCAGCCTATGGTTTGCCTAACGCTCAGAGCTTGTAGACAGGAGTTGCTACACATCATGGGTCAACCAAGTTCATTCTGGTATCTGTCTGTGCTAGTTACACTTGTTACAGTTAATTATGAAATATAATTAAATAGTATAAAAACTTCTGAAGGCCTGGTTGTTGAACTGTTATTACAATGACTTTGACATTCTAGAATAGATATTATAAGTTGAAAGCTTTGGGAAAATTTTTTAAATGAAGTGTTTCTTCTAGAAAAAAAAAATACTGCTAACTAGGTATAAGCATTAAAATTAGAAAAGGTTGGGAGTGAACTCTACAAAAATCCAAGAGGTTTTGGCACTCTCAGATGCTCTACAAAGTCTAAGTTCTCCAGCCATTTCAAAGAAATCCACCTGGAAATTATGGGTAAAGTGTATGCACAAAAGATAATACAGAACTCCAATCCATGGACCACACCTCCAAGAAAAAGCCTTTAACCAACTTTTCACTTAATTACCAGTCCAAGTCACATTGGGTAAGTGAGCTTCTACAGTTCTCACCACAAAAGCAGGTTATAAACAAAGACTGTTTTTTCACACTTGCTTTGAACAACAGGCATGGCATTTCTGTGAGTTACTGAGGTCAAATAGCAAGAGGTAAACAAAAGAAGTCACTGTGCAGTATTAAATGTCTGTTGCAAAGATTCTAGTGGTTTACAAACAAAGCTGTTTTCTTCAAAGGGACTTTGAGTATGTGTGTTTCAACAGATTCTGCTAGCAATCAGAAGAATCCAAGTAAATAATTTAAGTTGTCTGTGCCTTGATTTGTCACATCTATAAATCAAGACTGAACTAGATAAGTCTTTATGGTCGTTTCACACTCTAAATTCTGTTCTAAACTTATTTCTTAAATTCTAGACCCTTGAGTTATGTACAAGGATTTTCTGTAAACTCTTATTTTATATTTGAGACAGAGTCTTGCTCTGTCACCCAGGCTGGAGTGCAGTGGCACGATCTCAACTCACCGCAGCCTCCACCTCCCGGGTTCAAGTGATTCTCGTGCCTCAGATTCTCAAGTAGCTGGGATTACGGACGCACACCACCATGCCCAGCGAATTTTTGTATTTTTAGTAGAGACAGGATTTCACTATGTTGGCCAGGCTGGTCTCGAACTCCTGACCTCAAGTGATCTGCCTGCCTTGGCCTCCCAAAGTGCTGGGATTACAGGCGTGAGCCACCACGAACGGCCGATTTTCTGTAAACTCTTTAAATGAAATTGTTTGTATAATCAGATTTCTGTATTTAAAGGGGGACATATACATATTTTAACTACTTCAAAAGCAAAATAACAAAGCCTGAGGAAGGAACATAAAACTCACTGAAGATCAAATAATAAGTTCAAATTTTGGCTAAAAGTTTCAGAATACTCTCCTGTCTCCAATTCTGGATGGCTTGCTCCTTCTTAACATTTCCTAGAATGGCCAGGCACGGTGGCTCATGCCTGTAATCCCAGCACTTTGGGAGGCTGAGTTGGGCGGATCACCTGAGGTCGGGAGTTCGAGACCAGCCTGACAAACGTGGAGAAACCCCGTCTCTACTAAAAACTACAAAATTAGCCGGGCGCAGTGGTGCATGCCTGTAATCCCAGCTACTCAGGAGGCTGAGGCAGGAGAATCGCTTGAACCTGGGAGGCGAGGCTGCAGTGAGCCAAGATCGCACCATTGCACTCCAGCCTGGGCAACAAGAGTGAAACTCTGTCTCAAAAAAAAAAAAAAAAAAAAAATCCTAGAAAGTACAGGTTATATGCTGAGTAACTTTGATAGGCAAAAGAGCTTAGTTGTTTCCCTCATGTAGTTTGAAAACATTTATAGGTTGAAATATTAATGTAAAAATGAATATGATGATTCAGCAATTCCATTTCTAGATGTCTGTCCCAGAAAGATGCTAGAACATTTGTCTAACAACACATCTACAGGGAGGTTCATTGCAGCATTATTTATAGTACTTAAACATTGAAAAATGTTTATCAGTAGGAGAACAATGAATAAAATGTAGTATATTCATAATGTAGAATACTTTACAGCAATTTTTATTGAAATTAAAACTTGGCCAGGCACAGTGGCTCACACCTGCAATCCCAGCACTTTGGGAGGCTAAGGAGGGAAGATCACTTAAGTCCAAGATTTAGAGACCAGACTGGGCAACACAGTGAAACCCTATCTCTACACAAAATTAAAAAATTAGCCAGGTACTGAGGCTGCAGTGAGCCACGACTGCACCACTGCACTCCAGCCAAGTGAGACCCTGTCAAAAAAACAAAAAAAAAACAAAAAAACAAAAACCAACTTTATGTATATTTATTAAAGATGGACGGCCTGGCCAGGCGTGGTGGCTCACACCTGTAATCCCAGTACTTTGGGAGGCTGAGGTGGGTGGATCACCAGAGGTCAGGAGTTCAAGACCAGCCTGGTCAACATGGTGAAACCCCATCTCTAATAAAAATAGAAAATATTAGCCAGCGTGGGGGTGAGTGCTTGTAATCCCAGCTACTCAGATGGCTGAGGCAGGAGAATTGCTTGAACCTGGGAGGAGAGGTTGTAGTGAGCCAAGATCACACCACTGTACTCCAGCCTGGGCAACAAGAGCAAAACTCCATCTCAAAAAAAGATGGATGGCCCTTGAAAACATAATATTGAGTGACAAAAGTCTACTGCAGAAAGGTTTGTACAGTATAATACCATTTTGTGCATTAAAGACACCAAAACAATATCATAATGTCATAATGCATATATATGTGTGTATATACATATATTCATGTCATCTTCATACTGAGAAATTTGAATAAGTATATTTAAAATATTGGCCAGGCGTGGTGGCTCATGCCTGTAATCCCAGCATTTTGGAAGGCTGAGGTAGGTGGATCATTTGAGGTCAGGAGTTCGATACCAGCCTGGCCAACATGGCAAAACCCCTTCTCTACTAAAAATACAAAAATTAGCCAGGTGTGGTGGCACATGCCTCTAATCCCAGCTACTCAGTAGGCTGAGGCAGCAGAATTGCTTGAACTGGGGAGGAGGAGGTTGCAGGGAGCTGAGATCATGCCACTGCACCCCAGCCTCAGCGACAGAGCGAGATTCCATCTCAAAAATAAATAAATAAAAATATAATTACTACTGACTGTAGTAATGCACTGACTGTAGTTTTCAAATGCATTTTAATTTAAGGCCAATGTTCCTAAATAGAAAAGACCAAACTGTTACAATTTCAAGTGCTATGGGCAGCACCATGGACAGTATCCCAGGCAGCACCACAGTCAGCACCATGGTCAGTCCCAAAGGGACAAGAGTCCTGAAGATTTCATCCTGGATCAAAGAAGATTGAGAATGTTTTCTTATTTTACGGCTAATAGTAATTTAATATAAAAGACTAATAAGAAAGATTTTATAAGCAAAAAATAAGTGTATCCAGTTCTTTGAATAAACTTGGACTTTACAATAATAGGTGTATATATAGTGGTCAAAACATCAGCCTGTAACACTTAAAATATGGCATTGCCAGATGGAAAGAAGACCGACTAAATGATTCCTCCAGAAGATTCCCTCAGACTAAAATCACTGATTTGACTAAAATGTTTCACCTTACGGAACTCCCATTCCAGAATACTTGAGCACTCCTTCAAACCACACCTCCTATCCTATCTTGGTCTACATCACTACTTAAACCAAACCAGTTTTCTATCTTTATGGCTACATCATCCACATCACTTGGGCCCCAAAACCCTACCTTCCCTCAAGCTTACTCCACTTTAGTCCCACCTATCACTGGGTTTTACAATTTTGCTTATTAAGTCTGTTTGAGCCACTTCTTTAAAGATCTGACTTTACAATCCAGATAAGCATTTCTGTTAGCAGAAGAATGCTTTTATAACTTAAACCGCAAAACACATTTCTCAACTCATCAAAATTTATAATCTTGAATTTCTGTATCTTGTCACAATAGAAAATATCTAGATTCAAAGTTTTAAGTACTCTTAGCCTCATATTTAGAAAAATTAATTTATGAAAATTAGAAACCTAAGCTACATACTACCCCACTTTCTCATTAAATTTAACAAGTGTTCATACTTCCACAAAGAAAAAGCTAACTAAAAATAACACCAATGTTGGCTGGGCGTGGTGGCTCACATCTGTAATCCCACCACTCTGGGAGGTCAAGGCAGGTGGATCACGAGGTCAACAGATCGAGACCAGCCTGGCCAACATGGTGAAACCCCATCTCTTCTAAAAATACAAAAATTAGCCGGGTGTGGTGGCAAGTGCTTGTAGTCCCAGTTACTTGCAAGGCTGAGGCAGGAGAATCGCTTGAACCCTGGAGGCAGAGGTTGCAGTGAGCCGAGATTGCGCCACTGCACTCCAGCCTGGCAACAGAGCGAGACTCCATCTCAAAAATAAAATAAAATAAAATAACCCCAATGTTTAAATTCCATCTAACTTAGAAAAAATTACAAGTTGTCAGGTTCCTAAATGAGGAGTAGGATAAAAGATGTGTGTGTGTGTGTGTGTGTGTGTGTGTGTGTGTGTGTGTGTGTACAGAGAGAGACAGAGACCCAGAGAGGAAGACAGGGAGCCAGAATGATAAAGAAAATATGACAATTGGTAAAGCTGGGTAAAGGTAGTATACAGAAATTCTTCGTATTATTTTTGCAACCTTTCTATAAATACAATTTTTTTTTAAGTTTTAAAGACAAGCAGAAGAAAAGCTGGTTTAATTACACTTGCATTTTCTTTCCTTCCCCTACTGTATCCATGAAGTTGACATAAAATCATCTGACTAAAGACGACTCATACTCCATTTCCTAACTTTGCCACATTGCCTGAGACAATGCCACTTTTTGCTTATTAGTTCTTTGGCTTATTATCTATTAGCAGCTTAGTCTTTCCACCCCGCCACGCCCCCAACTGGAAGTCATAAATTGCTTTCCTTGCCTTGAACTATGACGACCTTATCACACACTTCATAAAAGATATAGGAACAGAGGTACCATAACTATTTCCTTCCCATTCTCATAGATGTAACCAGTCTTCTGATACAATGAATGTTTAAGATCTGACCACTAGTAATAGAAAATTGTACAGATCTCAATAACTGTGAGAAAATCACATAGAAAATCTTTATCAGGTGGCTAAAAAATATACCTACCTTCTATTTCTTGCCCAATAGAAAGCCCAGCCCATTTTCTCTGTAAAGGAGAAAAAAAGATACTTAAAACCAAAGCCATCAAAATTAGACAAGAGAAAAAGAGGAATTTTAATGAATTTTAGGAATACACTCAAAGATCAAAACATGGTATGCTATTATGGTTGAACTGTGCTCTCCCCCTCCAAAGTATGTTGAAGTCTTAGCCCCCAACACCTGTGGATGTGACTTTATTTAGAAATACAATCTCTGCAAATGTATCAAGTTAACATGAGGTCATAATGAATTAGGGTGAACCCTAAGCCGATATGACTGGTGTCCTTCTAAGAAAGAGACATAGACACACAGACAGAATGCCATCATGTGATAGCAGAGGCAGAAATTGAAATGATGCAGCTACAGCCAAGGAACACCAAAGGATTGCCGGCAACACCAGAAGCTAAGCACAGAACAGGTTCTTCCCTAGAGCCTTCAGAGAGGGAATAGCTCTACTGACACCTTGATTTCAGACTTCCGGCCTCCACAACGGTGACAGAATAAATCTCTGTTGTTTTAAGCTACCCAGTAATGGTTCTTTGTTACTTACCCTAGGAAAGTAAAGCATGTGCTACAGTTTACATCTGAACATCTGTTTCAAAACGTGCAAAGCTTGCCTTTTGCAGTAAAGCTGGCACCACTGAGGAGGATGTTCCTTTGCACAATATGATGCTACAGAAGGTCTTCACTGTATCAGATCACACTTCAGTGTTCTAAATGTACTGCTGCAGTTAGTTTTACTGTTTGTTACAGTATCTCAAAAAGGAAGACATTCAATTCATGAAGACTAAATTAAAACTGGTCAGAAAATCTATTTTGAAACCCAGTCAGGGACTGAAATCATTAGATGGTCATGGCTACTCTTTGTATACTAGCCAGAAGATTTTTAGACATTTACAGCTAGATTTCAGGCTTTCCCAAATCCCTACTGTTTACAATGGCAAGAAGTATGAAGGCAGGCCAGATTGTGTTTAGGCAGGAATCTGGGGTTTGCTTGGTATAGATTCAAAATTAGTAATTACTGATAACACTCCAAAGAACAATGAGAAAAACAATTTTTGGTTGAAAATCAGTAGTTCACCTGCCCATCCAAACACTGCAGACTTTGTGGCGGGTAATTTAGAAGACACTGAACTGTGAATATGTGCAACAAGTGCTCTCCCTTGTGGCTTTCTTACCACATCCTGTTTCCCTCCACTCTGCCCTTCACCTCCCCCAGAAGACCTCTTCTGTAAAACCCCATCCCACTTCTGGCCAACCTGAAATTTAGCACCATGCTCGTTAAGCTTAGACTTTAAGTCACAAGGAAGCCACATTTAGGTTCTGTACTTCAATCCCAAAGACAGCTGATATGGTTTGGCTTTGCCCCCACCCAAATCTCATCTTAAATTGTAGTTTCCATAATCCCTATGTGTTATGGGAGAGACCCAGTGGGAGGTAACTGAATCATGGGTGTGGGTTTTCCCATGCTGTTTTCATGATAGTGAGTAAGTCTCAGAAGATCTGATGGTTTTATAAAGGGCAGTTCCCCTGCACACGCTCTCTTGTCTGCCGCCATGTAAGACATGACTTTGCTCCTCCTTCGCCTTCCACCATGATTGTGAGGCCTCTGCAGCCATGTGGAACTGTGAGTCCATGAAATCTCATTTTTCCTTATAAATTATCCAGTCTCCAGAATTTCTTCATAGCAGTATGAAAATGGACTAATACAACAGTCCTTAGGGATAACAACAGTAGCTATTGTATAAGGTTGTTTGGAGAATTAAATGAGCTAACACATGCCAAAGTACCTAGAATAGAGGCTGGCCTACAGTGAATGTCGGGGAAATTTTTTTTTTTTTTTTTACAAAACAGAGACAAGGAGAAACTGTCACACCTCAAGCTATTGCTAACAATCAGAATCCCAAATGGAACTCTGTAAAAGCTGGAGAACCCTGGAATATCCCAAACTTTTAATCTATAGAAACAAACGTGAAAGTGGTCTGGATAATGAAGAGGCATCAAACAGACAGGTGGAATAGTAAGTGAAAATTTCCTGTAATTTTTGAGGGCTTCAAGAGATCTTCAATAGTTCCTTTTTTTTCCCTTTTTTTTAAGAGACAGAATCTCACTCTGGAGCAAAGGCTGGAGCATGGTGGCACAATCATAGCTCACTACAGCCTCGACTTCCTAGGCTCAAGTGATCCTCCCAACCTCAGCCTCCCAGGTAGCCTGGACTACAGGCATGTGCCACCATGCCCAGCTAATTAAAAAAAATTTTTTTTTTGTAGAGACTAGTGCGGGGGACAAGGGTCTCGCTATGCTGATCTGGAATTCTTGGTCTCAAGCGATCCTCCTCCACCTCCCAAAGCACTAGGATTACAAGCGTGAGGTACCTGGCCCATCTAATAGTTTTTGTTTTTGTTTTTTTCTTTTTTAAACAGGGTCTCACTTTGTCACCTAGGCTAGAGTACAGTGGCACTATCTCGCCTCACTGCAGCCTCAACTTCCCGGGCTCAAGTGATCCTCCTGCCTCAGCCCCTCAAGAAGTTAGGACTACAGGCATGCACCACCACACTCAGCTAATTTTTATATTTTTAGTAGAGGTGGGGTTTCGCCACGTTGCCCACTGGTCTTGAACTCCTGGACTCAAGTGATCCACCAGCTTTGGCCTCCCAAAGTGCTGGGATTACCAGCATGAGTCATTGCACCCAGCCTAATAGTTCTTAAATGAGTGTTTGATCTCTTTCTCTAAACCTTCAGGGAAGTCAACCAATGCTCATTAGCATACTAGGAGGAGGTAGGAATTCCATTTACATTACTTAGGACTGGGGACAGTCAGCAGCCTGAGTAAAATGATAAGGGAGAAGAGGATACAGACTAGTATTCTTGGTGCTTTATATTATGTATGATGTGCCTGGGACAGCACTAAGCAATCTAATTCTCTGGATTCTACAGAATCCATCAACAGTTGTAACTGTAATCACAACCCATCCAGTTGTTATGGGAGCCTAGCAAATTATGTTGTAATTTGAGACTCTTTCCAAATTCTTTAGTATAACGCCATCACATTATAAAATCACCATTCTTAGATATCAACTTCACAAATAAAATGTTTTCTACTTTTCTATTACCCTGGCAGTTAACATTAAAATAACTTGACGCTTTATGTGATAGCTGACTGATTTTACTGCAAAATCTTTAAAAATTAGGGAAAAAAAATCAAGCCAAAAGAAGGCAGCCATAGCAAAAACTGGCAATTAAGAATCTGTCTTTAGGTTGGGCATGATGATTCACACCCTATAATCCCAGCACTTTGAGAGGCCAAGGTGGGAGGATTACTTGAGCCCAAGAGTTAAAGACCAGCTTGGGCAACACAGTTAAGACACCATCCCTACAAAAAATTTTAAAATTAGTCAGGCACAGTGGTACAAGACTGTAGTCTCAGCTACTCGGGAGACTGAGGTATGAGAATTGCTTGAGACCAGGAGCCATGATCGTGCCACTGCACTCCAGCCTGGGTCTCAGAACGAGACCCTGTCTTAAAAAAAAAAAAGAAAAAAAAAAAAAAGAAGACTGTATCTTTAAATTCCTTATATAATACTTAGATATTTTTCTTCAATATGAATCAATACAGTCACAGGGTGATGCTTGCTTAAAATGAACAGATTATTCATATTCTATGACTTTCAAAAACAGAAGAGAACAAATTAACATCTGAGTTACCTGAGGTAAACTGAATGCAATGCTCCCTGGAACCACCGATGGATGTGTCTTCAGTGTAAATGTGTACCTGTGATTGGGAGAGGTCCTCACAATCACATGCCTAAAGGACAGAAACACAGTTAGTACTCCACATTGAAGGAAATGAAGAACATAATTTCAAAATGTATTTCTTGTCAAACTGATATTTAATGAGTATCAGGTGGAAACGACACTATCTGTGTCTTGAAGAAATAGAACCACAAATTTAGTTTCCCAAACTATCAGCAATCCCAAATGTTTTCCAGATATAAGGAGCACCTTGGGTCAAACACTCATCAAGTAGAATCCAGCCAAAATACCATCCAAAATACCAACTTCCTTACATTTCCAGTTTACATAAAACTGAAGCCAGTGATTTAGAGTCCTTGATATCAAGTAAAAACTAGATGCATTTCCTCTCCTGAGAATTACTTCACATCCTAATAAGGAGAAGAGAGCCAAAGATAAAAGAGCTAGGATATAGCAATCAAAAAAAAGTTAGTTTTTAGACTACTCATTAAATTTATTTGCAGACTCTCTCAACAGGCTAAAACAAAAACAACCTACAAAATAAAAAAAAAAAAGATTTAAAAAATTCCTAAAATACATCAGCTTTCATGTAGATATCAATATTTACTGTTTTAAAAAATTTTGTGCTAATTCCCTGTTCAGAAATTACCTGTAAATAAAAAAAAAAACAGTCCTCTCATGATAATCTCCTATACCAGGTAACTAAAAAGTACTATGTGTAAGATAGAAGCTTCAAATCCTGTTATGCAGCAGCAGTATCTTTTTTTTTTTTTTTTTTTTTTTTTAATACATGTGGTCTTGCTATGTTGACCAGGCTGGCCTCAAACTCCTGGGCTCAAGAGATTCTCCTGCTTCAGTCTCTAAAGTAGTTGGGACTACAGGCATGCCCTAACATGCCTAGCTCACTATCTTTTTAAACATTATCTTTTCAGAATGCTGTAATTTTTCACATCAATGGCTAATGTTTCTATACGTATTTTTTTTGCCACTAGAACACATGTTCCTTATATCAACTACATTTTGAGTAACCCCACCATGAGTACAGTGAACATTTAACATATGTAAAAGAATTCCACAAATTCTCACGTTGATTATCTATACTTCAGTTTATCTGTTGAAAATCCTGTGCTCAATTTAGCATCACAGAATGTTTAGCACTGGAAACAATGTTAATATCACCATATAGTACAGCCTCTTACTCTGAAGCTGGAAACCAAAGATGATTAGCATTTCTAACTCTGTGAAACTCAGGTATTTCACAGATAACATTTTAAGAAAAATGCTCAGTTAAAACCCTACCACCTTGCCTCTTATTTCCCTACAGCCCCTTCATCTCCTTATCTGTACCAATCTCAGAAGCATATGGATGGCACTGAACTTGCAGCAGGGTCTTTAGAAGTCCTGGCAGTGCGGTGATATGAATCAGTTAAAATAAATTACAGTGCAAAATGCCTTTAAGGATTCTACATTTGCTTTGCAGCTTCCAATTTTCTTTTTCCTTTACTTTTTTTTGAGACAGAGTCTCGCTGTGTCACCCAGGATGGAGTGCAGTGGCGCGATCTCGGCTCACTACAGTCTCTGCCTCCTGGGTTCAAGTGATTCTCATGCCTCAGTCTCCTGAGAAACTGGGACTACAGGCGCACACCACCATGCCTGGCTAATTTTTATTTTTAGTAGAGATGGGGTTTCACCATGTTGGCCAGGTTGGTCCCAAATTCCTGAGCTTAGGCAATCAGCCTGCCTTGGCATCCCAAAGTACTAGGATTACAGGCGTAAGCCTCCATACCCAGCCCATCTTCCAATGTTCATGTCTCTTGGATTATCATGGTAATAATAATCATAACAGCTAATATTTACTAAGGGATTGTTAACATGTTGGGAACTGTTCTAAGTGCTTTATTTATGTAACTCAATCTTCATAGCTACCTTGAGGAAGAGATCATCTCCATTTTACAGATCAGGACATAGAGGTACAGAAATGGTCACACAGTTTGTAATTGGTAGAGCCAGGAAAACTCAAACAATCTGAGTTTGCCAGAACCAAACACCTAACAACTCTGCCATATATGATTCATACAACCAGTATGTTTAGCTCTACTAAGAAAACTGATGAAAACTAGAGTTTTATACATAAAACATTTTTAAAACATTATACAGTATTTATCAAAGTTTGACACAGTAATGATTCAAATACATAACTTTTTCTCATCTTCTCCATTTTCCAACTCAGCAAGAATTTTTTAAAAATATTTTCCAACGTTTCCTAAAAATGACTCTCTGGAAGTTTCCCGAATGCCACTTAGCAGGTTAAAAGAAAACAAAGTCAGATACTCACTGGCCAGACTGGAAATCCTTTTCATTCACAACTGCACAATTGGTTAAAGATAATTCATCTGTAGGACATCTTGCCGCTTGCATGCTCTGTAAGAATCAATGATTAGGAAAATCAAATTAAGTCATGTTCTATTCCCTTAAAGAATATTTTATGCCTTTCTGTCCTCTCTTCATCACTCATTGCTATAATGAACATCTATTATTTTTGACTCCCAGCATCCCTTCCTCTGCATTAAGAGCAAACCCTTCCTTTGGGAAACTGTTCCTTTCCCATTCCATGTGGTTTAGTGAGACTGCCAGTCAGCACACATGCAACCACATCTACTCTATCCCACCCACAGGATTTTATATATGCTGGCGCTAGACCAAAGGCATTCTTCTGCAAGCCAGAGCACCACAAGGAGGAAGATTTTCCACTCTAAAAGGGTAAAACTATCACAGAGACACAGACAAGCTAATAGATAACCTGGAAACACAGATCTGGCAACCAAGTTCTTGAGACCAGTCCTGAACATTAGTTACGAGCCAACAAATTTTTTTTGCTCAAGCTTTTTTGAATTAGCTTTCCATATCTTCCAAAGAATCTTGACTAATAAAAATGCACTGAAGTAAATTCAATAAATTTGGTAAACTTATGTATCAAATTTTATGTATATTATCAAAAGTATATTATGAAATGTTATGCATATTATAAAGAGTATACTATGAAAAAGTATCTTTTTATAAGAGATCCCAGGTGGCTACGAACTGTATCTCCTATAGATTGAGAAAAACCATCTTCCAAATATCTTTCAACAAAAATAATTACAGACTATATTTAAAAAAAAAAAAAACAGCCTTTTTGGTCAATAGCAACTAGCAAAATGTTCCTTTATATAATATATTTAACCAATAACCCTTCCATGATTCCCTAGGGTTTCCTAGTGAGCTATGACAGGTAGTCATAGTCTATGACTGAAGGGTTCATTCTTCAAACCTCAAGCCAAAGCTGATTTTTTTTTTTTTTTTTTTTTGAGATGGAGTCTCACTCTGTCACCCAGGCTGGAGTGCAGTGGCGTGATCTCGGCTCACTGCAAGCTCCGCCTCCCGGGTTCATGTCATTCTCCTGCCTCAGCCTCCTGAGTAGCTGGGACTACAGGTGCCCGCCACCATACCCAGCTAATTTTTTGTATTTTTAGTAGAGTCAGGGTTTCACCGTGTTAGCCAGGATGGTCTTGATCTCCTGACCTCACGATCCGCCCACCTTGGCCTCCCAAAGTGCTGGGATTACAGGCATGAACCACTGCACCTGGCCAGGACGATTATTCTTAAATGTGTCTCCCAAATATAAATTTATAGAGGAAAGTGAATTATTTTTGGCTTTGCTTTTATTTTAACTAAAAGGCCAGTTTCAATATCATTATCCCTGTTGTTTAGGGCATTAGTCTCCAAAGTGGGATATGTGTACTTGAAGGGTGTTTGTATTATACGATAATCCTTTGGGGTATAAAAATAAAATATTAGTACTGGTATTTATATTGACTTTACACAATTTCTTATTTATGTGTTGTTTTGTTTTTTGACACAGTCTCTCTCTGTTGCCCAGGCTGGAGTGCAATGGTGGATCTCAGCTCACTGCAATCTCTGCCTCCCTGGTTCAAGCGATTCTCATGCCTCAGCATCCCAAGTAGCTGGGTTACAGGCATGCTCCAGCTAATTTTTGAATTTTTGGTAGAGTCGGGGGTTTCATCACGTTGCCCAGGCTGGTCTCGAACTCCTGAGCTCAGGCAATCCGCCCGCCTCGGCCTCCCAAAGTGCTAGGATTACAGGCGTGAGCCACTGCGTCCAGCCACACCATTTATTTATCTATTTATTTATTTATTTTAATTTGTTTGAGACAGAGTCTCACTCTGTCACCCAGGCTGGACTGCCCTGGTGCGATATCGGCTTACTGCAAGCTCCGCCTCCCGGGTTCACGCCATTCTCCTGCCTCAGCCTCCCAAGTAGCTGGGACTACAGGTACCCACCACCACGCCTGGCTAATTTTTTTGTATTTTCATCAGAGACAGGGTTTCACCGTGTTAGCCAGGCTGGTCTCGATCTCCTGACCTTGTGATCCACCCACCTCGGTCTCCCAAAGTGCTGAGATTACAGGTGTGAGCCACTGCACCCAGCCCATTTTTTATTAAAGATGAACCTCACTCTACATGTCTACTCTACCTTAAGATATAATCTGATGGCACGAACAAAGTCCTCATAATCCACCAGGCTTTTAAGTGTTCACTGCAAGAGTTAAACGTCTATAATTTTTCCACCTATGTCTAAAGTCACAGGCTATTTAATGTGACACTTCACAAAATTGTACGAAAGTTAGTGTCGAAACTGCTAAGGTTTCCCTAAAAAAAGCCAAGGACCATAGCTGAAATTATACACAGAAATAAAAATGGTGACAAACTAAATGTATTCTTTTATTGGTAAGTATAGTCAAAAGCTCTTAGAAAACCCTAAAGACTTGAAGATATCAGGACAAATACAGTGTGTGGGGTTTGCTATACAATTGGATAAAAATACAGATGATTCTTTCATCTTAGGGTATTTGCTGGGTAATTATGAAATATACAGGAAATACAACTTTGTAAGATACCAAGGAACAATGTATTAAAAGGGAGGTATTCTTAACTGTAAATGAAACAAGGTGCTTTATGGGAAAACTGTAACCACTGATGAAATGACTGCTTTGACTGGAATTTTAAAAAAGAATTCTGGCCAGCTGCGGTGGCTCACACCTGTAATCCCAGCACTTTGGGAGGCCGAGGTGGGTGGATCATGAGGTCAGGAGATCGAGACCATGCTGGCTAACACGGTGAAGCCCCGTCTCTACTAAAAAATAACAAAAAATTAGCCAGGCGTTGTGGCGGGCACCTGTAGTCCCAGCTACTTGGGAGGCTGAGGCAGGAGAAAGGCGTGAGCCCGGGAGGCGGAGCTTGCAGTGAGCTGAGATCGTGTCACTGTACTCCAGTCTGGGCAACAGAGCGAGACCCTATCTCAAAAAAAAAAAAATTCCAGAACAAAGTTACAGTGATAGCATCTGATACAAAAGCCTTTAACGGCTTCATTCACAGGTAAACTATTGCTGCAATTAAGTCAGAACAAGGTACCTCAGATGTCACTGAGGTTAACTGTATGAATATAGAATCTTCCTATACTCTGGGAGATAGAGAGTAGCCACTGAATTTTTTTTTTTTTTTTTTTTTGAGAGATAGTCTTGCTCTGTCGCCCAGAATTGAATGCAGTGGCGCATTCTCAGCTCAGAGTAGCTGGGACTACAGTTGTGTACCACCACTTCTGACTAATTTTTGTATTTTTAGTAGAGATGGGGTTTCACCATGTTGGCCAGGCTGGTCTCAAACTCCTGGCCTCAAGTGATCCACCTGCCTTGGCCTCATAATCTTTTTTTTGTTTTTAAATCCACACAGATTCACTAGTTACCACAAGAAATGTATTTAAAAGATTTGTTAAATGTAGATGAGTTACACAATTTTTTTAAAATAAAAAGACTAGAGTTCCAAACTTGCTAAATATTTCTGAGGAGGTTATAAGTAGTATGCTACCAAGAAGATATTAAAAAAACAAAAAAACTCACTCTGCCCCTACAAAATAAAAATGTTTAGCAACATGTCAGAATTATTTTCAGCTTTTCCAGAAAAAAGAAAAAGAGAAAAAAATCGGCCGGGTGCAGTGGCTCACGCCTGTAATCCCAGCACTCTGGGAGAATGAGGCAGGCGGATCACCTAAGGTCAGGAGTTTGAGACTAGCCTGGCCAACATGGTGAAACCCCATCTCTACTTAAAATACAAAAATTAGCCGGGCGTGGTGGCGGGCACCTGTAATCCCAGCTACTCGGGAGGCTGAGGCAGGAGAATCGCTTGAACCCAGTAGGCGGAGGTTACAGTGAGCCAAGATGGCACCATTGTACTCCAGCCTTGGGGACAAGAGAGAGGCTTCATCTTTAAAAAAAAAAAAAAAAAAAAAAAAAGAGAGCGAGAGAAAAAAAAATCTTTCCTAATAGAGCATTTCAAAATTGGATAATTGGAAACATTTCCATTGCTAAGTTATTCTGCTGTTGAAACAATATATACAAAATCTAAAAAATAAAGACACCAAAAACTCGTATCTTCATGCTTTATAAAGTCAGAAACAGAATATTCTAAAACTTTTTAAAATATCTTCCAAATGAAGACTTAACAGTGATTTTTGGAACCCATTTATTAACACAATAAAAGTATAATATATTTTTATTAATCTGCAAGAAAAACTAATAGATGGATATTTACCAGCCACATTTCAATAAAGCATTTCCATAAATAGTGAATAAGTTTGGAGAAAGAAAGAATATGATTTAGAAAGTGCAGCCAAATTCTTCCATTTTGATCCAGGCTTTGACTGCCATTAAAGTATCAAAATAAACTGAATTTAGAAACAGCCCTCTGAGCAGCTGTATCACATAATATTAAACGAAGATTTTAAATAATGATGTACCACTTTACTTTCTGGGTTTTTTTTTTTTTTTTTTTTTTTTTTAGATGGAGTCTTGCTCTGTCGCCCAGGATGGAGTACAGTGGCATGATCTCGGCTCATTGTAACCTCCGCCTCCCGGGTTCAAGCAATTCTCCTGCCTTACCCTCCCGAGTAGCTGGGATTACGGGCGTGTGCCACCATGCCCAGCTAATTTTTGTATTTTTTAGTAGAGATGGGATTTCGCTATATTGGTCAGGCTTGTCTCAAACTCCTGACCTCAAGTGATCTGCCTCCCTCAGCCTCCCAAAGTGCTGGGATTACAGGCGTGAGCCACTGCACCCAGCCTACTTTCCGTATTTTCAGTAAAATTAACACTGTGAGAATATTGTACATGCCATCTTTAGCTCATCCTTTTAATTTTTTTTGTTTTCTATACATGTTCTACTGCGTATATAACTTTTAGTACTACATATCATCTATAAACAAATATTGGCATATAATCAATATATGAGGATACATAATCAAAACATTTTTTACTTATGAGATTCATGATCAAATGTTTGGAAATCACTAATTTAGCACAAGATGAATAAAGTCTAGGTCACAAGTCTCCTTTGTGAATGAGACAGCATTTATGTGTTCAACAAATGCTGACAGCATTTTGCCCAGTCACAGCTTGATCAGCCATATGACAGAAATGTACTGAACTTTTTCAGTTTCCCACTTTCCCAGGGTCATTTTCACCTGCAAGCTTCTTTCTTTTATATAATCTCCGCCACTAACCCCTGTTCCATCCCTGGACAACTCCCACTCATTCTACAATTCTCCACTTAGACACTACTTTTTCTGGAAGGCATTCCTAGACACCTACCCCTCCCCACTAAACTGATGAAATAAACTTCAAATGGAAGGACTCAACTATAATTTTATTCTGTCTACATGTTTGCACTGCATATAAGACACTAAACTTCTCAAAGACTGAGACTATATCTTGCTCACATATGTAGTTCCCAGTGTTAGTACAGGGCCTAGTACACAGTGAATACTCATTAAATGTTTGTTGAACACAAAAATTTATAGATCAATAAAAATCTGTCTCAACTGCAGAATAAACAATCCAAAGAACATGTAACAAAGGACTGATCGTCTCAAGGTTATTTAGGAAGTGATAAAATTGAGCTAAAATGATCTGATAGTTCAAAATATACAGAACGATATAGCTAAAGTAATAAAATAAATTTACAAAATGCTGTTAACTCTTTCATTTATAAACTTGTTTATTTGTCAAGTGTCCTTCAAAAGGAGTGAAAAAATCCACAGAAGTCATCTGGCTGGCCAACCAAAACAGATGCTGTGAACAAAAGGCCTCCCTACTGGAATCCAGAAACATCTGTGTTTTTATGGTAAGCCAGGCATGGTATCTCATTTTTTCAACGAAGTATAAGTCTCTATAAATAGTAGCTGTCTACTCACCACAGCAATGCCAAGGGAAAATTCCACAATTTTTCTAACATTGACCTTGCCCCTAGGAAACAATAATGAAAGCCAACCACTACAGTCATGCAGTTATTAAGAAATGAAAGTACAGGCTAGGTGCGGTGGCTCACGCCTATAATCTCAGCACTTTGGGAGGCCAAGGTGGGAGGACTGCCTGAGCTCAGGAGTTCAAGACCAGCATGGGCAACATGGTGAAACCCCATCTCTACTAAAATACAAAAAATTAGCCGGGTGTGGCGGTGTGTGCCTGTAGTCCCAGCTACTCGGGAGGCTAAGGCAGAATTGCTTGAACCCAGGAGGCGGAGGTTGCAGTGAGCTGAGATTGTAGATGACCAGCTGGAACAGCCACCCTTGTTGGACACTGTTTGATTCAGCTTTTTATTAATATGCAGTTCTGAGATGGCATCCTTATGCACACGCCCACATATTTCCTTAGGTCAGGTCTATAGATGTGGAAGCCAGGTCCCACGCGTTGGGTATGGCTGTCACCCTGAAGATACCGCAGATCGCCAACATCACATTCCCCAGCCCCCATCTAGTGGCCTCCAGTGGCCCATCTACTGGGCCAGCAGGGGCCAGGAAAGGAGAAGAGGGAGACCAGTGGGGCTGAAGGCACTGGTGCGTCTGTGCAAGAGGAGGAAGCCCTGTGAGAGGGCAGCAGCCTCCGGACTGGTACAAGCGATTCTCCTGCCTCAGCCTTCCGAGTAGCTGGGATTACAGCAAAAAATAAAATTATTTGCTTATCTTCATCAAAGAAACTGGGGTGATTTAATCAGGACTCTTCTGGACAACACTGCACAGTTTTGGAATTTAAATCACATACTTTCATCCAAACGTCCACTTTAAAAACTGGATTAAAGTACGCTTTACTATTTACTAAATAATTTAATAGGGCAAAATAAACAGAAAGAAAAATAGTGTGGCATCTGACCAAAAGAGCTCATTACCAAACAGCTTCCCCTACCTGAACTGTCACCCTTATGAATCCACTGGTTCTTCTTCTGTGGTGCTCTAGGCTTTGGTTTCATTTCTCCCACAGGAAAGGGAAGGACTGAAAACACAAACCTGCCCCAGGGCCAGCTCAGCTAACAGGTCTCACTCAACTACTTCTTGCTAGAGGATCTTTCCTGAAAAATAACATTTCAGAACTACACTGTTCGGTAATCACTAGACATATTTCACTATTCAAATTAATTTAAAGTTAAATTCAATTCTTCAGTTGAACTAGCCCTACGTTTCAAAAGCCACCTGTGGCTAGTGGTTATCACTGCAGAAAGTTTCATCGGATAGCACTAGCCTAGAATAATGCAAGAAAGGCCATCAGTACTAATCTTCAGGCCTATGGAATCCCTCTGTGCTACATATTCCTATAATAATAATTTCTGTTAAAATTCTGAAGTCACATGTGACTAGAAGTGATGGGGTAGAAATAAGTTAAACTTATATGTCCTATAGTTATCTCTTGAAAAGCCTTTAGGGATATCCTTGACATTATCTATCTCAAACTAATAACTGTTCACATAGATGAACCTCCTGCCTGGCATCCCTTAGAACTTTAAAATTCCTTTACAAGTTTATAATGAAAAGAAAAACAATTCCCATTTTGGTCTTTTGGGGGGAAAAGCATGCACAGAAAAATATAAAAGGCTGACAACTTTCAATATCGGCAAAGATGCAATGCAGTTTCTACAAAGTTAATGTGACCCAACAAGTGCACCCCTAGGTTTTTAGTCAAAAGAAATGAAAATATATCCACACAAAGACTCGCACACAAATGATCACAACAGCTGTACTCATAATAGCCTAAAAATGGAAACAACATGAATGTCTACCAAAAGATGAATGAATGAAGAAATTATAGGAGAGCCATACAATTGACTACTACTCAGAAATTAAAAAGAAACTAGTCCAGGTGCAGTGGCTCATGCCTGTAATCCCAACACTTTGGGAGGCCGAGGCAGGGGGATCGCCTGAGCCCAGGAGTTCCAGACCAGCCTGGGCAACATGGTGAAACCCTGTCTCTACAAAAGATACAGAAATTAGCCAGGCGTGGTGGTACATGCCGGTAGTCCCAACTACTTGGGAGGCTGAGGTGGGAGGACTGCTTGAGCCCAGGAGTATGAGGCTGCAGTGAGCTATGATCACACCACTGCACCCCAGCCTGGGCAACAAAGCAAGACCCTGTCTCTACAAAAAAATAAAAACTAAACTTAAAAAAAAGATACACACTAAACTGTTAACAGTGGTTACCACCAAGGAGAAAGACAAGAAAATGTCTTTACAATTCTGAACTCTTTACAATTCTGTAAAACTCTTTACAATTCTGAACTGCTGGAACTGTTTTTACAATAAATAAACTTTGTCTCACAAAAATCACTTTAAATATAGAAAACTTTTATGTGTAATTTTTTCCCTACAGCATTATTTTAACAGTGATGAATTAGGAGTAACCTAAAGGTCTTGTTTCAAAGTAATGGTTCTGTAAACTACAACGTACCCGCACTTGATTATATATATCATATCATATAAGGATCAAAATCCTCATAACACACTAAGGTAGGGTTCATATCACAGAATTGTATACAGAACTTTTACTTTACAGCATTTTTTTTTTTTTTGTGAGGCAAGGTCTGGCTTTATCACCCAGGCTGGAGTGCAGTGGCGCCATCTCAGCACACTGCAACCTTTGCTTCCCTGGCTCAAGCCATCTTCCCACCTCAGTCTCCCAAGTAGCTGAGGCTACAGGCAAGCACCACCACACCAGGCTAATTTTTGTATTTTTTGTAGAGATGGGGTTTCATCAGATTGGCCAGGCTGGTCTCGAACTCCTGACCTCAAGTGATCTGCCTGCTTCAGACTACAAGTGTGAGCCACCACGCTCAGCCTTAAAGCATTATTTTTAAAAAAGTATGGCAAACCAACTAAATGGAAACACACCAAAATGTGAAAAACAACTGACTGGATAACGAAACTATGGGTGATTTCCAGCTTTCCACACTGATTTTAAACCTCATATATGAAGTTTTCAGGTGTATCTGGTTCTATTTCTGGGTTGGTTGTTCTACTTCATTAACTATTTGTCTGCTTTCTATACTAATACCACATTGTTTTAATTACCATATATGGCATATTTTGATGTCTAGTTTTGTCAGATTCGTATCAAAAAATTAATATTCTTAACTTCACAGAAGCATCTCAGGACATGCATCTCAAATGTTTAAAGAGGCAGAAGGCTCCCTACCGTCGTTTTTTTTTGTTTTTTGTTTTCTCTTTTTTGAGATGGAGTCTCACTCTGTCACCCATGCTGGAGTTAGTGCAGTGGCTCGATCTTGGCTCACTGCAACCTCCACCTCCCAGGTTCAAACAATTCTCCTGCCTCAGCCTCCCAAATAGCTGGGATTACAGGCAACCACCACCACACCCGGCTAATTTTTGTATTTTTTGTAGAGACAGGTTTCACCATGTTGGCCAGGCTGATCTCGAATTCCTGACCTCAAGTGATCCACCCACCTCAGCCTCCCAAAGTGCTGGGATTACAGGCATGAGCCACTGCACCCGGCTATCCCATCACTTAATCCCACCCTGCCAATCTTTGCTCTCTTGAATCTTGGCACACTGCCAGTAAGCCTCTCATGGGTCACTTAAAAAGCAAAAATCCCATAATTCTACTTTATTTTAATTCTACTCTGTAGTTCTTTTAACTCATTTCAAACTAGCACCCTTTTCTCTCTTCTCTTTATTACCAAATCTCTCAAGTCTCCCTTCCTTGCCTTCCATGTTCTCATCCTATGGCTATCTTCTTCAACCATTCTTTGAAATCCTTTCCAGCAGCCACTTTACTGTAACTGCTGTCTTCAAAATCACCAATGACTAAATGCCAAATTCAGTGGTACCTCCTTCTCCTCAGTATTCACTTTTTCATTTGTTTGTCTTGCTATGTTCCTCATCTGTTAATACCATCATTATCCTTTCAAGTCATTAAATTCAAGATTTCAGGGTCATTCTTCCCTTCACTGCCTATCCCTGGAATGCACACATAAACAATCAAGAGTCTACTAAGTCTACTGCACTGTCACTTGGATGTGCCTCCCTTCCAGCCTCACAACCATAACCTAGTTCAGCCATATCACCTCTCCTAAAAAACTACAATGGTAATAATTGTTGTCCCTGGTTCTAGCTTTTGTTCTCCTCCAATTCAGCCTTCCCTCTGCCACCAGACATGACCTGAAACCAAAAATATGATTCATAAGTAATAAAGCCCAAACTCCTTAGCATGCTACTCACAGCCACCTATGCAAGATCTATCTTTAACTTATTTTTCTGCGTCATCTACCTCAATACCCCACCCCAACCCCATGTACCCCACATTCCAAACTCCATTCCTTCACTCACACTATTCCTTTTGACTGAATTCCCTATTTCAAACCCCTTCCACCTGTGAAAATCTTTCCCACCTTGCAAAGCCAAGTTTGTGAAACTCCCTGGTTCCTAGTAAGATAGAATATCTCCTTTATTTGTGCTTCTTCAGCAGTCTTAGTACTACTTATTACAAGCTGCCTTACACTAGACTTATTTAAGTACCATGCCTTCCTCACAAGATTCTAAGCTCTGATTCTCCTGCACCACTCAGGGAATATACAGTATGATAAATATTAATTGAGTTCTCATTGCCGTTTTTGAGATTTTTTTTTTTTTTTTTTTAAAGACAGAGTCTCGTTCTGTCGCCCAGGCTGGAGTGCAGTGGCATGATCTCGGCTTGCTTTAACCTCTGCCTCCCGGGTTCAAGCAATTCTCCTGCCTCAGCCTCCTGAGTAGTTGGGACTACAGGCATGTGCCACCATGCCTGGCTAATTTTTTGTATTTTTAGTAGAGACGGGGTTTCACCATGTTAGCCAGGATGGTCTCCATCTCCTGACCTCGTGATCCGCCCACCTCTGCCTCCCAAAATGCTGGGATTACAGGTGTGAACCACCACGCCCAGCTGATATATTTCACATAAAATTAATCATTTAAAATGTATACTTGGGTGGTTTTTGTTTTTTGGAGGGTTTTGTTTTGAGAGACAGGGTCATGCTCTATCACTCAGGCTGGATCACAGTGGCACAATCACAGCTCACTGTAACCTCAAATTCACAGGCTCAAGTGATCTTCCCACCTCAGCCTCCAAAGTAGCTGGGACTACAGGCACACACCACCATACCCAGGTAATTAAAACAATTTTTTTTTTTTTTTGTAGAAACAAGGTCTTGCTGTGTTGCCCAGGCTGGTCTTGACCTCTTGGCCTCAAGTAATCTTCCCGCCTCAGTCTCCCAAAGTGTTGGGGTTATAGGCATGAGCCACTGCACCCAGCCTTTGAGTGGTTTTTAGTATATTTACTATGTTGTACAACCATAATCACTATCTAATTCCAGAACAGTCCCATCACCCCAAAAAGAAACTCTGTCCCTACTAGCCGTTAATCTCAATTCATCCCTTCTCTCACTCCTTCTCAACCACTAATCTACTTTCTGTCTCTATGAATTTGCTTATTGTGGACATTTCACGTAAGCAGAATCATACAATTCGTCATCTTGGTGACTGGATTTTCACCTAGCATAATGTTTCCAAGGTTCATGTTGTGGCACGTAATAGTATTTCATTCTTTTTATTTATTTATTTTGTAGAGACTGGGTCTATGTTGCCCAGGCCAATCTTGAACTCCTGGCCTTAAGCAATCCTCCCATCGTGGCCTCCTAAAGCAATGGGATTACAGTTGTGAGCTACTGCACCTGGCTTCTTCATTCCTTTTTACAGCTGGATAAGATTTCATTGTATGGATATACCACATTGTATTTATCATTTCATCAGCTGATGGACATTTGGGTTGCTTCCACTTTTTGGCAACTATGAATAATGCCACATGTTAATGTATGTACAAGTTAATGTATGAACATATGTTTTCAATTATCTTGGGTCTATACCCAGGAGTAGAATTGCTGAGTTATTCTATGTTTAGTTTTTTAAGGAACTGCAAAACTTTTGTGCAGTAGCTGCATCATTTTACATTCCCATCAGCAATGAGGGCTCCAATTTCTCTACTTCCTTATCAAAACTTGTTACTGTCTTTAAAAAAAAAAAAAAAAAAAGTATGACCATCCTAGAGGGTGTAAAGTGTTATCTCTCATTGTGGTTTTGATTTGTAATTCCCTATGGACTATGATGTTGAAGATCTTGTCATGTGCTTATAGGTCATTTGTACATCTTCTTTGGAGAAATGTCTATTCTATTCAAATGCTTTGCCCATTTTTAAATTCCATTGTCTTATCTTTGTTGAGTTGAAAGGGTTCTTTGCATATTCTGGATATAAACAACATATATATAAAATATATATACTTATCAGAGATATAATTTGCAAATATTTTCCCCCATTCTGTGAGTTGTCTTCATTCTACAGTGTCCTTTGATGCATGAAAGTTTTTAACTTTAACAAAGTCCAGTTTATCTACCTTTTTCTTTCACTGCTTGTGTTTTTGTGTTATATCTTTAAAAATCACCATTTAATCCAAGGTCATACAGATTTTCACCTATGTTTCCTTCGAAGAACTTAACAGGTTTAGGTCTTTGATCCATTCTGAGTTAATTTTCATATGTGATGTGAGGCAGGGATCCAAATTTATTTTTTTACATGTAGATATCCAGTTGCCCCAGCAACATTTGTTGAAAAGATTATTCTTTCCCCAGTTAATGATCTTGGCGCCCTGGTCAAAATCAACTGACCATAAATGTATGGGTTTATTTCTGGACTCTAAATTGCATTCCATTGGTTTACAAGACTCTCCTCATGCCAGTGACATGCCATCTGGATTACTGTAGTTTTGTAATAAGTTTTGAAATCAGGAAGTATGAGTCCTACAATTTTGTTCTCTTTTTTTCAAGACTGTTGTGGCAAATATGGCTCTGCAATTCCATATGAATTATAAGATCAGGTTGTCCATTTCCGGGAAAAAGGCAGTTGAACTGTGATAGTGATTGCATTAAACCTGTAGATAAATCTGGGTAGCACTGTCATCTTAACAATATTAAGTCTTCCAAGCCATGAACACAGGACGTCTTTCAATTTATTTAGATCTCTAATTTCCTTCAACATGTTTTCTGTTTTTTAGTGTACTTTTTAGTGTACTTCTTTGGTTAACTTTATTCATAAGTATTTTATTCTTTCTGATGTTATTATAAATGGAATTTTTTCTATTTCATTTTCAGATTATCCATAGCTAGCATATAGGAATGCAACTGATTTTTAGATAATAATCTTGTATCCTGCAACTTTGCTGAACTCATTTATTAGTTCCAATTTTTTTTGGTAAATTCTGTAGGATTTTTCTACATGTAAGATCATGTCATCGGTAAATATAGTTTTATTTCTTTCTGATATAAATGTCTTTTCTTTTTCCTGCTTAACTGCCCCACCTAGAACCACCAATAGAGTGTTGAATAGGAGTGGCAAGAGCATCCTTGTCTTGTTCTGATCTTAAGGGGGAAAGCTTTCAGTCTTCAACCATTAAGTATGATGTTAGCTGTGAGTTTTCCTGTTAGTTGGATTTTGTTTGTTGAACTGAATTTTGACAGTGCCAACTCATAAGGTTGTGCTGAGAATCTAATAAGAAAAGATCTGTGAAGGTGTTTTTAAAACTGTAAAATATCGTTTAATTTCAAGATCGTCTTATTCAGTGACTTGGTACTCTTACTCTAAAAAGTTTCAGAGTAATGTTGTTAAATGAATCAAAATGTTTCTGAAGCTTTTTTAATTCCCAACATCCTGACAAAGCTTTTGCACTTATGTTGTTTTGAAAGGGGAAGAAAAAGGGAAAACTCTTTGGAGAAGGAATCAGAACAAGGATCCAAGGCCTAGAGCCTCTCCCCTGTCCCAACAAGGGAATGCCAGCCCAGTAAGACTCAGGATGTTCAGGAAAGCAGAAAGGAGAAATGCAAAAATGGGCAAGAGGCAGCATGGTATGGAGGAACGAACACGGGATTTAATGGAAAAAGACAGCTGAGATTCCAGTTGTTCAGAAACAACTGAAGAAAACAGTGAGGCTGGGTGCGGTGGCTGAAAACTATAATCTCAACACTTTGGGAGGCCAAGGAGGGAGAATCATTTGAGGCCAGGAGTTCAAGACCAGCCTGGGCAATATAGTGAGACCCAAACTCTACAAAAAGAAAGGAAGAAAGGAAGAGAGAGAGAGAGAGAGAGAGAGAGAAAGAGAGAAAAGAAAGAAAGAAGGAAAGAAAGGAAAGAAAGAAAGAAAGAAAGAAAGAGAGAGAGAGAGAGAAAGAAAGAAAGAAAGAAAGAGAGAAAGAAAGAAAATAAATTAGCCTGGCTTGGTGGCACAAATCAGTAATCCCCGTTATTCAGGGGGCTGAGGTGAGAGGTTTGAGCCCAGGAGGTCAAGGCTACAGGGAGCCCTGATCACGCCACTGCATTCCAGACTGGGTGACAAAGTGATACCCTATCTCAAAAAAAAAAAAAAAAGAAACAGTGAGACACCCGAGAATATTAGAAGATCTAGTAAACTGCACATCTTCAATGCTGCATGATCTTACGGACTTACATCCGTAAGGCCACACTATACTTATCTAAATTGTTGATACTACTTTTAGTCATTATAACACAGCATGCTAATAATTTATGATGTGTCCTTAATATTGAGAGGTTTCTCATTTAATAAATTCAGCTTACTAATAAATATAAACATAATAGTATTTACATATTTTATTATTTAGAAACAACTGAGTAGAAATCATATTTACAAATAATTGAATCAAAAACTGGCTGTTGGAAAGCAAAAAGAAATTACTAGCCTACTTCTTTTCCATAGAACAAATATTTAATAAATATCTATAATGTCCCAGGCACTGTGCTAGGTGCAGGAGATGCTCAAATTAACAACAAAGCAGTGACTACTTTTTATATTTTTTGGACACTGAACAGGAATAAAATATGTATAAAACACAGGCAACACATAAAACACCATAAACCTACTACCCAGTTTAAGAAAAAGAACATTATTTAAATCAAGTTTTTATTGAAGAAGAACATATATACACAAAAATGCATACATTGTACGTGTTTGGCTCAATGAATTTCTACAAGTGAACACACCCAGGGTAACCAACAGTTAGGTCAAGAGGACATTACCAGCATCCCATACTGCCCGCTCCTAGTCACTATCCTTCTACTCAACCACAGATACCCACTAGCTTAATTTCTGTCATCAGAGATAGAAATCATGAATAGAAATATATTCACTCCTCCCACCCCCAGGACTATAAGTGCTGGGTCATGGGCATCATGCCTACATTCAGTTTTAGGGAATTCTGCTAGTTTTCCAAAGAGGTTGTGCTCATGCATTTTCATCAGTTCCAGCTGCTGCACATCCTCATCACCACTTAG
This sequence comes from Homo sapiens, assembly GCF_000001405.40. NCBI lineage: Eukaryota > Metazoa > Chordata > Mammalia > Primates > Hominidae > Homo > Homo sapiens. The sequence goes on along the minus strand of NC_000017.11, from coordinate 46,608,906 downwards.
AATTGTCATGACAGGCCAGGTGCGCGGGCTCATGCCTGTAATCCCAGCACTTTGGGAGGCCAAGGCAGGTGGATCGCTTGAGATCAGGAGTTCAAGACTAGCCTGGCCAACATGGCAAAACCCCATCTCTACTAAAATACAAAAATTAGCCAGGCGTGGTGGTGGGTGCCCATAATCCCAGCTACTCGGGAGGATGAGGCAGGAGAATCACTTGAACCCAGGAGGCAGAGGTTGCAACAAGCTGGGATTATGCCACTGCACTCCAGCCTGGGCGACAAGAGCAAGACTCCATCTCAAAAAACAAAACAAAATCAAACCCAGAATTGTCATGACAAATGTGTTCTTAATTTAACTTTCTGGTGGGTGTGTAGTAATATCTCCCTGAGGTTTTAACTTGTATTTCTCTGATGACTAATGAGGTTGAGCATTTAACATACGTTACAGGTAAGTTCTTTGTGAAATCCCTGTTTGAATCCTTTGTTCATTTTTCCATTGGCTTTCTGTCCTTTCTTTTTATTCTTGATTTGTAGTTCTTTATATATTCCAGGTACAAGTCCTTGTCAAATACATGTATTTCTTTTTTTCTTTTCTTTTTTTGAGACAGAGTCTTGCTCTGTCGCCCAGGCTGGAGTGCAGTGACGCAATCTCGGCTCACTGCAAGCTCCGCCTCCTGGGTTCACACCATTCTCCTGCCTCAGCCTCCCAAGTAGCTAGGACTACAGGCACCCGCCACCACGCCTGGCTAATTTTTTGTATTTTTAGTAGAGACGGGGTTTCACTGTGTTAGCCAGGATGGTCTCGATCTCCTGACCTCGTGATCCGCCCAGCTCGGCCTCCCAAAGTGCTGGGATTACAGGTGTGGGCCACCGTGCCTGGCTGTCAAATACATGTATTTCAAATACCTTCTTCCACTCTGGTCTTTCTCCTCAATGGTGTCTACTATGGAGTGAAATGTGCACTCCCCACTGCCCCCAACAAAATTCATTAGTCAAGGCACTTCCCCCACCCCAACTATTTTGGAGATAGGGACTTTGGGAGATAATTGAGGCTAAATTAGGTCATAAGCGAAGGGCCCTAATCTGACAAGACTGTGGCCTTATAAGAAAAGGAAGAGAGATGGTGAGATCTTGCTGTCTCTCCGCCACACAGACACGTGGCAAGAAGCCTGTGTGCAAGTCACGAAGACAGTGCTCACCAAAACGCAGTCATACTGGCACCCCGGTCCCAAACTTCCAGCTTCCAGAACCGTGAGAAAATACATTTATTTTGTTTAAGCCACCAAGTCTATAGTATTGTGTTATGGCAGCCTAAGCAAACTAAGTCAGTGTCTTTTGATGAAATCCAATTAATCACTTTTTTCCTTTGTATCTAGTGCTTTTTATATTCTGTTTAAGAAATCTTCACCTGTCTCCCATGTTTCTGCCTTTTCTTGTCATTAATTTCTAACTTGCCCACATTATGATCAGATATTATTCAGAGATCTGCACCTTGGATGTGGTGTTCAATACTCAATTATTAATATTGTTAATTATATTAAGTCTTCTAAATTAATGCAGTGCAAAAGTACTTTCTGTGCTGTCCAATACAGCAGCCATTGTCACATGTCACTAGTAAGCCCTTGAAAAATGGCTATTGCAACCGAGAAAATGAATTTTTAATTTTAATTTTCAGCTGTAACCATTTTGTCTTTTTAATTTTTCAATTAGGGAGTTTTGAAACTCCTCACCATGGTAGATTTGTCTATTTCATCTTATAATTGTGTCATTTTGTTCTTTGTATATTGAGGCAATTATTAGGTTCACACAAGTTTGGAATTGTTTTTACCTTTATGGATAAATAAACCTTTTCTCATTGTTGAGGGACCTATCTCTAGCTGTCTCTTTTGTCTGAAAGATCATATTGTCTGATGCTAATATAGTTAGTTTACCTCCCTTTTGGTTAGAGTTTGCCTGATAGACTTTTTCCATCCTTTTGCTTTCTATCTTTCTACATTCATATGTATTAGCTATCTCTCTTGAAAATTATAGCTGGATTTTGTGTTGTTTCAGTAAGTTTGTTTGCTTGCTTTTATTTATTTATTTATTTATTTATTTTTGAAACAGAGTCTCACCCTGTTGCCCAGGCTGGAGTACGGTGGCATGATCTTGGCTTACGGCAATCTCCGCCTCCTGGGTTCAAGTGATTCTCCTGCCTCACCTTCCCAAGTACCTGGGATTACAGGTGTGCACCACCACACCCAGCTAATTTTTGTATTAGCTGGCCATGGCCAGCTGGCCGTGTTGGCCAGGGTGGTCTCGAACTCCTGATCTCAAGTGATCCACCCGTCTCAGCCTCTCAAAGTGCTCGGATTACAGGCGTGAGCCACTGCACCCGGCCTGCTTGCTTTTAAATAATCCAATCTGACATTCTTTGTCTGAATGAAGCATTTAGTCTACCATATATTTGATTTGATTTCTATATTTTATTGTTTCCTCTTTATCTGACCTTTTCTATGTTTTTCACTTCTTCCTTGCCTTTTAAAAATTGTTTTTTCTGCTATAAATTATTCCTAATATTTATATTATTTTAGTAGTTACTCTGAAAATACTAATACACATACCTATCAAAATCTAAAGTTAATTGAATAGCTTTACCTTTCTCTTCAACAGTATAAAGATCATAAAATACTTTAACCACTCTTTTGATTTGGATGTTGTTATCATATATTTAGTTCTTTTTTTTTTTTTTGAGACGGAGTTTTGCTCTTGTTGCCCAGGCTGGAGTGCAATGGCGTGATTTCGGCTCACTGCAACCTCTGCCTCCCAGGTTCAAGCAATTCTCCTACCTCAGCCTCCTGAGTAGCTGGGATTACAGGCATGCGCCACCACACCCGGCTAATTTTTTTTTTTTTTTTTTTTTTTTTTTTTTTTTTGTATTTTTAGTAGAGACGAGGTTTCTCCATGTTGGTCAGGCTGATCTCCAACTCATAACCTCAGGTGATCCGCCCACCTCAGCCTCCCAAAGTGCTGGGATTACAGGCGTGAGCCACCACACCTGGCCTATTTAGTTCTATTTTTAAAACCTCCGCATACATCATTTTATAAAGCCAATATTTATTTCAATATATCCACAGATTTACCATTATTCTTTACTCTTCAATCCTTCTTAAATCTCAGACTTTACATCAGTGGTCACTTTTTTTTTTTTTTTTTAGCCTTCAGGAAATTGATCTGAATTTCCACTAGTAGGGAAGGTTTGATGGTTACAACATTGAGTGTTTGTCTGTTTTAAAGTGTCTAATTTTGCCCCCATTCTTCACAAGATATACAATTCTTGGTTGACAATTATTTTCTCTAAGCATATGGAAAATATTACTCCCTGTCTTATGGCTTTCATTATTATAGACAGGAAAACAGCTGACAGCCAAATACTTGTTGAAGGTAATATCTTTTTTCTCTGACAGCTTTTTTTTTTTTTTTGAGATGGAGTTTTGCTCTTGTTGCCCAGGCTGGCATGCAATGGCACGATCTCGGCTCACTGCAACCTCCACCTCCCAGGTTCAAGCAATTCTCCTGCCTCAGCCTCCTGAGTAGCTGGGATTACAGGCATGCACCACCACGCCCGGCTAATTTTGTATTTTCAGTAGAGACAGGGTTTCTCCACGTTGAGGCTGGTCTTGAACTCCTGACCTCAGGTGATCCACCCTCCTCGGGCTCCCAAAGTGCTGGGATTACAGGCGTGAGCCACCATGCCCAGCCTCTGACAGCTTTTAAGACCTCTCTATGGTATCATGTAGTTTCTTTAAAAAATGTTTATGTGTGAATTTTTTTTCTTTTTATCCTTTCTGGGATTCTTTAGCTTCCTAAATTTGTAGGTTGTTTTTCATCAGTTCTCTGTCATTATCTCTTCAAATACTGCCTCTGCCTCATTCTTTTCCATGCCCCTGCTCCCCTGCCCCAGAATTCTGACTAGACTGAACCTTCTTATTCTACCCTCTGTATTCTCTTAACTCTTTTATTACTTTTCATTTTCTTGCCTCTATACTGCAATTTTTTCAGATCCACTTTACTAAATCTTTCTTTAGCTGTGTCTAATCTGTTATTAAATTTGTACACTGGTCATTTTTGTATACTTGCTCCTCATTCCTATTTTAAATTTCTTTTTTTCTATAAGCATATTAAATATATGTACTTATAATCTGTGTCTGCTAACTCCAATATGTGAACTCTTTGCAGGTTCTGATTCTGCTCTTTATTGTTTCTGCTTCCTCTCATTCATTGCATCTTATTTCTTTCTGCATTTTGTGAATGTGAGTTCATATTTCTTACAGCTTTATGTTTAGGAATTTTCTAAATCCTAAGATCAAGATGGGTTCTCCCAAGAAGCTTTGTATTTGCTGCTTTTTAGGCATTCTTAGGCATTTTAAGGCATCGTCACTCTTGTACCACTTTTATATTTAATTACTGGCTTAAGATTTTCATACCATCCAGGTAATATAAAATCAGGATTCAAACCTGCATGAAGGTCAGCTTGTGGGTAAAACTTCTCAGGGAATTTCTGTACCCTTCCCATCACCACCAAAGTTTGAGGCAGGAAATTTTTCTTTCCGATCCTTAGACAAGGTACGTTTATTACTAGTTCTCATTTATTATGATGTATAGACCCTTGGGGTACCATCTTTACCAGGAGAGGTGGGACGTTCTACCAGAAAACTACTTTTATCTTCCGTTCTCTGAGCTTCTTGAGGCACAAGCACAAGTTAACTAGGTTTTCCAAGTAATGTCATTTGCAAATAATGTCCTCAAGGCAGCAGTACTTGGCTTATATCTCTGGGTTTTCACCTTCACATAGTTTTTGGCCTGATTATTCCTTACTTTTCAGCCAGCTATCTCCATGCACATAAGGTTTTTACTTAAAAAATATTTCATCTGCCAGGCACAGTCACTCACACCTGTAATCCCAGCACTTCGAGAGGCCCAGGTGGAAAAACTGCTTGAGCCCAGGAGTTCGAGACCAGTCTGTGCAACAAGGCAAGACCCCATCTGCACAAAAAATAAAAAAATTTGCTGGACATGGTGGTGTGCACCTGTGGCCCCAGCTACTCGGGAGGTTGAGGTGGGAGGATCGCTTGAGCCCAACAGGTCGAGGCTGCAGTCAGCCATGTTCACACTACTGCACTCCGGCCTGTGTGACAGAGCAAGACCCTGTCCTCCCTCCAAAAAAAAATTATCTAGAATTTTAAATTGTTTATCTGGGAAGGTCAGTCAGAGTACCTAATTCACCATACTGCAGCAAAATAGCCATGCTTTCTTAAAAGTTTGAAAATTGGATATAGATGAAGGTATTAATGGGAAGAAGACGATAACCTTGAAACCTATCAGTAACAAGGTTGAGCACATATTTGGAAAGAAATCTGGAAAAAATATCTTCAACAATTTATAAGGAACTAAATTGGAGAGCTCAAAACACTAAGTGAATGCTTCTCAACTTTAACATACATCAGAATCACCTGGAGAATTTATTGAAAGAGAATGCTAAGCCCTACCCCAGGGTTTCTAAATTAGTCAGCCTGAAGTGGGAACTGAGAATTTGCTTTTCTAACAAGTTCTCAGATAATGCTAATTTGCTGGTCTGCAGAACCCACTATCAGAATCACTGTACTAAGAGAAATAAACTTCATAAAAACAGGAACACTGACAGGTTCATTTCATTACCTTCTACAAAAGAAGAGAAGAAATGTGTGGAAATGAGATTTCAATAACACTCTTGGTCCATCTCATCATTTAACTTATAATTAAGTTAATTTGATGACTGATAAGTAGATTTACTGAAAGGCTATGTATACAAAACAGTTATCAGACTCAATATCTGCAGGTGAAGAAAAAGGACTGGAGTGCAGCAGCTGTTTAAAGCTAGATCTATAATACTAATGATTTAAATAATAGAATAAACAACATTATTTAGAGTATTCAATACCTTGGCAGAGAATATCAAAATTCAAACTACAGACATTGTCAGAAGTGATAATTTACTAAGATGTTCAGAAGCAAATGTCTTGTTCAACCATTCAAGAATCATAATATCCCCACACCAGGCTCTATTCTCAGCAATGGGAACTGTCTGCTATGGTTCACAAAATTATATCAATATTATTCTCTAGGAGAAAAATAGTCAGGATAATTAAATTTAAAAATTTGACACAGAGGTTCATTGGAAGACTCAGAATTAGTGATAATTGGTAGTTTCATTGCTTGTCAAAGCAACTACAAAAATATTTGTCAGCACATAACACTAAAAACACTTCACAATTTTTTTTAAAAACCCACCAATGCAGCCCTTAAAGTTTTTATTATGTGGTGATTTTAAAAAGAAATGAATCTTGCATTTCAAAAATGACTTCTTACCTGAAATTAATAATTTTCCCATTTCCTCCTCCACCAAAGATCTATACAGCTAGTGCAAATCCATCAGCACTTTAACATTTCTTTCTGAATTTAGCAAAAGACCAAAATACCCTGCATTACTCATAAACAGCTGATGCTAATTGATTTGGTTTCAAATCTATAGAGCACAAGTTGTGAGAAATTAACACTTTCAGCTTAAAGTCAAAGAAAAGGAGATCAGGTTAATAAAGTTATTGAGCTGAATTTTATTGAAGTGCTCTCTGTGTCTACTCTTATAAAATACAAGAGGAAAAATGTAGGTCAAAAATCCATAGCGGAAGGTTAAAAGTGTCTTTAAAACAAACAAACAAAAAACTGTCTCGTTCTGTTGCCCAGGCTGGAGTGCAGTGGCACGATCTCAACTCACTGCAACCTCCACCTCTTGGGTTCAAGCTGATTCTCATGCCTCAGCCTCCCAAGTAGCTGGAATTACAGGCGTGTGCCACCATGCCCGCTAATTTTTGGTAGAGACAGGGTTTTGCCATGTTGTCCAGGCTGGCCTTGAACTCCTGGCTTCAAGTGATCCACCCGCCTCAGCCTCCCAAAGTGCTAGGATTACAGGTGTGAGCCACCATGCCAGGCCAAAGTGTCTTTTTTTTTTTTTTTAAAGGAGTGGGGATTAAGTTGTTCCCAGAATTCATACGGAAAAGAGCCAAGAAATGCCAAATTAAGAAAGGTAATGAAAGTACGCCCTATGAAATAACAAGAATAATTTTAAAGCTACAGCAATTAAAACAGTGTTATTGATGCAAATATGGACAAAAAGAATTATGAAACGGAATAGAGTCGACACTTAGACCCACACATATATGGGAACTGGATATAATACAGAGATAGCATTGCAAATCAGTAAAGGAAAAAAATGGACTCAATAAATGATATTGAGACAACTGGTTATACATATGGAAAAGATAAAATTAGTTCATAATTCACACCAAACACAAAAATAAATTCCTGATCAATCACCAAAATGTGCAAGGCAAAATTTTAAAACTTTTATAAGAAAATGACTTCAGGGTGGAGAAAGATTTCCTGAAAAACACATAAAAGCACAAATCACCAAGGTAAAAAAAAAAAAAGGGTAATTATAACTATAAAATTTAAATCCAACACTCTATAAACATCATGAAAAGACCATCACTGTCTGAGAGAAGCTATTTACAACAAAGGATTAGAATCCAAAGCATACCCTACCCCCCAAAAAACGAAAAATTATACAAATCACTAAAAAAATACACAGCCCAACAGAAAAAATGAGCAAATATACAAAAGTAATTCACAGAAGGGGAAATCCCAATGACCAATATGAAAAATGCTTAATCTCACTAGTAATGAGGACAACATGCAAATTTAAACAATAGTTTTACACCTATTATATTGTAAAAGTTAAAATGTCAGCAATATTAAGTGTTGGAGAGGATATAAATAACAGGTACTCATATACTGCTAGTGACAGTATAAACTGGCATAACTAGGTAAAGATGAGTATGACTTATCGCCCAGCAATTCTACCTCTGGACACACATGCTAACTCTTACACATATATGCATGGAGACACACACTCATGTGTTGCTTAACAATAGGGATACATTCTGAGAAATGTGTCACTAGGTGATTTCATCGTTATATGAATATCATAGAGCGTACTTACACAAACCTATATGGTATAGCCTATTGCTCCTAGGCTACAAACCTGTACAGCATGTTACAGCACCAAATGCTGTAAGCAACTGTAACATAATGGGTAATTGTGTAACTAAACATATGTAAATATAGAAAGGTAGAGTAAATATATGGCATTATAATCTTTTGGGATCACCTTCCTATCTGCAGTCCCTCACTAACCAAAATATCGCTAATGTGGCAATGGCACTCGACTAAAATAATGTACATTCCGGGAAAAATAAAATTGGAACTGCCTAAATTGTCCTCTAATAAGAAAGTAGATGATTGTGGTATATTCACAAAACAGACTACAGAGTAGCTAAGCAGAATTAATTGGCTCACTATATATCCACAGGACTAAATTTCAAAATTATTTTAAGTGAAAAATGCAGGTTGCAGAAAGAAAGATATAGCATAAAACCATTATATACATTTTAAAGACACACAAAGCAATATATTGTTTTTGAGCATAAACATGCATAGATGTAGACAGAAAGAATCTATACCAACTTCAGGACAGTGATTACTTCTGGGAAAGGTCAGTGGTCTCAAGAAGGGATACTGCCAGGTGTGGTGGCTGCCACCTACAACCACAGCTACTCAGGAGGCTGAGGTGGGAGGATCACTTGAGGCCAGGTGTTGAGACTAACCTGAGCAACACAGAGAGATCCTATCTCTAAAAACTTTTTTTTAATTAGCCAGATGTGGTGGCACACCTCTGCTAGTCCAAGCTACTCAGGAAGCTGAAGCAGGAAGATTGCTCGAGCTCAGGAGTGTGAAGCTGCAGTGAGCTATGACTGCGCCACTGCACTCCAGCCCAGGCCACCAAGTGAGACTCAGCCTCTAAAAAAAATTTTTAAATAAAACTAAAAAAAAAAAAAAAAAGGAGCAATACAAAGAAGAGTCAATTGGATCTGTAATGTTCTATTTTTTATTTATTATTATTATTTTTGAGACTGAGTTTCACTCTTGTGGCCCAGGCTGGAGTTGTGATCTCGCTCACCGCAACCTCTGCCTCCCAGGTTCAAGCGATTCTCCTGCCTCAGCCTCTCGAGTAGCTGGGATTACAGGCATGTGCCACCATGCCCGGCTAATTTTGTATTTTTAGTAGAGACGGGGTTTCTCCATGTCAGCCAGGCTGGTCTCGAACTCCCGACCTCAGGTGATCCACCAGCCTCAGCCTCCCAAAGTGCTGGGATTACAAGTGTGAGCCACCATGCCCAGCTGTAATGTTCTATTTTTAAAAAGATAAATATCTGAAGCAGATATCATATGTTAACATTTCTTAAACCTCAGTGGTAATCACATGGATATATGTTATTCACTGTGCTTGTCATGCTTGAAATCTCTTAAAGTGTGCATGAATTATACTCATTCAAAAATACTTAGGGCTTCCAGAAATGGTTACATCTACAAAAGGAATATTTAGTTTTCACTATAAAAAAAAATAAGTTGGAAATTAGTAGTTTAAATCACTAGGAAACTGAAGTCAGTATAAGGTAGCTCTCAGAGCAATATTAAGGATATCAGTACTAAAATACGAAAGAGTATCTCACTGAGAGATTTTCACTTAAAATACCACAGCCAGAGTATAGATGTTTTAAAAAGCATTACAGCAAGTGCTTAGTGTATTGCCCAATGAAGGTATTTGTAAGGGTTCGCTCTTCTGCCACTGCCAAAATTTTCAATGGTAAGATAATATACTTTACCTTATACTTTTGCACCTTAACTTAACTACTTGAAAAAAAGAGTCATCCTATACATAAATTCCTCTGGGTTTCAGAAAGAAGAAGCTATCTAATGATGCTTTAAAGAATTGTTTTGTTTCCTAAAATTCATTGCATTTGAAGATACTTTTAAAAATATCCACTAAAGCGATACACAAAACTAATAACTACTGCATGTAAGACTGCAGAAAGTTGATATACTTTGGACAAACTTTCATTCAGGAAATGGACTACCAAACACTTTATAGTATTTGTTTTGATTTGTAGTACTGCACATGAGCTATCCACAATTTACAGCTTGAGTTCCAAAGTTTCATCTGAAAGTTTGTTTGGTAATGATGTCATTCACCCACAAAATGTTATAAATGACTAGGTTTCTAAACAAAGGCTACAAAAGCTTCTGATATTGATACTGATACTGAATATTCTGGCCTGCCCTAGTCAAAACACTAGATTCGACAAATTTTACCTCTAACATCTTTCCATACCCCTTTCAACTCCTAAGCAAGTTCTCTCTCGTTGGTTCCTATTTCACATTATCTTACTCCTATCTCTGCCAAACAGATGACCTCGACTAGGTTTAAGGACTTATGAAGAAAGAGATCCACTGGCTTTATTTGCACTAAAGTATGTGTATTTTCAGAAAGGGACTGCTGAATCTCCAGTAAGTGAGATTTCTGGCAATTTTAAAAGATAAGCATACAAAACAGTTCAGGCACTGTGGAAAACTTTTCTTTTTTCTTTTCCAGTAGTGGGAAGGTAGTGGTATCTTCTGATGACCTAGAAACTGTACACTGAATAACATCACACATTTTATTCTTCAGCCAATTTCCCAGATAAACTATATACGGTGCTTCATTGGAAAAAACTTCAATTACATAGTGAATATAAATCCCACTTATAAGATGATGTCAGAATATCAAAAGTAGTAAGAATGCAAAATAAACTGTCCCCCACAAAAAGGAAATATAAAACCCATTAAGAGTATCGCAACAGCCGGGCTCAGTGCCTCACGCCTGTAATCCCAGCACTTTGGTAGGCCAAGGCAGGCAAATCACTTGAGGTCAGGAGTTCGAGACCAGCCTGGCCAACATAGCAAAACCCTGTCTCTACTAAAAATAGAAAAATTAGCTGGGTGTGGTAGCACAGGCCTGTAATCCCAGCTACTAGGGATGCTGAGGCAGGAGAATTGCTTGAACCCAGTGAGTGGAGGTTGCAGTGAGCCAAGATCGCGCCACTGCACTACAGCCTGGGCAACAGAACAAGACTCTGTCTCAAAAAAAAAAAAAAAAAAAAAAAAAAAAGAGTATTGCAACAACAACAAAAACATTTGATAAAATTCAACATCCCTTCATGATTAAAAAAACTCTCAACAAATTAGGCATAGAAGGAATATATCTCAAAATAATAAAGTCTATACACAACAAACCCAGAGCTAACATCATACTGAATGAGGAGAGGTGAGATCTTTCTTCTAAAAGCTGGAATGAGGCAGGGATGCCCATTTTCACCACTCCTATTCACCACAGTACTGGAAATCCTAGCCAGAACAATCAGACAAGAGAAAGAAATGAAAGGCATCCAAACTGGACAAGAGAAAGTCAAATTGTCTCTTTGCTGATTATATATCTGTAGGTTTAGAAAACCTTTAAATCAGTAGCATTTCTATACATCAATAAGGATCTAGCCAAGAAAGAAATTAAGAAGGCAATCCCATTTACAATAGCTACCGAAAACAAACAAAAACCTAGGAATACATTTAACTAAGGAGGTGAAAGATCTCTACAAAGAAAACTACAAAACACCAATGAAAGAAAATAAATCAAAAAACATCCTATGCTTGTGGAAAGAATTAATATCACTAAAATGACCATATTGCCAAAGCAATCTACAGATTCAATGAAATCCCTATCAAAATACCAATGTGATTCATATGGGACCAAAAAAGGAAAAAGAAAAAAGCCCAAACAACCAAACCAAACCTGGGCAAAAAGAACAAAGCTGCAGACATCACATTATCTGACTTCAAAATATATTATAAAGCTATAGTAACCAAAACAGCATGGTATTGGTATAAAAATAGACATGTAGACCAATGGAACAGAATAGAGAATCCAGAAATAAAACCACATAATTATAGACAAATGATCTTCAACAACACTGACAAGAACTCACACTAAGGAAAGGACACTGTCTTCAATAAATGATGCTGGGAAAATTGCATAACTTCATGCAGAAGTGTGAAACTAGACCCCTATCTCTCACCATATACAAAAATCAACTCAAAATGGATTGAAGATTTTAAGACCCAAAACTATAAAAATACTACAAGAAAGTCTAGGGAAAACACTCCTGGACATTGGTGTAAGCAAAGAATTTATGATTAAGACATCAAAAGCCCAGGTAACATAAAGAAAACTAAACAAATGGGACTTAAGCAAACTAAAAAGCTTCTGCACAGCAAAAGAATAATCAACAGAATGAAGAGACAACCTGTTGAATGGGAGAAAATATTTGCAAAGTATTCATCAAGCAGAGGACTGATATCCAGAACATACAAGGAACTCGAACAACTCAAAAGGAAAATAACAAATAATCCCATTAAAAAAGAAGACATACAATGGCCAAAAGAAGACATGGAAAAATGTTCCACACCACTATCAGAGAAATGCACATCAAAACCACAATGAGATATCATCTTACCCCAGTCAGAATGGCTATTATTAAAAAGACAAAAAGTAACAGATGTTAGTAAGGATGCAGAGAAAAGGGAACTCTCACATACACTGTCGGTGGGAATGTAAACTAGTACAACCACTAAGGAACACTGTATGGAGATTTCTCAAAGCTAAAAATAGAATTACCTTCCATCCAGCAATCCCACTACTGGGTATCTACACAAAGGAAAAGAAATCAATGTATCAAAGGGATAGCTGCACTTGCATGTTTATTGCAGTACTATCACAATAGCAAAAATATGGAATCAACCACCTAAGTGTCCATCTACAGATGAATGGATAAAGAAGATGTCATACATGTACACAATGGAATACTATTCAGCCATAAAAAGAATGAAATCATATCATTTGCAGCAATGTGGATGGAACTGGAGGTTATTCTCTTAAGTGAAATAAGCCAGGCACAAAAAGACAAATATTGCATGCTTTCACATATATGTAGGAGCTACAAAATTTGAACACAAGGAGGCAGGGAGTGGAAAAATAGATAACAGAGACTGGGAAGGCGGAGTAAGGGAGAGAAAGGCTGAAGAGAAGTGGGTTAAAAGGTAAAAAGATCCAATGAGGTCAGTCGCGGTGGCTCATACTTGTAATCTCAGCACTTTGGGAGGCCAAGGCGGGTGGATCACCAGGTCAGGAGTCCAAGACCATCCTGACCAATGTGGTAAAACCCTGTCTCTACTAAAAATACAAAAATTAGCTGGGCGTGGTGGCACATGCCTGTAATCCTAGCTACTCAGGAGGCTGAGGCGGGAGAATCGCTTGAACCCGGGAGGCAGAGGTTGCAGTGAGGCCAAGATAACACCACTGCACTCCAGCCTGGGTGACGGAGCAAGACTCCGTCTCAAAAAAAAAAAAAAAAGATCCAGTGATAGGAGGAATAAATTCAATGTTTGATAGCTGAGTAGATGACTATACTTAATACATTGGACTCATGTACCCTGACTTGATCACTACACATTATACACATGTAAAAAAATTTTCATGTACTCCATAAATATGCACAAATAAAAGTATTGCAACAAGGTGAACTATTTTTGCTAAAAATCACTCAGTAGTTACTAGAAAATAAAGGCTATCAGAAGAAATGATAGACAATCAGATGGGCCAAAGTTTTTCAGATTTTCCAAAAGGTAGAAGATAGTTTCTGAACATTATTATGTCCAAAAAGTTCTAGGTGAGGTAAACCTAGTCTTTACTACACTCTTGCAACTAAGCTGGTGAACTAGGTAACAGTACCAGGCTGATCTGAGTTCAAATCTTGACCCTGCTTCTTGCTGGCTATGTGAACTTCTCAAGTTACTAAATCTCTCTCTCTTTCTCTCTGCAAAAAAACAAAGATAATACTACCTACTTTGCAGGTTGTTTTGTTGGAATTAAATGAGACACATCTGTATTTAAGCAACAGTGCCCAAGTGTATTAATGGGTATCAGTCTAGAGGCATGTCACTGGCAGCATGTCCAAGGGTTATTTCTGACCCTGTCTTATTCTATCCTTTACCAATAACTCAAACGTAGAAACAGAAGTCATGATTAAACCTACAGATCTAACCAAACTGGAAGAGACAGCTATTATGTTTCCTAACATGAAAGAACTAAGAATCCAGATTACCTCAACAAACAGCAGACATGCACTGACCTAAAAAAATGAATTGTAAAAGGATAAGGTCTTGATTTAGGTTCAATAAAACTGCTCTAAACCTAGAATGGAGCTAGGGAGCTGATTTTAAAAGAACATGAGTTTTCACTGACTACAAGCTCAGTATGAGCCAAGAATGTGATTTACTATAGAAAAAACGCTAATACAATTTTATCTGGTATGAATAATGGTAGTGTCCATCTCAAGACAATAATAGCTTAAGTACATTCTTCTCTGATCACTGTGTTCCACTCTGGGCACATTTTAGAAGAAAGGTTGACAAAACAGTAACATTAGGTTACTTCCAGAGGAAGGTAGCCTAAATGATGAAGGGTTTGGAATATGAAATATGCTAGGAATTGGGGGATGTTTAACTTGCAAAATCGAAAATCTGAGGAGATATGTAACCTGTATTCAAGTAAATGAGTAGCTTGAGTAGCTATTACATGGAAAAAGAATTGTGTTTAGTTCCGTATGGCTTGAAACAGCAGAAATAGTAACTACGTATAAAAGTTACATGGAACTCCAGATAACAAAGACCTAACATAGCTGTATGACATTACAGGCAAGCTTTAGGGTAATATACCATCTATCACCAGAGTGTTCAGAGACTGATTCATTTTCAACAAAAATGTATTGAGTACCTAAGTCCCACAAGGTACACAAAGCGCAGTTGATAATGACTAAATAACTTGTATGTTCTCTGCTTTTCACTGAGGTGAAGTGGTAGAAGCAAATAATAACACACACTCAAAGTAACAAAAAGATAAATCTCTAAGGAGAGGAATACAGTTCTTCAAGAGTATATAACAAAGGATCCTGACTTATAATGTGGGGTCAGAGTAGGCCTCCCTTGAGTAGCTAAGTGATGTCTGAGTAGGAGGTAAATGGTTGGGGGGAAGAACGTTACAAAGAAAGGAAACACCACTCGCAAAGACCTTGTGGTAAGAGAAACTACAGGTTCAAGGAATTGAAAGGCTCGTTTACCATATAACCTGAGCACACAGAGTAAGAGAATGAGTGGAAAGAAGCAGGAGCAGAACCACAAAGAGTCCTGAAGGCCTCATTAAGGATTTGGTTTTCTCCCAAAAGTAATGGGATGCTGCTGAGGAGGGGTTTAAGTAGTAATAGGCACGGGAAGGAACAATGAAGGTCAAGAATGAATTGGAGGTGGGCCACATGCTCTAAGAAGACTACTTGGGAGGCCGGGCACGAATCTCAGCACTTTGGGAGGCCAAGGCAGGTGGATGACCTGAGGTCAGGAGTTCGAGACCAGCCTGGCCAACATGGTAAAACCCCGTCTCTACTAGAAATACAAAAATTAGCCGGGTGTGGTGGTGGGCGCCTGTAATCCCAGTTACTCAGGAGGCTGAGGCAGGAAAATGGCTTGAACCCAGGAGGCGGAAGTTGCAGTGAGCAGGGATCACGCCATTGCACTCTAGCCTGGGTAACAAGAGCGAAACTCCATCTCAAACAAACGAACAAAAAAATACTTGGAAGCTTCCTGCAGTAGTCCAGACCAGAAATGATGGTAGTTTGGGAAAAGGAGGTAAAAATGAAGATGTGGAAAGGTGGACAGACTGGAGATTTTTAGGTTAAAATGACAGAACCCATGTGACCAATCCAGATAGTCCAGTGGGTGACTTGGAACTAGTCTAAAGCAACCATTCCCCCAAACCAGAGTCTTTGGCCCTAATTAAATACCTTTATGGGGGGCAGGAGCAGAACTCTGACAAATTTTACCGGGGGATAGGGCAGAGGACATGGGTACAGCAAAAGAGAGACATAAAGGGTTACCCACCCTCTCCCTCCCTCAGATTCCCAGCCTATATAACTGGGTGGATGATGGTATCATTCAGTGAGATATTCCTATCTCACTGGATAGGTACAGATGGTCCCTGACTTACAATGGTTTGACTTAACATTTTTCAACTTTACAATAGTGCAAAGGTGATAGGCATTCAGCAGAAACTGTACTTTGAAGACCTACACAACCATTCTGTTTTTCACTATCAGCACAGTAATAAATGACATGAGGTATTCAACATTTTATAATATAGGTTTATGTTAGATGATTTTGCCCAACTGTAGGCTAATGTAAGTGTTCTGTGCATGTGTAAGGAAGGCAGGCTAGGCTAAGCTATGATATTCGGTAGATCGGGTGTATTAAATGCATTTTCAACTTCTGATACTTTCAGCTTACAATGGGTTTATCGGAAGGTAGCCCCATCGTTAAGTCGAGGAGTATCTACACAAGTTAGGTGGGCTAAGATCCTGGGTTCGGAGTTGAAAAAGCTGCGTTTCGGGACCTTGATTTTAAATAAGCAGTTGGACATATTAACCTGAAACTTAAAGGGCAGGTCTGGACTGGGGGTAAAATATTGAGAATCACTGGCATATAGACAGTTGTAGCTATGGGCTTAGAAGAAATTGCCTGAGCGGGAAATTGAGAGTGAGAAGACGGCCTTTGAGGAATACCAGCAATGAATAACAAAGTAGAGGAGGGTGAGGCCGCAAAAGAGAGGTCTGAGTCAAACCAGGAGCGAGGCATTCCAGAACACATGTGAAGAGTGCTTTCCGTCAAGGAAGCCATGGTCAACAACGTCAAACGCTGCTGAGATATCAAATAAGATAAGGATTGAAAGGTATCAATTAAGTTGAGGGACAGGTTTCAGTGGGATGATGGGGCAGAAATCAGACTGCAGTAGGTTGAAGGGTGAGTAGGTGGTAAGCAAATGGAAGACAATAAATATAGACAACTCTATCAAATTTCCTGCTGTAAACTGGGACGGGAAAAGGTGACAGCTGTGGGGGTGGGGGAAGGGTTTAAGATAGAGAAGCTTGATTATGTTAAGAAGGAGCAGGTGAATATACAGATAGGGTCTGAAGTACTGGCAGAAGGACTAGCCTTAAAAGGAGAGGCCATGGGGAAAAGGAAGAGAAAGAAGCCAAACTAAATGACCTTTAAGATCCCTTCTTACTCTAGAATCTCATGACCTACAAGTCCCTTCAGATAGGGCATTTGCATATATGCATAAATCTATGCAAACTTATTCAAAAATTCTGTTATAAATAGATCAGTCAATCACATCTTTCACCCCCAATGACGCAGTTAATGTCCTCAGGTTTATGACCAGTGTAATCTCCGGGCAGGACTCATCCCTTGAGAGCTTTTAGCTCAAGGCAGACTGCAATACAGCACTCAACCAGCTCTCTCTCCTCGCCAAACCCATCCTACCCAACGATCCTAAAGGCTAAAGGAGGAAGTAAATTTAAAACCCTGAAACTACAGCATATCCTGCTGCATTCGAAGCGAGTGTCATCCATAAAAACAAAACGTGACACCCCAAATCCATCCTCACTCCAAGCTAAAGCCAATTCCTGCCTGACCCGACAGTTGACAGGTCCCCCAGATGGCCGGGCTTTAACACTAAAAGTCATTGGCACCCCCTCCTCTTTCCCAACGACCTTTAATTTGTGAAGAGCCAGACATGGGTTCCTGAAGATCCTTCCTACACCCCTTGCCCCGAATGCAGCAGAGGTGCTCCCGGCAGTTACTCCGGCGCCCCCTAATAAGCCCTCGCAAGGGGGTGCGGAAAGACCCCCAGAGCCCGTCAGAGGGGGCTTCGGCGACCGCGACCCTGCGGCTGTGTGGAGGACGAGGGAACAAGCCCCAAGGGATGGGAAGGGAGGATGACGGGAGGCGCAGCAGACGCGTGTAACGAGGGGTCATCTCCCCTCGAGGGGGGTGGAGTTGTTGAGGAGGGCTAATCCCCTGCCACCGCTCCCCTGCTACCCTCAAGTCCCGCTCTGGCCTCGCGCCCCATTGCTCGGATTCACTCCCACTCCTCTGGGGCCGCCTGGACCCCAGAGTGCCCGCGAGCCCGGCGCCCCTGCCTCAAGCCTGGGCTCCCAGACCGGCACTCACCCGGCCCGCCATCTTCGCGGACACGTCCGGCTCGGCGGCTGCAGCTCTGCGCTCGGCAAAGCCCGCCCCCGCCGCGCGCGCGCCCCCGCCGCCCGCCCTCGCGCAGGCGTGCAACCGCCGTGAGGACGCGCGCGTCCCTGGCCGCGTCCCCGGCGTCCTCGCTCCACAGGGCGCGCGCGCGGGCTCGGCGGCCGCCTGGGGTGCGCGGGGTGGGCAGAGCGGCGGCGCCATTTTGGCTGGAGCTGCGGGGCTGTGGTGGGTGACTCCGTTTCCAACGTGCGTGTCAGTCCGCCGGGGCCTGGAGGGCTGCGCCTGCGAGTCTCATCCCCCACTGGCGGTTCGCGCCGGAATTTGTCTCAAGGGCTTTAATGCTTCGGATCACTTATCCCTTTGCCAGCTGCTGTTCGCCCTCGAATGTCCATTTTGGTCTGTGCTTCCACACTCTCTTTAAACATGGTCTTGCTGATGAGAGCGCCCGGCGCGTTCCCTGGCTTCCCCCAAAAAAGATCAGCTCCGAGGAGTTGGTTCTGAGTTCAAATTCTCCATGAATTTTCTCACTTTTCTTTGTAGGCGTACTTGTTTTCCTAGTTGCTGGAATTGTCATCGTTGGCAGTTTTATTTATGTGTAGCCTGGAAAACTCAGTATTTTCAGATTTGAAAGTGAATTGTGATTATTTTTATACATTATTTTTATTAAATATTTGTCTTTATTTAATAAAGGCAACTTGCATCTTCGACCAACCTTTTCATTCCCCAGTGTTGTTTCATTTTAGACAATATATATGGTAGAATCTGAATAAAATATGCCCTAAATTGAGCCTTGTTGAACCTCAATGTTTCCACCATACCATTTCTCCACTGGAATCTCAGAATATCTAACTGCAAGCACGCTGAGAGGAGAAAGATTCTGCCGAATGGATTCCCTGATGCTTTTATTTACCCCACTATCATATCTCTCTTCATATTTGCACAAGACAATAGGGAATGATAGGATTTGTTCGCTTTCATTTCTCACAATTAGAATAAATCGGGGTTTTTTTCCCAACATGAGGAAAGAAGGGAAATAACTAGAAGAGCTGAGCATGCATAGTGATTTAAATTTGAGAACTAATAAAATCAGACAGTGACCTGAAGATGAACTAGGGACAGAAGAAAAAATTCATGCCAGCCAGGCGCGGTGGCTCATGCCTGTAATCCAAGCACTTTGGGTGGATCACCTAAGGTCAGGAGTTCCAGACCGGCCTGGCCAATATAGTGAAACCCCGTCTCTACTAAAAATACAAAAATTAGCCGGGCGTGGTGGCGGGCGCCTGTGATCTCAGCTACTCAGGAGGCTGAGGTGGGAGAATCGCTTGAACCCCGGAGGCAGAGGTTGAAGTGAGTTGAGATTGCGAGGCTGGGCAACAGAGCGAGACTCCGTCTAAAAAAAAAAAAAAAAAAAAAAAAATTCACGCCTATTTCATTAAGTCTCACACTGAACCTGAGGACCAGGGTGCTTGGTTGACCAAATCAGATGTTAGCTAAATCATGGGTGGGTCGGAGAGGTTATCAGGAAAGATAGGAAACTAGTTGAGTTCTGACATACTAACGTGCAGAAGCTACTAACTTACAAAAACAAATATTAGAATGGCTTGGGGAGTCCAAAGGGTTAGGTTCTTTTCTTTGTCCCTATCTACCCATCACCTGTGTACCTTCATCTCTCTGAGCCCAGTTTCCTTATTTGTTTTTGTTTGTTTGTTTTTGAGACGCAGTCTTACTCTGTCACCCAGGCTGGAGCACAGTGGCATGATCTCGGCTCACTGCAACCTCCGCCTCCCGGGTTCTAGCTATTCTCCTGTCTCAGCCTCCCAAGTCGCTGGTATTACAGGCGCCTGCCACCACACCCAGCTAATTTTTGTATTTTTAGTAGAGACAGGGTTTTGCCATGTTGTCCAGGCTGGTCTCGAACTCTTGACCTCAGGTGATCCACTGGCCTTGTCCTCCCAAAGTGCTGGGATTACAGAAGTGAGCCACCACGCCTGGCCTAGTTTCCTTATTTGTACAGTGAGAGGTATAATTAAATAAGCTTAACAGTTGTATCCTTTTTTTTTTTTTTGACACCTTGACTTTGAACCTAGAATCAAAGAGATTTTGTCCAAATAATTACCAGATCCAGAAGATGACATTGGTTCTCAGTCCAATAATCTGACATTATTTTCAAGGTTGGAAAATAATGCAAACATGTTTCTCCCTATCACTGGTTAGTTTGTCTTGTTTTACTAGATAAGCTAGATTGCAAGTACAAATGTCTTCAATTTCTCCAACAAGGAAGAATATTTATCATCTTGGAAGGATATGCCTGCTGGAAAGTTTCCAGTGTATCAGCTAATGTGCATATCTACCCATTATAAGAGGCCCTCTGTGCCCTCTCAAAGCCCTCTGTGCCTTCTCACAAGTAGTAAAAATTAAATAGAATCATTTGCACAGCCCTGCAGGGCCTGCCAAATAAATTGCAAGCAAAGATAGCTCTTGTCCTTAAGGTCCTTAGCATCCAGCAGGAGAGGAAGGATCCTGAGACAGTGCTCCAGATACTCCACATGTCTCTGCAACCTGTTTGTGCCTTGCTCTGACATTCAAGGTCATCTTAGAAATAGAGGGGTGCTGATTCTGCATCACCCTCTGAGTAATCCTTGCAGTGATAGTCGATAAGCAATAAATGTTTTTGCTGCCCCAAATTCACTCTGCCCTTTTCTGGTAACAGCTCCTCTGGTTCATGCAGCCTTGGAAGGACTGTCAGACCAGGTACCCTGCCTCCCCCTGGCCCAGGAGTGAATACAGAACCCAAGTTCAATCAGTCAGATGCTCTGTCTCTCCTAAGTAACTGCAATCTTGAATACCCTGAAGAATAAAGACAGAAATAGCTAGAGCTCATTTACTGCAATGATGACACCCTGAAGAGACCATTTGCTAGTTCTCTAGATCTCTAGAGTTTACCTGCTTTCTGTCATCTGAAAAATCTGATTGTCCCCCTTTGTCTTGATTTCTGTTAGTCACTTTCTCTTCCTAGAAAAATACCTCCCTCAGCTCTTCGTCGATCCCTGAAATTCTTTTAATATGCTTTCCTTTCACAGTGAGAAAGTTAGTAAGACGGCTAACAGAATGATTAATTTAAATCCTAAAGTGTAATGACTAACATCATTTTTTAAGGAAGGAAGGGCTTTGAGTGGGGGGTAGGAGGTGAGTCTAGGGATAGGGTCAGAGAGGAAAGGTACCTGAAAGGTGGGGAAAGAAGATGAAGACATGATAAAATGGAAATAGCAGGACCCAGAATGAAGAAGAGTGGGGCATAAGGGCAGGGGCAGGGTTTGACCAAGGTCAGTTCTTGCTGAACACAGCCCTTGTGATCCAGTGTGACGGTTAATTCTGTGTCAACTTGGCTTGGCCATGTTGCCCAGATACTTGATCAAATATTATTCTGGATGTTTCTGTGAGGGTGTTTTTGGATGAGATTTACATTTAAATCTGTAGACTTTGAGTAAAGAAGGTTGCCCTCCATAATGTAGGTGGGCCTCATCCAATCACTTGAAAGCCTGAATAGACAAAAGGCCAAACTCATCCAGAACAAGAAGGAATTCTCTAGCAGGTTACCTGTGGACTAGAACTGTAACTCTTCCCTGGGCCTCCTGCATGCCAGCTTCTCCCATCAGATTTTGGGCTCCCAAAGTCTCCACGATCACACGAGTCAATTCCTTAAACAAAATTTCCTCCTATGTATATACACATTCTGTTAGTTCTATTTTTCTGGAGAACCCTGATGAATATAGTCAGTTTCCTGTCAGTTACAGGGATGTGATTCCTGGTTTTTACAAAGTGATCCTTAGCATCACCTGTTGCTCCCTGATAGGTAACCAACATCTATAGGTGGAGGCCTGATTCAAAGACTTGAAAACAGTGCACAGATAGAATTTTATGTTCAAATTATGTCCCATTAAACATCACTTAAAATGTGCTCCATTGGAATGGGGCTGACTAACATTTTGGTTATATAGACATTTGTTTGTAATGGTTGTGGTAACAGAATTTAACTGGGGGAAAAATAAATATCTTCTGTGATTTGTGGAGTGAGGGCAATATAAAACATAGAAGTGAACAGATTCACCGTAATCCACTTTATTTAACAAAGCAATCTGACTATTTGGTGTTTTCATATTAACCAAAGGAAAACTACCTTTAGTCTGTGGAAACTGTAGGGTTAAACAAGTGGCACTGGGGACAGAGTTTTTAGTCACTGCAGGGCTGTTTCAAAGGTCTTCCAGCGGGATTGTATGTAGGTGTTTCAGGGAACAGTCCTGTTCGGTGAATTCACTACTGTATTGTAATTGTCAGAAGGCGTCCTGCAGTGTGTGTGTGTGTGTGTGTGTGTGTGTGACAGAGAGAGACAAAGAGAGAGATGAAGACCTGCACTTCCCCTCTTGCAGAAGATGTCACTGTGAAGCACACAAAGGTGGTCTTCAGAGCCCCTTTTATTCCCTTCCCGCTGCACCCCCTCCTCTCTTTCCCAAGTTCTTTCAGTATTAGTAACCTAACGTATTACTCTTCCCAGGAGTATTGGCAATTTAGGAAAATACTGACAGGACAGCAGTGCCTGACCTAAGAAAACAAACCTCAAAAGGCAACACTTCAGAGACTGTGACACTGTATGGGGAGCCATCTGTGTATAGAAAGCCTTCTCTTGCCCCTCCAATCGTAACTCACAGGTCAGCCACACATACCATGCAAGCCTAGGCTTTCTGGGAGCCCCATGAACACTTAATTTTAGAGCCCCGTCACAGCCAGTTTTAGGATGATGGAGTTGCCATCTGTTTGTTTTCTGTCAGAGAAACCTGTTTTCTAAAATGATGGATAAAGCTAGAGAACGGAGCAAAATGGAGAAAGGACATGGAATTTTTAAATGAAAGGAAGACCAGCTGATGCAATGCAGTATTCTAGCTGCAGTCAGTTGCGGGGCGGGGTGGGGGGTGTTTGTTTTAAATGAATATGTCTTTTCTCTTTGCAGGATCAAGGACAAACACCTATAGTCACAAAAAACAATTCATTCTGGAAAGCCTGAGTGAGCAGGAGAGATGATAGAATCCTCCGTGGAAAGGAAGGACTGTTGCTATGGAAACCAGATGATCCTTCAGTGGGGGCCCCAGTGCACTTGCCAGGCTGCCTAACCCTGTGTATTAACATCATGGGGCTGGAAGGCTGCCTGCATCTCTTTGAAAAGAGATTTTTCAGATATTGGTGTGATGAGACTTTATGCACCTTGAGAAAAGTAAATCAGCATCTCCTGGGAGGGGCTAAGTTGCCTAGAACCTTAAAACACTAGAGGCCCACACACCACAGCCGACTGGGGTGACTATATTGGCTACTCTTGACATTTCTCCAGAGGGCATCCAAGAAGGCATGTCTTAAGGATTCTCTCTCTCTCTCTTTTTTTTTTTTTTTCGAGATGGAGTCTTGCTCTGTTGCCCAGGCTGGAGTGCAGTGGAACGATCTCAGCTCACTGCAACCTCTGCCTCCCAGGTTCAAGCAATTCTCCTGCTTCAGCCTCTCAAGTAGTTGAGATTTACACGCACGCACCACCATACCTGGCTAATTTTTTTATTTTTAATGTTTATTTTTTGGTAGAGACAGGGTTTCACCATGATGGCCAGACAGCTCTCGAACTCCTGACCTCAAGAGATCCACCCGCCTTGGCCTCCCAAAGTGCTGGGATTACAAGCGTGAATCACTGTGCCTGGCCAAGGATTCTCTTAAGGGCAGGTTTATGGAGGGCTGTTTCTGAGGTAAGGAACACAGCTTTCCAAGAGAGGAAGAAGACATCCCTTGAGCAGAGGTTTGATTAGAAGAATAAGTTTAGTGGCACTTGGGGGAAGGTGGTCTGGGTATTCTGTGTGACATTTAAACTCTAACTACCATACCAATACCACTATTACTACAACTATCCCTAATTACACTATTAACTAATTTTAAAGTCTAAGCCAGAGATGAGGAGCTTTCTCCAAATAGGTTTCTCAGAGTGAAATTCTCTTTCTACTTCTCCCAAGAGCACTTTGTCCTTTCCATGCTTTACAAATAACATTATATTGATAAGATGTGTTTTCTATTAAGGAAAAAATAACTCTATTAAGTCAATATCATCACAAGCAATTCATGCTTATTGAGTCGTTGCAGTTCGAGATTTATAAACTTCCCTGAGCAGCCACTGTGATTTCAATTAAACCTCCCTCTTGTCAGAGTTTTAATTTTTAAAAAATAAGTTGAGTTTTCCATTTTAAAATCAGTACACTATTTTCCCTCGATCACTTAAAAACAATCACAGTCCTACCTCCTGAATATATTCACTAGTAAGTTCGGCCTATTTTTAGCCTCTTCCCCTATACATTCCTCATGCATATCATTATAAAATTCTCCCTCTTTTTCTCTCTCTATATGAATGTATTTTGTTTGTTTGTTTTTTGAGACAGAGTCTCACTTTGTCTCCTAGGCTGGAGTGCAGTGGCACTATCTTGGCTCACTGCAACCTCTGCCTTCCAGGCTCAAGCAGTCCTCTCATCTCAGTCTTCTGAGTAGCTGGGGCTACAGGTGCACACCACCATGACCAGCTAATTTTTGTATTTTGTATTTTTTGTAGAGATGGGGTCTCACCATGTTGACCAGGCTGGGCTTGAACTCCTTGGCTCAAGCAGTCTACCCAACTCAGCCTCCCAAAGTGCTAGGATTACAGGTGTGAGCCACTGCACCCGGACGTATGTATTAAATATATATTATATATATATATATATATAAAACATATACGTATATGTGTATGTATTTATGTGATTATAATTGTTTAGCAATTGAATGCCATGTGGGCAGGAACTTTGTTTATTCAGAGGCTTGTGAAAGGAAAATAAAAACTTGGGAACCCAATTCATTCTGCCAAAAGAAAAAAATTTAAGCTGAAAGCTGAGTCATGCAAGAAGTTGCCTTTCCTTTCATTCCTAAGCAGGACTGACTGCAGCTAACTACTCTATGTCCACCTTATCTTATGGTAAGCACGAGAGTAATACATAATTGACTATTCCCCTACTTGCTCCTTGTCTCTTGCAACATGTGAATTCAGTAATGTGACCATACTCTCCTTCTTTCCCTTCCAGCCTGCTTTTCCATTTTAAATATTAAATCCTTGCTGGGCACCGTGGCTCACGCCTGTAATCCCAGCACTTTGGGAGGCCGAGGTAGGTGGATCATAAGGTCAGGAGTTCGAGACGAGCCTGGCCAACATGGTGAAACCCCGTCTCTACTAAAAACAACAAAAATTAGCTGGGCATGGTGGTGTGCGCCTGTAATCCCAGCTACTGGGGCGGCTGAGCCAGGAGAATGGCTTGAACCCAGGAGGCGGAGGTTGCAGTGAGCCGAGGTTGTGCCACCGCACTCCAGCCTGGGTGACAGAGCAAGACTCTGTCTCAAAAATAAAAATAAATAAATAAATAAATAAATAAAATCTTAAATCCTTCTGGCCGGGCGCGGTGACTCACACCTGTAATCTCAGCACTTTGGGAGGCTGAGGTGGGCGGATCACCTGAGGTCAGGAGTTGGAGACCAACCTAGCTAACATGGTGAAACCCCGTCTCTACTAAAAACACAAAAATTAGCCAGAAGTGGTGGCACGCGCCTGTTAATCCCAGCTACTTGGGAGGCTGAGGCATGAGAATCATTTGAACCTGGGAGGTGGAGGTTGCAGCGAGCCAAGATTGTACCACTGCACTCCACCCTGGGCAACAGAGTGAGACTCTGGCTCAAAAACAAACAAACAAACCAAACTAAATCCCTCAAAATCACCTTTGGAAAAAGGCACAGGCCTGTCTCCCAGGTAAGCATCCTTAATTTTGGCAAAATAAACTTGTAAATTGATTGAGACATGTCTCAGATACATTTTGGTTTACAGGCTCAGTGCAGATATTGGGAAAATAATGAATATTCTTAGGCTATGAGGGATGGAAGGATAAATTCTCATAATTATCAGCTCCAGCATTCCTTCTGTAGGAACAAACAATGGTAAGTAAAAATCTCACCTTCGTTATTTCACCTTTTTTTTAGGTTATGATGACTCCATTCAAACAACCTTCATAGTTCCTGGCAAAACAACTTTCTATCTTTCCCTTGGAAGTCAGTAGGACATGAATATATCATTTCTAATAGATGAAATAAAAATACTAGTAAACATTTGGAAAAATAGCAAGTCATCAAATAAATGAAAATTAAACTAGCATGAGTTTTTTGTTGTTGTTGTTGTTGTTTGAGACAGAGTCTCACTCTGTCACCCAGGCTCTGCACCCAGTGCAGTGGCTCTATCTCGGCTCACTGCAACCTCCGCCTCCCGGGTTCAAGCAATTCTCCTGCCTCAGCCTCCCAAGTAGCTGGGATTACAGGAATGCACCACCACGCCCAGCTAATTTTTGTATTTTTAGTAGAGACGGGGTTTCAGCATGTTGGCCATGATGGTCTTGATCTAACCTCATGATCTGCCCGCCTCGGCCTCCCAAAGTGCTGGGATTACAGGTGTGAGCCACTGCACCCGGTTATGTATAATTTTTATAGTCAGAAAAAACATACTTTAATTTTTAAGGAGTCATATGTATTTATATTAACCCTCATACATATAAGCACTGTAATTAGAAGAGTAAGTAGTACTGTAATTTAATAGTTTTGTTTGCTCAATGCACAGTGAGTCAGCATACAGAGACACCTGGCTGCAGCAAAGAAAGAGTTTAATAATCACAGGGCATCTGAATGAGGAGATGGGAAGAAGCCTCAAATCCACCTCCCTGAGAGGTTTGGGGGGCAGGGTTTTTAAGTCCTCTGGACAGGGGCTGCAGTGTGGGGATCGATGATTGGTCAAGAAGTGAAGGGCGAAGTCATGAGACAGGGAGACCAAGAAACCTCATTCTTGTGCTGAGTGGGTTCCTTGGTTGGGGACGTCAGAATTCAGGATCTGAAAAACAACCCGTTCTTGGGCAAAACGATCTTATGAGTCTAGCGTCAGAAATTCTTACTCATGGTAAGAACCATGGAGAAACAGGTAGGAGGTGGTCTAGCACGTGGAGTGATGTTCAGTGAGTTAGCAGCTGCAGGGAAGTGGGTCAAAGTACACTTGTGCACCCTGGATAACAGCTAACTATATATAATGCTGCCTAAAGCCTGGCTTGTAACTCTCCTTAATCCTGTGAGGGCAGTTTCCATTCTGTATTTGCTTAAAAAGATTAAGGTGGCCAGGCTCGGTGGCTCATGCCTGTAATCCCAGCACTTTGCGAGGCTGAGGTGGGTGGATCACTTGAAGCCAGGAGTTCAAGACCAGCCTGGCCAACATGGTGAAACCCTGTCTCTACTAAAAATACAAAAATTAGGCAGGCGCAGTGGCACATGCCTGTAATGCCAGCTACTTGTGAGGCTGAGGCAGGAGGATCACTTGAACCTGGGAAGCAAAGGTTGCAGCGAGCCGAGATCGCACCACTGCACTCCAGCCTGGGCGACAGTGAGACCCTGTCTCAAAAAAAAAAAAAAAAGGAAAAAGAAAGAAAAAGATTAAGGTGTGGGAGTGG
Organism: Homo sapiens; assembly: GCF_000001405.40. NCBI lineage: Eukaryota > Metazoa > Chordata > Mammalia > Primates > Hominidae > Homo > Homo sapiens. The sequence continues at coordinate 46,581,179 of NC_000017.11, read as the reverse complement.
GACAGACCCAGGCTACTTAATATTTTTCTGTAAAACAGCAGGGATAATAGTTTCTTTTCTTTCTTTTTTTTTGAGACAGGGTCTTGCTTTATCGTCTAGGCTGGAGTGCAGTGGCACGATGTTGGCTCACTGCAACCTCTGCCTCTCAGGTTCAGGCAATTCTCCTGTCTCAGCCTCCCAAGTAGCTGGGATTACAGGCGTGTGCCACCACGCCCGGCTAATTTTATATTTTTAGTAGAGATGGGGTTTCTCCATGTTGGTCAGGCTGGTCTCGAACTCCCAACCTCAGGTGATCTGCTCGCCTCGGCCTCCCAGTGTGCTGGAATTACAGGTGTGAGCCACCACGTCTGGCCAGGGATAATAGTTTGTAATTCACTGGGCGTTACGGTCCTGCAGGTAACATTGTTTTTCTTATTTATTTATTTATTTATTTAGTCAATTCTAGCAGTATCTTCTAACTTTTTTTGTTCGTGTTTTTTGAGACAGGGTCTCGCTTTGTCACCCAGGCTGGAGTGCAGTGGCGTGATCACGGCTCTCTGCAGCCTCTACCTCCTGGGCTCAAGTGATCCTCCTGCCTCAGCCTCCCGAGTAGCTGGGACTACAGCCGCTACCATGCCCGGCTAATTTTAAATTTGTTTTTTTTTGCAGAGATGGGGTTTTGCCATGTTGCTCAGGCTGGTCTCGAACTCCTAGCTCAAAGCCTTGGCCTTCCAGGCGTGAGCTACCGCGCCGGGCCTGCTGAAGTTCTTGATATAGTTTCTGGCACATAGTATATGTTTAATAGATGTTTGTTGTTCTGATGATTTCAGTTATGTACCATTTACAGGCGTTTGTAACCTTTTTAGCTAACAAGTTGGGCATTTAGGGAACTGACTATAGAAAGCATTTCTCGGAAACGAGGACTGGTTCTGCGACGTCTTAACGAGGTGCGGGTGGCCAGTATTTTCCCCAACTTGAAAATCTGTGTAGAGGTGGGAGGGCAGTCTAGCCTCAGGCGGAATAGGAAAACTTCCTTATGCCTAATTTCAGTGTCAGTGTGTGGTATTTCCTACGCGGAACACCGCCCCAAACTAATGTCTACGTTTAACTCAACCGCGGTAAATTTCCTTCCATGGCACTATTAACTTGGCCCGGCCCACATGTCCCCTCCCGGTTGGTGTGAACGCTCCGAGGTTAGCTCAAACCTCGGCGATTTTCCCAGCTGATTGGCCGTGCAAATAGACAATCCTTTTGCTTTTCTGATTGGTCGCACATGGCATCGGGGGTGGGGGACGTGGGCGTGTCTCGCCAGAATTCGTTTAACTGTGATTTGAAGATGAACATGGTATTGCCAGAGCTTCATGGCGTCGCCTACGGCGCTCCCTCCCTCCCAGGCCCTTACTCTTCTTTGCGTTGGCCAGATATGTCGTCACTCACAAAACTTCGAGCTCATTGGTGCAAAAGCTCCAGGAGGCGGTGGGTGATTGGTTGGTTGCTGTTCCTGCCCCCACGCCTGTCGTGGTTTAGCTGAACTGAGCTGAAATCCTAAAGGCCGCGGAGTCGGCGGTGTTGTAGGTAGCGGTACCTTGAGTGGCAACAGGTGAGTCTCCGGCTGCAGGGATGGGGCGGCAGCACTCAAGACCTGGCTGGATCTCCACTTCGTCTGCGGGCCAGAAACTGGAGGGCGGCGGTGGCTTTCGGAAAGGGATTGGGCTCCGCTGTTCCTTCTTCGCCCTCTCTAGGGCCGGAGCAGCGAGGAACCGAAGGAGGCTTCATAGGTTCCACGCAGGGCCCTCTCTTTGCTCTTCCAGGGGCGCACAAGTTGAGAAGGAGCGGCCTGGCAGCCGGGGCAAAAAAGGGGCGTCTTTCCCCGGGAGCCGGGCGTGCCTGGCTGCCGCGCACGCTCACCTGGGCCACCACGCTTGTTCGCGCCCTTGACGTCGTGCCGACGTTTCTCCCTAATGCACTTTTGGCGCTTGGGGCTGGGAGACTGAGCGTGCCAAAAAGGCCCTGTAGTCGGAGCCATCTTACCTTAGAGGGGTCTCCAGCGGCGCAGGGGTGTCAGGACCACGGGCGCCTGGGGCACATGAGTAGCAATAAGAGGAAAGAGAAGGGAGAGGGAGGTCAAGGTGGTGTGTCTGTGCGGTTGGCAGGGGGAATTGGGACTAGCTGCCTCAAGGGGCATCTGAGCGGGAAGTACCTTCCCTCCCCCAGCATGTTCCTGAAAAGTCTCCTCATCTGTGAGATTTGTTTTTCGAAACAAAGAAAAGGAATCTCTAGTTTTGTCGCCCGGCAAGATTTTGAGTGCTGCAATGCACTGGACTTTTATAGACCTATAATGGACTTTCTTTGAATGATTAAAACATTTATCATTCTTTGGTCACTTACGCCACATTTGTGAACAGGATAAATTCTGTGCTCGCTTTCTCTCATCCTAGAAAGGAATGTTGTGTACTTGGGCGTAATCCATGATATTAAGCTACTGCTGGCCACTGTTGAATTTCAGCGGTGAGGCCTGTGGAATTTGGTTACCTCCGCTCTGTGGTTACCAGAGTCCGAATGAATGGGAGATTGGCTATCCTCCTTGTGTCTTCCTCCTCCCCTGCCCAGGAGTAAAGCTTTCTTTGGTTAGCAATTTAAAAAGAAAATAAATCACAGTCTCTGGAACAAGGATGTATGTCTTTTTCTTTTTGAATTTTTTTTTGTTTTATTATTTTTAAAAATAGAGGCAGGGTCTCGCTATGTTGCCCAGGCTGGTCTTGTACTCCTGGCCTAAAGCAATCCTCCCTTGTCTTCTGTTATCTCAGTAAGCAAAAACTAAAGTGACCCTCTTGCCTCAGCCTCCCAAAGTGCTGGAATTACAGGGGTAAGCCACCCTGCCTGGTCTGAAGATCTTTACAGACTTCCAAGAGCTTAGTTAGAGGTGTAGACCCAGCACTGCTTGTAAGTCTTTACTTAGAATGTCAAGCTCACATTTCAAGTAGGCTGATCTCAAAGAGACTGTAAATTTCTGTAAGTTAGTCTGACTTTACTATTGACTTACTTTATATAACCTACCATGATTTCTACTGAAAAATAAAATATTGAACATTTATGCTGTTAGAAGTCAATATAGTGATTACCTTTTATGGAGTAATGACTGGGAGGAGGCACAAGGAGAATTGGTCTGATAATCATTTTTTTTTTTTTTTTTTTTTGAGATGGAGTCTCACTCTGTTGCCCTGGGCTGGAGTTCAGTGGCCCAATCTTGGCTCACTTCAACCTCCACCTCCCAGGTTCAAGTGATTCTTGTGCCTTAGCCTTCTGAGTAGCTGGGACTGCATGTGTGTGCCACTACACCTAGCTAATTTTTGTATTTTTAGTAGAGACGGGGTTTCACCATTTTGGCCAGGCTGGTCTCGAACTCTTGACCTCAGGTGATCCACCCACCTTGGTCTCCCAAAGTGTTGGGATTACAGGCATGAGCCACTGTGCCCAGCCTGATAAATCATCTTTTCTTGATTTGGTTACATAGGTGTGTTTGGTTCATGAAAATGTATTGAACTTTACAGTTATCATGTATGTTTATATCTGTATGTAAATTATACTTAAATAAAAAGTTCTAAGAACTGGTTGAGAGTAAGGTGATAGTTACAGCAATAGAACACTGGATACTGGCTGGGCCTGGTAGCTCACGCCTGTAATCCCAGCACTTTGGGAGGCTGAGGTGGGAAGATCACTTGAGCCCAGGGGTTCGAGATTAGCCTGGGAAATATAGTGAGACCTCATTTCCACAAAAAATACAAAAATTAGCTGAGCGAGGTGGCGTATGCCTGTGGTCGCAGCTGCTCCAGAGGCTGAGGTGGGAGGATTGTTTGAGATGGGGAGGTTGAGGTTGCAGTGAGCCGTGATTGTGCCACTGCACTCCAGCCTGGGTGACAGAGCGAGACCCTGTCTCAAAACAAAACAAAAAACTCAAACGAAAACTGGATGCTGTGGTGCCTCCTCAACTCTGCCAAGTTATCTCTCTTGGCAGTGAAGCTTCCCAACGCTGAATTTCTTTGCCTCTGAAATTTCTTAGGTTATTTCCAAGGTGTCTGCTAGCCATAAGGAACTACTACGTTTCCAAGGGATATTGTTGTTTAACCTGTCTTAAAGACTTTGTTTTATATTGCATAAAATAAAAAGCTTCTCTGTTTCATAAATTCTCATTTCAGTAGAATTTAGAATGAGGTATAGTTGTATTTGTTGTATCATTGCTTCTGTACTTGTTTTTTAAAAAAAATTAATTAATTAATTAATTTTTTGAGACAGTCTTGCTCTGTTGCCCAGACTAGAGTGCAGTGGCGTGGTCCTGGCTTACTGCAACCTCTGCCTCCCCAGGTTCAAGTGATTCCTATGCCTTAGCATCCTGAGTAGCTGGTACTACAGGCGTGCACCACCGTGCCCAGCTAATTTTTGTGTTTTTAGTAGAGACGGGGTTTCACCATGTTGGCCAGGCTGGTCTTGAACCCATGACCTCAGGTGATCCACCCACCTTGGCCTCCCAAAGTGCTGGGATTACAGGCGTGAGCTACCGCACCTGGCCTTGTACTTCTGTACTAAATGACTAAAGGCTGCCACTGTCATAGCAGTGCTGAGGCTATGTTGCATATCCCTCTTGGATGCTGCAGTGGAAAATAGAATTTTCTGGTAAGGCATGGAAAGGTTTAGTTGAGTTTCCCTTTGAAGACAAGACTCACTACTCATTGGCCAAAGTGTACCTAAAATTGTTGAATTTTTCCTGGGAGCCATTTCTAATTGACACTTGTATTTTCTGCGTGTTGCTTCTATATCTCTGCAGAGAACAATTATTTGGCTTGCTTTTCTTGTCATGTTACAGAATTCGATTAAATTACAATGGGAAACATTTTTGAAAAGCTCTTTAAAAGTCTACTTGGGAAAAAAAAGATGCGGATTCTTATATTGAGTTTGGATACAGCTGGAAAAACCACCATCTTGTATAAATTGAAGCTGGGGGAGACTGTGCCTGCCGTCCCTACAGTAGGTAAGTTAATGAAAGACCTGTGGCAATTCCAGTTTACAATTTAGTATGTTATATATATTTTTTAGGTTCTGTTTCACCAGAGAAATATGTTTTATTTTTACATGCTTCTTATGTTATTGAATAATTCTTTTTAAAAATCTTGTCTACTCCATGAGCATACATTTTTAGAGGCCAAAAACCAGGTTATATATATCCTTTTCTTTTTTTTTTGACTCTGTCACCCAGGCTGGAGTGCAGTGGTACATCTCTGCTCACTGCAGTCTCAACTTCCTGGGCTCAAGTGATCCTTCCATCTCCCTCCTGAGTAGCTGGAACTACAGGCGTGCACCAGCATGCCCAGCTAATTTTTGTATTTTTAGTAGAGACGGGGTTTTGCCATGTTGCCTAGGCTGGTCTTGAACTCCTGGGCTCAAGCGATCCTCCCGCCATGGTTTCCCAAAGTGCTGGGATTACAGGCATGAGCCTCCGCGCCTGGCCAGGTTATGTATCCTTTTCTAGTGGCTTGCACATTCTTAGGTTCACAAGGGAGACATGTGAACACATGGAGGCTAAGCAAATTTAACCCCATTTGCTTGGCAAAAAAGAAAAAGATAATGGGCAAAACAGGGAGGGTAGTTCTGCCCCTCATTCCTCGCAGCTAGTGTCCCAGCAGAAGGCTGAGGTGGGAGCTGGGAATCTGCTGGTGCCTCCTCAGTCAGCCTCTGTTCCAGCTGGCCTTCCTTAGTGGCAGCATCTCATCTCTACACCAAGTACGCTCCCAGTGCTTAGAGATGGAGTGTGATTTCTTTTCTTCACTCTGGCTCAAACCAACTGCTTGAGATGATGTCCAACTAGAGAAATAGACAAGCTGGCTGCACTGCTCTTACTGTGAACCAGCACTGTGTTTTACCGGCTTGTTAAGAGATTTACAAAGCGAGTTTTGACAGAACTGAATCTTTGCCTTGTGAACTGCCTCTAGATCCAAACTTCTGACTGAGGATACACCCCACAGGTGGCATGTGAACATTACTACTGTTCTGTTCTGAATATTGAATTAGGCACAGGACTCAAATGATCAACTTTCTTTTTTTTTTTTTTTGAGATAGAGTCTCGCTCTGTCACCCCAGGCTGAAGTACAGTGGCGCGATCTCGGCTCACTACAACCTCCGCCTCCTGGGTTCAGGCGATTCTCATGCCTCAGCCTCCTGAGTAGGTGGAATTACAGACGTTCACCACCATGCAAGGCTAATTTTTGTATTTGTGGTAGAGACAGGGTTTCACCATGTTGGGCAGGCTGGTCTGGAACTCCTGACCTCAAATGATCTGCCCGGCTAAGTGCTGGGATTACAGGCGTGAGCCACCGCACCTGGTCTCCAAATGATCAACTTTCAACTTGGGCAGTAGCTGCAGAGATTGCATCGATTGAGGAGTGGGAAACCGAGGAGAATGTTCGAGTTATGAGATGGTTGTGTGTAAGGTAGTAATTTGGTTAAATTTTTCAAATGGATAAGCCAGTGCTGCCCAGGAGGCACTTTCTGCAGTGATTAAAATGTTCTGTGTCTGTGCTGTTTAGTGTCGTAGCCAATAGCCATGTGACTGTTCATGTGCTTGAAATGTGGCTAATGCAACTGAGGAACTGAACTTTTTTGTTTTTTGAGATGGAATCTTGCTCTGTCACCCAGGCTGGAGTGCAGTGGCGCGATCTCAGATCACTGCAACATCCGCCCCCTGGGTTCAAGTCATTCTTCTGCCTCAGCATCCTGAGAAGCTGGGATTAGAGGTGCACGCCACCACACCCGGCTAATTTTTGTATTATTAGTGGAGACGGAGTTTTACCCTGTTGGCCAGGCTGGTCTCGAACTCCTGACCTCGGGTGATCCGTCCACCTTGGCCCCCCAGAGTGTTGGGATTACAGGCATGAGCCACTGTGTCCAGCCGGGAACTGAACTTTTAATTGTATTTAACTTTAAGTTTATTTTTTATTTATTTTTATTTATTGATTGATTTTTGATTTTAACTTTAAGTTTAAATAGCCACGTTGCCAGGCGCAGTGGCTTATGCCTATAATCCCAGCACTTTGGGAGGTTGAGGTGGGAAGATCACTTGAGACCAGGAGTTCGAGATCAGCGTGGCCAACGTGGTGAAACCCCATATCTACTAAAAATACAAAAATTAGTAGTGGCATGCACCTGTAATCCCAGCTACTCGGGAGGTTAAGGCAGGAGAATCACTTCAGCCCGGGAGGCACAGGTTGCAGTGAGCTGATATTGCACCACTGCACTTCAACCTAGGTTACAGAGCAAGACTGTGTCTCAAAAAATAAATAAATAGGCCGGGCATGGTGGCTCACGCCTGTAATCTCAGCACTTTGGGAGGCTGAGGCAGGCGGGTTACCTGAGGTCAGGAGTTCGAGACCAGCCTGGCCAACATGGTGAAACCCCGTCTCTACTAAAATTGCAAAATGGGCGTGGTGGCAGGCGCCTGTAATCCCAGCTACTTGGGAGGCTGAGGCAGCAGAATCACTTGAATCCGGGAGGCGGAGGTTTCAGTGAGCCGAGATCGCACCATACACTCCAGCCTGGGTGACAAGAGCGAGACTCTGTCTCAAAAACAAAACAAAATAAAACAAAAACATAAACAAATAGTCACAAATGGCTAGTGACTATGTATTGGACGGTGCTGGGGTAGACAGTTGTTCAATGTCATTTATTGAATAATTTTTCCATGCTGATTTGAAATGCCTTCTTTGTTACATACTAAATTCTCACTGGTATGTGTGTCTTTTTTTGGGCAAGTACCTGTTGCATTTATATTTGAACTCTATTCAAGTGTTACTAGGGCTTGGCATATCCTTAAAAATAATTCATTACTCATTTTCAGAGATTTCCTGGTTATGCTTACTTGTTTATTTCTCCAGGTTAAATTTTAGATAATTTTGCTAAGTTTCCTGCCCCTGCCCCTACCATCATTATAGGATTGGAATGGCATTGTATTTATTTATTTAGCAAGAATTTAGATTGTTGCAATGTAACGAGTGTCTCTCACTAAAATAAGGCATGACTAGAATTGAGGTTTGGAAGGTGAGCAGACCCAGCTTGCTTGGGTCTTGACAGTCATGTTTGGGATTTGGGTGTGGGAAGCCGCTAAGGGGACATCTTTCCTTCTTTTCCTTTCCTCCCTTCCTCCCTTCCTCCCTTCCTCCCTCCCTCCCTCCCTCCCTCCCTTTTCTGTCCTTTCCTTCCTCCCCTCCCCTCCCCTCCCATCTCTGTCTCTCTCTCTCTGTCTCTCTCTTCCTCTTTTCTTTCTTTTCTTTCTTGGATGTTATTCTGTCATCCAGGCTGGGGTGCGGTGGTGTGATCTCAGCTCACTGCAATGTTTGCTTCAAGCAGTTCTCCTGTCTCAGCCTCCCAAGTAGCTGGGACTGTAGGCACACGGCACCAATGCCTGGCTAATCTTTGTGTTTTTTTGTAGAGACAGGGTTTCACCATGTTGCCCAGGCTGGTCTCAAACTCCTGAGCTCAAAGCAATCTGCCCACCTCAGCCTCCCAAAGTGCTGGGGTTACAGGTGTGAGCTACTGTGCTCGGCTTATTCTTTCTTTTTTTTTTAATTTTTAATTTTATTTTTTGGGGCGATTATTCTTTCTTTTTTAAGTTTGAAAATATTCCAATCAAACATAAATGTGTAGAGAAATGACGTGACCACACTATGTGTTTTTAAGCTATTGCTTTGTTTAGAAGATGGTGACCGGATGGAGAGAGGGAGAGTGGCTGAGGTGAAATTAGTTATATGGTTTCAGGAATTGAGGCTAGAAATGATGGTCTGTTGGGTTAGGGTGACTATTAGTTGTTGAAGGGGTTGAATTGATAAGGTGTGGTAGTAGGGTTCTAGGGGTGCGAGCATCGGATGTTTCCAGGGCACCTCTCAGGCTATCAGCTTGTGGAACGAAGTCAATGATGGGATAACTAGCAGAGGAGGAGGTTGGGGGTAGGGACCTTAAATTCCATTTTTGACTGATCACCTTGTTTTGGGGCCTTGAAGACATTTGCCAAAGCTGTTAGATTATGAGCCTGAAGCTCAGGAGAGAGGGCTAGGTTGGGGGATATAAATCTCAGAGTTAGTACAGAGATAGGAATGAAGTCGTGGGAGTGAGTGAGATTGCCTAGGGAGGGGTGCAGAAAGAGGAGAGTGGATGGGGCCAGTGAGAGCCAGGGCGACTCCCATCATTGCAGGATCAGTTAAACGTGGCTGAGTTCACTAAGGAGACTGAGACAGTACAGCCATAGAGATAGAAGGAAAAGGGAAGCTGGGGAAGGGTGTCAAGGAGGGAGTGAGCAGTAGCGTCAGATAGAAGATCAAATTATGGAAGAACTGAGAAGGCCTGTGTTAGATTTATTGACCTGGTGATCACTGCTGACCTTACTGAAAACCAGCTACCCAATGGTGGAGCAGAGCTAAGGTGCTGTTGCGTGAGAGGACCGAAGAAAGCTTAGTGGACAGGTTGCTTGACCTCAGGAGTTTTAGACCAATCTGAGCAACATAGTGAGACCCTGTGTCTACAAAAAATTTTTTAAATTTAGCTAGGTATGGTGGCTCATGCTTATAGTTCTAGCTGCTTGGGAGGCTGAAGCAGGAGGATCCCTTGAGCACAGGAGTTTGAGGCTGCAGTGAGCTATGATTGTACCTCTGTGCTCCAGCCTGGCCAACACAGCAAGGCCCTGTCTCTTAAAAAAAAAAAAAGCAAATAGAGGGTGAAGATGTGAAGGAAGAGAGTGCGATGAAGATGTGGGGATCAAGGAAAGGTTTGTTTTGTTGTTTTTAAAGATGTAAAAGGCTTAAGCATGCCAAGGTGAACAGATTGGAGATATTCAGATATGGGAGAGAATAGGAATAGTAAAAAGTTCCAGACAGTCTGGGTAGGGTGGATCTGGCTCATAGAGGGAGGGAGTTGGTGGAAGAGAGTTACCTTCTTCTGTTGTTCCAAGAGGGAGGAAGAAAAGCATGGGTAAAGATGTAGACTGGCTTTTACACTGTATGGTGGAAGTGGAAGTCATTCCCATCGGCGGCTTCTCTGCTCTGAAGTACACTGTGATAGTCTCCTGCTGAGAGAAAGGGCAGGTGCGTGGCTAGAGATTGGAGAGTAGAGAAGGTTTGAGACACCTGTCCTGATGAATGGGCGAGGGGGCCAGCACATTCTGTTTGAAGGCTATAGATCTTTGACTAGCAGGCTGCTTTGTAAATTAAAAGTACTGTCCGCATGTTGAAATTATTTTGAATTGTTCAACCAGCACAAATCATAATTAAATGTTTTCCCCATGTTTCATTTAGGTTTCTGTGTGGAGACAGTAGAATATAAAAATAACACCTTCGCTGTCTGGGATGTTGGCAGCCACTTCAAAATCAGACCTCTGTGGCAGCATTTTTTCCAGAACACAAAAGGTAAAGATTATTCGGTTTGTAGCCTCGATACTGTTTCTGTGAAATGTCTCTAAAGACGGATGCTTGAAGTGATACCTTCTGGTGCTCTGCTCTATTTACACTGTCAGCCATTTCCTCTCTTAGGGTCTCTTTATACTTACTGGGGAGGTTTCTTTTGTGAGACAGAGTCTTGCCCTGTTGCCCAGGCTGGAGTGCAGTGGTGTGATCTTGCCTCCCTGCAACCTCCGCCTCCCAGGTTCAAGTGGTTCTTCTGCCTCAGCCTCCCAAGTAGCTGGGGTTACAGGCATGCACCACCACGCCTGGCCAATTTTTGTATTTTTAGTAGAGATGGGGTTTCACCATGTTGGTCAGGCTGGTCTCGAACTTCTGATCTCAGGTGATTCGCTCACCTTGGCCTCCCAAAGTGCTGGGCTTATAGGCGTGAGCCACTGTGCCCAGCCCCCCTGTCTACTTTAAATCACTACTAGATTACTTCTTATGTCTACTAGCATGTAAATGCTATATAGTTAGACTGTATTATTTGTATTTTTTTTTTTTACTGTTGCGTTATTATTTTTATTTATTTACTTATTTATTTATTTTTTGAGACGGAGTTTCACTCTTGTTGCCTAGGCTGGAGTGCAATGGCGCGATCTCGGCTAACCACAACCTCCGCCTCCCGGGTTCAAGTGGTTCTCCTGCCTCAGCCTCCTGAGTAGCTGGGATTACAGGCATGCACCACCACGCCCGGCTAATTTTGTATTTTTAGTAGAGACGGGGTTTCTCCATGTTGGTCAGGCTGGTCTCGAACTCCCGACCTCAGGTGATCCACCCGCCTCGGCCTCCCAAAGTTCTGGGATTATAGGCGTGAGCCACCGTGTCCGGCTTGCGTTATTACTTTTTAATATTTTTGGTTCAAGGTGGGTTGAATCTGTGGATACAGAGGGCTGACTATAGTTTTTACACCCCGATTTTCATGTAAAATATTAACCATATGGAATCTACAAATTTCTCATTTTAGAATTTATTTGGAGTCTGTTTGTTTTGGAGATTCTCCTGCATGTACTTGATAGTAAAGACTTACATATTCGTCAGTCTTTCCAGATGAAATACCCAAGTCGACTGTCCCTTTATATTTTATATCATTGTTTTAGCTGTTACCTTTGGCAATTAACTCTATTTGCAGTTATCTTTTCCAGGCTATAGATTTTAGAATGTTTTTTCTCAAAGTAGTGCATTTATTTTTTTAACTTTTTTAGTGGAAAATCTAAAACAAATACAAAGACAGAGAGGATAACATAACGAACCCCCATGTACCCATCACCAAGCCTCAACAGTTATAAGCATTTTGCCCATCCCAGACATGATGCCTTTTATTCACATGTCCTTTAGTGTTCATTTCCAACTGATAAGGCATATATATATATATAAAATCTTCATGCTATTATAACATCTCCAAAATTAATAATAATTCTTTAATATCTAGCACCTAGTCCTTATTCTAATTTCTCCAGTTGTATCAAATGTATCCTGGCTGAGTGTGGTGGCTTACACCTGTAATCCCAGCACTTTGGGAAGCCAAGGCTGGTGGATCACCTGAGGTCAGGAGTTGGAGACCAGCCTGGCCAACATGGTGAAACCCTGTCTCTACTAAAAATATGCAAAAAAAATTAGCCAGGCTTGGTGGTGCATGCCTGTAATCCCAGCTACTCGGGAGGCTGAGACAGGAGATTCTCTTGAACCCAGGAGGCGGAGGTTGCAGTGAGCCGAGATTGCGCCATTGCACCCCAGCCTGGGCGACAGGGCGAGACTCCATCTCAAAAAAAAAAAAAAAAAAGAGAAAAAAAAAGTATCCTTTCTACATCTTTTCTACATCTGCTTTGTTTGCATCTGGATCAGAGTTCGCACAGTGCATTTTGTTGTTTTGCCTCTTTAGTCTTTTATTCTACAGCAGTTGTTCTTTCTCTATGCCTTTTTTTTTCCTTTTTTTTTTTGGAGACAGGGTCTCGTGCAGTGGCACAATCTTGGCTCACTGTAACCTCTGCCTCCTGGAGTCAAGCGATTGTCTGACTTCAGCCTCCCAGGTAGCTGGGACCACAGGTGCATACCATCACACCTAGCAAATTTTTTTGTACTTTTTATAGAGATGGATTTTCACCATGTTGCCCAATCTGGTCTCAAACTCCTGGGCTCAAGCATCTGCCCACCTTGGCCTCCCAAAGTGCTGAGACCATAGTGTGAGCCACCTCGCCTGGCCTCCCCCCCTCTTTTTTTTTTTTTTTTTAACTGCTTATTCCACATTCTGGATTTGGTTGATTACTTTATTATAGTGCCATCTAACTTGCTTGGCTATCTGTGGATTTCCTGTGAACTGGTTGTTTATTCTAGAGACTTGATTAGATTTTGGTTCATTTCAGGGGCAAGAATACTTCATAAGTATTCTTCCTATCCTAACACAGAAGTTCGGTTGTCACACTTAGACATTTTTAAAAAAATTTTTATTGTGGCAAAGTATATATAATATAAAATTTACAAGTTTATTCTTAAGTGTACAATTCAGTGGCATTAAGTACATTCACCGTGTTTTACAACCATCACCACTGTCCAGTTCCACAATTTTTTCATCATCCCCAACAGAAACTTTGTATCCATTAGCAATAACTGCCCATTCTCTTCTCCCCCACCCCTCATTAGCCTTTATTCTATCCTCTGTCTATGAATTTGCCTATTCAGTGGAATTGTATATTAGTCTTTGGAAGTTTAGCTGCCTGGCCTCTTTCACTTAGTACAATGTTTTCAAGGTTCATCTATGCTGTAGTATGTATCAGAACTTAATTCCTTTTATGGCTGAATGATATTCTATTTTATGGATATACCACATTTTGTTTATCCATTCATCTATCGATGGACTCTTGAGTTGCTTCTGCTTTTTGTCTATTATGAATAGTGTTGCTATGAAGATTCATGTCCAAGTATCTGTTTGAGTCCCTGCTTTGAGTTCTTTGGGTATATGCCTAGAAGTGGAATTGCTGGGTAACTATGTTTTCTTTTCTTTTTTTTTTTTTTTTTGAGACGGAGTCTCCCTCTATTGGCCAGGCTGGAGTGCAGTGGTGCAGTCTCGGCTCACTGCAACCCCAGCCTCCTGGGTTCAAGTGATTCTCCTGCCTTAGCCTCCCGAGTAGCTGGGACTATAGGCGTGAGCCACCACGTCCGGCTAGTTTTTTTGTATTTTTAGTAGAGACAGGGTTTCACCATATTGACCAGGCCAGTCTCGAACTCCTGACCTTGTGGTCCACCCGCCTCGGCCTCCCAAGGTGCTGGGATTACAGGCATGAGCCACTGCACCCGGCCTCATTTTTTTTTATTGTGGTAAAATACACATAACTTAAAATTTAGCATCTTAACAATTTGTTTTGTTTTGTTTTGTGGTAGTGATGTTTTTGTGAGATGAGGTCTCTATATGTTACTCAGACTGGTCTCGAACTCATGGGCTCAAGTGGTTCTCCTACCTCAGCCTCCTGCATAACTGGGACTACAGGTGTGCAACACTGCACCCAGCTCTATCTTAAACATTTTTAAGTGTATAGTCAGTCATAATATTCTGCAACCATCACCACCATTCATTTCTGTAACTATTTTCATCTTGTAAAACCAAAACTTTGTGCCCATAAACTATAACTTCTGTTCTTCCCCCACCCTCTCCCCTTCCTCCCTGGCAGCCACCAGGTTGTCACATTTTTAATGATGCCAAATGGTTTCAGATGGTATCAGCCTAATTCCCCTGAATTAAAATTCTCCATCAACTTTTCACCTAATCGTTTTAGCATCCATTGAAAACTGTTGCCTAGACCCATTATTTTATTAGAAGTCACAAAATGGTGATTTCTCCCCCCTCCTAAATCTTGTTATTCCTCTGCATTTATTAGCTAAAATCCTTCTAAACAAAGAATTCCCTCATCAAATATTTGGTTTCCCTGAAATATAGTTTGTAGAAGAGAGGCTGGAAAAATGCTTTATTCTTTTCCTTCATGGATTTTCAGAAAAACCACTGGATGCCCCGCAACTTCCATGGTGACTCTTAGATGTTTGTATCTTCGTGTTTTGATCTGCAGATTATGTATTTTTTTGATACTCAGAGTGTCCATTTATCTTGGACTGGCACTTGACAAATTGGCAAACTCTTGCAGTTTCTTAACTGTAATAAAACTAGAACACATGGGTTTGAACCACAGCTCTGTGGTGAAACCTTGAGAGAGTTAGGTAATCTCGTCTGTCTCAATTTCCTCATCTTAAAATGGAGATAATACTTACTGCCTGCATCACTGGGCTTAAATTACTTATGTAAAATGCTTCATTTCGTGGCTGGATGACAGTAGGCACTCAAAAGCCCAAATTGTTTGAGGTTTCACTTCATCATTTCTCTGGCAGAATTCTTTTTTCTTACCCTACTGGGAGTTTCCACATTCAAATACCAAGATGAAATAAATACCTTTATTTCTTCAATCTTCTCTTCATAACAAGCCTAATTTTACTGAGTTTTGGTAGCTATTGTTTTTGATGGTAGGGAGCTGGCTGTACTCTAGGACCTTGGGGTGGGAAATTTGGACTTTTCATAAAATAGCAGTTGGGAGCTGCTGGAAGAATGGACGTGCCGTGAGTGGTCTTGGATGCAGCCCCTATTTTTTCTGCCAGTTTCTAAAGATCAGGCTGTCTTTTAGTTCAAATTTTTTTCATCAGTATGTTGAGTATGACAGAACTTAATGCTTTTAGCTCTCTATTAAGACATTTAACTGTGTAGGTTTCACTTGTATAGATTGGAATTTGAACAGTTTCTGATTTCTTTTTTATTTTTTTGAGACGGAGTCTCGCTTTGTCGCCAGGCTGGAGTGCAGTGGCACAATCTCGGCTCGCTGCAACCTCCACCTCCCAGGTTCAAGCGATTCTCCTGCTTCAGCCGCCCAAGTAGCTGGGACTACAGGTGCGCGCCATGCCCAGCTAATTTTTGTATTTTTAGTAGAGATGGGGTTTTACCATGTTGGCCAGGATGGTCTTGGATCTCTTGACCTTGTGATCCGCCCGCCTTGGCCTCCCAAAGTGCTGGGATTATAGGCGTGTATCACCGCGTTTTTTGTTGTTGTTGTTGTTTTTTGAGGCGGAGTCTTGCTGTCACCCAGGCTGGAGTGAAGTGGTGTGATCTCGGCTCACTGCAACCTCCACCTCCTGGGTCAAGCAATTCTCCTGCCTCAGCCTCCCGAGTAGCTGGGATTACAGGTGCCCGTCACCATGCCTGGCTAATTTGTTTATATTTTCAGTAGAGATGGGGTTTCACCACGTTTGCCAGGCTAGTCTTAAACTCCTGACCTCAAGTGATTTGCCCGCCTCGGCCTCCCAAAGTGCTGGGATTACAGACGTGAGCCACTGTGCCCGGCCGTGATTTCTTAATTGATATTTTTATAGACGGCGTAAGATGGTCCATTAGTTATTAGGGATAAATATTTTTCTCCTTGATTGTAGGTTCAGTTATTTTAATTTGTTGAATTGCAGCGTATCTGTCTGGTTCAAAATTCGAAAGTAAGAAAAGGTGTATACTCATCCTTTGGTATCTGTGGGGGATTAGTTCCAGGACCTCCCATAGATACCAAAATCCTTGGATATTCAAGGCTTTGATATAAAATGGTGTAGTATTGGCATAAAACCTATGCATGGTGCCATCTTGGCTCACTGCAACCTCCGCCTCCTGGGTTCAAGCAATGCTCCTGCCTCAGCCTCCCTAATAGCTGGGATTACAGGCACCTGCCACCATGCCCAGCTAATTTGATATTTTTAGTAGACGCGGGGTTTCACCATGTTGTCAAGGCTGATCTCAAACTCCTGACCTCACGTGATCCACCCGCCTCGGCCTCCCAAAGTGCTGGGATTACAGGCGTGAGCCACCGCGCCCAGCTGTCTCATAGTTTTAGACACTGTCTGTTGCCTTCCTGGTAAACCTGGCAAGGACTTAGCTCTTTTACACCCTAGCCCTGTCCATTCTTGAGGTTTGGGTTTGCCACAATTTGTAGAAAATGAACAGTGTTTACAGAATTGTGACTATATAAATATTATTCACCACAGAGCTTAATAATGTGCTGTGAGGTCAGGCATGGTGGCTCACGCCTGTAATCCCAGCACTTCGGGAGGCCAAGGTGGGCGGATCACCTGAGGTCGGGAGTTCAAGACCAACCTGGCCAACATGGAGAAACCCCATCTCTACTAAAAATACAAAAATTAGCCGGGTGTGGTGGTGCCCCCCTGTAGTCTCAGCTACTTGGGAGGCTGAGGCAGAGAATCACTTGAACCTGGGAGGTGGAGGTTGCAGTGAGCCGAGATCATGCCACTGCACTCCAGCCTGGGCAACAGAGTGAGACTCTATCTCAAAATATAATAAAATAAAAATAAAATACACTCTGATGATGGCTGCTTCCCCCAAGGGTGCCTCAAGCTCTCTCCTTTTCTTTCAGTGCCATCTGCCATTATCGTGCCCTCGTTCTCTTCCAGTGCTCTGGCGGAGCAGGTGGCGCCCAGGCCCACAGTGCCCTCTCCAAGTTCTGTCCTCCATGTGCTCAAGTTATCCCCTAAACTTGTCACATGGGTCATCCTGGAACTTTGCTTAACTGCTTCCTGGGTTGGGGCCTTTATTTCCTGGCTCCCTTCTCTTCTTGCTTAATTTCCCCTCCCTTTGCTGCAGCACATACCCAGTTAATCCCTTTCTAACATTAAAAAAAGAAAAAGAGAATAGTTCTTGGACCTCCTCATGATAGAAATTATATCTTTAGGCCGGGTGTGGTGGCTCACTTGTGTAATCCCAGCAGTTTGGGAGGCCGAGGCAGGTGGATCACTTGAGCTCAGGAGTTCAAAACCAGCCTGAGCAACATGGTAAAACCCTATCTCTACAAAAAGTACAAAAATTAGCCAGGTGTGGTTGCATGTACCTGCAATCCCAGCTACTCAGGAAGCTGAGGGAGGAGAATCTCTTGAACCCAGGAGGTGGAGGTTGCAATGAGCTCTGATCATGCCACTGCACTCCAGCCTGGGTGACAGAGTGAGACCCTGTCTCAAAAAAAACAAAATAAAGTTGTATCTTTAATATCCATTAACTGAAAAATAAAAATAAAAATAAGGACCAAAAATTACTATGTGGACACACATGCTTTTAAATGAATTTGTGTGTTATTAACCACAGTAACATCTATGAACTTGTGAAAAACTGTTACTGGTTTAGGCTTAAGGGTTTGCCCAGTCTAGCTTCAATGTTCAATGGGTGGGCATGGTGGCTCACACTTTGGGAGGTGGCCAAGGCAGGCAGATCGCTTAGTCCAGGAGTTGGAGACCAGCCTGAGCCACATAGTGAAACCCTATCTCTACAAAAAATTTAAAAATTAGCTGTGTGCGGTCACGCGCACCTGTAGTCCCAGATATTGGAGGGCAGTGGGGGGTGGCGCTGAGGTGGGAGGATCACTCGAGGCCAGAAGGTCAAGGCTGCAGTGAGCCGAGGCTGAGTCACTGCCTGGGTGGCACAGCAAAACTCTGTCAAAAAAACAAACCAAAACAAAACAAAACAGACAAACAAGAACCAAAGTTGGATGCAGTGGCTCATATCTGTAATCCCAACAACTCGGAAGGCTCAGGCAGGAGGATTGCTTGAGGCCAGGAGTTCAAGGCCAGCCTGGGCAACATACTGAGACCCTCGCCTCTGAAAAAATTAAATATTAATAAAAACAAACCCTAGTAGCTTCAGTCTTTGATTCTCCATCCCTCATTTCATCCCTTTGTCTTCTGGTAATAGAATTTCCTTCTTGTTTTTCTTTTGGGATGAGCCACCTTCGCTCCCTGGGATTCTGCTGGGATTGAGTTACCGCCTTCCGGGCTCAAGCGATCCTCCCACCTCAGCCTCCCAAGTCGCTAAGACCATAGGTGCATGCCACCATGCCTGGCTAATGTTTTGTATTTTCTGTAGAGCCGGCGTTTTGCCCTGTTGCCCAGGAGTTTTTCCTTTAATGTTCTCCTGCTACTTACTAATTCACTTTGTCACCCTGTGAGCTCATAAGAGCAGAGAGATAGCAACAGGAGCTAAAAAAACTCTAAGCTGTGAAAAAATATTAAATATGAAATCATGATAGCTATTAGCTTAATTTGTTTTAGGCAAATTGCAAAGTAATTTTTTGGGAATCAGTGTCCCACTGCAGTGATTCCATATGGGGATTCCTAATTCCCAGTATGTTTTTAAAATAATTTGTAAACACCTAGTACAAACGCATGATATGAAATTCAAGAGGTACAAAAGGGCATACAGCCCTGCACTCTCCCAGTTTCCCTCCCGGAAGGCAACCGCCATTACCAGTTTCTCGTGTGTGCTTCCAGAGGTATTCTTGTCCAACAGAACTTCAGTGATGAAAACAGTTGCCTGTGCTGCCAGTTTGGAAGCCATTAGCCACACGGGGCAGTTGAGCACTTGATATGTGGCTAGTGTGTCTTAGCAGCTGACTTTAAAATTTTTTTTTTTTTTGTTAAAGACTCAGCGTCTTGCTCTGTTTACCAGACTGGACTGCAGTGATGTGTGAACATGGCCTCAAACTCCTATTTATTTATTTTTTGAGACAGGGCCTCACTCTGTTGTCCAGGCTGGAGTGCAGTGGTGCAGTCATAGGTCACTGCAACCTTGACCTCCTGGGCTCAAGAAATCCTCCCACCTCAGCCTCCTAAGTTGCTGGGACTACAGATGAATGCCACCATGTTTGGCTGATTTTTACAATTTTAAATTTTTTGCCTGGGCGCAGTGGCTCATGCCTGTAATCTCAGCACTTTGGGAGGCTGAGGCGGGCAGATCACCTGAGGTCAGGAGTTCAAGACCAGCCTGGCCAACATGGCAAAACCTTGTCTCTACCAAAAATACAAAAATTTGCTGGGTATGGTGGTGCGTGCCTGTAGTCCCAGCTACTTGGAGGCTGAGGCACGATAATCGCTTGAACCCAGGAGGCAGATGTTGTAATAAGCTGAGACTGCGCCACTGCACTCCAGCCTGGGTGACAGAGTGAGACCCGTCTCAAAAAAAATAAAAATAAATAAATAAATAAATTTTTTGTAGAAAAGGGGCTTCACTATGTTGCCCAGGGTGTTCTTGAACTATTGGCCTCAAGCTATCCTCCCACTTGGCCTCCCAAAGTGCTAGGATTACAGGCATGAGCCACTGTGGCCAACCTAAATTTATATGTAAATAGCCATATGTGGCTAGTGGCTACTGTATCAGACCTCACAGTTCTGTACAGATAACGCACAGCGCACAGTAGCATACTATACACGCCCTACTAAATCTTGCTTTGTTCCCTTAACAGCACCTATGCATCTTGGAGATAGATTGTCCCAGTCTGCCTCATTTTTAAAAACTGCTGTATAATATCCTCTTGTAATCCACAAAGGGAATCCCAGACCCAGCCTGGGGGGCCATGGGTCATCACTTTTTACAACAAGCTCTAAAATCTTCCACATGTACCATAATCAAGGCACTTCAGAACAACCCTAGGTTCCTCATGCCTCTACTTTTATTAGCCTGGGCCTGACATAGTTGGACATTGAATAGTCACTTCTGGGGGCTGGTGGAAATAATTTACCATGAGTGACTGCCCTAAAGTATACTCTCCACCCACGTGGCCCGTGCCTGGCATTCACTAGTGCTGGTGGCATTCTTTAAGGTTGCTCATATCTCTAAGTGGTTCTCCTTTAAAGAGCAAAGTCTCCTGGGAAAGGTGGTCATTAAGCAGAACATCTGGGGCTCATCTTGCTTTTGCCCTGTTGAGAGGGGCCAAGGGACTTGGTAGAGCAGCAGGGGCTCTGACGGTGAACCTCATTGTTTTTAAAATTATTCATAAGAGGCCAGGTGCATTGGCTCACACCTGTAGTCCCAGGACTTTGAGGAGCAGAGGCAGGAGGATCATTTGAGTCCAGGAGTTCAAGATTAGACTGAGCAACACGGGGAGACCTCATCTCTACAAAAAATTTAAAAGAAAATTAATTGGGCATCATGGCACGAGCCTGTGGTTCCCGCTACTCGGGAGGCTGAGGTGGGAGGATCACCTGAGCCCAGGAGGTTGAGACTTGCAGTGAGCTGAGTTCACACCACTGCACTCGAGCCTTGATGACAGAATGAGACTGTCTCAAAAAAAAAAAAAAAAAAAAATTGTCCTTAAGTCCATGTGGACCCCTGACTAGGTTTGTGCCCTAGACAGCCTTCCTCTGAGGGCAGTTCAGGTGGTGAGACTCCAGCTTTAAATGGCCTCTAGAGAAATTTCACTAACCTGCCTTGGTGTTTGACCCTGTATAACCCCTTTCTTCTGGAGGTCCCTTTGGGTGGCAGTAGATACGGGATTTGGTGTCTGACAGCTCTGGGGACAGATCCCAGCTCCAAATGGCAGAGTCTCTACAGATTACAAGCCAAATACTTAGCACTATGTGCTGATCTTCAGGAAGTCAGTCTATATTTCATAACAAGTCACATGGGGATAATGAAGGAATGGCCTAAAATGCTCTCAGTAATATTCCTGAGTCATCCCTCAGGGCTAGGCTTGGTGTTAGGCATGGCGGGGAAGGGAGCAGAGCTGTGTGCAGAGGAAGATGCAGTTCTTGCCTTGTCAGGGTCCCTGACCTGATGGCGACCCATGGTGGAGTCTTCATAGTGACAGACACCACTGTAAAAGCAGATCCAGGTTGTGCAACCCTCAAAGCAGGTCTCCTCACTCACCGGGATAGATAGACTATTGGCCGTACCTGCATCCACCGCTTGCCATGGTTTCGTTGTGGGTGGAGGATACTTTCCTGTCCCCTGGCTTTGGGTTTGCCCACGTGGCTTGCTCTGGCCTTGGAATGAAGCAGAAACGAAAGGCTGCCAGTTCCGAGCCCACGTCTGAAGTCGCCTTAGGTGGTTCCGCGGGCCCCGTGCGCTCCCACCTTCACCCAGAGGGCCTTCTCTGGTGCAGCCGCTGCTTCTTCAGCCTCCGCCCAAAAGGAACGGAGCCCCCTGGCCGATCCGCAGGCCTACAGGGAGCCACAGAGCGCAGCGGCTGGACCAGCGTTCAAGCCCAAGCACAGGCCTGCGAGAACCTTGTTCCAGCCGCCGTTTAGGATGGTTGATTAGGACGCGTTGCAGTGGCGGTAGCTCACCAATCCAGTGCGTGCACCCGCTCCTTTATTAGGCTATAGAGCCAGTGGCTCCCACAGGGACCTGATACAACAGTGCGTTAAATAAGGAGCATATTGAGCTCTCATGTCGTAAGCCAGTGGAGAAGTCCAGGGCTAGTGTGGGGGCTCCGGCGGGGGCTGTGGCCCCCATCCGCATGGAGCCTCCCCATGGTTCACAGGTCTCAGTCTTCGGAGCCTTCGGCCCTGCGAGCCCGAACGGTCCACAGGGCGGCGCCAGACCCTCTTTCGAACGCCATCCTCTAAAGCCTCGGCTCCAACCGGTTCCACTTCTTCAGGCTCAGGATTTTCACTCTTCTCGAATGGGGGTGGCCCTCCCCCAATCTTCTGAGTCGCAACAGCATCTCCCTCCCTCCAGGACCTCAGAGCCAGAGCTGGGCGAGAGGCCCTGACCTCCGGGGTAGGGTGGAAGCGTCCCTGTGAAGGTGCAGTCCTGCCTCCCATCCCCAGGCGCCGGGCCTCTCCCACCCTCAGCGCCCTGCTCACCTCCAGCTGAAGATGCCAGGGCACCTCTGCTTCCTCCCTGCCCTCTCTGCAGTACCGCCGAGTGTGCATAAAAGGGTTTAATATAGGCTTTGCCGGGCGCGGGGACTCCCACCTGTAATCCCAGTACGTTGAGAGACCAAGGCGGGAGGATCACTTGAGGCCAGGAGTTCAAAACCAGCCTGGGCAACAAAGTGAGGCCCGTCTCTGAAAAAAAAAAAAAAAAAAAAAAAAGAATAAAAGAGGTCCCTTTTTCTGGGAGATTGATATAGGGGAGTGTGAGTTAGAAGGGAGGCATCGAGGATCAGTCATTTAAAGCAGCATCCAAGGGTGTTCAAGGCTAGAGATCCACAGGTGTATTTTCAGAAACTGAATTTCCTGGCGGGGCACAGTGACTCATGCCTGTAATCCCAGCACTTTGGGAGGCCAAGGTGAGCGGATCACTTGAGGTCAGGAGTTCAAGACTAGCCTGGCCAACATGGTGAAACTGTTTTTAGAAAAAAAAAAAAAAAAAAAATTGGCCGGGCATGGTGGTGGGTGCCTGTAATCCCAGCTATTCGGGAGGCTGAGGCAGGAGAATCACTTGAACCTGGAAGGCAGAGGTTGCAGTCAACCGAGATCACGCTGCTGCACTCCAGCCTGGGTGACAGAGACTGTCTCCAAAAACAAACAAACAAACAAAACACAAAAAAAACCCCAAAACCCAAAACAAGCCAGGCGCGGTAGCTCGCACCTGTAATCTCAGCCCTTTGGGAGGCCAGGGCGGGTGGATTACCTGAGGTCAGGAGTTCGAGACCAGCCTGACCAACATGGTGAAACCCCATCTCTACTAAAAATACAAAAATTAGCCGGGCATGGTGGTGCATGCCTGTAACCCCAGCTACTAGGGAGGCTGAGGCAGGAGACTTGCTTGAACCCAGGAGGCGGAGGATGCAGTGAGCTGAGATCGTGCCATTGCATTCCAGACTGAGCAACAAGAGCAAAACTCCACCTTAAAAGAAAAAAAAACAAACAAAACTCCTGAATTTCCCTGTGGATATCTTTTCTCTGGCAGCCTTTTTCAATGAGGGCTAAGTTTTCTCCAATACTATATGGCCTGCAGACCGCTCAGCTTTCATTCCAGTGAAAACATTCCAGAAAAAACTCTGAATCAATCCCAGGTGTTTCTCCAATCAGCTCAGGATGATTGTGTGTTACCTGCTGCCCAGCCAGTGACACCTCTCCAGGCCTCTGACTTAGCTAGGTCTCCACCATGTGACTCCACCATAGACTCCCCACCTTCTTCTTTTGCAAAGCCTCAGACACCCAAACACCTACCAAAAGTGGGTAGGGCACCAGGACACTCCAAGTGTAAGTGGGGCTCTCCAGCACACCTGGATGTGGAGGTGTGATGCAGAGTGGTGGCTGCTCGTGACACTCATTTCACCCCTTTCTGTGCAGGTGCCAGAAGCCCAGGAAGCACACATCAAGGCTCACTTGCCAGCGGGGTGCTGCCAATAAAATGTAGTCACGTGGAATTTGGAATGTGGAAAGGAGGTAGAAGTCATCCTTTCCTCCCCCATAGCAGCAGGTGTGCAGGCTCTGGTGGTCAGCTGGACTCCATACTCCCCCACCAGTCACCAGCCTGGGGACCGTGGGGCTGCAAGGACCTCAGCAGCGGTTTCCCAAGTTTCCTGACTTCTTCCATCCTCTGGAAATCAGCTGTGGTAAAGTAGCCTGAAAGCCAGTGGTGCAACCCCATCCCCACAACCTTCACCACCTCTAGCACCTCCAGTGATAAGCACTAATTGCCTATATACAACCCTTTTTTGTTTGAAATATCTAGAGTAATTTCTGTTTTCCTATCTGGGGTAGTGTAACATAAGAAGAAATATATATTTGGTCTCTGCCCCCAGTTCCTAACACAAAGCTCCTAAAACCCTTGGAAATTCCTGAATGATGGCGGTGCTAAGAGCATTGTCCTTTGTTAATTTATCATTTTTCTTTTCTCCTAGGTGTTTTTTCCTTTTTAAACTTTTCTTTTAGGTTAGGGGGTACATATGCACGTTCGTTATATAGCTAAACTTGTGTCATGGGGGTTTGTTGTACAGATTATTTCATCACCCAGGTACCAAGCCTAGTACCCAATAGTTTTTTCTGCTCCTCTCCCTCCTCCCACCCTCCACCCTCAGGTAGGGCCCAGTGTCTGTTGTTTATGAGTTCTCATCATTTTGCTCCCACTTAAAAGAACATACAGTATTTGGTTTTCTGTTCCTGTCTTAGTTTGCTGAGGATAATGGCCTCTAGCTCCATCTGTGTTCCTGCAAAAGACATGATCTCGCTGTTTTTTATGGTTGCACATCTTTTGTTCTAACATTTGGTCCTTAAACCTGGTTCCTGACACAGAGCTCCTAAATCCCTTGGAATTTTCTGGGTGATAGAAGCGTCCTTTGTTCTCATGAGGTGACTCTTGGTGGGCTCCTTATTTGGGGACTGGTCACCAAAAAGACCTATGGTTGGAAGCGTTGTGCTGTCAGCCCCATTCCCCATCCTCTGGCGTGGGGAGTAGAGCTGGAGCTCAATCATGCCTACGTGATAAAGCCTCCAGAAAACTCCTTAAAAGACAGGACTTGGAGAGCTTCCGGGTTGGCGAACACATCCATGTTCCAGGAGAGTGGTGCACCCCAACTCCACAAGGACCCTTCCAAACCTCACCCTGTGTATCTCTTCAACTGGCTTCATCATTTGTGTCCTTTAAAATATCCTTTGTAATAAATCAGCACTAGTAAGAAAACTGTTTTCCTGGGTTCCATGAGCTGTTCTAGCAAATGTTCAAACCTGAGGAGGGAGTTGTGGGGACCTCCAATTTACAGCCAGTTGGTCAGATGCATAGGTGATGCTTGGCCTTGCACCTGGGGTCTGACATGCGGATGGTCCTGTGTGACTGAGCCCTTAACCTGTGGAGTCTGGTGCTCACTCTGCTTAGGGCTTCTCTTGCCTTTTTAGTGTCCTTCTAGGCGGCCTTTCCTTCCTCTTGTCAGCTCAGAAAACTTTTCTTCCACTTCCCTTCTTCTAAACCATCCCTTACATCTACTCCTTTCCAGCCGACCAAGAGCAGAACCACGGCTGGTTCCACTGCCACCATGCTGTCCCACACTGTCTCCTCAGGATGTATTCAGATGTCCAGCCCTCCCCCCAGTCTAGGAGCCCCCCCTTTGAGGAAAGGGATGCTGGCCTAGTCAACTCTTTCCCAGCACCAGGTACAGCATCTGGCACGTTCCATCTTTTTCATGGACTCTCCCCAGGCGGCCTGACCTTCCCTCCTCTGAACCGGTGCATTTCTTGTCTGCATCATGTTTGCCCTAATCAGATATCACCTTATTTCCTCTTTTAAAAAATGCTTTGTTTCTCTGGCAGGCTTCATCGGAATCACAATTTTCATTCATTTAGTAACTGTTGTTGTTTATTCTATGTATTTTTGCAGGAGGCCTGAGGTGGGCTGTGTTCTCCTCCTATGGCAGGGCTTCACTCTCCTCCTCCTCCGTTGGGGCTTCGCTGTCCCTGGGATAAGAATAACAATGCCAAGGTTTTCATTCTTGAAAGGAGCAATTAAGCTTCTCACCCCCTCCTCATTTTAGATGGGAACTGTGAGGGCCCCATCATTTACCCAGGGTCCCTGTTGAGGATCTTGTCCTCATTAGATGACTTCTTGTGCAGCTTCCATGCATGATTATTTATTCTTGTGGCACTGAGAGGTTTGTACATATCTTTAAACCAGAGCGGCTGTCCAAATGAGGAAAGTCCATCCTAGAAGATAGAAAGGGAAATATTAATTTTGCATGTCCTCTGCTTTCCCTGGCCACAGCAATGAATCCTCCAATGTACCTGACTCTCCCTTCGCGAAGAGCATCCCCTCCATGGCAGAAATCTGAAAATGCCCCTGGGGAGACACATGCACAAGACAGTGAGTGATGCAGCCGTTTCCCACGTATCTCACAATGTACTTCTCTGGTCTTATTAGGACTAAATGAGTATCTCAGTCCATAATCACAGGGAGAACCACCACCACAGACCACATACCCGGGGTCTTGAAAATAATTCCATGCATGTGGGACTTTCAGAAGCTCTCCATGTCTGCCCAGAAGGGCCCCACAATATACTGGGGGGACTTTGTATGTGGCTCAGCATGGAGCAGGGGCAGGATTTTCAGTCCCACTCACTCCCTTGGCCAAGTGCCCTTGTGCAGTGAACAAACTGCACAACCATGCTGGGCAGAAGCATTTTATATCAGTCCCCTTCGGACTTAGTCTCACAGGCATCATTTGATGGGGGATGGGAGATGAAGTGGTTCTTCGTTTTCTAGATACTTTATTCTATAAGTTGGATCACCTCAAGCAAATGCGTGAGTGCAGCTAGCCAAGTTCTCTATCTCACAGTCTTCATATGGCTGGCTGTCGCTGATGAGTGAGTGAGCTACGAAATCAGCTTAAAGCACAACATGTTATTTTTGAATTTGAATAAAATAGGAAAAGGCAGAGTGCATTGTGTGACCATGGGGTAAGTAAGACACTCTCCCTTTCTCCTTCTCAGTTTTCCTGTCATAAAAGGACAAACTACTATCTAAGGTCTCCGTAGTTAAAATTCTTTTTTGTTGTTTTTTTTTTATTTGAGACAGTTTGGCTCATTCCCCAGGCTGGAGTGCAATGGTGCTATCTTGGCTCCCTGCAACCTGCGCCTCCTGGGCTCAAGCAGTTCTCCTGCCTCAGCCTCCCAAGTAGCTGGGATTACACGCCTGCGCCACCACACCCAGCTAATTTAGTATTTTTAGTAGAGATGGGGTTTCACCATGTTGGTCAGGCTGGTCACGAGCTCCTAACCTCAAGTGATCCCAAAGTGCTGTGATTACAGGCGTGAGCCATCCTGCCTGGCCTTTCTGGTTAAAATTCTGTGAGGTTTGCATAAAAGGAATAGAGTAGGGGCCCAAAAACCAGTAAGATGAGAAAATAGTGTTTCCTCAGTTCTAGGATCCAGGGGAAAAAAAAAAGAAATAAAAGAGAAAATACTGTTTCCTGCCACTTAAGAGGAAGGACTCACATATCCTACCTTCCATCAGCCTTGAAGGAGACAAGTGCCCTCTCTCTCACACCCGGTGGCCTTCCCTTCCCCTTTCCCAGAGCCTCCAAGAAGGCCCCTGGCCTGGCCTGATGCCCACCATCAGCAGCAATAGGCACCAAAACCTTTCTCCTTCCTATCCCTCCCCACCTCCCGAAAGGGCTGGGGACAGCAGGTGTGTCCTTGTTAGTTCCATCCAGCTCAGCTTTGGCTGGGGAGCTAATTTCACTGGAGCCAGGCTAAGCATTAGGGTAAGTATTTGTCCTGTCTTGGGCAGTTTCCTCACTGAAAAATGAGGGCAGAGTTCTAAGCCCTCCTCTAATTCTAAAATTCTAATTAAAACGTCGCGAGACTAGTGGTGCATGCCTGTAATCCCAGCTACTCGGGAGGCTGAGGCAGGAGAATCGCTTGAACCTGGGAAGTGGAGGTTGCCGTGAGCCGAGATCGTGTCATTGCACTCCAGCCTGGCAACAAGAGGGAAACTCCGTCTCAAAAGAGAAGAAAAAAAAAATCACCAGACTAATATTTACCTTGAGAATCCTTCTTCATCTTCTTGTAATGACCTTCGGTGACAACATATCTGTTTTAGAAGAAAACGCAATTAAGATTATCTATGACAACAACCACCGTCTCCAAATCTGTATTGATTCCTTTTATTCATTATAAGTCTCATCTACCTGATGAGGTAACTTTTTTGAAGACAGGAATTGTATGCTGTGTAACACTGCTTTGATTCTTCCATAGTTCAGTCATCCTTGCTATCTTGCGGGGGATTGGTTCTAGGATACCGCCCCCACACCATACCAGAATCTGTGGATGCTCAATCCCTTACATATAATGGTGTAATATTTGCTTATAACCAACACGCATCCCCCCTATACTTTATTTACTTAGCGACAGGATTGCCCTCTGTTGCTTACGCTGGAGTGCAGTGTCATCCTCTGTTACTCAGGATGGAGTGCGGTGTCACGATCACAGCTCACTGTAGCCTCAACCTCCTGGGCTCCAGTGATCCGCCCACCTCAGCCTCTTGAGTAGCTGAGACTACAGGTGCATACTACCACACCTGGCTATTTTTTTTTTTAATTTTTAATAAAGACAAGGTCTCACTATGCTGCCCAGGTTGGCCTCCCAATGTGTTGGGATTACAAGTGTGAGCCACCATGCCTGGCCCCATGTAATTTAAGTCATCACTAATAAAATGTATACATATTGTACATTGTTGACAGTTGTTATATTGTACTTTCTGTTTGTATTTTTATTGGTTTTTTTTTTCTTCAAATATTCAGCCTGATCTAGTTGAATCTGAAGATGTGGACCTGCTGATGAAGAGGGCTGACTGTATCTAACTTAGGGTCTTGCATGCAGCTGGCACTTAATACATTTTATTGACTGTTTTAGATAACATTCAACAGATAATTCCTAATAAAAACTCTTAAAAGTAGGAGAAAAAGGAAACCTGAGTCCTTCCTCTGAAGTGGCAGGAAAACCAGCCTGGGCAACATAGCAAGACCTTGTCTCTACGAACACATTTTTTAAATTAGCTGCCTGCCTGTAGTCCCAGCCACTCAGGAAGCTGAGGCAGGAGGATCCCTTAAGCCCAGGAGTTTGATGTTACAGTGAGCTAGGTCACACCATTGCTCTCCAGCCTGGGTGACAACAAGGCCCTGAGAAGGGAAAAAAAAGGAAAGGAAAGGAAAGGAAAAAGGAAAAGGGAAAGGAAGGAAAGAGTAGAAGTATTGGAAAGGAAGAGACAAAACTATCATTATTTGCATATTAAATGATAAATGTTAGCCAAAGAAGCCTAAGAGAATCAACTAAGATTTTACTGGAAGTAATGAGAATTCAATACAGTGGCTATCTACAAAATCAAGAAATCAGCACACAAACCTCAAATACTTTTCCCATGTACCACCAATAACTAATTAGAAAATGGAAGAAAGATCCCATTTACAATGGCAATACAAATGTATGAAGAATTTAGGAACAAAAATACAAAGATCTTTTATCTAACAAAAGATGTATAAGATCTATATATGGAAACACTAAAGCTCTTCTGAAAGACATTAACAAGAAATGAATACATGACATGAGATAGCACGTTCCTAGAATGTCGTACAGATGTAAATTCTCAAATTAATCTACAAATTTAACGTAATCCTATTCAAATCCCAAGATAGTTTTTGGTGGTGGCTGTTTTTAAGACAGGGCCTAGCTGTGTTGCCCAGGCTAGAGTGCAGTGGTACGACCACAGCTCACTGCATCCTCGACCTCCCAGGCTCAAGCGATCCTCCCACTTCAGCCTCTGAAGTCTCTCATATGGTGTCCAAGAAATGGTGACAAATCTCACAAAGGGACTAGGCTCAGCAGGGCTGGAATATTCAGGGAAGGTGTCAAGAAGAAAGATGAACTTGAGTTGGCTTTTGAGAGATGCATAGGACTCCCACAGGCAGAGTGAAATAAGGGCATTTTAGATGGACAAACACACAGACAAAAGCAGAAATGTGGGTGGTGTGACTGGGGTTTGGTGAGGGGCTGCTGTGGCTGGAATGGAGGGCTGCCACAATAATGGAAATGGTAAATGAGGCAAGTAAGGTTGGACTGGTGGCATAGCGTCAAGGTTGCCAGCTTTATTAAATCACTCTTCCAATATGCTAGCACTGGCCTGTTGGGAAAAGTAATACATCATGTAATCGAACAAAAGACAGAGGCAAGCTCCAGGAATGGGCACTGTAAACAGGACTTGTCCCAGAGTAGCCAGATGTAGGCTTTAGGTAAGTTGATGCAAGCTGAGCATCTCTAATCTGAGGGGGAATGTCTCACATGGTGTCCAAGAAATGGTGACACATCTCACAGAGGGTCTAGGCTCAGGAGGGCTAGAGTATGAGACGTTCCCCCTCACCAGTGAACTTAAAAATGTGGCCAAAAATTTTTGTAAAAGATGGCTACTCTGTAGTGCTTTAACTGGACCTATTTAGACAATGCCTTACACACTGGAGGACGATACTGTGTAAATCTAATAAGTCTACAAGACAATACGTATGTCTTTTGGCTCTCTCCTTCCTCTCCAGGGTGATGACAACTCCGTGAGGGTGGAGATTATACCTCTCTCATCATTTCAGCAACAAGGAAATAAATTAGTGGCAGAGTAAGGGTGACTTGATGAGTACATCCAATTGTTGACATAGTTTTGGGTGGGAGAAATTTTCGACTTCTTAAAATAGTCTAGTGGGATTCACATGGTTTCAATTCACAGAGATCTGAAAGCGAGGATCCTTTAAAAATCCTGAAATATACACTGCAGTAAAAGAACAAAGCATACACCTCAGCCTTAAATGACTGAAGAAGTATGTCAAGTAGCAGCAGGTGGGAAAGTGGCTTTGGTTTTCAGTTTGTGAGCTCTGAATCCACACAAAGACAGGACTGCATTCTGAAAACCTGAATTAATTATTGTCCTTACCACAATGAGGCAGAAAAGTATAATCAAAATCGTTAGTATTCCAGTAACAATTAATGCCAAGATGAGTTTGTCAGTATAGCCATATCCTGGAACTTCTTTTTTGAGCTAAAAAAAAAAACACACAAAAAAAAAACCAGAATGAGAGCTAACTATTCAAAACCCCAGTATTCCAGGTGAGTAGCTGACAGGTTCTTTTTTATTTTTTTGAAAGAGGGTCTCACTCTGTCACCCAGGCTTGGGTACCGTGGTGCAATCACCGTTCACTAGACTCGACCTCCCTGGGCTCAGGTGATCCTCCCACCTCAGCCTTCCAAGTAGCTGGGACTACAGGCACGTGTCATCAACCCAGCTAATTTTCTTATTTTTTGTGGAGACAGGCTTTCACTATGTTGGCCAAGCTGGTCTCAAACTCCTGACTTCAAGTAATCCACCCACCTTCGCCTCCCAAAGTGCTGAGATTACAGGCGTGAGCTACCACCCCCGGCCTACAGTTCATCTTGTGCCCTAATCTATTTCTCTCTCTACATGAGCAAAGTGGGAGATCACTGTCATGACCAAAGTTACATGGCCAAGATAAGCTATGGCCTGGGAGTCCCAGACTCTTCTGTGTGGGCACTTTCCTGGGATATGCTAAATGATGGGAAATCTGGGTCTCATGTTTCTGTGTGGTCCTCACCTCAAGCGACTTCTCTTTCTGTTCACTCTGGGCTTCTGTGCTCTCATTAATGTAGTTCTCAATCTTCCATTGGTCCGTATCCCATTCTATCTTGGATGCCTTTACTTCCTGCTGCCCACTGAGAAGCTTCATCAGGTGGCCTGTCCTGGAGATGAGCTTGGCACAGGTCACTTGCACATGGGCCCCAGAGCAGTCCATCTTCAAGGTCCGGATAACATGAGCAATGAGCCTTCTCACATTGTTGTTGGGGATAAGGGACTGTAGCTGCTGGGTTAGCTGAATTTCAAACTGATCACCTGGGGACGAGAGCAATGGGTAATTGAAGCTTTTGGGCTCGGGGGACAGGTCAGTGCCCACGTTGTTGTATTCCCATTTTGTCTCAGTTTGTTTAACAGTTGGCCCTAAGTTGAATGCAGTCCCAGCGGAATCTGCCTCATGAGGATGATTGTAGTTTGTGTTTTCAGAGATGGTTCCTTCTGGCATGTTAGTGTTTTCCATAAAATCATTTTCTTCAAAGGCATTTCTTGCAGTTGTGTGTTTTGTATTATTGTTTTCTATAAAATGTTCTGAAGGAGCAGATACTTCCAGAAAAGGGTTTTCTTGAGGACTCAGGTCTCCTAAGGATGAAAAAGCCCCTTGTGAAGGGGAATTTATGAGGCTCTTCGCTGCAGAGAATGGAAGCCTGTTTGCGAGCATCAGTCTACTCAGATAACTTTTCTTTCTGACCTTTGGACTCTTTTTGACTTTGGGTGTTCTGTGGGTCACGTGGGAGCGAGTTTTGTGAAAGCGGTATTTTTTTCTGGCATGTACGATTGGTTTAGACGTCTTCGTATTTGTAACTCTAGCCTTTGCACTTTCTAAAATGGAAATAGCGTGGGTTAAGTCTTTCCATCTGTCTCTCACCTGTGGTAGGGCTTTTGCAGGGCTGGAGGTAGAAGGCGCGCCCTTGGAGAAGGGTTTCAGCACAGAGACTGCTGCCTTATGCTCTTGGGTGAAGGAAGGCTTGGTGTAGACGGCGTTTCCCGCTAACTTCTCAGGCCCCTGCTGTGTGTGGGGCTGTTCCACCTCCCTTGGGGCTGGACTCCCGAGCCTTTTTTCTTCGGCAGCGTTCTCCACAGATGCCTGGGCACCCTGTTCCCTCCTGATGCTCTGCCTTCCTACCTCTTTGAAGTGCCTTTTCTGGATGCTCCTTGGGCCCATGAGGACTCTCTTCACTCTCTGCCGGTTTTGGCCTACAGTTTGAATCTTTGCCAGGCTGTTTCCTGTGGTTGGCAGTTTAATGAACGGTAGTAACAGTGATTTCACATCTAGGTTTACCGCTGAGAAATAAGGCAAGATGTAACTTAGTGTACTGATAAAATCACTCTCGTCATTGGTGTCTAGCTGCTCACTCCCAAAGCCTGACAAGTTGATGCCACTGCTGTCTGAGGGCTCCTCTGGCTCAACAATCAGCTCAGTGCTTGTGTAGTTCTTCCGGGCTTGTAACACCTTCATGAACGCTCCTTCTGGATTCCCTACCGATGCTTCTTCAGCTGTCAAAAAAGAAGAGACTGCTTTGATCATGAAAGATGATGGGATGGGATGCATCAGTCCATAGCTGTACACCCCAGTCACACAGAGTAGGAGTCAGCAAACATTCGAGTGCCATTCAGAGAGGAGAAACACACACCCAATCCTAAACCTATGAAATGGCAACAACAAAAGGAGAAAATACATCTTTTGAAAACACGGCCACCTACTTGGAACATTCCATAGTGTGACATAGAGTAACTCTGTTTAGGATTATTTCGTTGATCCCCAGAGGCCAATTGCCCAGTGCTCAGTCAAAGCCCAAGGTGGAAGACAAGTGCTTCCCTGATGAGCTGGCCTCTCTGCAGACTGCTCCGTACCCTGTGCTGTCCTGCCTCAGATGCAGAGAGAGCACAAGGCTCCTGCTCTCCTCGTCCTCGGTGCACCTGTGTTCGTGCTACCATCACAGCTGAATGCAATGAAAGGCGGTCCTCTGAGAGGAGCAGGGTGGAGATGCTAAAGTGGAGGCCCCGTCCCATTGCTGATAGATCCTCATCTGGCATGCGCTCCACCCTCCCCATTCTCTGCTCCCACGTATCGTAGCCCCATCACAGAAGATGCGACATGGAAAAACGCACTGTGTCCACCCTAGTTCTTAAATTTGGGCAGGGATTTGGGGTGTATGTTAAGAGTTTTTCAAATTTGCCAGATTGTATGCCTATGTTGTTAAATACACAATGAATCCCTGGTATGATAGCAGTTTCTGGATAAACATTACTTGAGGTCCTAAAATGCAGAAGGGAAAAAGCAACTTTTGTCAGATGCCTACTTTGCTTTCATTTCATCTCTAATATTTTGGATGGGGAATCATCCAAAGCTTCTGACTGCATGAAGGTCAGGTGTGCCAGTGTGCAGCTGGGTTTCTTTTCTGGAATTAAAAGTACTTTGGGTGGTGGTGAGGGTCAGAGGAAGAAGTAAAGATTGTGAGAAAGGGGAAGAAACATGGGCTTGGGGAGAACCCAGAATTGGGGCCAGAAGACCTGGCACTAGGCTACAGCACTTAGCACCTCTGATCTTGTTTTTCCTCATCTGTAAAAGGAGGTTAACAAAGCTTTTCTGCCCACTTCTTGGGGAGAAGGGAATAACATAATTGGTAAAAAAAAAAAAAAAAAAAAAAAGTTTTGAAAAATAAGCAACACTGACTTTATGTAACCAAGCATTATTAATTCTCCACCCCATATCACTGGTAGATACCTGTATTCAAGCTATCTGGACATGAAAGCAGTCACATTTTAGAAGTCATGAAGTTGATGCTAATAAGCCTAATCTACAGAAACACTCTTGAAAGCCCTTGAGCGTTTGTTCTGTGAACAGAAAGGTTTGAGATTCGGAGCAAGTTCAGAGTTGGATGGTCTAAGAATGGAAAAGCCCTCCATTCCATTAGAAGAGCCAGGTAGCAATTTCTGGTTATGGAACCAGAAGCTCTCAGGCTTCAAATAAAACAGCATCACTTGTACTCTTATAAAACTGTAAAAACAGAAAGACCAAAACCGTATCTACATCTGTCCTATAAGGCAGAGAGTACTTGAGATCTCATGGATTTAAAACCAGCTTACAAACTACATTGCACTATATGAAGAAATTATCACTGTGGGCAAAGCATCAAGCAGAGAGCACAGTATACAGTGTGTGGATGTTAATGTTATTCCCTAGCCTTCCCATTCCTTTGTCTTGGTCCTTTCTGCATATGGAACAGTTCTATTATTAAATTTTGTAATAGTAACTGAGAACCTGACTTTCAGCAAGGGAGTAGTTCGGAAATTGAGGGAGTTTAACTCTGAATGAGTAAATAAAAATAAAGCAATTATGTCATTAGCTTAAAATTTTATCATCATTAAAAATAAAAAGTTTAAAAACAAATACTTAATGTAACAATTTATCACCGCGCAATTTGGACTCACGACAATGTGTGGTGTTTGTCAGACATGCACTGTTGCAATGCAGCTTGACTGTCTTGCAGACAGCCTCAATGCTGTTTTTAAATTGGCAGAGGCAGCAGGCCATATGGCTAGGTAAGATCCTATAGATGAAAACAGAGAGCAATAAATTAGCGGTAAAGCGGTTACTTGAGTAGGTAAAGGAGGCAGCCAACGCTACCACAGGTGTGGGAAAAAGGTGTCATTGAAGCCTATGGACTGGACAGTTGGGTAGGAACCAGAAGGCCAATAGGAAGGAGGACAAAAGTGCCCAACTGAAGGGTAAGCATGGCAGTGAGTATGGTATGCCTAGAATAAAGATGGTTGGGATTAGAATTGGGTGACAGTGATTAGTAGTTTCAGAAGTATCTCTTCCCAATTCAAAAGTCTCACTTTGGGCTGAAAGTACAGAGGAAGAAGGTAGACTTTTAAGAAGTCTGAATAAGCCCCCAACTTCTGGAGTCCCTTTCTCAATTCCTGTTGGGAGTGGGAAATATTATAAATTACTCTGGGCATTAAAAATAGCTTAGTTTAACCTGGATTGCGGAGTTAAAAAATAACAAAGACTGCATTGGTCAAATCTGGACAATTTGAGCATTCAAAAGAATAACAACAATAAGTTACCACATATTTAATATAAAGAAGAATCCACGAAGAGTGATATTGAAAAAGAAAGAGGAGGAGTTCTTCTTCAATGAAATAATGCCAGCTAGTAAATGTAGAAGGAATGACAGAATTTTTAAAAGTGTCACTTTGCAACCGTCAGTGTAATACAAATTCATTCAGACAAGGATTATCATTGATGCACATTTGGGTGAAAAAACATTTGAGAACAGGATCTTCACTGAACTCAAAGTAACAACCCACAGATTATTTATTAATTACCAAGGGGAAAATTATTATTTTTTATTTTTATTTTTATTTTGTCACCCAGGCTGAAATACAGTGGCAAAATTATACCTCAATGCAGCCTCAACCCCCCTGGGCTCAAGGGATCCTCCAAATTCAGCCTCCTGAGTAGCTGGGAGTATAGGCTTGCACCACCATGCCCAGCTAATTTTTTTTTTTTTTTTGTACTTTTGTATTTTCAGTAGTGACAGAGTTTCCCCATGTTGCTCAGGCTGGTGTAGAACTCCTGGGCTCAAGCAATCCTCCCACCTCGGCCTTCCAAAGTGCTGGGATTACAAGTGGGAGCCACTGTAGCCAGCAAAATAATTACAATGGAGAGACCTGGAAGATCACCTTAGTCAAGTGATCAAACTTAGTATTACAGGCCATCTGCGGTTACGAGGCAGGAAGGATACATCACCTATGCAGTATTTTTCCCAAAAATGCTTAACTTGAATTTCATCATGAGGAAACAGACAAATCTGGATTGTGGGACAATTTACAAGACAACTATCTTTGACTCTTAAAAAATGCCAGTGTCATGAAAGATCAAAGAAAGTAGAGGCATGTTTTAGATTAAAGGAAATGAAGACATGACATGCAGTGCCTGATCTTTGATTGGATTCTGTACTATTCTTTCATCTTTCTGGCTTGTTTGAATTTTTTCCAATACGTAAATTTGGGCAAAAGAGGTGACCGAGACAATTGATTAATTTATTGTTGTGGCTTATTGGGGGCACTTTCAGAGAGATAAAAACAATCCCTGTAACTGAAGTAAAAGGTTAATCTTAGGCAGTATAGCATGGTCATTAAGAATACAGATTCCATAGCCAGACTATGCTTCAATCTCAGCTCTGCTAATAATGTGAATTTGGGCAAATTGTTTAATCTCTGTTCCTTGGCCTTGTCATTATAATAGTACCTACCTCTAATGAATTTTGAGGATCAAATGAATCAATACCTGAAAAATGCCTGGTGCACAGTGAGTGCTCAATAAGAGTTAACTATAATTATTGTGTTGCAGAGGTTGTGGGGGGCCTTTTCTGAGTCCTCCAAAAGGATGGCTTTATTGGGGCCATATTAAGACTATGAAAACAGAAGAGGGTTTCATGGATACAAGAAGTCTGTGAGTTGGGGGTACAATGTATAGAGTTTTAGATTAAAACTGCATCCAATAAGTTGGCCTGAGACATCTTTCAAACCTATAAAGGAACAATCACAAGTGACTAGTAGTATTCCTTTGGGTCCAGTGGAAGCCTCTGATCTTCATATGGAATGGACCCGGAACCGTAACCCAGCATTTTGTTGTATAGCAACCTTACCTCTGCCACAAAGGTGTTTCTTTTGTTTATTTTGAGGCCGGGTCTCGCTCTGTTACACAGGCTGAGTGCAGTGGTGCAATCTTGGCTCACTGCAGCCTCTGTCTCCTGTGCTCAAGTGATCCTCCCACCTCAGCCTCCTGAGTACCTAGAACTACAGGTGTGTGCCACCACACCTGGCTAATTTTTGTATATTTTGTAGAAATGGGGTTTCACCATGTTGTCCAGGCTGGTCTCGAACTCCTGGGCACAAGCAACCCTCTCTCTTTGGCCTCCCAAAGTGCTGGGATTACAGGCATGAGCCCAAAATTTTTGGTATTCTTTTTCTGCCCCCAAGTTTTTATTTTAAACATTTTCTTTTTTTCCTTTAAGCCTTAGGATGGCTGGGAAACATTTTCAAATGGTATAATGAACACCTGTATAACTTTCATCTGGAATCAGTAGTTGCTAATACTTTGCCACATTAGCTTTCCGTGTGTGTATGTCTATACATTTTCTGGACAAAACCATTTGAGAGTCAGTTGCAGACATAATGACCCTTCACCATTGAAGACTTCAGTGTGCAGCCCCTAAGAACCAAGGCATTCTCTGACATAACCAGAGGACTATCATCACTCAATGGAACTTCATATTATCATTGTCTACTATGCGGTCCGTATACACATTTTCACAATTGTCCCAATCATAACATGGCTTAAAAAATTCACAATCCAATCAAACATCAGACATTACACTTAGTACATGATTCTTTAGTCTCCTTCAATCTAGAACTGTTCCCAGGATTGTTTTAAAGTATACTGACAAATCTTTGAGACTGTAAATGACCTGAGGTATACTTGAGAATAATTTTTCAATACACATGAAAGATCATTACACATGAGCCAAGACTCAAATGAGCTGGCCTACTTACTTTGTACATAAATGTGTAAACTCCTGAAGACTTCCAATAATGAACTCCCATAAGACATTTAGTTCAATGTCTTTATGGCCTTGGTGACAAATCATTACAGAGGATGAGAGCATTTTTCCTATCCAATAATGGTCAAGAAAAAAGCAGACAGATCCTCACTATCTTAGAGAACTAAGTGAGAAAGCTGGTCGATGAAGGGGACTTCATCCAGAGAGGAAGGGATCCAGCTGATGGGGAAGATGCTGCAGGAGGCTGAGGAAAGTGAGGCTAGAGCAGTAAAAGAGATCTGACAACCTGGTCAAGATAAGAAAGTGACCTGACAAAAATGAACGGAGCAGAGTGCTAAATGAAGGGCCCTTTCCATGCTAATCTTGCAAAATGCCCTCAACCAGCCCTAGCATAACTGAGTCTCTATTTAGCTTGCCATATTGTGGGGGCTGGTGGCACAATTGAAGTTGCAGTAAATTGTGTAACAAACTCACAATAGGGCCCCGCAGGCATACATATACATATATACACGTACATATATATAAATATATATATATTTTAGACAGGGTCTTGCTCTGTCACCCAAGCTGGAGTGCAGTGGTGCCATCTTGGCTCACTGCAACCTCCACCTCCTGGGTTCAAGTGATCCTCCTGACTCAGGTTCCCTAGTAGCTGGGACTACAGGCGTGTGCCACCACACCTGGCTGATTTATATATATATCTATATCTATATATATATCCTGCAAAGAAGGCCAGGCACGGTGTCTCATGCCTGTAATCTCAGCACTCTGGGAGGTGAGGCAGGAGGATCACTTGAGACCAGGAGTCCGAGACCAGCCTGGGGAACATACTGAGACCTCATTTCTACAAAAAAATAAAAAATAAAAAAGATACATCACATATGCAAATTAACTCAAAATGGATCATAGACCTAAATGTGTATCATTTCTGGGAGAAGACATAGGAGAAAATCTTTTAGACGCTGGATTAGACAACAGGTTCTTAAAGATTTCTTAGGTAAGAAACAAAAAATCACAAGCCATTTAAGAAAAAAATGCTAACTTAAAGCTGGTCAAAATTAAAAACTTCTGCTCTTCAGAAAACATTTTTATTTCTTACTTTTTTTTTTAGACAGAGTCCCACTCTGTCGCCCAGGTTAGAGTGCAGTGGTGCAATCTCGGCTCATTGCAACCTCCACCTCTCAAGTTCAAGCACTTCTCGTGCCTCAGCCTCCTGAGTAGCTGGGATTACAGGCATGTGCCACCACACCTGCCTAGTTTGTGCATTTTTAGTAGAGATGGCATTTCCACACAACCGGAATACTACTCAGCAATAAAAAGGAGTGAACAGTTGTCCCTCGGTGTCTGCAGGGGATTGGCTCCAGGACCCCCTGCAGATACCAAAGTCCACAGATGCTGAGTTCTTTTTTATGAAATGACATAATGTTTGTATACAGCCTCAGGTATACTCTAAGTACCTAATACAGTGTAAATGGTATGTACATAATTATACTGTATTTTAAATTTTCTACTGCTTTTATTGTTGTATTGTTGTTTTATATATTTTATTTTTTCCAAATATTCCCCATCCATGGTTCGTTGAATCTATGGATGAGGAACCTGCAGATATGGAGGGCCAGCTGTAGTGATAGGTGCAACAACATGGATGGTAGCATAATCTCAAAAAAAATTCTGCTGAGTGAGGCCAGGCAAGGTGGATCTTATCTGTAATCCTAGCACTTTGGGAGGCTGAGGCAGGCGGATCACTTGAGGTCAGGAGTTCGAAACCACCCTGGCCAACATGGCGAAACCTTGTCTCTACTAAAAATACAAAAATTAGCCAGGTGTGGTGGCATGCGCCTGTAATCCCAGCTACTCGGAAGGCTGAGGCAGGAGAACCACTTGAACCTGGGAGGTGGAGGTTGCAGTGAGCCTAGGTCATGCCGCTGCACTGCAGCCTGGGCGACAGAGTGAGATTCCATTTCAAAAACAAAAAAAAAAATTAGGCTTTGTGAAAGGAGCCAAACACAAGAGGCTATGTGCTATATGATTTCATTTATAAGACATTCTGGAAAAGGCAAAAGTATAGGAACAGAAATCAGATTAGTAGCTAACAGGGGCTGATGGTGGGAGGATGGGATTGCCTACAAAGGGACAGTAGGGGCCTTTTTGAGGCATCAGAAATGCTTTATATTGGGAATGTGGTGGTGGTTATGTAACTATACATTTGTCAGACTCATCAAACTGTACACTTAAAAAGCGTGAATGTTACTATATGAAAATTATACCTCAATGAACCTGACTTAAGAAAATAATAAAACAAACCTAAAGAACCAACTAAGTAAAAATAAATCTCAGAAAAAAATAACTTACAGTTTTTCCAGTTCAACAGTCATCATGAGAATGTTCTTAAGTGTTGTAAGTGGGACTAGCGTTGTTCCCATGTCTCTGAAGAAGAAAGCCGAAACATTCATGATATGAGCCCCAATAAAAAATTCTGTACTTAACAATTCAATTTTGGCTTCTCTATTAAACAAGCCAGCTCAAGACTTTATTTGCTGTAGAATTCCAGGGAGCTCTTATTAAAGAAATTAAAAGTTGATTTGCATCATCAAATTAATGATACTCAAGAGCAGAACTGACACTTTTTTTTTTTACCATTATCTTCTCATTTTCATATTGCACTCACCATCTTATTTACTCTTTTCTTTATTTTTAGAATAATGAACACCTTTTCCCCTTTGCTTTCTTGGTTAAATAATATTCCTCCATGTGTCTACATGTTCCAAATCTATATGGGTTCTTCAATGCTGTTCTCTTCCCCTGCTGGCTGTCTTGACCATTATACATCCTCTTAGTTTTTTTCTTCGCCAATAACTTTTTTTCAATAACCCAGTTAAAATTTAAATTATGACATTTTAGCCTAAATGCAAAATACTTAAGCTTTGATGAAAAATTTAAAAAGCATAAATCATCTCTTGACTCATGAGAGTACTATAGTACTTACAGATATTTTAATGCTGGCAATTTAAAGAGATACGGATCTTCAACAGTTGTCAGAGGATTGTGATTGAGAATTCTGAAAAATGGAATGGAATTAAAATAACCTGCATTTTCAATGTGTAAAACTGCATGAAAAGTTTACATTCATTTTTTGATATGGAACTTGTAGGTAAAAAAGAAAAAAATGTTTCCTGTCTTTACCTAAGAAATCACCATTAGACTCCGTAAAGCACTATTCCTATGGGAACTACCAAGGTCTCTAGAAGATAAAGGATAGAACGCGGGGAAGAACTACAAGGAAAAAAAAAGTGGATAGCAAAGAAAAAATATGCCACAGAACTTTTCAGGTCAAAAACCCTAAAAGTGACTATGTTGGTAGGAAGCCCTGACTGTGGAGGAAACAGTATTTCTAGCATCCTCCATAATTCAAGTTGCTCATCATAATTCAAGTTGTTCATCTATTTTTTTTTTTTTTTTTTTTTTGAGATGGAGTCTCGCTCTTGTTGCCCAGGCTGGAGTGCAATGGCTCGATCTTGGCTCACTGCAACCTCCGCCTCCCAGGTTCAAGTGATTCTCCTGTTCTGCCTCAGCCTTCCGAGTAGCTGGGATTACAGGCACCCACCACCACGCCCAGCTAATTTTTGTATTTTTAGTAGAGTCGGGGTTTTACCATGTTGGTCAGGCTGGTTTTGAACTCTTGACCTCAGGTGATCTACCTGCCTCAGCCTCCCAAACTGATAGGATTACTGGCATGAGCCACTGCGGCTGGCTGCTTGTCTTTTATCTTTATAAAGTTTTTAAAATTTATGGTTTAATTTGCACAGTTAAAAAAAAATAGGACCAATTCTTTTG
Organism: Homo sapiens; assembly: GCF_000001405.40. Classification (NCBI taxonomy): domain Eukaryota; kingdom Metazoa; phylum Chordata; class Mammalia; order Primates; family Hominidae; genus Homo; species Homo sapiens. The sequence continues at coordinate 46,539,399 of NC_000017.11, read as the reverse complement.
CTTTATAGCCAAAGAAGAAGGAATAAATCTAAGAGGAGGAACTGGTCAAAACCATACTCCCACTTGTCTTCTTGTATGACATCACAGCCTTTCTTACATTGCATGTAATCACCTGTCCACTTGTCAGGCTCCTGGACTATGAGCGCTTTGAGGGCAGAGACCACATTTTTTTTTTTTTTTTTTTTTTCTGAGATGGAGTCTCACTCTGTCACCCAGGCTGGAGTGCAGTGGTGCAATCTTGGCTCACTGCAATCTCCGCCTCCCAGGTTCAAGCAATTCTCCTGCCTTAGCCTCCCAAGTAGCTGGGATTACAGGTGCCTGCCACCATGCCCTGTCATCCCCGTGCCTGGCATGATGTCTGAAATGTATTAGGCATTTAACAAATGTTTATTGAATAAACAAATGACATTTTGTTCATATGTCAATAAAATGAATAAATTGATTTTGATGCAAATTTTTATTCCAAAATGCTGGAATCGATTTTCTTTTTAATTCTTTAAGGTGAACAAGAAAAATAAAAGAAACAGGAAGAAATAAAAGAAAATCTACCTTTAGGTTAACCCAAGAATCATCTTTGTACTTAGGCAGAAATTATAAAAATAATAATTATTACAGTGAGTATCTACTGGGTTGCCAGGTATTTGTGATCAGCAAATACCTTATGTGGTAGATATTATTATTGCCCTATTTTTAAATGAGGAAACTGAGGCACAGAGAGGTTAGATAACTTGTCCTAGGTCACCAAGCTATTAAGCAGCAAAGCTGTAATTTGAACTCGTGTTTAATCTGTATGAAGAAAAAGGGTTTATTTTAACCTTAGGTTTTTAAAAAATTTTCATTTTTGTTCTTCATTCTTTTTCTCTCTCTTTTTCCTTCCTTCCTTCCCTCCCCCTTCCTTCTTTCTATTTTCTTTCCTTTCCTTTCTTTCCTTTCTCCTCTCCCCTCCACTCCCCTCCCCTCCCCACCCAAACAGGGTCTTGCTCCATTGACCAGGCTGGAGTGCAGTGGCGTGATCTTGGCTCACTGCAACGTCCTCTTCCCAAGCTCAGGTAATCCTCCTTCCTCAGTCTCCCAAATAGCTGGGACTATAGGCACGCACCACCACGCCTGGCTATTTTTTGTGTTTTTAGTAGAGATGGGAGTTTCACCATGTTTGCCAGGCTGGTCTTGAACTCCTGATCTCAAGTGATCCGCCTGCCTTGGCCTCCCAAAGTGCTGGTGTGAGCCACTGGGCCCAGCCTTAATTGTGAGAAGACTAAATACAGAAGTGCCTTTCAACCTTCTTCTACTCCTCTGGGAGGACCTCTATGAGAATTACAATTTCTCATTAGCAGGGCACGGCAGTGCTTGCCTGTAATTCCAGCTGTTTCAGAGGCTGAGGCAGGAGAATTGCTTGAACCCAGGAGGCGGAGGTTGCAGTGAGCCAAGATCAAGCCACTCTACTCCAGCCTGGGCGACAGAGCAAAAAAAAGTGGATTACAGTTTCTCTTTTTATGTCTTTCCCCTAATCATTTCCCATGATTAAATAGTTTATTAGTCTATGGTCAATGAGACTTTTTTTTTTTTTTTTAAGAGACACATTCTCACTCACTGTGTTGCCCAGGCTGGAGAGCAGTGGCTATTCACAGCCATGATCCCACTAGTGATCAGCATGGGAGTTTTGACCTGCTCTATTCCTGAACTGGGCTGGTACACCCCTTTTTAGGCAACCTGGTGGTCTCCTTTTCCCGGGAGGTCACCATACTGATGCTGAACTTAGTGCGGACACCCAATCAGCATAGCATGCTACAGCCCAGAATTCCTGGACTCAAAGGATCCTTCTTCCTTTGCCTCCCGAGTATCTGGGACTACAGGCATGTGCCCAGTGAGCCTTCAGAGATTTAAAATCATGTCGTAAGTGACATCAGTGAAAATGGTGGAATAAAGACATGCAGGCTGGGCGCAGTGGCTCACACCTGTAATCCCAGCACTTTGGGAGGCTGAGGCAGGCGGATCACGAGGTCAGGGGATCGAGACCATCCTGGCTAACAAAGTGAAACCCCGTCTGTACTAAATATACAAAAATTAGCTGGGCGTGGTGGCAGGCGCCTGTAGTCCCAGCTACTCGGGAGGCTGAGGCAGGAGAATTGTGTGAACCCGGGAGGTGGAGCTTGCAGTGAGATGAGATTATGCCACTACACTCCAGCCTGGACAACAGAGTGAGACTCTGTCTCAAAAAAAAAAAAAAAAAAAAAAAAAGAGACATCCAAAAATTCATCCCTTCATAAAAGCAACAAATACCAAAAAAAATAGCAAAAAAAAAAAAAAAAAAAAAAAAAAAAATTGACCACAATAAACTTTTTCAGAACTCTAGAAATGTAACCAAAGTCTTGCAGCAACCCAAGGAGCATTTATTCAAAAAAAATTTCTGTAAGAACAGTGAGATTTGTGTTAACTTGCCTTAGACCATTCCTCACCCTCTAGCTCAGTAGTCGCCTTGGAAAACAGCCCACATCCCCAACCAGAGGGAGCAGAATGGAGCTGGAGCTCCTTCAAAGCCTTATTCTCAGTTAACTGTCATGATGTCATCTGTCTGGTGGTTCCCTGGAAGACCTCATTTGAAAGGTTTGTCTTTATTTGACCAGAATGAAAGCTGTCTAGTGCTAAAGCCTCTCCACAGAGGGTGTTTTTGGAAAACAATTACAGACAAGTGTTTTAACATGGCAACTGTATTCGGCAATGAATAACAGTTTGGGGGAAAAAAGCCTAATCAAAAAGCTTAATAGGAAAAGCTGAGGAATAAGATGTCCACAGGAATTTGAAACACTCTGATATATGCTTGGGAAACTAGAAGTCCATAAGACATATTCCTGGCAATTTGGAATGTCACGCGCATGCATAGGGCAGACTGTCAGCATGGTCAGGAAAGACCTACTAAGTTCATAAACTCTCACCCCTGGCTGACACCTTGAGGTTCTGCACAAGCAAGAAGTGAAAGCTAAGGCATGGCTGTAAATTGTCTAGCTGAGTGCTGAAGGTATGCCCCAACATGTACACAGAGCCCCTTGGCAAAAACTAGGAGACTTATCAGTTCCAAGAATTTAAGTAAATCTTCATTTAATCATTACCTGATCGGTAAGCTAACCGAGGAGGGACTTTAGTGGGAACACATGACATATAATGCGAGACTTTACAGAAGAAGTTCAGAAAAGTCACTAAATAAATAGCAACTACTAACACAAGCAGGAGTAACACCAAACCCTGGCAGCATGGATCTGATTTTCAGAATTGCTACATTATATTATTTAAAATATTCAATTTTTAACAAACATTTATGAAAGATGCAAGGAAACAAAGTATGGCCCAAACACGTGGTTGGGGGAGAAATAAGCAGAAATTGTCCCTGAGAAGGACCAGATGTTAGACTTACTAGACAAAGATTTTTTTATTTTTTATAGGTGGGGTCTTGCGAAGTTACCCAGGGTGGTCTTGAACTCCTGGCCTCAGCCTCAACCTCAGTCTCAGCCTCCCAAAGTGCTGGGATTATAGGCACGAGCGACCATGCCTGGCCTAGAGAAGGATTTAATTCAGCTATTTAAAATATGTTCAAAGAGATAAGAGAAACGATTCAGTTCTGTAGACTAGAGAACTAAAGGAAAGTATGAAAGCAATGTCTCATCAAATAGAGAATATCAATAAAGAGATAGAAACCATAAAAAGGAGTCAAATAGAAATTCTAGAGTTGAAAAGTATGGTAACTGAAATGGAAAAATTATTAGAGGTTCTCAATGGCACATTACAGCAGGCTGAAGACAGAATGGGGAACTTGAAGGTTAATTGAGATTGTTGACTCTGAGGAACAGAAATAAAAATGAATGAAAGTGAATGGAATCTCAGAGACCTGTTTGTGGAACACATCATCAAGCTTACTAACATACACATAATGAGCGTCCCAGGAGAAGAAAAACAGAAAAAAGGAGAAAGAATATTTGAAGAAATGATGGCCCCAAACTTCCCAAACATGATGAAAAACAATCTGCATATTCAAGAAGCTCAAGGAACTACAAGTAGGAAAAACTGAGGGATCCACATCTAAACATACTGTAATCAAACTGACAGAAGCCAAAGACAGAATATCTTGAAAGCAGCAAGAGAAAAGCAACTCATCACATACAAGGGATCCTCAATAAGATTAATAGCTAATTTCTCTTCAAAAACAATGCAGGTGCTGGACATGGTTGCTCACACCTGTACTCCCAGTACCTTGGGAGGCTTGAGGCTCAAGAATTGCTTGAAGCCAGGAGTTGGATACCAGCACTGGCAATAGAGTAAAACCCTGTCTCTACAAAAAATTTGAAAATAACTGGGCATGCCCGTCTGGGATGTGAGGAGCGCCTCTGCCCGGCCGCGACCCTGTCTGGGAGGTGAGGAGCATCTCTGCCTGGCCGCCCCGTCTGAGAAGTGAGGAGCCCCTACGCCTGGCAGCCGCCCCATCTGAGAAGTGAGGAGCCCCTCCGCCCAGCAGCCGCCCCGTCTGAGAAGTGAGGAGCCCCTCTGCCCGGCAGCCGCCCTGTCTGGGAGGGAGGTGGGGGCCAGCCCCCGCCTGGCCAGCCGCCCCCTCCGGGAGGTGGGGGGGCGCCTCTGCCCGGCTGCCCCTTCTGGGAAGTGAGGAGCCCCTCTGCCCGGCCGCCACCCCGTCTGGGAGGTGTACCCAACAGCTCATTGAGAACGGGCCATGATGACGATGGTGGTTTTGTTGAATAGAAAAGGGGGAAATGTGGGGAAAAGATACAGAAATCAGATTGTTGCTGTGTCTGTGTAGAAAGAAGTAGACATAGAAGACTCCATTTTGTTCTGTACTAAGAAAAATTCTTCTGCCTTGGGATGCTGTTGATCTATGACCTTACCCCCAACCCAGTGCTCTCTGAAACATGTGCTGTGTCCACTCAGGGTTGAATGGATTAAGGGCGGTGCAAGATGTGCTTTGTTAAACAGATGCTTGAAAGCAGCATGCTCGTTAAGAGTCATCACCACTCCCTAATCTCAAGTACCCAGGGACACAAACACTGTGGAAGGCCGCAGGGTCCTCTGCCTAGGAAAACCAGAGACCTTTGTTCACTTGTTTATCTGCTGACCTTCCCTCCACTATTGTCCTATGACCCTGCCAAATCCCCCTCTGCGAGAAACACCCAAGAATGATCAATAAAAAAAAATTAAAAAAAACAAAAACAAAAACAAAAAAAACTGGGCATGGTGGTGCATGCCTGTAGTCTCAGCTACCCAGGAGGCTGAGGTGACAGCATTGCTTAAGCCTGGGAGGTGGAGGCTGCAACGTTGTGAGTGGTTGCACCACTGCACTCCAGCCTGGGTAACAGAGCAAGACCCTGTCTAAAAACAAAGCAACCACACACAACACTGGAGGACAAAAGGCAATGAAATGGCATATTCAAAGTGCTGAAGAAACTGTCAACCAATAATTCTATACCTGGCAAAACTACCTTTGAAATTGAAGAGAAATTAAGATATTCTAGATAAATAAAAACTGAGAGACTTTGTTGCTAGAAGACCTGCCCTATAAGGAGTACTAACGTGAATCTGCACAAAGAAATAAAAAGCACTGGCTGGGCGCAGTGGCTCAGGCCTGTAATCCCAGCACTTTGGGAGGCTGAGGCTGGAGGATCACTTGAGGTCAAGAGGTTGAGACCAGCCTGGCAAACATGGTGAAACCCTGTCTCTACTAAAAATACAAAAATTAGCTGGGTGTGGTGTTACGTGCCTGCAGTCCCAGCTACTCAGGAGGCTGAGGCACTAGAATCGCTTGAACCTGGGAGGCAGAGGTTGCGGCGAGTAAAGATTGTGCCACTGCACTCTAGCCTGGGCAACAGAGTGAGACTCTGTCCCAAAATAAAGAAAAAAAAAAAAAAGAAAAAGATACTTACATAATGCAATAATTATAAATCTAGTTGATGAACATAAGGTATATAAAGATGTAATGTGTGACAATAACAGTATAAAGGAGGGGGTGAGAGTGGAGCTTTAGAGAAGCAAAGTTTTTGTATACCATTGAAACAAAGTTGGAATTAATCTGAACTACAACGTTATAAAATTAAGATGTAGCTGAGACTACAGGTGCGCACCACCACACTCGGCTAACTAAAAAAAATTTTTAGAGATAGGGTCTCACTATGTTGCCCAGGCTGGTCTCAAACTCCTGGCCTCAAGCAATCCTCCTTCCTTGGCCTCCCAAAGTACAGGGATTATAGGTATGCACCACTGCATCTGGCCACAAACATTTTGTTTTCTTACTGTTCATTTTTCAAGACAGGTTTTCACTCTGTTTCCCAGGCTGGAGTGCAGTGGAACAATCATGGCTCACTGCAGCACCGATCTCCCGGGCTCAAGTGATCCTCCTGCCTTAGCCACCTGAGTAGCTGTGACTACAGGCATGTGCCACCACGTTCAGCTAACTTTTACATTTTTTTTGTAGAGATAAGCTCTCAGTATGTTGCCCTGGCTGGCCTCGAACTCCTGGGGTCAAGCAATCCTCCCACCGCAGCCTCCCAAAGTGCTAGGATGACAGGTGTGAGCCACTGCACTGCAAAAATACAGAAGACCAAATTATTAAAACTAGAAATGAGAGGGGACATTACTATTGTTCTTAGAGACATAAAAAGGATTATAATATGAATAAAAAGGATTATACATATAAACAATATATGCTAATAATTGGATAAGCTGGATGAAAGACACATTACCAGAAAGATATGAACTACTGAATCTGACTTGAGAAAAAAACAGAAAATCTGAATAGACAGACCTATGTCAAGTAAAGAGATTGAGGTAGTAATCAAAAAACTTTCCACTAAGAAAAGCTGAAGACCAGCAGGCAGCCTCACTGGTGAATCTACCAAATACTTAAAGAAGAATTAACACCAATCCTTCATAAAGTCTTTCAAAATACAGATGAGGAAAGAACATTTCCTAACTTATTCTATGAGGGTGATATTAACCTGGTATCCAAACTAAAGACATCACACACAAAAAATTACAGACCAGTATTTCTTATGAATGTAGATGGAAAAATGCTTGACAAAATCTGGCAAACCAAATTCAACGGAGTATTCTGTAAACATGAAGCAGATAATAATAGCATGATTCTCCAAACTGATCTATGGTTTCACTACAATTGTTGTTTTTTTGAGTGAAAAAGTTTTCATTTATTGGCTGGGCATGGTAGCTCATGCCTGTAATCCCAGCATTTTGGGAGGCTGAAGCAGGTGGATCATCTGAGGTTAGGAGTTCGAGAGCAGCCTGATAAACGTGCTGAAACCCCGTCTCCATTGGAGTCTCACTCTGTTGCCCAGGCTTGAGTGTAATGGCGTCACCTGAACATCTATGTGCAAAATAATGAAGGTGGACCCCCTACATCTCACACGATTATAAGAATTGATGCAAAATATGTCAAATACCTAAATGTAAGAGCCAAAACGATAAGACTCTTACACAAAAACATGGGAGTAAATTTCATGACCTTAAATTAGACAACAGTTTTTTCTTCTCCAAACTGGATTTTTTTTCTTTTAAAACAATTTTGTCTTTTGAATTTAATGAAGTATTACTAGCTGAAGGCAGCCTGACATGGTGACAAGAATGTCAGACAGATGAAAGGGACACAGCCTGATTTAAAACCAAACACTGAACCTTTTTAAAGAAGAATAAGACATTTTATACACACACATGACACCAAAAGCACAAACAACCAAAGGAAAAATAGATACATTAGATTTTATCAAAATTAAAAACTTTTGTGCATCAAAGGACACTGGCAAGAAAGTCACAGAACTCACAGGATGAGAGAAAATATTGGCAAATTATCTGTTAAGGTCTAATATCCAGAGTATCCAGAAGATATAGAGAAATTCCTATAATTCAATAAAAAGACAAATCAATTTTTTAAATGGGCAGAGGATGTGAATAAATATTTCTTCAAAGAAGATATATAAATGGCTCATATACACATAAAAATGTTGAATGTCTTAAATCATTAGGGAAATGTCCATCAAAAACTGCAGCGAGATACTACTTTACACTCACTGGGATGGCTATGAGAAGAGACAGACAACGACAGTGTTGACAAAGACCCGGAGAAATTGAAACCCTCAAACATTGCAGATGGAAGTGTAAAATGGAGCAGCCACTGTGGAAATCAGCCTGACAGGTCCTCAAAAAGTTAAACATAAGAGTTGCCATACGATCTAGCAATTCTGCTAGGGATGCACCCTAGAATTAAAAACATGTCCACGCAAAAAGTAGTACATGCATGTCCATAGCAGCATTATTCATAAAAGCCAAAATAAAGTAGAAACAACCACATGTCCACTAAGTGATGAATGGATGAACGGATATAGTGATGGCTCCATACAATGGAATATCACTCAGCCTTGCAAAGGAATGATCCATGCTGCAGCATGGGAGGACCTTAGAAACAACATGCTTCGTGAAAAGAAACTAGACACAAAAGGCCACATACTGTATGATTCGTTTATATGAAAGATCTAGAATAGGCAAATCCATAGGGACTCAAAGTAGATTAGTAGTTACCTGGGCCTGCGGGAAGACAGCACTGGGGAGTGATGGCTAATGGGTACCATGTTTCTTTTTGGGATGATGAAAATGTTCTGGGGTTAGATAATGGTGATTGTTTGCTATACAACCTTGAGAATATACTAACCACCACTGAATTGTACACTTTATAATACTGCGTTGATGGTACGTGGATCAAGTCTCAATGTAACACAAAGAAGCATGTTGTACTGTATAGAACACCAGGTGCCAGAAGACCAAACATGCTGGCAGATGGAAAAAAGAGGAGTGAAGATTCATTCTCCCTTGACCAAGATCAGAGTGAGTCAGTGGCGAGGCTGGGAGCCACACAGCTTGTCCTGCCTTGTGATCCCCCTCCTCTTTCCTATTCCAGATGGTTTTTCAGTGCCATTAACTTGTTTTGTAACACTAATATTCAATAAGATGATGTTACAAAGAGAAAGAATGTGAGTGCCACATGACTGGTTAAGTATGGATTCTCAAACTAGGGCTTTAAATATCCTTCGTGATTTTTTTTGGCATGAAAACTTGTAAGACCACTGGTGGGCTCTGTACAAAGTCGGCTACCCCTTCATTCTATATCTTCCTCTGCCCACTTTCCTCCCAGCTATTAAAAATGAATGTAGGCTGGGCACAGCATCTCAAGCCTGTAATCTCAGCACTTTGGGAGGCCAAAGCAGAAGGAAAGCTTGAGCCCAGGAGTTTGAGACCAGCCTGGGTAACAAAGTGAGACCCTGTTTCTATTTTTTTCTAAACACCAAAAATAATGACTGTAAGGCAGTATGTAGCCAAACAACTTGGCAAAGTTTGTTATCTTTCCTCCAAAATTCTCTCACTCTCCAACCTTCCCTCTTTCTTGATAGCTCATCCATAGCCTTGAGCTCAGCATTACCTCTGAACTAGGAAGCTCTTCTCCAGCTGACATTAGGATCTTTGCATTTGTCCCTAATGAAATCAAAATATAGGGCCATTCGATATTATCCTCTTTTCCTCCTGTTCTAAGGCATTCTTTTCTTGACTAAGGTTGTGCCTGGGCCATGGAGAGACTGAGTGGGAACTGGCTCAACGGCTCAAGTTTGAGGACTCTACAGCAACTCTTTTCCACAAACCAAATGATATGAGTGTTTTTATTTATTTATATTTATGTTTCCACTTTTTAAAAGTCTTTTTGTAGAGATTGGGGTCTCACTTTGTTGCCCAGGCTGAACTTGAACTCCAGGGGCTCAAGCGATCTGCCTGTCTTGGCCTCTTAAAGTGCTGGGATTACAGGCATGAGCCAGCGCGCCCAGCCTTGAGTGTTTTTAGATTCACAGTAGATGACCATTTCCATTTCTGGTTCAAGTCCTTCATTTTATACATTAAACTAAGGTGCACTGACTCCCAGTCCATCGCCTTTTTGGTATCTTTATGGAAGTAAAATGTGGCAAGCTTTTTTTCAGCCTCAAAGACTGTCTCAGAGTAAAAGTTTAAGAAGTACTGCTCTAAATAATTTTATTAAATATGCCTTATTAGATGAGGAAAACTGAAATATTTTTATACAAGCCTTTTGCTGTAGAACAATGGGACAGAATAAAGGTAGCTCACAAAATAAGGGAACATTTCTTGCTTGTTCTTTTTTTTCCCTCCAAATTCTTCTGTACAGGTCCAGATAGATGAGCTATGTTTCCTTTCTATTAACTGAGGAGAGAGAGATGAAAGGACTGGAGCATGTCATCACTGTCTTAAATGTACTGAAATCCTAACAGCTCTAGCTGAAAAAATGTCCAAAGCAGGCTGTGAAAATAAATTTAAATGACAAACTCCAAAATGATCTATGCTAGAATCCCAAGGCTGTCAGGGAAAACTGGTTCCATGGAAGAAGGTAGTCAAAGAAATAAGCAGATGACCTAGACCCTCACCCAATATGCGCGATGTACTTGGGGAGAAAGTAACCTCTTTCCTTTATTCACCTACATAGGTTCGTGAGCCACACATCTCCCCACACCAAGCTCCTCCATACAAGACCTCGGACTGCATCACGTAAATGCTTTTTCAGGGGCAAAATCTAGAGAATCTGAAATGGTGAGCCTTTTTCCTTTTTTTTTTTTTTTTTGAGATGAAGTCTCACTCTGTTGCCCAGGCTGGAGTGCAGTGCAGTGGTGTGATCTTGGCTCACTGCAAACTCCACCTCCTGGAGTCAAGTGATTCTCCTGCCTCAGCCTTCAGAGTAGCTGGGATCATAGATGCCCGTCCCCATGCCTGGTTAATTTTTGTATTTTTAGTAGAGACAGGGTTTCACCATGTTGGCCAGGCTGGTCTCGAACTTCTGAGCTCAAGTGATCCACCCACCTTGGCCTCCCAAAGTGCTGAGATTACAGCATGAGACACCATGCCCAGCTGTGAGCCTGTATCTTAATCAAAGTCCTGAGAATAACCTTGAAGAAGACTCCCTTGCAATGAGCAACAACAGAAGAAGCAAGGGACCTGGAATCTGGCAGACCTGGGTTTGAATTCTGGCTCTGTCACTTTCTGGTGAAGTGACTTGAGTAATGAACATGAGCCTTTCTGGGTAGCGTTTACAGCACAAAGCAATTTGAGGAATAAATGAAAGAGCACGTGTCTAGTGCCTAGCAATGCGCTGGACACAGTGCCGGTGCTCAGCCATCATGTCACACCAGCACTGACCGGTGAGCATAAACCCTGGGGATGCCCAGAGCTGGTACAGCCAGGAGCTCCAGAAGCGTGGGATTCTCAGAGGGAAGTGGAGCTCACTGCTCTACAGGTCCTGTTCAAGTTAGAAAGTAAGATACAATGCACACAAAGCCAAATTGTCATCATTCAGCTCCTATTACAGGGGAACTAAGAGCTGCATTGAAAATTATTTGCAAAGCTTGTAAGTGGTTCTGCCACTTATTAGCCGTGTGAACCTTAGCAAATTACCTAGCGTCTCTGAGTTTCAACTTCCTCATCTACAAAATAGAAATGATAATAATAACCGCATCGCAAGAGTTGTTGGAAAAATGAAAATGAGGTATCATAGGAGGTAACATGTATGGAGCATTTACCATAGGCCAAGCACTGTTCTAAGAACTTCGGACATGTTATCTCACTTGTATAAGTACTTAGGTGCCTACAACATAAACAGCACCTGGTAAATTAAGTATTGAAAAAATGCTATGGGGCAGAGGAAGAAATGCTAAGCTTCTGTGAGAAGAGAAGACAGCTTGTTACACAGGTGAAAAGAACAAGCTGCAGCTGAGAGAAGAAAAGTATAAGAGTTGCTAGGTGTGACAATCTCAAGACTTTTCAACCACTACAAATTTAAACAGCCACCCTAAATCACCCCAAAGGACAGACTCGAGTTGTTCTTTTTGTCTTTAATGTTTGCGCCTCTCCGAATCAGAGAAGAAGCTGCCAGGATTCCAGTACATACCAAAACATGATGACAATACCCTCAACTGTGCAAACTTTTGTGCATCTACCGCTATGTAAAGGAAGCTGATGTCAGTAGACTGGGGGGAACAGTAAGGCATGTTTGTGACCGAAGCTCAATTTGCCATCACAGTGTGGCCACACCTACCTCACTAGTATTCTAATAGTGGGATAAATAATTCAATAGGGATAAAGCCTGGATTTTCCTCTTATTCTCTCTTAGTGCTTACATTCTTGGCATGATATCGATGTGCCATAGACAAGCCAATATGTGAGTGTACTCTATCTGAATAAAGTATAGCCTTTCTACATTGCAAAGTCATCCAGTTTCTAAAATTATTGTTAGAACCAATGAAGTGACTAAGAGAATTTTAAAAAATAAGCCATCAGTCTGGACCTGTGTATAGGAATGAAGGAGAAGCACTTTAAAGTCAGGGAAAAAATATAAACATACTTAACATTTAGGATTATCAACCATTGCTGCTTTTCCATAAACCATTTCATTCATGATTTCATCTGTAAGAGATATGATTATTGCCCCCATTCAGTGAGGGACTTTGATAGTTAGCCGCCTGGTCCTTCTTGCTTGGATGCCCTGCAAATAAATGTCCTCCTTTCCCCAATGCAAAACCTCGATATGGTTGTTTGACTTTACTGCGCTTGGGCCAGCAGAATCCAGTTAAGTCCACTAATAAGCTCTTGGCCTGTCTTTGAGATGGATTTCAGATTCAAAATAGACAGACCCTATCACCCTGCTAACTTGGCCAGTCAGTATTTGTCAATAACATAGAGGCTTCATTCAAGAGATTTACTGGGTTGTAACTATTGGAACCCAGGGATGATTTCAGGATTTTGTGGGGCCTGAGCCTTATCTAGTAAAAACATTAAAAAAATTATGAATACAAAAATTTCCAGGGGCCCTCCCACGACCTTGGAAGGGCCTGTGCAAGTGAGAAGCCTGGAAGGTTAGGCTCTATTCATCATCGATCAACCACAGCTGGGGCCTCTTTTTTTGTTTGTTTTTTATAAACTTGTGTAATGCAGGGAAATATATTGTTTCAACTTACAAACACCACAAAATGGTGTCATATTGGTCATAAAATTACTGGCACCTTCCCTTGGCATCTTGCCTTTGGAAGGAAATGCAGTGGGCCTATATGTCACATATGCCAAATATGACTGCAGTGTAGCTTTGTTTACCAGGAAGATTTGACTCCAAAAGGGCCCAGCCCCTAACATACACTTGGTGTGTTGAGACCCTTGTGCCAATCTTTGAAAGTAACTGTGACTTAGTTTGAAGGGTACAGCTCTATTCTGTTTATATGAAATGAGTGCTAGTTTCCAATATCAGCTAGCTCTGATTTTTTCATCACCATGAAGCAAATGCCTTTTTCTGTTGTTTAAGATGAACACAGAAACTCAAGATAAGCAAGTTAGTGTCTCTCAAGTCTTTCTTAACCCAGCCCCCATTCCTGCTTTGTCCTCTCCTTGTCACCCTGCCGTACAGATCCCCACATGGCTCTCATATGTTTTCCCATCAGCATCCGCTTCCTCCTTGAGGAATGAAAGTCCCCTGGGGACAAAGTCCTCATCTTGGTGTGTCTTTGAGATGGATTTTGTAGCCCCAGCACTTAGTACAGTACCTGGCACAAATGGACATGACACTCTGAATGTTTTTGAGTGAATTCATTAATTTTTATCAACTGTGATTCCAGTGTTTTCCTGGTGTTGCCTACATAATTGTAGTGAAGCTGGCTAGATGATGATGATGATGATGATGATGATGATGATTATTATTATTATATTATTATTATTATTTGAGACAGAGTCTCACTCTGTCCCTCAGGCTGGAGTGCAATGGTGCCATCTCGGCTCACTGCAACCTCCGCCTCCTGGTTTCAAGTGATTCTCCTGCCTCAGCCTCCTGAGTACCTAGGATTACAGTTGCCTGCCACCATGCCCAGCTAATTTTTGTATTTTTAGTAGAGACAGGTTTCACCATGTTGGTCAGGCTGGTCTTGAACTCCTGACCTCAGGTGATCCACCCACCTCAGCAAAGTGCTGGAATTACAGGCATGAGCCACCGCTCCCGGCCACCAGATTTTTATGAGGGACTCCCAGTTGTATAAAGTGCTTAGTAAAGATGGTGAGTTTAAAACATTTGTATTGATGCTACCTAAACCTCTTGGTGGAGGGACCTAATGAGCCTGTTCTCTGGTGTGAGGGCAAAAGAAAAACAGACCTTTAGTGTACTTTTCCTAAGTTATGCATCAGCAAATTAATGAGGACAGAGGGGAGCATGTGCAGAAACTGCTGCTCTAGTCCAGACACATCCTGAATGCCTCCCTCTAACTTGAAATGAACTGTGTGAAACTAGATTTCTGAACCACAAGGCAGGTGGAACGTCTTTTCTAAAGTCAGATGTAGAGGAGAATCTTCACCTTGAGTCCCCTTCAGGCCACTGAATATACCCACTCTGATTTGATGGGTATGTTATACAGAGAAATCATAGAATTTTTGCAATTATGGTAGAAGAGTAGTCAGGAAAGTATATGGAATTAAGATACAGCGATATATTTTCTTTACAAAAGTTTTTTTTTGCACAATAGCTTAACATAAACACCATCTTGGCCAGGCATGGTGGCTCACACCTGTAACCCCAGCACTTTGGGAGGCTGAGGTGGGCGGATCACCTGAGGTCACAGGAGTTCGAGACCAGCCTGGAGGGGAGGTTGGAGGGTAGTGGCACAATCTCGGCTCACTGCAACTTCCCCCTCCTGGGTTCAAGCCATTCTCGTGCCTCAGCCTCCCGATAGCTAGGATCACAGGTGCCCGCCACCATGACCTGCTAATTTTTGTATTTTTAGTAGAGATGAGGTTTTGCCATGTTGGCCAGGCTGGTCTCAAACTCCTGACCTCCAGTGATCCTCCCACCTTGGCCTCCCAAGGTGCTGGGATTACAGGCATGAGCCACCATTCTGGCCCTACAACTTTGGATTTGATTCCTGCTCATATGCAGAGTTTCTAACTGCTTAAATGTCTGCAACATTTAGCTGCAAGGAAGGAAGCTTAACACAAAGTCCTCCAGGGAGCAAAAAACTGCACCACCACGCCCAGATTTTTTTTTTGTATTTATAGTAGGGACAGGGTTTCACTATGTTGGCCAGGCTGGTGTTGAATTCCTGACCTCGGGTGATCCACCCACCTCGGCTCCCAAAGTTCTGGGATTACAGGTCTGAGCCACCCCGCCCAGCAACAAGGCTAATTTGAGGGTCACTTCTTTGATGCCTTTTCTTGCCCATGCTATAGGTCAGAACTAGGACAAGCAGAGGAGGTCATATATAAGCTACGTAAGTCTCTTGGCCTCTTTGTACCTTAGCTTCCCCATTTGAGAAAAATGAATGGATCTTAAGACATGCTTTTCAGAGTTGATAATGGGCTTATACCCAGCTACCCAATAATTGTATGAGTTTTTGTACATAAATAGTTGTTTACATGTATTCATCTTCTATTTCACTTACAACTTATGTAAAAACTGCATTCCGTGCCAGGCCTGAAATGTTCCAAAGCTGAGTTCTGTAATTACATTGCAACTAAGATTTCTAAAAAAAAAAGACACAAGCCAAAGAAAAAAAAAATTATTTCAGAACATTTATCATTTGCCATGATTCTAATTTATATAGGATGGAACATAACCTCAATCCTTTCTCTATGCACTAAGGAAATCTGACTGTGGAAGATACTGGCTTATGATTTATACTTTAACACTGCACATGTGGTGCATTAGATACAAAACAGTGAATGCTCAGTAAATACCTGTGTTAAGTGATCTTTATTTCTCTAGAACAGGATTTCACAACTTCAGTGCCATCAACATTTTGGACTATATAACTCTTTGCCATGGGGGTTTGTCTTATACCTTGAAGGATGTTTAGCAGCATCTCTGGCCTTTGCCCACCAGATGCCAGGAGCACACTCACAGTTTTGTCAACCAAAACTGTCTCCGGACATTACCAAATGCCACCTGAGTGCAAAATCACACCACCTGAGAACCACTGCTCTCTGATGATTCACTAAGATCTGTGTAATAATTCTCACAATAATCCTTGCTAGAGACAAAAAGGATTTGCTGTATAATTTTAGTAGCTTTCTACTGGTAAAATTTTAATCATATTTCAAGAATAGCAAAAAGGTTTATAATTAAGTTTTATAAAAATTCCAAATGTAATCAAGTTATATTTGTAACTTACATAAACTTCAAAAATGGTAGTGGTTCAAATGTATGTCTTTCAATAGACTGTATTTTATTGCAGGATAAATCTCTAGGAAAACGAAAATATTGCCTTGATTAGTTATTAAATGTCAATTGGTATGAATAACAGCAAGAGTTTAGAATAATACTGAATACCTGTTTTTCATCTCAACTCTAAACGTTTGGACTTGTATTTGAACATTCCAGAGCCCCTAACCCTGCCCATACCTCTCCTAGAGTCTCACCTTCATGGTTTTAATAAATATACAACATAATAGACTTTGGAATTAATTTTTCCTGAGAGCAGTAGACTTGATTAGATGCCCTTTTGTAGTGTCATCAAATCTTAGATTATGAGCTCAAAGATTTTATCTCTATATACACAATTTCTAATATTAAAAAAAATAGTCGGGCCGGGTGCGGTGGCTCAGGCCTGTAATCCAGCACTTTCGGAGGCCGAGGCTGGCAGATCCTGAGGTCAGGATATCGAGACCATCCTGGCTAACACGGTGAAACCCTGTCTCTACAAAAAAAATAAAAAATTAGCCGGGCCTAGTGGCACGTGCCTGTAGTCCTAGCTGCTCAGGAGGCTGAGGCAGGAGAATGGCATGAACCCAGGAGGCGGACCTTGCAGTGAGCCAAGATTGCACCACTGCACTCCAGCCTGGGCGACAGAGCGAGATTCCGTCTCAAACAAACAAACAAACAAACAAACAAGTCTCACATTTCTACACCTTCTTAGTTTAGGTCTGTTTTCCTAAGCCACTTCAATATCAGAAGAAATAAAAGACATCCTTTCACATCATTTGAAAGGAAGCTACCCCTTTACCTAATACATAACTTTGAACTAATTCAAATCATATTAATAGAATTAATTTCTATCATATTAATAGAAATTCATTTTTGGTTTTGTATTGCTTTAATATTTCATAAAAAAAAATTTCTTCAGTTATACAGTGATGGAGTTTGTCCCTCCCTCTTTACCTGGATGGTGTAACGTTGTCTGGCTGATGTCTCCATCTCTAGTCTCTCCCTACCTAAACTATCCTGCACACAGTCATCATATAAACTCTCCAGAAGTGGCTTGCAAAGACCAGCATCTCCTGGGAAATTACTGAAGATGCAAATTCTTGGTCCCACTCTAGACCAACTGAATCAGTAACTACGAGGGTGGAGTCCAGAACTGAGTTCTAACGTGCCCTCTCAATGACTGTGATGCAGATCTACCTTACAGCGCTGCTGTGGTAACACGGTTCCCCATGTTGGCTCCTCAGCTTGGCATTCAAAGCTCTAGAAGATCTGGCTCCATTTTCCTACTCTCCCTTCTTGTACTCTACGGGTACTCATGGCATTCCTTGAATACTTTCCTGTGTTTTGCCCTCCCATTTTCCTTTTGCAAGTTTAGAGTATTTTCCCCAAGATGTCTGTCTGGTGTTACACAATGGCCCTTTAAAGTCCTATTCAAATGGCATTGTTCTAGTAACATCCTCCTGGGTCCAAATTGAAGGCATTTTTTCCTCTTCTATGTTCGAGAAACAATTTATCCCTCCTAGTGCCCACATCCATTTCTTCTTCTTAATGTAGTTATTTTGTATCCCATTTCTTCTGAGCATAAACAGGTCCCTGAAAGCATGGACTAGGTCTTGCTCATCTGCATTGCCCACCATGTTTAAAACTGACACATGGAAATAAAGCAAACTCAAATATTTGTAAAATAAATGAATAGGGGGGAGTGAGTAGAAGGAAAATAACTATTTTAAAGGAAACGTAGTTTTATTATTTCATGGTCTCTGTAGCACTTTGGCATCCACCTGAGGGTCTTTACACCCACTTTCCTTAAGCCTTCTATATTTGAGAGAATCTGTTTGCAAAAGAGCATCACTAATGAGCTTAATAAGGATTAATGACATACACACCTCTATGGACAAAGGGTAAGAATCAAGCATTCATAGCAATGAACATAGTATCTTCTTGTCTCTAAACAGACAGAAATACAGGGATCCCTTTCTTGGTAACAGGGCTGGGGCGATCGTTATTTTGTAATTAGTGAAGAGTTAGGGGCATTTCTGATGTGCTTCTTAGTGTAAACATTTCTAGCTCTACCAGTTAACCATCATTTTAAACATCTGTTTTAATATAACAATTCCTGAAATGAAATCCTTAATACCAGTCTATTCTCTTGGTAGCTTAATATTCTTGATGATAATATTGATATAATTCAGCTATTTTTAATATTTAAATGTTAATTTAATTCCGATTAAATTACCAAAAAATTCTGGATTAATGATGTTCAAATGAATGCAGGTGGTCTCCATTTTCTTCTCCTTTAGGCAACCATCTGAAGTTAACTTTAGTTCCTTTCATCCTACTAAACCAACTTTTTGAAATTTTTTTTGGTGAAGGTCAGACAGTAAATATTTTAGGTTTTATGGGCCACATATGATCTCTCGCATATTTCTTTGTTTCTTTTCTTTTTCTTTCACAGTCCCTTTAAAAATGCAAAACCCATTCTTAACTTAATGGGCTATTTAAAAATAGACCATAAATTAGATTGGATCTATTGGTTGTAGACTGAATAGAAAAAGAATGATATGTGAACCCTTATAAAACAAGGTTCATATGGGTGTCAGTCACTGCTCAGATTTTCTTACCATGTGAAATGTTTTTGTCTGTATTTTGTCTATACAACTTAAAAACTGAAAATGCACAGGAGGTAGCTAGTGCTAGAGATGGGCTGAGACCCTATACAAACTTACAGAATTGCAGAATTT
Source organism: Homo sapiens (assembly GCF_000001405.40). Lineage (NCBI taxonomy): Eukaryota > Metazoa > Chordata > Mammalia > Primates > Hominidae > Homo > Homo sapiens. The sequence goes on along the minus strand of NC_000017.11, from coordinate 46,520,382 downwards.
TATTGCTCAAAGAAATCTGAGAGATTATCTAATTTGAACCCCTTATTCATTTTACAGATAATATGACTAAAAACTCATAAATATAATTAACTAACTTACAAATACTGGAGGGATAGCAGGCCTTCAAATGAATCCTTGTGTAATTCAGTCAAGTTATTTTCTCTGAGAATTCTGGAAAATGAAGAAGTTATTTCTAGATTAAAATGCAAACTACAACTATTTGCTACACAGAACCATCTCCTGCATGTGGAGGAAAGCTGGGTCATGGTCACTTCAAGATGGTGGGATCTGCTCTGCTTTCATTCAAACCTTTTCTTATATTTTCCTTTTTGTGTCCATCTCTCTCCACCACCACCACAAACACACACACACACACTCAAGCACACCCCTTGAAGAGTGGGTTTCTTCCCACCAAATTCTGTTATTTCATGCCTCCTCTCTAGATCACAAAATCCCTTTTAGAATCCAACTCTGGGTGGCACCAAGATCAGCAGAACCTCCATTTCCTCCTCTCTTTTCCCAAACCTTATTATGAAAGCCCCACATGGAACCATGTCAGGGCTGCAAGTGAAGCCATTCAACCTTTTTCCCCCCATCAAAAAAACTGGAGAACTATAATGTGCATAAAGTGCACATAACATAAATGTTGTTTATATTTAATTTAATTTAATTTTTGAGACAGGGTCTCACTCTGTTCCCAGACTGGTCTCAAACTCCTGGCTCAAGTGATCCTCCTGTGTCTGCTTCCCAAAGTGCTGTGACTGCAGACATGAGCCACCTCACCTGGCCAAAATATTCAGTTTAATAATTATGAAGCAGATACCCATGTAAACATCGTTACAAAAGATCATTGCTAGCATGCCAGAAGCCCCAGTGTGCCCCTTTCCAATCATATCCCTCTCTCTAACCCTAATAGGTAACCACTATCCTGACCTTTGTAATAATTTTCTTGTTTTTAAAATGTAGTTCTGGCCTGGCGTGGTGGCTCATGCCTGTAATCCCAGCACTCTGGAAAGCCAAGGTGGGTGAATCACCCACGGTCATGAGTTTGAGACCAGCCTGGCCAACATGGTGAAACCCTGTCTCTACTAAAAATATAAAAATTAGCTGGGTGTGATGGAGGGCACCTGTAATTCCAGCTACCCAGGAGGCTGAGGCAGGAGAATCCCTTGAACCCGGGAGGTGGAGGTTGCAGTGAGCCAAGATCGCACCATTGCACTCCAGCCTGGGCAACAAGAACAAAATTCCATCTGAAAAAATAAATAAAGCAATTCTCCTGCCTCAGCTTCCCAAGTAGATGGGATTACAGGCACCCACCACCACGCCTGGCTACTTTTTGTATTTTTAGTAGAGATGGGGTTTCGCCCTATCGGCCAGGCTGGTCTCAAACTCCTGACCTCAGGTGATCCGCCTACCTCCCAAGGTGCTGGGATTAAAGGCGTGAGCCACCGCGCCTAGCATATGTTTATTTTTAATTTAGAACTCATCGTGGCTTGTCTATATACATTGGAATAATGATGTGACACACAAACTGTTGTGAAAAATGTCAGTTACTTTGAATGTAAGCATTTTTTCCAAAATCACTTATGTGTCTAAACCAATTCCTTCTATAAATCAGTAAGAAAATGATAAAACAATTCAACAGGAAAATGAACAAAGGCCAGAAAACTCAGAGAAGAAACACAAATGTTCAATAAACATATAAAGATACTAAATTAAATTCATGAGTAATCAGAAAAATTCACATTTAGATGGAATCCCTTTTATTCATCCATAACTTCAGCAAAAAGTTGGAGAATACCCAGCGGTGAAAAGGTGTTGGGAAATGAATGCTGTCATATTCTGCTGACAATAGAGTAAGTTGGCACAAAATTTTTGAAGGCAATTAAAATTTTATATCTACATAGTCTTCACCCCAAGAATTCCATTTCCAGATATCTATGCTACAGGAATACTTGCACATGTTCACAAAGAAGCATGTACAGGGATTTCATTGCAGCAATGCATGTAACAAGAAAACTAAGCATAATCTAAACATTCATCAATGGGGGAATTATTAAATAAACCATGATGCATCCATACTATGGATTATGCAGGAGTTTAAATGAATGGGGTGACCCTCTCAGTACTGGGAAGGAAAGAAATCTAAGGCATATCATGAAGTGAAAGAATCAAGTTGCAAGATGTTACCCTTTATGCGAAGAAAAAATTTTAAAACCACAAAACAAATCTATTTTGCTTTATGTAAATATGTATGTAGGTAAATGAGGAAAAGTCTGGAAGCATGTATACTAAATGCAGAGTAGCATTACTTCAGGGATGAGGGAGTAGGGCACAAGGAGAGTTTTTGTTATATCTGTTATTGCATTTTTATATATTAAAAATGGAATCATGGGCTGCGGGTGGTGGCTCATGCCTGTAATATGAACACTTTAAGAGGCCAAGGTGGGAGGATCACTTGAGCCCAGGAGTTCAAGACCAGCCTAAGCAGCATAGGAAGACCCTGTCTCTACAAAAAATACAAAATTAGGTGGGTGTGGTGGCATGCACCTGTGGTCCCAGCTACTGGGGAGGCTGAGGTGAGAGGATCACTTGGGCCTGGGAGGTGAAGGCTGCAGTGAGCTGTGATTGTGCCACTGCACTGCAGCCCAGAGGACAAAGTAAGACCCTGTCTCTGAAAAAAAAAAAAAAAAAAAAAAAAAGAGAACAAAAAGGAATATAACCATGTACTATTTGTATGATAAAAAATAAATTTAAATTGCCTCTTATTTTAAAGAGAGCCTACCAAATTTAATTTTAAAATAACCATACAATTGCAATCAACAGTGGTTGATTTGGGGCGTGGAGGAGAAATATCTTTCCTCAGAGGTACCGACCTCAAAATTCTGGACCAAGAAGGATCTTACAATGCAGTTAGCTTTTTGTCATATTTGGAGAGAATATACTCACAGTTTCTCGGTCCAACTGTATGCTTTCCATACATTTCCATCAATGTAAGAAATATAGTTTCCTTGGAAATTTCTGTGAAGAAACACAGTTTATATCCTTGAATAGGTAGGAAAACAATGAACACGATAAGTAAAAGAATCATTGCAATCTTGTTGGGGATATTCAGAAACAGAAAATAACACCTGCTTTCTCATTTCCAGAGCTATCAGCTTCCCAGTTTGCACAATTCATCAAGAAATTATGCGGGGTCACCGGCACAAATGATGAGGCATCTCCTGGAAGCTTAACTTCTTATCCATCCCATCTCTTGGACAGATGATGCCAGTTAATTACTTTGAATGTAAGTATTTTATCTAAAAGCACTTATGTGTCTAAACAGACTTCTACAAATCAGTACCAAAATGGTAAATAATTCCACAGAAATATGGGCAAAAGCTTATCATTATCAACAAATGAGAAGAAAGAAACCCTATGCCAGGTAACACCAAAGCTTTGGCCCAGTGCCCTCTGTTGAAACATCCTAGGCTTTTTCTTTCCACTCCTATTACAACTGATCTGATTTGGCCCCTTCACACCTCACTCCTAGATTTTGCTAGACCTTTCTATTTTGTCTCCCTGAATTAAGCTTTTCCTTTTGGACACTTTACATATGGATTCTAAAACAATCCTCTGCATGTCTACACTTGCACATAATGCAAAAAACAAAATAAAATAATCTTCCTGTTTTGATCATGTAATCTCTCTTGCTTGGAAACTTTCAATGGCTTTCCATACCTCATTGTGTAACTTTCAAACTCCTGTAGCTGATAATCAAGGTTTTACAGAATCGTATCTTCATTGCTCCCTCACCTAATTCTTTGTAGCCACATTGGTCTACTAAATTCCAACCATACCTGTAGCCATGCGTTTGCCTAGACTGTACTCCCATTTTTCTCCTATTTAACAAATTATGGCTACTCTTTAAGACCCAAGTAAAGTTTTAGCTTACCCATGTAGCATCTCCACACCTCAAGGATCACAGATTCTGGCAAATTCTAGCACCAATGGTCTGCATTATCTTTTAGTACTTAATTATATATACCTCCCTTTTTATGCCTATTCTCTTTCTTCCCTCCTATCATTTTTTTTTTTGAGATGGAGTCTTGCTCTGTCGCCCAGGCTGGAGTGCAGTGGTGCAATCTCGGCTCACTGCAAGCTCTGCCTCCCAGGTTCATGCCATTCTCCTGCCTCAGCCTCCCGAGTAGCTGGGACTCCAGGCACCCACCACCATGCCTGGCTAATTTTTTTCTGTATTTTTAGTAGAGATGGGGTTTCACCATGTTAGCCAGGATGGTCTTGATCTCCTGACCTCATGATCCGCCCGCCTCGGCCTCCCAAAGTGCTGGGATTACAGGCGTGAGCCACCACACCCAGCCTCTTCCCTCCTATCATTTTCGTGTTCTGGAGACAGTAGCATACTTGGCCCTGGGTTTGACATAAAACTAGTTCTACATATAGAAAGCTAGGGACAAAAATGAGTTCTGGACAAAACTAAAGGACTGAATAATCATGTGAACAGCCAACTCTCCTACATATGCTAAGCACTGATGAAGTGTTTCATATATTCACTCACCTAAATTTCACAACAATCCTATGAAATGCTAACTAGCATGATCCCCAGTTTAAAGGTGAGGAAATTGAGTCACAGGCAGAATAACTTGCTCTGGGTCACCAAGCTAATAAATAGATCTGGGTTCAAACCCAGGCAGCCTGGCTCCGGAATCAACTCTTAACCACTTAGAGCATCATCACTGAGATCGGGAGAGGGACAGGCTGCTGTAAAGAGGGTGAAGCGAAAATGGGAGGAGAGCAGCGGTTAAGCAATGATGTGATGGGGCTAAATAAAAATGGATACAAAAACGAGTAAAAGACCAGAGTAAAAGGAAAAGACTGGAGAAGGGGCCTAACATTAAAAGAGAATGAGGAGAAGGGAGAGTTGACAAGCAAAGGTGAAAGCAGAAAGTCAGTTGTCCATATGGCTTGGGGAGATAAAGAAGGCCCAGGAAGGCCTCCAGGAAAAGGCTGCCATGTCAGGCAGGACACAGAGGACAATTGAGGAAAAGTGATTCTTACAAGATGGTGAAGGTGCCATTGTGGGTGTTGGGCTCTGGCACAGGCACTTGGCGGAGCCTCTGCTCTGGGTTGAGATCAATACATGACAACATCTCATCTCCGCAGGTACAGAGCTCACATATGTTGGTGCTTGTGGAGGCCTTGTGTTCCTCTGGTGCAGTTAAAGCCTTATTTTGGGTGTAACTTTCAGACTGCACCAGTGAATCCTGAGCAGGTTCTAGTTCAGTAGGTGGACCTGTGACTTCAGTCAGGCTTCGATGCAGAGTCTGAACCCGGTCTGGACGAGGAGCTGTAGTCTTCTCCAGGGCTGTAGAATGTCTAGTCTCTGTAGTGGGTTCTGGAATGATGGCAAGTCCCAGGTCTGGAGGCTGAGTTGAGGTCTCCTCCGTGGTTGGAGATGGTTTAACCTCTGTAGTAGGTTTTGTAGTTATGGTAAGCTCCAGGTCCAGAGGTTGAACGGTGGCTTGAGTCAGGTGTGAATGCTGAGCCTGACCCTTGTCTGAAGGTGGAAGTGTCACCTCAGGGTGTCCTGGAGGAGGAGCTGTAGTCATCAGGGCTGTAGAAGGTTCAACCTCTGTCATGGATTTTGGAGTGATGGTAAACCCCAGGTCCAAAGGTTGAACTGTGGCTCGAGTCAGGTGTGAATGCTGAGTCTGAACCTGGTCTGGATGTGGAAGTGTCACCTCAGGATGCTTTGGAGAAACTATAGTCCTCTTCGGGGGTGTAGAATGTCCAACCTCCGTAGTAGGTTCTGGAGTGATGGTAAGTCCCAGGTCCAAAAGTTGAACTGTAACGCTGGGTGACACTGGATGCTGAGCTTGATCCTGACCTGGTGTTGGATTTGTTACCCCTTGATATACTCGAAGTTGGGGTACAACTTTCTTAGGAGGCTGAGTTGGGGTCTCCTTCATGGTTGGAGAAAGTTCAACCTCTGTCTTGGATTCTGGAGTGATGGTAAACCCCAGATCCAAAGGTTGAACTGTGGCTTGAGTCAGGTGTGAATGCTCTGGAGGTTGAGCTACAACTACATTAGGGAACTCTGGAGTCTGAGCTGGGGCCTCCTGATGGGTTAGGGAAGACTCACCCTCCTCAGCGGTCTGTGGATGCTCAGCTGCAGCCTCCTGCTGGGTTGGAGAGGGGTTCTCATTATTAATAGGTTCCGGAGATTGAAATGAAGTCTCCTGTTGAACTGCTAAAGGTCCAGCTTCTTCTGATGACTCTGGAAGCAGAGGTGGGCCCCCGTGCTGGATGGCGGGAGGTTCTACATCATTACCTGACCCTGAGAGCCGAGTTGTAGCCTCCTGGTGGACTAGAGAAGTTCCCACCTCTGCACTAGGCTCTGCTGCTATGGTGAGCTGCACGTCTGGAGGCTTCACAGAGACACTGGGTGAAGCTAAATGATGAGTTTGATGGTGACCTGGAGGTGAAACTGTGACTTCATGATGTTCTGGAGGCTGACCTGGGGTCTCCTGCTGGGTCGGAGAAGATTCGACCTCCCTAGGAGACTCAGAAGGCTGAACTGGCTGCTGCTGCTCACTGATGGAAAGTTCATGCTCCATAGGAGGAACTGGAGGCTCAATTGGGGCCTCCTGTTGGGTTGCAGAAGGTTCCACCTCCTCTGGAAACTGAATTGGGGTCTCCTGCTGGGCTTGGGAAGATTCTGTCTCATTGGTAGGCTCTGAAGTTATGGTAACCTCCACATCTGCAGGTTTAACTGTAATGTTGGGCAAGTGATAATAAGCTTGATCCTCACCTGGAGGTTGAACTGACACCTCATGATTCGGTAGAGTTAGACTCTCCATAGAGGACTCTGGAGGCAGAGCTGGGGCCTCCTGCTGCATTGAAGAAGGTTCTTCCTCAAGGAGCTGTGGAAGCTGTGCTGGGGCTTCTTGCTGGAGTGAAGAGGACTGGATGTCTTCAAGGGTCTCTGGATTTTGAGTTTCGGGCTCTAGATGGAATTGAGAAGGTCCAACTTGCTCAGAGGGCCCTGGAGGCTCATCTGACTTCACCCGGAGTTCTGGAGGCAGGCTACCGGGATACGGTGTATCTGTACTGGAATATTCATTCTGCAAAGTCTGTTTCTGACTCTGAGGTGTGGATAATTGGCGTGTAATTCCAATAATCTCAGCAAGGCTCCAACGCTGAGCTGGATCTTTCTTCAGCTTCTTGGGCGAAACAGGGAGTCTTTCCTGTGGACTCAGCTTGTCCTTTAAATCCTGCTGTGAAGCCAAGAACTGCTCTGGCTCCAGGGGCTGCTCTCCAGCTGAATCCCAGGTGTCCAGGAATGGAACCAAATTTTCAGTCGATTCCTGGGGTGGGGCTGGCATCTCTGAGGAAGCAGAGGGCCCCAGGTGATCAAAGTCCCACGGGTCTGCTGGGAGAGTAGGCGCATGGGGAGATTCCCGTGGGAAATGGGAGGAGTGGGAAGACCAGGAGTCAGGCGGCCCCAGGGGATTAGAGGTGAGCTGGAGCGGGTCCTTGACCCACTCCAGAGGCTGAGCCTCCTTAACTAGTAGCCACAATAGTTGCCACATAAGGAGGGGCCATGGGCCCCAGAAACGCAGCCGGGACATGACACACACTAGTGCCGGGCACTGAGCAGAAGACATTCTGGCAGCTCCGAGACGCTCGTGCCCCTTCTAAGCGTGAGCCCCGCCCTGTCTTTATGACACCTTTATTTATGTCACAGATCTGCTCCATGTCACCAGGGCACTCTTATGTCACAATCCCGCCCAAGCACGCCTTCCCATCCTGCCCTGCCGGAACACCCCTCTCCTCCCCTTAGTGAGGAAGGATTTGGGCCTCAGACCCTGGTGGTCCCAGGACTCCAGCGCCTGCTGTGGTGGGGTAGGGTGGGGTAGGGTGGGGTGGGGGCGCGGCAGAGCTTCCCAAGGAAGTCACCGGACCTCGCCTCAGGATATTCAGAAGTGCTAGTTCAGTTCTGGCAGCCTTCCTCCTTTAAGGTGAAATCCGAGAACACTCTTCCTTCCAGGGAGAGCAACTGACCTGCAAAATGGGCGCCAGGATGCACATTACAGTCACTTATTCCAAAGTGTTGCCATTTTCGCTAAACTGTCGCATGTTTGATAATTAATTCACCACCCTATTAGGTAGGGGCTGCCAGGGAATAAGCGAGGACTCCACATTTTCTGTAGGAGGGGTGTTGGGAGTTGGCAATTCGGTCTGGGAGAGAAGGTTTTAATCCGAGTGAAGAGCCCTTTGCACTAGCCTGGGAGGAGGCTGAACTGTCATCCTGCCTTGACTCAACACAGCCATTCCCCTAGAAGTTACAGCACTTCTAGGGTCACCTGTGTTCAGAGATCTACCCTGTGTGCACACATGGAGAAGAGGCTTAGGTTGTTAAAGTCAGCATGTTAAATCATTTCCTGAAATGCGACTGTAACTAGAACCCAGCTGACTTCCCCCACAGCCGTTCTTACCTATTTTATTACTGTCTGGCATAATTACCAGCATGTAAACTCCAAGAAGGTGCTTCATCTTATTTTAGTGCCTGGCATAGACATAGGGTGCATAGTGATGGCTTTAAAATTGAAGGGGGGCCGGGTGTGGTGGCTCACACCCATAATCCCAGAACTTTGGGAGGCCGAGGTGGGGGGATCACTGAGGTCAGAAGTTCGAGACCAGCCTAACCAACATGGTGAAACTCCGTCTCTACTAAAAATACAAAATTAGCCAGGTGTGATGGTGCATACCTGCAATCCCAGCTACTCAGGAGGCCAAAGCAGGAGAATCGCTTGAACCTGGGAGGCAGAGGTTGCAGTGAGCCGAGATCACAACATTGCACTTCAGCCTGGGCAACAAGAGAGAAACTCCATCTCAAAAAAATAAAATAAAATAAAATGGAAGAGATTCCAAGATTCACCTCATTTAGGGATGGAGCTATTGTTATAATCAGATTTCTGAAATGAGTGCTGACTTCCTCTCACATTTCACAGGAAGCTAGACTTCTTAAAGCTTGAAGTCTCCTTGGTGGGTTTTATTTAAATTGAATTAAAATAATTATTTTACAGGGAAAAATTTCAAAACACTTTGCAACTTTGGGGTAAAAGTTAAATAAAACACTGTAGCCCCAAGTTAAGTTCCCACTGAAATGATACTTTTGCTCCTTTTTTTAAAAAAAATTCCATAAATAGTAAATAATGACTGTTTTGAGATTAATTTAGAAACAATCCCTATTTAAGAGCTTTCATATGCAGTCATGCATTGCTTGCCACGTGAGGAGCTTGAGAAATGGGTCACTAGGTGATTTCACCATTGTGCTAATATCATAGCGTATACTTACACAAACCTAGGTGGTGTAGCCACCATACCTAGGGTACACGGTATGGCTTAGGACTCCTAGGCTACAAACCTGTACTGTATGTTACTGTACTGAATACTAAAGGCAACTGTCACAGAATGGCAGGTATTTGTGTATGTAAACATGGAAAATATATAGTTAAAATACTGTGTAAAAGATAAAAATGGGGCCTGGGCACAGTGGCTCATGCCTGTAATCCCAGCACTTTGGGACGCCAAGGTGGGTGGATCACTTGAGCTCAGGAGTTCAAGACCAGCCTGGCCAACATGATGAAACCCCATCTCTACTAAAAATACAAAAATTAGCTGAGTGTGGTGACGCGTGTCTATAATCCCAGCTACTCAGGAGGCTGAGGTAGGAGAATCACTTGAACCTGGGAGGTGGAGGTTGCAATGAGCTGGGATCATACCACCGCACTCCAGCCTGGACAACAGAGTGAGACTCCATCTCAAAAAAAAAAAAAAAAAAAAAAAAAAAAAAAGATAAAAATGGTATACCTATATAGGGATAGCTCCATTATACGCTTACGGAACCACCATCATATATGTGGTCTACTGTTGACGCAAACTTCATTTTGCAGCACATGATTGTAAATGATTGACAGAAAGATCTTCAGCAAAATATTCCACCCAAGATACGTGGGAGATATTGAGATCCAAGCAATAAGCCATATTTGAAAGGCATTATAGTTTTCAAAAGCTGTAGCGCAATCATTCTTAAGGCCAGTTACCTTCTCCCCACATCTCTGGGATCCTGTTTGAAGGGAGTTCTAACAAGGCCTGTGTTCGAGCAGCCCAGCATCCCTTACTCCTGGAGCGGGGGGAGACTAACCCCTCTCCTGTGTCCACAACTGTAGTAATACAATCCTCGGTTCTGCTCTCCAAACTTCAAATAAGGGGTCAGAGCCAAGGGTTAAGACTTTAGGAAAAGCCCCGGAAATACCCTGCACTCAAAAAGCAGTTTCAGAGTTTCACATTTTCCTGAGAATTAAACAAATTATCCTCCAAATTCTGCTGCTTGTTTTGAATTATGGTTATACTGGCAATGTTATCAAACCCTTGAGTTGTTTTTCTTTTCTTTTTTTTTTTTTCCTCGAGAGAGTGTCTTGCTCTGTCACCCAGGCTGGAATGCAGTGGCATGATCTCGGCTCACTGCAACCTCCGCCTCCTGGGTTCTAGTGGTTTTCATGCCTCAGTTTCCCAAGTAGCTGGGATTACAGGTGCCCACCACCACACCCAGCCAATTTTTGTATTTTTAGTAGAGACAGGGTTTCACCATATTGGCCAGGCTGGTCTTGAACTCCTGACCTCATGATCCACCCACCTCGGCCTCCCAAAGTGCTGGGATTACAGGTGTGAGCCACAGCGCCTGGCCTGTTTGTTTTTTGAGATAGAGTTTCACTCTTGTTGCCCAGGCTGGAGTGCAATGGTGTGATCTTGGCTTACCGGAACCTCCGCTTCCCGGGTCCAAGCGATTCTCCTGCCTCAGCCTCCCGAGTAGCTGGGATTACAGGCATGTGCCACCATTTCTCCATGTTGGTCAGTCTGATCTTGAACTCCTGACCTCAGGTGATCCACCCGCCTCAGCCTCCCAAAGCACTGGCATTACAGGTGTGAGCCACTGTGCCCGGCCCTGTTACCTTTGAGTTTTTATCTCCACATACTTATATTAAACCGTGTAGTTCTTCTTCCCATCTGACATCTACAATCTCTTCACTGGGTCTGTACTCCATAGCTATTTTACCACTTTCTGAAATAAAGTTAGCAAGGATGAATTCAGAATCTTTTTCATTCCAAAACTTCCTGCATATAATGGTAGCAACCCACAATGAGACATTCTTTTAGTTTCTAAAAGCAGGAAATAAGCATTTTCCTGAAAGTTTCCTCATCTCTTCATCATACACTTCGATTTTTGTTTTTCTTTTTTCTTTTAGACAGGGTCTCACTCTGTCACCCAGGCTGGAGTACAGTGGCACTATCATAGCTCACTGTAGCCTGGAATTCCTGGGCTCAAGTCATCCTCCTGCTTCAGCCTCCAGAGTAGCAGGCACTATATCACTGTGCCCGTCTAATTCTCTTTTTTAGAGACATGGTCCCGCTTTGTTTTCCAGGCTGGTCTCGAACTCCTGGCTTGAAGTGATCCTTCTGTCTTGGCCTCCCGAAATGCTGAGATTTCAAGCGTGAGTCATCATGTCTGGTCTCACAGCTCAGTTTTTAACATATGTATGAAATATCAACTGTGTTTGGTTCAAAGGACTTTATGATCTTACAGATAGGAACTAAGGAATAATAACGTAAGAAATAAAAAATGTGGAAATAAAAATGTTCAATCATAACATGATTAAAAGGTAAGGCACCAGGTGGGGGGTCGAAGTAAGTTCAAATCCAAAATAGAGACCACTGGGCTAGTAGACACTTCACATTAGAAGCATGGCTAGGTGTCTACTCCCTGAGAACCAAAATTCCACCAGATACAATGAACAAAGCTTTAGAGAGAGAAAACATTTGAACATTTTACGGGCAGAAAATGGCCCACATACTCTATAGACAATACAATTTCCTTCAAGGCAAACTAGAACTATAAGGCTTTTGGTCTAAGAAGTGAGTGTGTGCAAGGGATACCTTTGCATACTAGGGAGGGGTAGACAACCCACACATTTAGCTTGGTTATTAAATGTCATTACTCAGACTTGACAGTTGATGACCAAGGAAGTAAGACTTTCACTAGAAGGGCTGCCCAGGTTGGAAAGCTGAGAGCAATCAGGGCCACCTCTTACAAGCAAATAAAGGTCTGTAGTAACTTAATTACAATCTCAGTCTCTAAGCCTTCAGGGTTGTGAAGCAGAAAGGCAACTCTGTTCAGGGACTCGTTAAACACCAGGTTTCCTTTGGGCACAGGCTATGACATTTGTGCCACTGTAGAACTGAATAGGAAATACAAGCAGTGCCATTCAACAGCATGACCACTTCCAAGGCTCACAGCAAAGCAGCTGATTATTGTATAAGAATCATATTTGGCCAATATGTCAGTGCCAGAAATGAGAGCTGGAACTGAATTCTCGATTCGAGAAACATAATCTAATAAATTCTTCAGCAGAGTTTATTTATTCAGAGAGAAAACAATCACAACAATAGCATATTTTGTCTGCTTACCTTGTAAGTATAGTTCTGAGTTTTTACACTTGTCATCTCATTTTTTCTTACAATATCAGCAATAAGGTTGATTGGATTACTAACCCCAGTTTGCAGATAAAGATTGCAGCTTAGAGATATTAAATATCTTCAAATCTCTCTGGCCATAAGACCTAAAACTGCATACAAAAATCTAAGAGACAGAGTTAGGACTCAAATCCATGTGTCCAGGGCTTATAATCACTATTCTGTACGATAGGCATGCAATTAAAGAAGACCTGCCTCAAACATTTTCTGTGTGACCTGAGGCAAGTCCTTTTATAGCTATAAACTAGGGACAATATTTGCTGTCATTTTTTCTACAAATGTCACAAAGAACAAATTTGAGCCTGTCGCTGTGAAAGAACTTAGCAAATGAAAGCATCCTAGGGAGTGTTTTAGATATCGATATTTTTATCCAATTAACTTTTCAAAATGAGTTTATTTGCTCACTGAAACTGAAGTACTTCAACGACGATTAAGAAAGTTTTACCTAGAACCACAATCAACAGTTTCTGGAATGCATCTGACAAAGCCTTCTCAATAGCAATCTGGGCTATCTTCCCTTTCATAGGAATGACAACGGTCTTAAATCCAACCCAAACTAATGGATTTAAGATGCCTATCTGAGTGATCATTGCTACATGTTGGTTAAAAAATAAAAATGCATCCACGAATCTTAGCTCATAATCTTCGTGATTAAAGGCAGACAGCACAAGGGTATGGTTGAACGTCTCTGTTATAGGTACATCCTGGCAGGGCCCATTTTTACTGCCTCCATCTAGTTGGGAAGTTCCTAAAGTACTAGAGGGAGACATAAGCCAAGAACCTGGCACATATCTCACATCACCCAGAGATTTAATTCATCAGTTAAGGCTACACTCCTATGGACCCCACCCTCCTATGCATCAAGGGCTGGAATCACTCACTGAAAAAAAGCTTTGTTGGCTGGACACGGTGGCCCATGCCTGTAATCCCAGCACTTTAGGATGCCAAGGCGGGTTGAGGCCAGGAGTTCAAGAACAGCCTAGCCAACGTGGTGAAACCCCATCTCTCCTAAAAATACAAAAATTAGCCGAGTGTGGTGGCACACACCTGTAATCCCAGCTACCTGGGAGTCTGAGGCACAAGAATAGCTTGAACCAGGAGGCGGAGGTTGCAGTGAGCCGAGATCATTCCACTGCACTCCAGCCTGGGTGACAGAGTAAGACTATTTTCAAAAAGAGGCCAGGCACAGTGGCTCATATCTGTAATCCCAGTACTTTGAGAGGCCAAGATGGGCAGATCACTTGAGGTCAGGAGTTTGAGACCAGCCTGAGCAACATGATGAAACCCTGTCTCTACTAAAAAATTTTTTAAAAATTAAAAATTGGCTGAGTGTGGTGGTGGGCAGGAGGGAGGTGAACTGCTTGAACCTGGGAGGTGGAGGTTGCAGTGAGCCGAGATCACACCGGTGCACTCCAGCCTGGGCGACAGAGCAAGACTCTGTCTCAAAAAAACAAAAAAGGTTTGGTACAGATAATCTGGCTCCTCCCTGGGCATCATCCATGAAAGCCTACTCCCCTCCATTAGCCTACAGCCCTGCCTCTGACTTCAAACCCTAAGCCTGAGGGCCATGAATACTAGAAAAAAATCTCAACGTCAGTTATCAATTGAGTACCCTTTCTAGTATCTCTAGTAGACTCTTGTTCCACTGAAGCCCTTCTACGAGTAAAAAAAAGGCTGAATGGGCCGGGCGCGGTTGCTCATGCCTGTAATCCTAGCACTTTCAGAGGCCAAGGCAGATGGATCACGAGGTCAGGAGTTTGAGACCGGCCTGACCAACACAATGAAACCCCATCTCTACTAAAAATACAAAGATTAGCCAGGCATGGTGGTGCATGCCTGTAATCCCAGCTACCCAGGAGTGTCAGGCAGGAGAATCACTTGAACCTGGGAGGTGGAGGTTGCAGTGAGCCGAGATCACACCACTGCACTCCAGCCTGCGCGACAGGGCAAGACTCTGCTTCAAAAAAAAAAAAAAGACAATGTTTACACAAAACTTTCTGTAAATCTTTACATGATGACTTGGCATGGTGGGTGGCTCATGCCTATAACTCCAGCACCTTGGGATCCTGGGGGAAGAGGATCACTTGAGGCCAGGAGTTTGAGACCAGGCAGGACAACACAGCAAGACCCCATCTCCAGAAAAAATAATTAGCCACATGTGGTGGCACACGCCTGTAGTCCTGGCTAGTCAGGAGGCTAAGGTGGGAGGATCCCTTGAGCCCAGCAGTTTGAGGTTGCAATGAGCTATGAGCATGCTACTGCACTCTAGCCTGGGCAACAGAGCAAGACCCTGTCTCTAAAAAATAATAATAAATAGATAAACAAATCTTTAGATAATTTTGTTGGGATAACTGAAGGCTATAAGAGATACATATTTGAAGGACTATTTTAGACGAGATTGGGTGCGTTCAGGGTGGTATGGCTGTAGACTTGAAGGACTATTTTAATACAAAGCAAGTTCTTAACCGAAAACTGGAAAAACATTACTTCCTTCTTCCTCCTACGCTTCTTGGCAGGAAGTACACTGTACAATTTTAAATTTAAAGGTTCTGGCCGGGTGGGGTGGCTCACACTTGTAATCCCAGCACTTTGGGAGGCCAAGGCAGGCAGATCACGAGGTCAGGAGATCGAGACCATCCTGGCCAACATGGTGAAACCCCATCTCTACTAAAAATACAAAAATTAGCTGGGTGTGGTGGTGGGCGCCTGTAATCCCAGCTACTCAGGAGGCTGAGGCAGGAGAATGCCTTGAACCCGGGAGGCGGAGGTTGCAGTGAGCCGAGATCACGCCACTGCACTCCAGCCTGGTGACAGAGCAAGACTCTCTCTCAAAATTAGTTAATTAATAAATCAATTTATTAAATAAATTTATTAATTAATAAATCAATGTATTAAATCAATTTATTAATTAATAAATCAATGTATTAAATCAATTTATTAAAGCAATTTATTTACTTATTTAAAGGCTCTGTCAGGTATTGCCTAAGGTAAAAGTCTGTATTGTAAGACAGAAAACCTCTGCCCAGGACTTCAGTAGCTCAGAGAGGGAAAGGCTTGATATGTGTCTGAAAAGACAAGTTTTAGACAGCAAGAAAAAAGAGATCCTTCCCATTTCAACTCCTTACCCTCCTCTACCCCCAATGAAAACAGACCTTCCTTCGCCTTATCCACAGGCTCCTCCACCAAGCCAAGGCCAGACTCCTGCAATCATAGGATGGCAACACCACCTCTAAAGCACAGAACTTCAGGCTTTGCTTCGGAAGTGGCACCATGGTCTCTTCATTTTCCCTTTCTTCAAGGTCAGAAAACTGAAGCTGTTAGGAGTTTTAGTGTTAAGTTCCTTCCGAGGATGTTAATTAGGCTTCAAACTGTTTTGTTCTGAGAAATAAAAACTAAACTCCAGTCATTCAAGCTAACAGTTGAGGTGTTCTATGGCTTCAAAATCAAGTAAGATTTGTAAATGAATTGCTAGGTGCAACCATTACTTATTATATGCCACACAAACAGTGGAGAAAATTATGGACACCACCATCCAAGTGATTGAGATTATTAATTTTAGGTAGCAGGCCAATTCAGACATGTCCACTTATCCTCAATGGCAGGGGGCCTCTCACATCCCCTCCCTGTAACCCAGTTCAATACTTCTGTCTAAAGTCTAGAATTTCAATGTTGAAAGGAGAGCGTGGTTAGTGAGAGAAAATCCACAAAGTTTATCCTGATGATCCTTTCTGACCATCCATTGAAACCAAAGTAGTAATTCACCAGTTCTTGGCATCAGGAGCTGTTTCAGGCAAGGGCCTGATGTGCAACTGCCTTATGTCTGCTGCCAAGAGGAACCTAAAGTCACAAGAGACAGACCCACAAATATCACAGCCTGCCAGAGATTTTATTTTGGATACACCTGAGATTTATCAATACCAACTGTGCAAAGAAAAGAAATTGTTTCAGTCTTCCCATTCAGTAGCTCCTTCTTGAGAACATGACCTGAAGAATAGATAAGATGAACCCACCCATCCCCCACCCCAAGTTACCCCTGCTTAAAGAGGAAATACACATACCTCTATACATTTTACAAGCAACTAAAACAACTAGAGGTTCATCTGCATGTATAAGCTTCTTTGACAATGCAAATATCTACTGAGTGTTAATTCTTGAAATATTTTACACATTTCTGTGAATTTCTTACATCACCAGTTCTTTCTTATGTCTATTTCATTTTGTAAGTGTAGAATATGATTATATTCATGAAACTCAAATGATACAAATAGTCAAATTTATTGTATTAGAAATTAATAAGAATAGTAAAGTTAATTCTTTGTTGATTTGTTTATGCACCTTCCTCTGTCACTGGTTTATAAGCTCCATAAGTGCCAGAGGAAAACATATCTTATTCTTTTTTCATTCCCAGAACAAAGCACAGTTCTTGGCATACAATACAGGATAGATGGTCTGTTGATTGAGTGAATGAATAAAACAATGAGCAAGTAAAAAATGAAATTACTTTTTCCCACTGAAGAGAAAGAGAAACGCTTGTTGGGAAGGAGAAATGAAGACTATTTTTTTTTTTTTTTGAGACGGAGTCTCCCTCTGTCGCCCAGGCTGGAGTGCAGTGGCATGATCTCGGCTCACTGCAAGCTCCGCCTCCCGGGTTCACGCCATTCTCCTGCCTCAGCCTCCAGAGTAGCTGGGACTACAGGCGCCCCCCACCACTGCCGGCTAATTTTCTGTATTTTTAGTAGAGATGGGGTTTCACCGTGTTAGCCAGGATGATCTCCATCTCCTGACATCGGGATCCACCCACCTCAGCCTCCCAAAGTGCTGGGATTACAGGCGTGAGCCACCACGCCTGGCAATGAAGACTAATTTTTAAACGTTGAGTGCTACCACGGAGACCAGCCTGTAACATGAGTCACAGTGGAGACTTTCGGAACATCTAGGAAACTTCAGAAGGGCTCTGAGCCCCTGGGTGGTACAGACAGTTGTCACCTTGGATAACATTGCCACAGTTCTTGCTGGTGACCATTTCCCTTCATTTCACTGAAACAAAAACAAAAACAAAAAACCCTCACAGGTGCCTTAGGCCTTTCCTTGATTTTAAAACATTATTCTCTTTTCTGTATTTATAAAAAGCAAAAAAGACAGCAACTAGGTGTATGTGCTAAAGTAGAAAAGAACACTTAAGGCCAGGAGCAGTGGCTCATGCCTGTAATCCCAGCACTTTGGGAGGCTGAGGTGGGCAGACTGCCTGAGGTCAGGAGTTCGAGACCAGCCTGACCAATATGGTGAAACCCTGTCTCTACTAAAAATACAAAAACTAGCAGGGCGTGGTGGTGGGTACCTATAATCCCAGCTACTTGGGAGGCTGAGACAGGAGAATCTGGGAGGCAGAGATTGCAGTGAGCAGAGACCGGGCCATTGCACTCTAGCCTGGGGAACAAGAGTGAAACTCCACCTCGAAAAAACAAAAAATAAAAGGACCCTTAAACTAGATAACAGTGGGGGTCAAGTAGTAACCCAAGGCTCTGAGTTCAGTAAGTAAATAAATCTAATATGAATGCCCTCTCCTCTCACTCATCTATTAACTTGTAGAACATTTCCTTCATTACTGCATCAGCGATGAGCTTTATGCTGTGAAATTCTCAAAATCTAAAGCTTATGAAGTGGTCTCAAGGTCCAAAGCGCACTAAAAACTCATTACTTACAAAATGATGCCAAGTAACTGTTTCATCATCTTTACCATACCTTTACCATATTTGAGTGGCTATGTGAAATGGTCACAGGTTAGAAACACATCATCGTCCAAAAGTTAAATAATATTTCACAGGTAATCATTTCAGTCACAGGAAGTGGAACCAGGATTGAAGAGGGTGTTGAATAAGCTACAAAAGTGGGTATAGTATACCTGGAGTCATTACTAAGCAGAGTTCTCAGATTTGATCAAGGTTAATTCAATGAGAAATGGAATATAGACAATAGGCAACAAGATTAGCAGGAAGCAGTCAGATCAAGTAGCCAATCAGGAATTGAAATCGGTCCTTGAAAATGGAAAGGTGATTGAATTGAGGCATACAATGAGATATCATTCTGTGGCTCTGGGAAAGTAAAATTGGTTGGCATGTTAACATGGAATAGGATTTCTACAAGGCCGCTTAAAGAATGTTTCCATCCTCTGAGAACTGAAGGGAGTTCCAAATAGGCAGTTTGTGACTGATGATGAGCATGTTGATGATAAAGTCTCCTTTATATAACAGCCGGCAGACGACTTGGTCACGCCCACACATTTTAAATTCACATAAAGGTAAATATATGGTCAGGCGTGGTGGCCCACACCTGTAGTCTCAGCACTTTGGGAGGCGAAGGCGGGTGGATCATTTGAGGTCAGGAGTTCAAGACCAGTCTGGCCAACATGGTGAAACTCTATCTCTACTAAAATACAAAA
Source organism: Homo sapiens (assembly GCF_000001405.40). Lineage (NCBI taxonomy): Eukaryota > Metazoa > Chordata > Mammalia > Primates > Hominidae > Homo > Homo sapiens. The sequence goes on along the minus strand of NC_000017.11, from coordinate 46,501,343 downwards.
ATTAGCCAGGCATGGTGGTGCATGCCTGTGGTCCCAGCTACTCAGGAGGCTGAGGCAGGAGAATCGCGTGAACCCGGGAGGCGGAGGTCGCAGTGAGCCAAGATCGCACCACTGCCCTCCAGCCTAGGCAACAGAGACTCCGTCTCAAAAACAAGTCAATATAGCTGGGCATGGTGGCTTGTACCTAGCTACTTAAGAGGCTGAGGCAGGAGGATTGCTTGAGGTCAGGATTTACAGACCAGCCTGGGCAACACAGGGATATTCTGTCTCTAAAAAAATTTTAAAAAGTACCACCACCATGCCCAGCTAATTTTTTTTGTATTTTTAGTAGAGACGGGGTCTCACCATGTTAGCCAGGCTGGTCTCAAACTCCTCACCTCAGGTGATCCACCCGCTTCAGCCTCCCAAAGTGCTGGGATTACAGGCATGAGCCACAGTGCCCGGCCCAGAACTTGCATTTCTAACAATTCCCAGGTTGTGCTGTTTGGGGAACCATACTTTGAGAAACACTTCCCTATAATCTGATAGGTTATTTCCCCTAAGATCCAGATGAGTAAAAATTAATACACATTAGATGAAATTCCAGAAGTTATCTTCAAACTTTGCTACTCATTGAATGTCATGAAGATATTGGAAAAAAAAGAAAAAAACAAAAAACAACCTTGCTACTCAACAAGGGATTTGCTATTATCACATTTCAGAGAAATTCAGAACCTCAGGCCTAAACCCAGGCCTACTAAATCAGGATCTGCAGTTTCTCACAATCTTCAGGTGATTTCTATGGTCATTAAAGTTTGAAAAGCTGCCTCGAAACAGTCCTTCCTAAAACTGAAGTGGAGGTGCCACAAAAATCATCTGGTAAATTGTTTAAAGTAATCCCAAATGCAACTCAAATCTACAGAATCCCAGGTGAAGCTCAGTAATCTGTATTTTTATCCTTCTCCCCAAATAATTCTGATGTGCAGGCAAGTTTGAAAACCACTGCTTTAAAGAAAATGGATACTCCCCTTACCAAGCAGAAAGTAGGATTTTGGAAACTGATGCAAGGGAAGCAAAAAGATGCCTCAGGAGGCACGATTACAACAGGATTGATGCAAACGGAAGCTGAAGCTTAACCAAAGACATTAATATACGCCCACAAAAGAAAATGCTAAGGAAGTCAAGTGGTCTGCATGAATTCTGAAGAAAAATGGAGAACCAAAGAACAAAATTTGTCAATGAACTTCCAGCACAGTCTAGGTTAAGGGAGTGAATTTCTTGACTGAATGGCACAGACTCTGTACCACCTGATTGGCTGTTACCTTAATGGAGGAATTATATTACAATGTATAGGTACTTTAATTAGAATGACCTGGCAGTTACTGAGGCAAAATTTTCCGCTCCTTTGTATTCTGTAATACAAGAAGGATCTACATGGATGTTCTGTTCTCTGAACTGTCTGGATGAACCGGTCAACGGCACTCATCATACCTTAGTTTTTAAATCTGCATTGTGGTCATAATCTGTTATTTAATTAATTTCTCGTATTTTTATAAAAACTTTGCCTATATATTTTAGACAGAAATTGCCTTACTTTGCTGAAATGCTGAGAAATCCTAGACAGTTTTCAAGGCTGGGCTCAAATGTCACCTCTACTACCCTTTGCTGTGCCTCCTGGCACTGTGCTTCTGACACTTTGTACGGTCCTCCATGACAGCGTGAGCACAATTATATTACAGGCAATTACTCATGCCCCCCTGGCTCATCTGTTGACTCCTTTAGAGCACAGATCATGTTTTATTTATTGTAGCAACTAAAACAATTATCTGTTCAACCAATGACACCCATAAACAAAACTACCTGCTGAGGGCAGAGATGCAGGGGTAAAGTCATGCCAAGATTGAACCCCAGAAACCACTGTAGATTTTTCAGAGTTGACTCCTGCGTTTTCAGACTTCTAGACTTCAAAAAACAACTTCTATAAAATGTATGTTTCTAGAAGGAAGAAGAGTAACATTGTCCCCCCACCTTTTTTTTTTTTTTTTTTTTTTTTGAGCTGGAGTCTTGCTCTGTCGACCAGGCTGGAGTGCAGTGGTGCAATCTTGGCTCCCTGCAACCTCCACCTCCCAGGTTCAAGCCACTCGCCTGCCTCACTTCAAGTAGCTGGGATTACAGGAGCCCACCACCACACCCGGCTAATTTTTATATTTTTAGTAGAGACGGGGTCTCACCATGTTGGCCAGGCTGGTCTCAAATACCTGACCTCAAGTGATCCACCTGCCTAGGCCTCCCAAAGTGCTGGGATTACAGGCGTGAGCCACCATGCCTGGCCTATAGAGTGCTTTCTATTTGCCAGACATTGTGCTAAGCACTTTAAAATGCATTCTTTCATTTTATCCTCAGATCAGCTCCATAAAATAGCTACCATTATTACCTCTACATGTATATACATATATATGTATATATATGTAGATATATATACGTATATCTACATACATTGAAAGTCTCAGCAGTGTTTTAACTTTTGCTTTCAACCACTATACATATTTTAAAGAGCTTAAGAGGAGAAACAACCGTTTGCATTTTTAAATTTTCCCAGATACCATTTCTGCTGCTCTTTATCTCTGAAGTTCTAGTATTACCACTGGTATAATTTTCCTTTGGCCTAAAGACCTTCTTTTACTTTTATTTTAGAGCAGAACTTCCGCCAACACATTCTCTTAGATTTTCTTCATCCAAAATGTCTTTCTTCTTTTTCTTTTTGCCTTAATTGTTGAAGGGTATTTTTGCTGGATATAGAATTCTGGATTGACATTTCTCTCAGTACTTTAACGATGTTCTGTAGTTACTTGAATCGCTGAAAGGCTTAAAGTTGGGGACCAGCTCTATCACCTATACATTTTATAGAAAGGTTCATTACTTTCATATCTTCATTGTGGACCATAGCCTTTATCATCACAAAATTTTGTCTCATTTATGAGTTTTTAAATTTTGCTTTGAACCTAAACTTTTATAACTCCTTTCTATTTCCTACAATGTGGAGTTTATGGCGGACAGCACAGGCAGTTGGAAATATATATCTGGAGTTTAGAAAAGAGGTCTAGGTAGGAAAATGGATCTAGAAGTCATTGATATTTTGGCCGGGCGCGGTGGCTCATGCCTGTAATCCCAGCACTTTGGGAGGTTGAGGCAGGCTGATCACAAGGTCAAGAGATTGAAACCATCCTGGCCAACATGGTGAAACCCCGTCTCTACTAAAAATACAAAAATTAGCTGGGTGTGTTGGCACACACCTGTATTCCCAGCTACTCGGGAGGCTGAGGGAGGAGAATCACTTGGACTCAGGAGGCAGAGGTTGCACTGAGCCAAGATCGTGCCACTGCACTCCAGCCTGGTGACAGAGTGAGACTCTGTCTCAAAAAAGTCATTGATATTTTGGTGGTAATTGAGTCAACTGATAATTAGGGGAAAGTTGGGGAAACTAAATGCTGAGGACTATCACATGTAAGAGGGATGTTTGAAGGAGGAATAACTGGTCAAGGAAATCAGGTCATAAGTGGCAACAGGAAATTTAAGAAGGATGTAGTAGCCAAAGGTATCATACATGCATTGTATATGTATGTAGATATATATCTTTCAATGTATGTAGATATACATCTACATACATACACAATGTATGCATGTAGATATAATATACACTGAAAGTATAGATACATATCTACATACATTGAAAGTGTATATAGATATATACACACATACACACACACATATATACAATTATAAGGGGGGGCTAGAATAAAGAAACCTATATGTTTGCAATACTTTTACATTTTATTTAGAGGTAAAATGCTAACTCTAAGTAGGTAGGTTAGGTATATATTTTGTAATTCCTACAGCAAAAACACAGCACAGATATAACCAAAAGCCAATTAATAAAACATAACACTAAAAAATATTCAGTTAATCCAAAAATAGGCAGAAAAAAGAAACAGAAGAAACCCCCCAAAAAAGAAATAACCAGAAAACAAATAATAAAAAGGAAACCTAAATCCAATCATCATCAATCATATTAAATGTAAATGGTCCAAAACACATTAATTAAAAGACGCTGTCAGATTACATTTAAAAGAAAAACGAAAAAACAAGAAACCATTTGAAAATATAATGATATGGCCAAGTATGGTGGCTCACGCCTATAATCCCAGCGTTTTGGGAGGTTGAGGTGGGCAGGTGGCTTGAGCCCAGGAATTCAAGACCAGCCTGGGCAACATGGCAAAACCCCATCTCTATTTTTACAAATTAAAAAATAAATGAATATCATGATATCTAGATTAAAAGCAAAAGGGTAGAGAAAGATATGTCATTTTAACACTAGTCAAAAACAGTATTATACTACTAATATAAAACACTAATTTTATATTAATATTAAGTAATTTTTTTTTTTTTCCCCGAGATGGAGTCTTGCTCTGTTACCCAGGCTAGAGTGCAATGGCATGATCTTGGCTTACTGCAGCCTCTGCCTCCCAGCTTCAAGCAATTCTCTGGCCTCAGCCTCCCAAGTACTTGGGATTACAGGCAGCTGCCACCGTGCCTGGCTAATTTTTGTATTTTTAGTAGAGACGGGGTTTCACCATCTTAGCCAGGCTGGTCTCGAACTCCCGACCTCAGGTGATTCACCTGCCTCGGCCTTCCAAAGTGCTGGGTTTACAGGCATGAGCCACTGCACCAGGCCTGTTTTGTTTTGTTTTTTTTTTTTTCTTTTGAGATGGAGTCTTGCTCTGCTTCCCAGGCTGGGGTGCAGTGGCGTGATCTCGGCTCACTGCAATATCCAACTCCCGGATTCAAGTGATTATCTTGACTTAACCTTCTGAGTAGCTGGGACTACAGACGTGTGCCACCACACTAGGCTATTTTTCTCTTTTTAGTAGAGATGGGGTTTCGCCATGTTGTCCAGTCTGGACTCGAACTCCTGACCTCAGGTGATCCACCCGCCTCGGCCTCCCAAAGTGCTGGGATTACAGGCATGAGCCACCATGTCTGGCCAAATAATGGTTTTTAATATAATGATTATTACCAGAAATAAAGGTTATTTCAGAATGATAAAGGGGTCAAATAATCAAGAGGACAAAACTGTAAATGTTTCTGCATCTAATAACAGTGCCTCAAAATACAGGAAGCATAAACAGACAGAATTTTAAGGAGAAAGAGAACAAACCCATAACAATCATTGCAGACTTCAACACTCCTTTCTCAGTAATCACTAGAACAAGCAGACAGGAAATCAGCAAGGATAGGGAAGACCTTAACACGATCAACCAACTTGACCTAATTATTATTTATGAAACACTTTACCTAACGGCAGCAGAACACATCTTTCCTATTACAAACTGAACATTGACCTAAACAAACAATGTTTCAGGCCATATACAAACCTCTACATTTTTTTTTAATTCATCATAACGAGTATGTTCCCTAACCATAATGGAATTAAATTAGAAACCAACAACAAAGATGTCTGGGAAATCCCTAAATGTTTGAAAATTAAACAATACGTTTTAAAACAAATCATGGGTCAAAGAGTAAGTCATAGTAGAAATTTTACAATATTGTGAACCAAATGAAAATGAAAATAAAACATGTATCACAAATTCTAAGATATGTTTTTAAAAGTGCACAAAGGGGCTGGGCGCAGTGGCTCATGCCTGTAGTCCCATCACTTTGGGAGGCCAAGGCAGACGAATCACCTGAGGTCAGGAGTTCGAGACCAGCCTGGCCAACATGGTGAAACCTCATCTCTACTAAAAATACAAAAATTAGCTGGGCGTGGTGGTGGGTGCCTGTAATCCCAGCTACTTGGGAGGCTGAGGCACGAGAATAATTTCAACCTGGGAGGTGGAGGCTTCAGTGAGCCAAGATCGCACCACTGCACTCCAGCCTGGGCAACAGAGCAAGATTTTGTCTCTAAAAACAAAAACAAAAACAAAAAAACGCATAAAGGAGCACAGTGGTTTAGCCTGGAATCCCAGCACTTTGGGAGGCCAAGGCAGGAGGATTGCTTGAGCAAAAAAATTCAAGACCAGCCTGGGCAGTATAGTGAGAACTCATCTCTATTTAAAAAGAAAGAAAGAAAAATCAAAGAAAATGAGGTATACATGCACAAGAGGATATTATTCAGCCATTTAAAAAGTGAAGTCATCTATAAAGCTTAAGGTTTGGAAAATAAAATCTGTTTGCAGCAACATGGATAGAACTGGAGGACATTATGTTAAGTGAAATAGGCCAAGGGCAGAAAGACAAGTATCACATATTCTCATTCATATATGAGAGATTAAGAAGTTGATTTCATGGAGATAGGCAGTAGAATGATGGTTACCGGGGGCTGGGAAGCAGGTAGGGATGAAGACAAGTTGATTCATGGGCATAAAAACTCAGCAAGATAGAAGGAATACGTTTCAGTTTTTATTTGCACAGTAGGGTGACTAGAGTCAACAATAACTTAGTGTATATTTTAAAATAGCTAGAACATTTGTTATCTTCCCAATACAAAAAAAAGGATAAACATCTGAGATGATGGATACCCTAATTAACCTGATTTGATCATTACACACTGTATCAATCTATCAAAATATTACATGTACCCTTATAAATATGTACACTCTACCTTAAGGAAACAGTGAAAAAAGAAGGTGTGGAACAACGACCACAACAAAATCAAAGAGGAAAATCTTTGTGAACTTGGGTTTGTCAGGCCAGGAATCAGCAAACCATGGCCAATCCACTACCTGTTTTTCTAATAATCGAAACAATATAATTGATAATTTGTAAATTATGTGAAATTCAAACTGCAGTGTTCATAAAGTTTTATTGGAACAGCCATTATCATTCATTTACATATTGTCTATGACTGCTTTCATTGCTACAATGGCAGAGCTGCAACAGGGACAGCAAGGCTGAAATATTTACTATCTGACCTTTTACAGAAAAAGTCTGGCAAGGTCTGGGTTAGGTAGAGCTGTTAGATGAACACCAAATGTGTAAAAGAAAAAATGTGGTTAATCAGACTTCATCAAAATTTAAAACTTATGCTCTGGGAAAAAGACACCGCTAAGACAATGAAACACAAGGCACAGATGGGGAAAATGTATGAACATCACACAGCCTAACAAAGCACTTATATCCAAAATATATAAAGAACTCTTACTACCCAACAGTAAGAAATTGGCCAGGCATGGTGGCTCATGCCTGTAATCCCAGCACTTTGGGAGGCCAAGGTAGGCAGATTGCTTGAGCTCAGGAGTTCAAGACCAGCCTGGGCAACATAGCGAAACCCCATCTCTATTAAAAATACAAAAATTAGCCACACATGGTGGCATGCATCTGTGGTCCTAACTACTTCGGAGGCTGAGGTGGTGGGAGGATCACCTTGAACCTGGAGTCGAGGGGAATGACAGGCTGCAGTGAGCCAAGATCATGCCACTGCACTCCAGCGTGGGTGAAAGAACGAGACTCTGTCTAAAAAAATAAAAGAGGCCTGGTGTGGTGGCTCACGCCTGTAATCCCAGCACTTTGGGAGGCCGAGGCAGGAGGATCACAAGGTCAGGAGATCAAGACCATCCTGGCTAACATGGTGAAACCCCGTCTCTACTAAAAATACAAAAAATTAGCTGGGCGTGGGGGCGGGTGCCTGTAGTCCCAGCTACTTGGGAGGCTGAGGCAGGAGAATGGTGTGAACCCGGGAGGGGGAGCTTGCAGTGAGTCAAGATCGCGCCACTGCACTCCAGCCTGGCGACACAGCGAGACTCCGTCTCAAATAAATAAATAAATAAATAAAATAAAATAAAAGAAGAATAACAATAAAGAAAGCAACCCAATTAAACATCTTAAATAAAGATTTTGGTATCTTGGCCAGGCATGGTGGCTCATGCCTGTAATCTCAGCACTTTGGGAGGCCGAGGCAGGCAGATCGCTTGAGCCCAGGATTCGAAATCAGTCTGGGCAACATATCAAAACCCCATCTCTATTAAAAAAAAAAAAAAAACTAGCCAGGTGTGGTGGTGCGCACTTGCAATCCCAGTTACTTGGGAGGCCGAGAGGTGGGAGGATGGCTTGAACCCAGAAGGTGGCGGCTGCAGTGAGTGGTGACTGTGCCACTGCTCTCCAGCCTGGGCAACAGAGCAAGACTCTGTCTCAAAAAAAAAAAAAAAAGATTTTAGTATTTTTCCATAAACAATGATATACAGATGGCAAATCAAAAGATGCACATAAAAAGAGGCTCAGAACCATTAGTCATTAGGGACAAGGAAATTAAAACCAGAAGAAGCTACCACCATATACTTATTAAGGTGGCCAAAAAAAAAAAAAAAAAACTTGAGGCCAGGCGCAGTGGCTCACGTCTGTAATCCCAGCACTTTGGGAGGCCGAGGCGGGCGGATCACGAGGTCAGGATATCGAGACCATCCTCGCTAACATGGTGAAACCCCGTCTCTACTAAATATACAAAAAAATTAGCCGGGCGTGGTGGTAGACGCCTGTAGTCCCAGCTACACGGGAGGCTGAGGCAGGAGAATGGCATGAACCCGGGAGGCGGAGCTTGCAGTGAGCCGAGATCGCGCCACTGCACTCCAGCCTGGGTGACAGAGCCAGACTCCATCTCAAAAAAAAAAAAAAAAAAAAAACAAAACAAAACCCTGAAAATATCAAGTGCTAGGGAGGATACAGAGCAACCGGAACTCTTCATACATTTGCAGGTAAGAATGCAAAATGGTACAGCTACTTTGGAAAACAGTTTTGGCAGTTTCTTATAAACATACAACCCAGAAATCATACTCCTAGGTATTTACTCAAGAGAAACAAGAATTGTGTTCAGACAAAAAACATTATGGAAATGTTTACGGCAGCTTTATTCATAGCTGCCACAAACTAGAAATAATTGAAATATTCAACTATTGAACAGATAAATGCACTGTGATACACTCATATAAAGGACTGCTACTCAGCAATAAAGAAACTACTGATACAACAACACAGATGAATCTTAAATACATTATGCACTGTACACGTATAAACTAAAAAATTAAAATACCTATTTAAAAGTCAAACGGGCCGGGCGCGATGGCTCACACCTGTAATCCCGGCACCATGGGAGGCCGAGGCCGGCGGATTACCTGAGGTCAGGAGTTCAAGACCAGCCTGGCCAACATGGTGAAACCCTGTCTCTACTGAAAATACCAAAAATTAGCCAGGCGTAGTGGCGGGCGCCTGTAATCCCAGCCACTCAGGAGGCTGAGACAGGAGAATCGCTTGAACCTGGGAAGCGGAGGTTGTGGTGAGCTGAGATCGCGCCACTGCACTCCACCCTGGGCAACAAGAGCGAAACTCTGTCTCAAAACTAAATAAATAAAGTCAAACAGTACATGAAAAAATAATATGATCAAGAGAGGTTCACTGCAAGAATGTAAGGGTGAATCAATATAAGATCTACTAATATAATTCTATGAATATACACTACTGTAATTAATATGTAGCATGCAGGAGGAAAACTATATGATCATCTTAAAAGATGCTAAGATGTCATTTAACAAAATATAATAGCCATATCTGATTTTAAAAAAAAAAACTTAAACAGAAAAAAAATTGAAATAGGTGAATATACTCAACACATTAAAGGTCTCAAACCAACAGTTAACCATTAAATATCTGCAACAGTTCCATTAAATTGGGATAGCATACTAAGATGCCTATCATTATAACTAACATTTGACATTGTTTTGGAGGAGGTGGTAGGGAATGCAATTTTTTTCTTTTTTCTTTATTACCCAGGTTCCCATCAATGGTAAAGGCAATGTAATTTGAAGAGAAAAAGGAGACATAAATATAAGAAAATCAGATGTGTACATGATTCATGTTTGCAGATGACACAACTTTATTCCTAGAATAAAGTTACTCCAATCAAAGCAAAAGCTACAAGAAACAATTAGAAAAAAGAATAGGTGGCTGAATTCAAAATTAATTTTTTAAATTAATGAGTTTTCAACTAGAAGTCCCCTAGCAGAGCAGGTATTTTCATAGACAAATTAAAGATTAAATAAGATATCATGGCATAAGTGAAAATATTTAGCAAATAAATTATACTTCATCCAATTTTGTAAAAAATACATACATATACATGTGCCAGGTGCAGTGGCTCACGCCTATAATCCCAACACTTTGGGAAGCTGAGGCGGGCGGATCGCCTGAGCTCAGGAGTTCGACACCAGCCTGGGCAACACGGTGAAACTCCATCTCTACTAAAAAATACAAAAAATTAGCTGGGTGTGGCAGCGAGCACCTGTAGTCCCAGCTACTCAGGAGGCTGAGGCAGGAGAATCGCTTGAACCCGGGAGGTGGAGGTTGCAGTGAGCCGAGATCGCGCCACTGCACTCCAGCCTGGGTGACAGAAGAGAAAAAAAGAAAAAGTATGTACTTTTTTGCTCAAAAGAAAAAAAAAAAAGTATGTATGTATGTACACATGTCCACCCAAAGATGGTTACCTAATGAGAGGAACCAAAATATTAATGTTCTGGGTTTTCTAAATTTTCTACATTACTTTCCTGATAAAGGGAAAAAGCAAAAATAAAATGTAAAGGTTTTTTTTTTTTTTTTGAGATGAAGTCTCACTCTGTCACCCAGGCTGAAGTGCAGTGGCATGATATCGGCTCACTGCAACCTCCGCCTCCTGAGTTTAAGCGATTCTCCTGCCTCAGCCTCCCAAGTAGCTGGGACTACAGGCGCCTACCACCACGCCCGGCTAATTTTTTGTATTTTTAGTAGAGACGAGGTTTCGCCATGTTGGCCAGGCTGGTCTCCAACTCTCGAGCTCAGGCAATCCACCCGCCTCGGCCTCCCAAAGTGCTGGGATTACAGGTGTGAGCCACCATGCCTGGCCAAAATTTAAAGGTTTTACTAGATTTCCAGAAGCATTATTTATGAAAGTCAAAGCTTTTTTCCTAAACTAATTATCGAAATCACAGACTAAAGAATGTCAAGAGCTCAAAAATGGGGTGAACAAACTATGGCCGGCCACAGCCTGTTTTTGTAAATAAAGTTTTATTGGAACACAGCCACACTCATTTGTTTACTTATTGTCTATGGCTGCTTTCATCCTACCAGGGCCGAGCTGAGCAGCTGTGACATAGCCAGGTGGCCTGCAAAACCTAAAATATTTACTAATTGGTGCCCTAAGAACAAGTTTGCCAATCCCCTGATCATTAGATCATCTAGTCCATCCTATACTGTACAGGTGAGTAAACTGAGGTCCACACAAGAATGACTTCTCTATGGTCCAAACTCAAGTTAAGTAAGAAGCAAGGAAGACTCCATTTCCATGGTACTTTCCACCACTTGGCCAGGAAACTCTCAAAACAGACATCCTGCTGTTTGGGAGGTAAACCTCAGGGTCTCATATCACATCGCAAGTGAGTGTATTTGCCAATACATTGATGAGAAGAGGACTTTGGGCCTAGTCAGTATCCAAGAACAACTGCTAAAGGTCTGAGTAAACCTTAGTAGACTAGAAAAAGTTAATTTAAAAACCACACAGGCCAGGCGCAGTGGCTCACGCCTGTAATCCCAGCACTTTGGGAGGCCCAGGCGGGCGGATTGCCTGAGGTCAGGAGTTTGAGACCAGTCTGGCCAACATGGTGAAACCCTGTCTCTACTAAAAATACAAAAAAATAAGCCGGGTATGGTGGCATGTGACTGTAATCCCAGCTACCTGAAAGGCTGAGGCAGGAGAACTGCTTGAACCAGGGAGGTGGAAGTTGCAGTGAGCCGAGATCACACCACTGTATTCCCGCCTGGGTGACAGAGGGAGACTCCATCTCAAAAAACAAACAAACAAACAAACAAACAAAAAACAAACAAGCAAAACACATAAGCACAGACTAGGGAAGGTTTAAAAACAAACAGATGCTGAGATCCCAGTACTTTGGAAAGCCGAGGCAGGCAGATCACCTGAGGTCAGGAGTTCGAGACCAGCCTAGCCAACATGGTGAAACCCCGTCTCTACTAAAAATACAAAAATCGGCCAAGCATGGTGGCAAGCACCTGTAATCCCAGCTACTCGGGAGGCTGAGGCAGGATAATTGCTTGAACCCGGGAGATGGAGGTTGCAGTGAGCTGAGATCACACCACTGCACTCCAACCTGGGCGACAGAGTGAGACTCCATCTCAAAAAAAATAAATAAATAAAAAATAAATCTGATAATACCAAGTGTTGGAGAGGATACAGAACAAGAGGATATGTTTCACAGTATTGGGGGCAGTGTTGGTTCAACCACTGGGAAATGTTTTTTTAAAGCGGGACATTCATATATCCAACAACCTAATAATTTTATTCCTAAATAAGAGAAATTCATTCAAGAATTCTTACGACAAATCTTTTTTTAATAACAAAAAACTGGTAACATTCACAATTGACAGGAAAATAGATAAATTGTGGTACTCACACAATGGAATGCTATTCAGCATGAAAATGAATGATGTCTAGCTACAAGAAATCATATACATCAGCAGTCCCCAACCTTTGTGGCATCGGGGACCAGTTTTATAGAAGATAATTTTTCCATTGGGGGAGGAGGTGGTTTCGGGATGTTTCAAGTGCGTTACATTTTTTTTTTTTTTGAGACAGAGTCTCGTTCTGTCACCCAGGCTGGAGTGCAGTGGTGCGATCTTGGCTCACTGCAACCTCTGCCTCCTGGGTTCAAGCGATTCTCCTGCCTCAGCCTCGTGAGTAGCTGGGATTACAGGCACGTACCACTACATCCAGCTAATTTTTGTATTTTTAGTAGAGATGGGGTTTCACCATGTTGGTCAGGCTGGTCTCGAACTCCTGACCTCGTGATCCGCCCGCCTCAGCCTCCCAAAGTGCTAGGATTACAGACACGAGCCACCATGCCCAGCCCAAGCACATTACATTTATTGTGCACTTTATTTCTATTATTATTACATTGTAATATATAATGAACTAATTATACAACTCACCATAATGTAGCATCAGTGGGAGCCCTGAGCTTGTTTTCCTGCAACTATATGGTCCCATCTGGGGGTGATGGGAGACAGTGACAGATCATCAGGCATTAGATTCTCATAAGGAGTGTGCAATCTAGATCCCTCAGATATGCAGTTCACAATAGGGTTCATACTCATATGAGAATCTAATGTCACCACAGATCTGACAGGAGGTGGAGCTCAGGTGGTAACACGAGCAATAGGGAGTGGCTGTAAATACAGATGAGGCTCACTCACTTGCTGCTCACCTCCTGCTGTGTGGCCCAGTTCCTAACGGGCCATGGACCAGTACTGAGGGTTGGGGATCCCTGATATAGATGACTCTTGGTAATAAAATATTTAATAAATAGCAAGTCCCAGAAAACTACATATACCATATGTTATTTTACACGCCATGAAAATACAGACTAATAACAGTGTGTCATAAAGATTAAGATTAATCTTAATGGACCTGAGGTCCATTTAAGAAAGAAAAGCACACACTTCTTTAAGAACTGGGACTTTCTACAATTTGTTTTTGTATTAACACAGGACTCTAAACAAAAGTTACTCAAATGTTAGTAGTTGTTTTATAGGAAAATGGGTTAATAACCTTAAACTGTATTCTAAAGCTCCAACTATGACCATTTTGAATGCGTTTTAAGAAAACTGACACTTTTTAAGTCTTAGAAACTATAGTAGTCAGAGAAACTAAATGTACTGAGCAAGAAAAAGGGATGCCTTGGAAGAGGCTGAGGAAAGGAAGAGAAAGAGAGAGAGAGAGAGAGACAGAGGAGGATATGAGAGTTAATTTTAAATATCCTAATAACTGACATATGGAAGATGGACTGAAGTTAGGTTTCTGTAGCTTGGGATTGTATAAGAACCAATAAGAAAATTAGTTCTAGTTCAATATAAAGTAAAACAATAACTGGAAAGTCTCAAAATTGAATGGCCTGCCTTACAAGATGGTAAGCTTCCTATCATGAAAATATTTCAGTAAATAATATCACCAGCCACTAGGATTATTGTACAGATGTTTCTCATACTGAACATTTCCAATACTAAAATTTTCTCATTTTATGAAACTGCATATGCTATAACCTTCCATAATACTGAGTAAATGGCACTTACGTTTCGCCTGAGTTATTATTATCATTACTTTTTGGCCTATATATCACTCAATGGGCATACTCACTGGTTTGATATCATTCTCCAAAGAAGCAAGGAAGTCTCCTCTCATCACTTGCAGGCTTTCTGCTTTCTCCATGTCCACTTCCACTTTAGTACTGGCCTAAGAAGAGATAAAAACAAAATGTAAGGACTTCCAAGATTTAAGAATAGTTAAGAATATATTCAATTTAAGAACGTAACTCTTGAGGATTTAAAAGCATATTTTCACACATAAAAAAATCTGAAATATTTGCAAACCATATATGTGATAAGGGATTAATATCCAGAATACATAGAGAACTGCCAAAATTGAACAACAAAAAACTAAATAAAAAATGGGCAAAGAACTTAAACAAACATTTCTCCAAAGAAGATATACAAATGGCCTTAAATAAGCACATGAAAAGATGTTCAACCTCACTAATCATTAGGGAAATGCAAATCCAAACTACAAAGAGATTTCACTTCATACTCATTAGGATGGCTACTACCACAAAAATGCAGAAAATAAGAAGTGTTGGTGAGGATGCGGAGAAATCAGAACCCTTATGCACTGTTGGTGGGAACATAAGTAAAATGGTTGAGTCACTGTGGAAAACAAAAATATGGTGGTTCCTCATAAAATTAAAAATAGAATTATCATATGATCCAGCAATTCCACTTCTGGGTATATACCCCCAAAGAACTGAAAACAGGGTCTTGAAGAGATATCTGTACAGCCTTGTTCATGACAGCATTACCCACAATAGCTAAAATGTGGAAGAAATCCATATGACCATTGACAGAGGAATGGATAAACAAAATGTGTTACGTACATACAATGGAATATTATTCAGCATTAAAAAGAAAGAAAATTCTGATATCCTGCAACATGACGAACCTTGAGGACCATACGCTAAGTTAAATAAGCAAATACTGTACAATCCACTTATATGAGGTTCCTGGAGTAGCTGATATCCAAGAGACAGAAAGTAAAATGGTGGCTGCCAGGGGATAGGGAGAGGAAGGAATGGGGAGTTACTGTTTATGGGTATGGAGTTTTAGTTTTACAAGATGAAAAGAGGTCTGGAGATGAATGGTAGTGATGGTTGCACAACATTAAGAATGTATTTAATGCCACTGAATTGTACATTTAAAATGGTTACACGGTAAATTTTATGGTTTTCTGTTTTTTTTTTTTTTTTTTTTGAGACGGAGTCTCACTCTGTCCCCCAGGCTGGAGTGCAGTGGCGCGATCTCGGACGCTGCAAGCTCCACCTCCCAGGTTCACGCCATTCTCCTGCCTCAGCCTCCCGAGTAGCTGGGACTACAGGTGCCCACCACCACGCCCGGCTAATTTTTTGTATTTTTACTAGAGACAGGGTTTCACCATATTAGCTAGGATGGTCTTGATCTCCTGACCTTGTGACCACCCGCCTCGGCCTCTCAAAGTGCTGGGATTACAGGCGTGAGCCACCACGCCCGGACAATTTTATGGGCATTTTAAAACAATTTTAAAAATTGGAATCAAAGAAAACACATCTCTCAAATTCACAAATATATATATCCTCTGAACAAGTCCACTTCTAGTAATTTATCCCCTAAATATATTCACAAATGTGTACAAAGTTATATGTACAAGTATATCTACTAAAGTAACTTGTTATGAAAAAAGATGGGAAGCATATTAATAATGTCTACCAAGAGGGGATCAGTTATGTAAATTAGAACACATCTGTACCAAGGGACACTGTATAGCCATTTTAACTCATGAGGCATGAGTAAGAAAAAATACATACAGAGAGTAAGAACAGTGAAAAATCCATACAAAAAGAAAATATATACAGAAATGAAAACACAGCCATACTTGGCTGCATATCAGAATAACCTCCAGAGCCTTCAGAGATATACAGGCGCTCAGTCCCATTCCCCACGGGATTTTGATTTAACAGGCCTATTAGAGGGTCTTTATAGTTTTACCAAGTACCACAGGTGATTCTGGTACTGAACCAGGCTTAAGAACCATTACTCTAGGAGACCAAGAACCTAAAACTTTCATTTGTATTAATACATTGTGCTTCAGAATCTATGTGCCAGCTCCAAATAGTCTGCTTACTGCACCTGGAGCTAGCATTTAGACATCTGGAGAAGCATCAAGGCCTTTATCAGCACTTGGAGCTGCCTGGACCAGATGAGTGATTAAGATACCAACACGTGTTTTAAAGCGACTGGGCTCACTACCAATAGCACAAAACAACACAGCCTAATTTTTAAATTGGTATCATGGCTTTGAAAAAAAAAGCATTTTCAAAAAAAGCTGACTATAAAACAAACGCATGTTAAATAAATATCAACCTTCCATCAATTATTATGAAATATGAGTCATATTTTTTTTAGGAAGAGACTGTGAGACAAATGAAGTGACAGATATAAAAAAAAGTCATCCTTGTGGGATAAAAAGAACTATGGCAGGAAGCTGGGTGAAGATGGCAAACAGAACACAGTTATTTATCTTCCCTTCCGCCCCAAATCCCACAAAATGACAGAAAGTGAGACAGAAAGGCTACAAAGCATGAAAGAAATATCCATAAGTTTTAACTGTGATCTAACAGGAGTCTCAGAAGGAGAGAACAGAAAGAGTCATAGAGAAGAAACAATAAAAGACAGAAGAGAAAAAAATTTCCTATAGCTGAAGAAAGGTGTGCCTCTGCAGTTTAAAGGGTTCAGTGAGTGATGATCGGGATAAATGAAAAGAAGCACACATCTGTCCAGACCCACTGCTGTAAACTTTCAGAGCACCAAAGGTGAAGAGAAAGTCCTAGAACCTTTCTGAGGGACAAAACAGGTTTCCTGCAAAGAAACCAGAACGAGATTGGTATGATAACTCTCACTGGCAACACTAGAAACTAGAAGACAATGAAACCATGTCTTTGAAAAGACATTTGGATGGCTACCCTAGAAAATGATTCCTTGTGTGCACAGGGAGGCAAGTAAGCATTTTCACAACAGTATTTTTTCAACAGCCACAACCAGAAATAATCCATATGTTAAATAAATTATTCATTAATTCTATTTACTGAATACCTACCAGACACCAAGCACTATCTGAGGAACTGGAGTCATAGCAGTAAATAAAACAGAAAAGGTCCCTGTGTTCATGGATCTTATATTTTCCATTATGTGGCAATATTCTAGAATACTCTGCATTTGTCCAAAATAATGAAGGGGACTTACATACACTGACACAGAAAGCTATCCAAGGAATATTTGCAAGTGAAAAATGTAAACTGCAGTATAATTCCATTAATGTTCATTTTTTTAAAAAAGCACATACGTATATGAATGTAAATATTATATAAAGAAAACAAACTTCAAAGATATATCCCAAATTTTGGCTAACTCTGGAGAGGGAAAGGAAAGTGGTGTTAGAGATGGCCTTTCTCATTTTTCCCTATATGCTTTGACATTCTTGAATCTTTTACAAAAAGAAAGCCATCATCTATAACTTCTATACTTTTAAAAATAAAGTAAAAAGTAACAAAGAGACAAATATTTTACTTCAATAGAACAATTAACATTTAAATTATTGGGCTGGGCATGGTGGCTCACGCCTGTAATCCCAGCACTTTGGGAGGCTGAGGCAATAGGATCACCAGGTCAGGAGATCGAGACCATACTGGCTAACACAGTGAAACCCTGTCTTTACTAAAAATACAAAAAAGTAGCCAGGCGTGGTGGCAGACACCTGTAGCCCCAGGTACTCAGGAGGCTGAGGCAGGAGAATGGCGTGAACCCGGGAGGCAGAGCTTGCAGTGAGTTGTGATGGCGCCACTGCACTCCAGCCTGGGCGACAGAGTGAGACTCCGTCTCAAAAACAAAAACAAACAAACAAAAAAACATAAACATTTAAATTATTAATAGGGCTTATATTGGCACATATGAGGTTTGATAAATATTAATCGCATTTATTTGGCATTTCTAAGTTTAAAAAAAGAAAAATGGGCCTGGCACGGTGGCTCACACCTATAATCCCAGCACTTTGGGAGGCCGAGGCAGGCGGATCACCTGAGGTCGGGAGTTCGAGACCAGCCTGACCTACATGGCGAAACCCTGTCTCTACTAAAAATACAAAATTAGCCAGGCATGGTGGTGGACACCTGTAATCCCAGCTACTCTGGAGGCTGAGGCAGGGGAATCGCTTGAACTCGAGAGGCGGAGGTTGTGGTGAGCCGAGATCACGCCATTGCACTCTAGCCTAGGCAACAAGAAGAAAACTCCATCTCCAAAAAAAAAAAAAAGAAAAAAAGAAAAATGGTGTCACAGGAAACAAGCATATCCGTGAAAGAATTATGATAATTAATAATATACAAATGTCTACAGTTCTTTATAGTTTATAAAGTATGTTCATACACACTATCTCATTTCACCATATCACATTATCTCATTTTATACTTATACAAACCTGGGGGTTTCCATAAGTTATAAAAGGCAGATACAGGACTTCCTTCCTAGATACCCTTATATAAAAGTTTTAACTCTGATTCAAACTTTTTGATACATCTGAAAGGATTCTACAAGATACAAACTCTCAGGCCAAAGGGAAGACAAGAGCTCTGACCGAAACATTAAAATCTCAACAAAGCTACCAGCCTCACTTTAAACACCTCTTTCCTACACAGGCCTAGGTTTTTACCATAATATTTTGCATTCTGATTCTCTTACAGTAAAACCGAATTCAAATGATAGATACATACAGCAGTATGAAAGAAAAATCTTGCCCATCTTTCAAAATTTGCCAAAAAATACGATAGATTTTAGGACTGAAGCTGGTATAAAACTTGTCATTTTGCTAATTATTAAGAAAAGACTCACCCAATTAATTGCTGAGTCCTTTCTTAAAAGTGAATTAAGATGGGTGTGGGGAAGAAGTATTTCAAAACAAACTGTTTTCAGGCACATAAGGAATTCTGTAAGTTACATAATTGTAAGCCATCAATATTCCAATTGTCAATTATTCCTACCTGCTCATTAAAATAAATTTTCTAAGGACTGCTCTTAGCTGACTTTTAGCATTTTATCAAAATTTGTAAAATTTTAAAAAGTCTATAATTCTGAATTTTTACTTTTTCAGAAAACCTTTTCTCATTTGTTTGAATTAGCAACATTTTTCCTGCATTTTATTTATAACAGCTAATCAATATAGAAGAGGCAGCATCTTTCAGCTTATACCTGCAGAAACTAATAAACTTGTATTTCAACACTAGCAAATATCAAGTGGTCACCCTTAAATTTCATAACCTTTTAAATCTGACCTTTCAAAGTTCTTATCATTCCTCTTAAATTAAGGGTAGAATGACCTTAATCAATCAAAAATTCTGCAAAAAAATAAGAAATAATTTTATGAAATTCTGTAAACATAACTTAGAGCTTTGACTCCGGTGGAAAGTGTATGTGAGAGAAAGTGTGTGTGTGTGTGTGTGTGTGTGTCCTCAGTTTATTTCCTCACAACAGATTAGAGAAAAAATTTGGGTTATGAATCTTCTCAACCTGAAGCAGAAATTCCTTTCAAGATAAAAACAACCAAATGTCACATGAATTTTAGTTGACCGCAATCATAGGTTCAAGTATAAATGACATGAACAACAGGTGTTTCTGACCAGATTTTCCACTTGTCTCAGAAAACCTGAAAAAACAGTTTAACAGGAAAGACCTGTTTAGTCCACCTGACTAAATCTTTCTTTAGGCCTCAATCTTTTGAAAAGGAAGCAAAATAACACCAATAATGGATTTTTAAAATACAAAGAAAGAACATCATAACACTTGTACGTTTTGAATGTTTTAAAGTTCAGTAACAACTTTATAAGTTTCAATTTAAATATTTATTCATCAATCACTATTAAAGCTACAAACATCTATAGCAATGGAAGACTAAAACTGTACTTCTTTTGTTTAGCCAAGGACGAGTCATTGGAAAAATAGTCTTTAAAGACCTTCTGACAATGCAGATTTTTTAAAATGCAGAAGATGAAATGTTAGTAATATTTCTTTTTGGGGGTAAGGTTAGTGTCTTACATAGCTTTCTCATCCCTAAAGTGCCTACATAGTTATTCCATTGATATGGTGAAAAGTTAGGAGCTGTTTGGTACAAGGAGCAATGATCGCAAGTCAATACATATCACCTGAAGCTTACAGATAATTCTATCATGTGGAAAAAAGTGATGGAAACATGAACTATTTGCACTACTGCTTACTTGCAAATCAGAAGGATAATATATTATGTACAAGGGTGACAAACATTTTAGCTTTACAATTAGAAAATGTGTAACTACAAAGAGTCAATAAAAATCAGAAATTCATATATTGAAAAGTACTGATATCCTCTCAAATCAGCCAATTAAAAAAATGGAGATAACTAGCATTTATAGAGTTTACAAGGCACTTTTATATAAAGTATTTGCTTTCATTCTCATAAAAATCTGATTAGATAGGTAGTGTCTCCCCTTGACAGGTCAGAAACAAAAAGGTGGAAGAAATATAATGCATAACCACACCTTCTGACTACGATATCTGCGATCTTCCCACCATCCCTCATTGCCTCATATGTAGATAAACCCAATATATGCTTGAAGAAAGCATGTTTCTTACTGAGACAACGGCTTAAAGTGAAATTTTGGGATAGGATTATTGTAGTTAAAATGACAGATGACTAAATAAGAGAAAAATTCCATGGCCAACACATATGAAAAATATGACAACTAGTAAACTAGTTACTGTGGATTACATCAAGATGCACCCATGTGGTCTGAGATGAAAGATCAGTATGGTAGGGACCAGTTTTCACACTGTTTACATCATTTTTCTTGAAGTTGCCATCTCTTCTTATTAAAACAGTATAGCATGGCCGGGCATGGTGGCTCACGCCTGTAATCCCAAAACTTTGGGAGGCCGAGGCAGGCGGATCACGAGGTCAGGAGATCGAGACCATCCTGGCTAACACGGTGATCCCATCTCAACTAAAAATACAAAAACTTAGCCAGGCGTGATGGTGGGTGCCTGTAGTCCCAGCTACTTGGGAGGCTGAGGCAGGAGAATGGCTGAACCTGGAAGGTGGAGCTTGCAGTGAGCCGAGATTGCACCACTGCACTCCAGCCCGGGCGACAGAGTGAGACTCCGTCTCAAAACAAACAAACAAGGAAGAATAAAAACATAGTCCCTGAATGGATCCATTATATAAAGACCCAATACAATATTCCCACACCATCCAAACCTTTGGCATTCTTGAGCTAGAACAAATCCACCTCTATTATGTAGGGAAATTATGACTTATGGATAGAGCGTGATTCAGAATAGTTACGTAAGTTTACTCATTTAAAAAATATTGGCTGGGCATGGTGGCTCACACCTGTAATCCCAACATTTTGGGAGGCTGAGGCGGGCGGATCACGAGGTCAGGGGTTTGAGACCAGCCTGGCCAACATGGTGAAACCCCATCTCTACTAAAGATACAAAAAATTAGCTGGGCGTGGTGGCACATGCCTGTAGTCCCAGCTACTTGGGAGGCTGAGGCAGGAGAATCACTTGAACCCAGGAGGCAGAGGTTGCAGTGAGCGAAGACTGTGCCACTGCACTCCAGCCTGGGCGACAGAGTAAGACTCTGTTTCAAAAAAAAAAAAGAAAAATAATTTACTGGACACCTACCATGTGCTCATTATTTAGATCTATTTGGGGTACTATGGGAGACTCTGAGGTGAATAAGATAAGGATTTAAAGTCTAGAACAAGGGCCAGCAAACTTCTGTAAAGTGGCAGATAGTACCTAAAATAAAAGCACTAAAATAGGCTTTGTGGGCCATGCAGCCCCTATTGCAAATACTCAACTCTGCCACTGTAGCATGCAGGCAGCCATAGACAGTACACAAATTAATGTGTACTGTTCCAAAAAAGCCCTTTATTTATAAAAACTGGTAGTTGGCTGGATTCCTGGTCTAGAACCAGTGATAGGATATACCCAAATATCTACATACTCAACCTAACTGTTCAGGCTTTTATTTCTTGCCTGAACTGTTATAAAAGCTCCCCCTCTTGTCCTGTGTCGCCAACTCCACTCCTCTAACTACTCCACTCGACAGAGCTGCCAGAGTGATCTTATGTTTTAACACTATGTCACTGCTATTCTTAAAACTCAATGGCTTAGCACTACTCACAGAAAAAAAGTCCATACTTCTTAGCAGAGTATAAAAGGCTCTTTGTGCTCCATCCCTACTTTAGTCTCCTGACTTATCCCCCACAATCTCTCTACCATCCCTCCCCTAACTTCCATGCTGAAGCAATACTAAACTACTCCAACGCACTATGCTATTCTGTGTCTCTGCTTCTTTGCATATGTTGTTCCCTCTACCTAAAAGGCCCTGCTCTACCAACAGACATGCATATGAAGGTTTCTCTCACCCCACAAGTTGACCATATCTGACATGCGTTCACTCTCTTGCCTTGCATGTACTTTCTGTTACTGCACGTGGAGGGTTAGACTGAGGGCAGCTTAATGGTAGGTACTTTACTTCTTTGCAGTTGGGGTATTAACTCCTAGCACAGGGTCTAGCATGCAGTAGATGCCGAATAAATCTACTGTGAACCAAAGTCAACTGACAGTACCATAAATGATACATTACTATTTCAAGAAGGAAACGGGTATAACATTCTTGAAAGGGAAAATGTGAAAAGGTGTGAGGACAGTGGTAGCATATGAGCCAGGTTTTGAAAAGACAGGTAAACGTAGAGGATGAAGATCCTCAGTGATGCAAAAAAAACAAAACCAAAGCAGAGATGTTGAAAAATAAATTAATGTCTGATGACCGGTGATTATTTAAGTTTGGCTGAAGTATGTGGAGAATAATCAGGAGCACATTTGGAAAGGCCAGTTAGGGTCAGATCTAGAGGACCCAAAAGACCCAAAAGAAGCCTGTACTTTGTTTTGTAAATGATGGGGAATCACTGAAAGTGTCTGAATGGTTGAATGATATGATACAGGAAGGTTAATCAAAGAGAAGGTGGGTAGTGGCAGTGAGAACTAAAAGGCACTGCCAAGACAGAACTGAAAAAATTTGGCAAGTGACTTGACCTAGGGCACAGTAGAGTGTCAGGAATCAAAGATAATCCTGATGTTTTAAGCCTGGGAAATTGGGATAAACAGGGAAATGCGAGCAGAAAGGAAAGTAGTAAAAAAGACAATAAATTTGGTTTTGCAATATTAAATCTGAGACCTGATAAAACATCTAGGTGAGGGTATTTAGTACAAATCTGAAAGTAGGAGACAGATATGTTCAGTAAATCTGTCTACAGGTGGTAACTAAAACCTAAAGGAGAGAAGAGATGGAAGATCAAGAGCACTTTATCAAAATAAAAGTATCCTAGTACGTATTTCTACCATGGTAACTACAATATTATTGTACTAATTTGAAAATATGTCCATTTTCCTGACTCTGAACTCCTTGAGGGAAGAGTTCACAATTATCTTTATGTCTCCAGCCCAATAGCTTGAACACATCAACTATTCAATATATTTGCTGAATAAAGCAGCCCCCAAAATTCTAGTACGTGGAAACTCCCACTTCCTCTGACATATTACAACTTTTTTTTTTTTTTTTGGAGACGGAATCTCGCTCTGTCACCCAGGCTGGAGTGCAGTGGCGCAATCTCAGCTCACTTCAAGCTCTGCCTCCTGGGTTCACACCATTCTCTTGCCTCAGCCTCCCGAGTAGCCGGGACTACAGGTGCCCGCCACCATGCCCGGCTAATTTTTTGTATTTTTAGTGGAGACGGGGTTTCACCGTGTTAGCCAGGATGGTCTCGATCTCCTGACCTTGTGATCCGCCCGCCTCAGCCTCCCAAAGTGCTGGGATTACAGGCATGAGCCACCATGCCTGGCCATATTACAACTTTTAATACAATACAAAGATTTAAAAACACTTCTTCAAAATTTTCACTTTACGTGTCTGTGTCAGATGGTGATGACCTAAGGTAGATGAGTCAGTGGTTACTACAGGGCAGATGCAAACATTATCTTCCTTCCTGCTACTCTGAAGATTTAGCAGTTGACAATTAATTCTTATTCCTTTTACCATCTCTTCTCCACCAAAAGTCAGCATTTCCCTACCCCTTGATATGCTTGAAAGGAAAGAGAAAGAATACCGGCATAATGTTTATAATCTGTTTAGCTGATTTTCCTGACCTTTATGTGTCTATTCATAGCAGTGGACTGGGCTGCTCGCACCAGACCCTCCAATTCAGCACCACTGAAATTCTTGGTCTCCACGGCCAGTTCTTTAATGTCTACATCAGCAGAGAGTAACTGATGCCCTCTCATTCTTGCTGTGTGGATGTGAAGAATCTGTAGTCGGCCTTTCTCATCTGGCAAGCCTGATGAAATTAAAAATAAAATAGGCATTTTCCTAGTCTCGAAAGCACCATCAGAGGAGATTATCATTATTATTATTATTATTATTTTGAGACAGAGTCTCGCTCTGTTTCCCAGGCTGGAGTGCAGTGGTACGATCTCAGCTCACTGCAACCTCTGCCTCCTGGATTCAGGCGATTCTCCTATCTCAGCCTTCCGAGTAGCTGGGATTACAGGTGCACACCACCACACTCGGCTAAGTTTTTTGTATTTTTAGTAGAGAAGGGGTTTCACCATGTTGGCCAGGCTGGTCTCGAACAACTGGCCTCAAGTGATCCACCTGCCTCAGCCTCCCAAAGTGCTGGGATTACAGGTGTGAGCCACTGCGCCCAGCCTAGAGGAGATTATTATGATCCTAATGTTTTCCTTATAGGTACTCAAGCATGTAAACATCTACTTCTCATGATATAAACCTTTTCTAAAAAATACTACACCATATGACATTGTTCCTGTTAATGAACTCTAAATGCCTCCACTCCCCCCACCACACACCCAATCAGTGACAGATCTCCTTACCTATCTCCATTTTAACTTCCAGTCTTCCAGGTCTAAGAAGAGCCTCATCTATCAGATCTGGTCTATTGGTCATTCCTGAACACAGATGTTAAAACAAAACAACAAATGATCAGAGTTCAAAAATAAAATCAAATGTCCTTTTAGTATATGTAAGAATAGTAATTTCCCTAACAAGCTAAGGAGACTTTGCTTTACTATTTCACTACTGTATAAGCCAATGGAATATAAATGTTATGAAAACTTCCAGTATTTAAAAAGAAAATTTAAGATTCAAAGGGTAAATAATCTGTCAAAGTGACAGAGGGGCAATGTGACACGATCTCTCTGACTCCAAAGTTCCTTCTCTTTTTTACAGGCCAGTGGTTTTCAGACTTCATAAAACAGCAGGGTGTTTTTTTTTTTTTTTCCCCAGAAGTCATCTTCAGAAGCACCTCAGTACATAAAACAGCTAAAAGAGGAAGTTATAATAGTGATGTAGGATCTGAAACGCACTCCCTGGCCCTCACTGACCCTGAAAGCACCTCTGAGGACCCCTGAAGGCCTGCAAGACCCAGTTTGAAAACCACTGCATTCCATTGTTTCATGTGTATTTTTCATTTTTGGGTGAGCTATAAGCTTCAACCTACATCTTTTTCACCTGTGGGTGAGCTATAAGCTTAAACCTACAAGTGACTGAAATCCATCTTTTATTTTTCCTATTAAGCCTAGGCATTACAATAGATTCTTCAATATCACTGGATTCTAATTTGGAAACACTGGCAAAACAGTTTAATCACAACCTACACACATCTTAATTCAGAACTTATGGCTAACGTTTTTGAATGAATAGTACTTTTTTAAAAAGTAAACATACCAATGACTAGGATGTTGTTTAGCTGCTCCATGCCATCAATTTTGGACAGCAACTGGTTGACAACAGTGTCATGAACTCCCGTGCTACCAGCCATGCTCCCTCTCTGCTTGCAGATGGCATCAATTTCATCAAAGATGATGATGTGCAAACCACTGTTAGCACCAAGCTATTAGGGGAAGAAATTATATTAAAGATCATAATTTGAATGTCTTATTAAACAAACTAATCAGAAAAACAAAACAAAGCTTTCAACAGATTGACTTCGCTTCATTTTGACTAATAAATATGGCAAGTGCAATTGTGGTTGTTGTCCTCTCAAAGGTGTTGGAACTAGATTCTCAGAATTCTGCAAACTGAAAACTCATTCTAGAACCTCATATTTAATAGCTATAAAATGAAAATACACATTATATACTGATAGTGTGTGTGTATAGATAGAAAGTAAGTAGTCGATCAAATAATTTATATACATTTCTTATCTCACTATTTGAAAGACCTTACATTTGTCAGATACTTTCATTAAGTCAGTCAGTGGCAACACCCTCCCATTTTCCCTGAATTTTGGTGAGAAGACTGTCCCAGAAGCAGTAGGTTTAATGTTTGTTTCGTTATATTATGTAACTAAAGGTTAACTCCACCTACAGGTTGACTGGGAATTGGACAAATGAGTGAAGAAACTCAACATGACTCACATGTACTTATATTACATGAAAACAGATTACGCCTTCCTAACAATAAAGTGAGAACAGAGACGGTTTATAAAAAGAACATGGTTAACAGGGTGCTGTTTCTTCTGCATAATGATTTCTGCCTTAGTTTACTAGAAATAGAATCACCATTAAAAGAAATTAGTTTGTATATTTTGAATCTTTAACAGATACAAACACTTCTGAATGCTACTAATTCATTAGGTTAATTTAACACGTACCTTCTAAAATTTATATTTAAGTAATTTAGTCTCCTATCAGGGAGTAAAGTGCACTCTGGAAATTTTTTCTTTTATAAACAAAAAACACGGCCGGGTGCGGTGGCTCCTGCCTGTAATCCCAGCACTTTGGGAGGCAGAGGAGGATGGATCAACTTAGGTCAGGAGTTCGAGACCAGCCTGGCCAACATGGTGAAACCCTATCTCTACTAAAAATACAAAAGTTAGCTGGGTGTGGTGGCAGGTGCCTGTAATCCCAGCTACTCTGGAGGCTGAGGCAGGAAAATCACCTGAACCCAGGAGGCAGAGGTTGCAGTGAGCCGAGACTGCACCACTGCACTCCAGCCTGGGCGACAGAGTGAGACTCCGTCTCAAAAACAAAAAACACTAGGGATTAACAAAACTGGTAAAAAATGAACATAACCTAAATATGACAACATACGGATAATAAAAATTAAATGAGCATAATGAGACTGAGGATTAAATATGGTTAGTATCCATTAAATCTCTGATAAGGATATAATCGTTGTTTTGTTTGTTTGTTTGAGATGAAGTCTTGCTCTGCTGCCCAGGCTGGAGTGCAATGACGCAATCTTAGCTCACTGCAACCTCTGCCTCCCGGGTTCAAGTGATTCTCCTGTCTCAGCTTCCTGAGTAGCTGGGATTGTAGGCATGTGCTACCACTCCTGGCTAATTTTTGTATTTTTAGTAGAGACGGGGTTTCACCATGTTTGCCAGGCTGGTCTCGAACTCCTGACCTCAGGTGATTCACTCAGCGCAGCCTCCCAAAGTGCTGGGATTACAGGCGTGAGCCACCATGCCCAGCCTAATCTTTGTTTTAATAAGAGAATGTTTTTTAACTTTTTAAAGGAGTAGTAGATTTGTTAACAGAGCAAAAGTTGTAAAACAAATAAAGTGTAAAAATAAAGCTGGGCAGAGTGGTACGTGCCTATAGTCCCAGCTACTCTGGAGGCTGAGGCTGGAGGAATCCTTGAGCCCAGGAGCTGGAGTCCAGCCTGGGCAACACAGTGAGATTCCATCACTAAAAACATAAATTAAAATATACTACATTTGCCATGGCTTGTGCCTGTAATCCCAGCTACTTGGAAAGCAGAGGTGGGAAGACTGCTTCAGGCCAGGAGTTCAAGACCAGCCTGGGCAACATAGTGACATCCCATCAATAAAGACCCATCTATAAAACATCATTACATTACCTAAAGATAAGTGCTGTTAATGGTCCACAGATTTCTATATTTTAACTAAATATTAAGAACTTACTGCACCTTGTATTCTCTTGAATATTATTCTTTGAAAACGATTTTCAATGGTTATTTTTGCTTCCAATTGCAAAATATATAATTATAAAAAATGTGGGAAAATAGCAAAAAATAAAGAAATCACAATCATCTCAAACTCAGCCAAAATGGAGCTATGTAATACCTTGCATCCTGTTTTTCAGTACAGGTATTATTTTAAACCCTTTCCCATCCCTATACAATATATATATATATATATATTTTTTTTTTGAGACGGAGTCTCACTCTGTTGCCCAGGCTGGAGTGCAGTGGCGTGATCTTGGCTCACTGCAAGCTCCGCCTCCCGGGTTCACGCCATTCTCCTGCCTCAGACTCCCGAGTAGCTGGGACTACAGGCGCCCACCACCATGCCCGGCTAATTTTTTTTTTGTATTTTTTTTTTAGTAGAGATGGGTTTCACCGTGTTAGCCAGGATGGTCTCGATCTCCTGACCTTGTGATCCGCCTGCCTTGCCCTCCCAAAGTGCTGGGATTACAGGAGTGAGCCACCGCGCCTGGCCGATGATATGATTTTTAATAGCTCTATAATATTTAATCATATGAATGGTTTCACAGTTTAACTCTCCTACTCCATATTCATTCCTTACTGTTAGATATTTAATTATTTCTAAGTTTTTAGTATTATATATGTTGCTGCAATAAACATTTTCTTTTTTCATTCTTTGTAGAGACAGGATCTCACTCTGTTGCCCAGGCTGGAGTGCAGTGGTGCGATCAAAGCTCACTGCAGCCTCAAACTCCTGGGCTCAAGCAATCCCCCACCTCAGCCTCCCGAGTGGCTGGGACTACAGATGCGTGCTACCACGCCTGGAAAATATTTTATTTTTTTTTGTAGAGATGGGGTTTTGCCATGTTGCTCAGGCTGGTCTTGAACTCCAGGACTCAAGTGATCCTCCTGCCTCAACCTCCCAAAGTGCTGCGATTACAAATGTGAGCCACTGTACCCAGCCTACAATGAACATTTTTATACTTAAACGCTTGACAATATAGATGAATACTTGCTAAAGGCAAATTGTTAGGTTAAAAGGTGTGTTAAGTATTTTAAGGCCCTTGAAATAGGAACACTTGAAAAAGTAGAAACACTTTTCCAGAAAGGTTTTATCAATCTATAATCCCAGCACAGTACCTGATAGTGCCTATCTTGGTATATTCCCACAAGTAATGAATATTAGAAACACTTTAAAAGTAATTCTCAATTTGATAGATGGACAATAGTATCTTTCTGTTGTTTTTAAATCACATTTATCTAATTACTGAAGGGGCTGGTGCTGTTAAAAAATCATGTTTTTACCATTGGTAATTTTATTAGTATTTGATATGTCTTCTATACCCTTTTCTGTTGAAATTCAAGAGCTTTTCCTATTGATTAAAAAATGATTTATACATTAGGGCCATTATTATACTTGTAACTACTTTATTCTAGTTTGCCAGTTGTCTTTTCTTTATGGCATGTGTGCATATATATAAGTATATATATTTTTTTGAGATGGACTTTCGCTCTGTCGTTCAGGCTGGAGTGCAGTGGTATGATCTCTGCTCATGCAACCTCCGCCTCCCAGGTTCAAGCGATTCTCGTGCCTCAGCCTCTCACATCTGGGATTACAGACGTGCACCATCAAGTCTGGCTAATTTTGTATTTTTAGTAGAGACAGGGTTTCACCACGTTGGCCAGGCTGGTCTCAAACTCCAGACCTCAGGTATTTGCCCACCTCGGCCTCCCAAAGTGCTGAGATTACAGGCGAGAGCCACTGTGCCCAGCCTATTTATGGTATATTTTCGGTAAGTGGAAGGCGTTTTCTGTTTCTACTAAACAGCCAGCACAATTTTTATTTTTATGGTATTTTCATTAGTTTTATCCTTAAAATTGTTCCCCATTACAGACACTGATGGTCACATATTTTCTTTTCTTAAATTTTTGCTTTACATATAATTCTTTATCTGGTGTTTTATTTTTGTGTATGGTACAAGTAAAGTGAGAAGCCAACTAATTCTTCTTCAAATAACCGACCCAGCATTGTTCCCTAAATTATCCCTCCTTTCTTCGTTGACTGAGCTGCCATCATACCAAGGTTTGGACTTTGATGTATGCTAGGTTATTACCAGCCTGTCTACTCTGCTCAATGGATTCATTCATGTTTTTATCTCCATAACTTTACAGTAGTACATTGAAGAAGCTCTTCTCCTCTATACATTCTTCTTTTTCATAACTATCTTGGCTATTTCCAACCATGTGTATTTCCAAATGAACATCAGAATCATTCTTATGAGGGGGAATAACCTCCACCAATTAAAAATAAAAAAATAAAGAACAGACAAAAACCCAAGCTCTGACTGAAATTAGGTTAAATATCTAAGTTTAGGAAATACTAAAATCTGTATAGCATATTTGGTTTTTTAGAAGAATAATGCCTCTCCAATTATTCAACACTTTTACGTCTCTCAGTAAAGTTTTAAAATTTATTTTTATTTTTATTTTTAGAGATAAGGTCTCACTATGTTGCCCAGGCTGGTCTTCAACTCCTAGACTTAAGTGATCCTCCCACCTTGGCTTCCCAAAGTGCTAGGATTACAGGCATGAGCCATTGGGCCCAGCTTCCCAATAAAGTTTTATAGTTTTTGTTGTTTAAATTCCTTCATTCCTTCATAAAGATTCCTAGCTATGTTTTTTGGTGGCAATTGTGATGGGATTTTTCTATTATATTTCAGAAACAGTATAGAAGTATGAAGGAAATATATTTTTATGTATTTATTTTATATATGGCTACTTTACTCTTATTTATAATATCTAAGTTTTTAAAAAAATCTGACTCTTTTGAATTTCCTAGGTAGACAATCATACCACCTACAAATACAACTTGTATCCTCCTTACTAACAGGTATACCTGCTTTTGGGTATGAGAAGCTGTACCAAAACAAAGACATATAAAAGGGGAAAGAGAGGGTCTAATAGCTAAGAAGTTAGAAGCATGTGGGTTCAACTGAACAGAAGGCCCAGAGGCAGTCAAGGTCCTATAAAAGGGATAATAAAATTTACCTAATGTGAGAAGCAGAAGTTATAGTACTATCATGACAGACTGAAATCTAGAATTAGGCCTTCCTACTGAAACAGAGGACATCAGTAAATGAACTGCAAAGTAGAATGCTCTTTATATAAAATGATTTTATTCTTGGCTTTAGGATGAAAAGAAGTATGCACTTGGAAGGTCAGTGAGAAACAAATAATGGTACATAAATGAGGCAAGCAGAATCTAAACAGAATGAGAATTTTGGTGACAGGAGTGGTGATGACCAAACAGCAAATGCTAGATTTGATTATTGCTTGCATGTAGGGTGGAAGACTGACAGTGAAGAAAAGAAATTACCCTGTAGTATGATAAGGAAGCTGCAGAAGGGAAAAGATACAAGGGAATTTTTTTTGTTTGTTTGTTTCTAGCATGATAAGATTAAAGAGTTAACAAGACATCTATTTGGAAAGGCCTCCAAATAGAGAACAAGATATACACAACTGAATAAAAAAGGATAGCAAGATACATCTGAACGTCTTCTGCAAATAGTAAAGAATAGTCTTGTAGCAAGCCGTAGATACCGTAAGAAGATGGATCATATAATTAAGCTGGAGGAATATAAAAGCAGGACAGATTCTGGGCTACAATACCAGAATATACCTATAGTAATCTGAAGAAAAGGGGGAATAAAAAAATGACAAAGATGAAAGATGAAATGTTACATCAGACATAGGAAGAAAGAGTTCCAAAAATGACCTGAAGGAAATTCAACTGGGTCAAAAACAAACCCTGAATATATATTTTTAAATAAAAAATAGATAAAATGCTATATGACCTAAAAATTCCACTACTTGGTTTATAGCAGCTCTGCTCATAATTGCCCCAAACTAGAAAACAACCCAATTGGCCTTCAGTGGGTCAAGAGATAAACAAATGATAGTACACCCACACAATTAAATACTATTCAACAATAAAAAGGGATGTTTGACACATGCAACAACTTGGATGAATCTCAAAGGCATTATGCTGAAGACAGCCAGTCCCCAAAGGTTACATAGTGTATGACGCCATTTATATGACATTCTTGAAAAGATAAAACTACAGGGATGGAGAACACATTGGTAGTTACCAGGGTTACTAAAAAGAAAGGGTGACCAGTAAGGGACTGCATGAAGGAGTTTTTGGGGGTGATGCAAATGTTCTACATCCTGATTTTTACAGTGGTTCCATGAATCTATACATGTATGAAATTTCATAAAACTACATACAAAAAGAGAAAAATTCATTTTACAGCATAATAAACCAGATAAAATAATAATAAATTCTATTCTTTAATGCAATTGTATGTAGGATGACAGATGTCCATCAAAGTTTCTAAAGTTTCATTAGGTTTTATTTTTGTTCCTGAACATTACTTACAAATTGTTCTCCCTCCATATTTTAAAACCTAATTTCAAATCTGAGGGAAAAAAACTTCATTTTTCTGTATCATTGCATTTACTGAATAGATATCTAATGATAAATAACTTGCTTCCTAAAAAAAAATTCAATACCAAAAACTGTTCATCTTTCCATCTGGAGAAAAAATTGGAAATGAGGAATTGGAACTACAACCTTAACTTTGCCAAAGTACTTCTATACAGCAGGATATTAATTCTTGTCATCTTCAGTGACAACAAGGATACTTCTGTTTGTGACTGAAAAACTGTGAAATTTTACATTATTTTTTAAAGTTTTTTTTTTCTTCAAGGTTGTCTGCCCTATACAGCATGAAACAAAAAGCTGCTATAATATATGAGTTTTACTGTCAATGTGCCTTATGTTGTTGATGGAATCATGATTTCCTTCTCAGCCCAACCTCAAAAATCACGTATGTGGACAAGGACAAAGACAATACGAACACTGTTTGATTAAATGATCATGGAGGCAATCTGTTCTAAACATAATTCAGTACAATTCTGACCTTTTCAGAACCTTACTAATCTTGTTACCTGTCATCAGGTCCCTTACCCCACCTAGTCAGTACAATAACATCAAATTTTACATTGTGTGTTACTTAAATAAAAGCAAGATCTTATTCCAAGAAATTGGGAATTGGGTAAAGAAGATGTCAAGATTAACGTTCACAGACTAATATAGCTGATTCATCAATAAACCCTTTATCAAAAAAATTAAATTTCCACAGCACAATCCTCTTCCATTCATTGGCTTCTAGCTCTGTTTTTAACATCTGCAAAGTCTTTCTCCATAGAAACAGAGCTGACGCTGTTGAGCCCTGGCAACAGCTTTCAAAAGCGGCTGTTCTGTATTTAACTAGTTTGACCTATATGCAAGTGTTCATCTCCGTCAGTGTGGACTGTCCAAAATTACAGAAGTGATGTTTTTCTTTATCATGTAACACACATATATATCCTGCATGAGGTCATTAGCTGAGTACATCAAGCCATTTCTGGATGTGAGAAAGGTATAACTGAAAAGGCTGGCTATAATTAATATCGAACTGGAAATTCTTTGCTAACTCAATTTTATCATCAGTAGTTTAATATTTAAATTGCTTGCAACTTTAAAAACAGCACCAAAGTTACCTATGTAGCCATGTGGTAACTATCACAACTGAGATGTTATAAAATGCTTCTCCATATGGCATTTTAACTCACTTCTGCCTAGTGTTTAATCCTCAGTATCTCATTAGGGTCCGTTAGACCCAATCTCAGTTTCTGAGTTTCTGTTTTAAGTAGTACTATTTATAAAAATTGATATCTCATGACTTTTTTCCTTTTTCCAAAGAGCAAACAAACAAAACAAAAAACCCAATATTTAAAAAAATAGAATAAAATTCTATCTTACAATTGCCATTTGGATCTACTAGATCTTTTTATGAATCTAAGACACATTATGCTATTTCATCACACTAGAAATTACATCATTACTCATCAATTATTCTCAACTATGCTTAAAAAGGATTAAAATAAGAAAATAGAAGAATGAAGTCTTTGCCCATGCCTATGTCCTGAAAGGTATTGCCTACGGTTTTTTTTAGGATTTTTACGGTTTTAGGTCTTACATTTAAATCTTTAAACCATCTTGAGTTAATTTTTGTATAATTTTCTGCATATGGCTAGCCAGTTTTCCCAACACCATTTATTAAATAGGGAATCCTTTCCCCATTGCTTGTTTTTGTCAGGTTTGTCAAAGATCAGATAGTTGTAGATGTGTGGCATTATTTCTGAGGCCTCTGTTCTGTTCCTTTGGTCTATATATCTGTTTTGGTACCAGTACCATGCTGTTTCAACAGTGTGGTGATTCCTGAAGGATCCAGAACCAGAAATACCATTTGACCCAGCAATCCCATTACAATCATTCTACTATAAAGACACATGCACACATGTTTATTGAGGCACTGTTCACAATAGCAAAGACTTGGAACCAACCCAAATGCCCATCAACGATAGACTAGATAAAGAAAACGTGGCACATGGAATACCATGCAGCCATAAAAACAGATGAGTTCATGTCCTTGGCAGGGACATGGATGAAGCTGGAAACCATCATTCTCAGCAAACCAACACAGGACCAGAAAACCAAACACCACATGTTCTCACTCATAAGTGGGAAATGAACAATGAGAACACATGGTCACAGGGAGGGGAACATCATACACTGGGGCCTGTCAGTGGGTGGGGGGGCTAGGGGAGGGATAGCATTAGGAGAAATACCTAATGTAGATGACGGGTTGATGGGTGCAGCCAGTCACCATGGCATGTGTATACCTATGTAACAAACCTGCAAGTTCTGCACATGTATCCCAGAACTTAAAGTATAATAAAAAATGACTAAATTACTTAGAAACAGTGAAACAAGTATCACTATGACATCACTCTTCAGTTTTCTTACTGTGTTGTGCAAGATATGTGTTATCTTTCAAGAAGGCATAAAAGAAGTCTGGAGCTAACATCTTTTGTGACCTCATTCTACATTTTATTGAATACGATTAAGCATTAACATTTGTAAGTTCTCTAGCCAGAATGACGAAGAAAATCTGAGGAAACTGTTTTAGAATTATTAGATGAGTCAGAAGTTGAACACAAAGAATAAGATAGGAGCACTTAGGACTCTAATAAAGATGCTGAAATTGATGATTATAAGTAAAATCTCAGTCTATGTGTCTTCAGATGATGATGCCCTACATACATTTTCTCAAACTCAAGAATCAATGAGTGAATAATATACTTTTAATCTAAGGACAAAGCATTTTCATTCAGTTACTTATTCAATAGAAAGTCTTCTTTGTGGAATATCTTGTGACAAGAAATGAGGCCATCCCATTTTGCTAAAAGGACACATGACAGTATTCTTTCATCTTTTATTTCATTTGTGCACCAAATTTTCTTGATATAGTTTAAAAGTAGACAGATGCTGAAGGCAGGTATTACAGAGAGATAGCCAGAAGAAATAGATGAAGTAGACATTAAAAAATTGGATTGACCATAAAAAACAGAATTGATCATTCTGAAAGGTATCTACAAATCTAAAAATAAAAATGTTTTGCAACTGTGGAACATATAATGGTCATCCTCTCTTCAACAAAATTAGGAGCCAAAGATCTCAAAAAAATTCTTAAAGCATTATGTTTTGATGCTGTAAGTGCAAGAAGAACCAGAAGTAATAATAATTTAGAAGCCAACAAAGATGTATTTGAAACTTAGAATCAGTATTTGTAAGTTCATGCAGGACAGCTGATGAACAGTTACTGCATTCAGAGGCTCCTGCCCATTTGGGGTATACAGGTTGAGTATCCCTAATCCAAAAATTCAAAATCCAAAATGTTCCAAAATCTGAAAGGTGCACCACACACAGGGGGTTACTGTATGATAATCTTTTAATCAAAACACAACATCAGCTGGGCATGGTAGCTCACACCTGTCATTTCAGCACTTTGGGAGGCTCAGGCAGGAGGATCGCTTGAGCCCAGGAGTTTGAGACCAGCCTGGGCAACCTAGGGAGACCTTGTCTCTACAAAAAGATTTTTAAAATTAGCCAGGTATGGTGGTGCACACCTGTAGTCCCAGCTACTCGGGAGGCTGAGGTAGGAGGACGGCTTGAGCCCAGGAGTTTGAGGCTGCGGTGAGCCATGATGGTGCCACTGCATGCCAGCCTAGGCGATGGAGTGAGACCCCATCTCAAAAAACCAAACCAAAACAAAAGCCCCCCACAACATCGTAGGTGGTGACTGAAACTGTTGCTGTTTGGTGTTGCTGTTGTTTAACAGCTTATCCAGGTATTCTGGTGATGCCATTGTGCTGCTTAGTTACCCTAAACTCACTATTTTTTCACTGTATTAATGGTGTGTCATATTTTTTACTGTTAAGTACTTGTGTCTCAATACATGTATGAAAACGATTATTTATCAGGCATATAAATTTACACTCAGAAACAATGGTGATGCCAACCAACCACAGACCATCCACATCTAGTGGCTGAGATAGTGATGCCTTAGCTTTCTGATGGTTCAATGTACACAGACTTTGTTTCAGTAACAAAATTATTTAAAATATTGTACAGGATTACCTTCAGGCTGTGTGTACAAGGTATATACAAAACATAAATGGATTTCATGTTTAGACCAGAGTCCCAACGCCAAGATATCTTAATGTATATGCAAATATTCCAAAAACCAAAATCCAAAACACCTCAAGACCAGGGAAACATGGCATAAAAATTTTATTTATATATTTAAGTTCTTATTTAATTTTTAATAGTTTTTTATCTCTTTATTCTTGTATTTTGTAAATTATTTGGAAAATAATCTAAAATAATTTTTAAGCGGAGTTTATTCAACCTAGATAGTATATGGTGATGACTGTTTTTCTTGGTACACTGAGGTAAGTTAAAAAGATAAGTGAAGCAGAAACAATCTTAGTATTAGGAATGAACTGCAAAACTGACTGGTTCCGGGACTTTCTGAAGAGTTGAAATAGTGAATGGACTTGCACCAACCCACCAAGACCCACACCTGCTAGAACCAATGAGACTGATCTAGCTGGAGACCTGAACAAGAACTTAATGAAATGCTGGAAAGCAGGAAAGGAAACGACCTTGTATAAAATTGAAACAATTAAGGACCCAACAAGCAGACTTAAAGCACTAAGAGGATTGCTATAAAGGGAATATTTAATATTATTTTACCCTCAACAAAAATTTTAAATGGTAGGATAGATTAATTCAGTACAGCTTACTAGGTTTTTTTTTTTTTTGAAGACGGGATGTTATATTTCTGAGTGTTATTCATGTCGATCTATGTAAATCTATTATTCATTTTATTTTTTTGAGACAGGGTCTCATTCTGTTGCCCAAGCGGGAGTGCAGTGGCACTATCACAGCTCACTGCAGCCTTGACCTCCCCGGCACAAGTGACCATCCCACCTCAGCCTCCTAAGTGGCTGGGACCACAGGAATGTGCCACCATGCCTGGCTAATTTTTAATTTTTGTAGAGGTGGGGTCTCACTATGTTGCCCATGATGGTCTTCAACTCCTGGGCTCAAATGATCCTCTGCCTTGGCATCCTGAAGTGCTGGGATTACAGGCGTGGGCCACTGTGCTCAGCATATTCATTTTAATATCTGTATGCTATTCCATTTCCTACTAAGGAAGAGTAATGATGTTTCTTTTCCCTCTATTACAAATAGCATGACAATCAACATCCTGGTACATGTCATGTTGTTTATCATAGGTAGTGGTCTTGAAGTAGAACTCATGGGGTTTGTGCATTTTCATTTTTGTAAGATGTCAAATTTATTTGCAAGATACTACCCACTTGGTATATTCTTCTAGTTTATACTCCAACTAGCAATGTATATGAGACCTTGTTTCTCCATAACCCCACAAACTCTTGGTTTTACCAGCTGTTGTAAATTTTGCCAGGTTGTTTAAGAAATAATCCCTCTTTTATTATACATTTTCCTGAATATCTTTTCATTTGCTTTTCTTCAATTGTGTTCTTTCTCTGAGAACTACGTGTTAAATCCTTCGACAGTTTTTTTAAATTGTGGTATTTATATTTTTCTTATTATACAAGACTTTTTATAGAGAATTTATTATAGAGGATGCCAATTCTTTGTAGATTATATACACTGCAAATATCTTCTCCCAGTTTGAGACATTTGTATTCAGTGTAATTTGTCATACAGAATTTTCTTTATATTAATGTAGCCAAATTAACACTTCCAATGGATTTACTTTCTGTATCAATTCTTCCCTAGCCTCAAATCTTAAAACATTTTTGCCTATTTTTCTTCTAAATAAGTTTTCCTCCTATAAATTTTAGTAGGCTTTTATGTTTTTGTTTTTTTGTAAATCCATTTGCAATTTTGTATGCTGTGAGGTAGGAATTGCATTTTATCTTTTTCCAAATAGGTAGTCAATTATCTCAGCTCCGTTTAAGGCACAGCCAGCCTATTACTCCCCTCTGATCTGTATCATCACTTGTCATAGAGCAGGCTCTTCCTTCCTGTGTTCTATTGTTTCCTTGGTCTGTTTTTACATGAATATATAACATTGTTTCAATTACTATTGCTTTCTAGTAAGTCTTGATATGTGATAAAAGTAAATCTTCATTATTCTTCAAAATTCTCATAACTCTTCAAGCCTCAAAAAAAATTAGAATCAAGTTGTCAAATGTTAAAAAATTCCTATTAGGCTTCACTGGAAATACACTCAACTTACAGACCAAGATGGGCAGAACTCAT
The DNA here is from genome assembly GCF_000001405.40 of Homo sapiens. Classification (NCBI taxonomy): domain Eukaryota; kingdom Metazoa; phylum Chordata; class Mammalia; order Primates; family Hominidae; genus Homo; species Homo sapiens. The sequence goes on along the minus strand of NC_000017.11, from coordinate 46,462,374 downwards.
TTTTATGACATTGTCAGTTCTCCCATACATGAACATGTTATATCTTACCATTTATTAGCTGCTTAAAAAAAGATTTTCAAAAATGTTTAGAATTTTCTCCTTAAAGGTCTTGCACATTTCCTGCTAGATCGAATCCTAGGCACTTTACATTCTGATTTCTGCTATAAATGAAATTGTTTTTAAAATTACCTTTTTATTATCATCACATTGTCTTTGAGTCTTGTTATTTCTTTCTTGCCTTCTAAAGTATTTGAGTTTCCATTGTTTCTTTCCCAGCTCCTCCCTATGCTTTGGAAAAGTTTGGGCACAATGTACAACTTTCACATGCACATTTGACTTAATGTTAACTAACATTATTGGCTTCTTTTTTTTTTTTTGACATGGAGTTTCACTTTTGTTACCCAGGCTGGAATCCAGTGGCACGATCTTGGCTCACTGCAATCTCCGCCTCCCGGGTTCAAGCAATTCTCCTGCCTCAGCCTCCTGAGTAGCTGGGATTACAGCTGTGCGCCACCAAGCCCAACTAATTTTTGTATTTTTTTAGTAGAGATGGGGTTACACCATGTTGACCAGGCTGGTCTCAAACTCCCTACCATCTTCCCCAATAATATAAGGAGCTTACATGAATTTAATCTACTTCCCAAACGTTTTTTTCCATATTTTAGTTCTATCCTTTAAAAATATTCATATCATTATTGTTTTTCTCAGTGAATGCTATTAAAATTTATTTTTAAAACTTTTAATTGCAAAATACATCACACATAGAGAAAAGTTACAAAATGTGAATATATGCCTCAATGAACTGTCACAAAATGAACGCCTACGTAATCATAAGAAACAGAATACTGCTAGCATCCTGGGAGCACCTCCTCACAACCCCTCCCAAGCACTCCTCCCTGACCTTTCCCCATAGGTAACCACAATCTGATTTTTATGGTAATAATTCATTTTCCTTTATAGTTTTACCACCCAAGCATGTGTTGTTAAACACTATACTTTAGGTAAGCTCTCTATAAATGGAATCACACAGTATGTGTTCTTTTTGAAATCTGGTTTCTTTTGCTCAATAATTTATTTGTGAGATTCACAACTGTATATAGCTGTAGGCTATTTATTTTCATTACTGCCTTGTATTCCATTATATATTTCTATGATCATTCATCCATTTACTGGATATAAAATTCTAAGTTGACAGTTATTTTCTTTCAGCTCTTTAAAAATGGCCTTTGATTGACTTTTTGTTTCCATCATTTCTATTGAGAAGACAGCTACTAGCTAGTTGTTGCTTATTTGAAGGTAATTTTCCTTTGCTCTCTAGCTCCTTTTAAGATTTTTCTCATTTTTGGTTTTCAGCAATTTAACAATAATGCCTATATATGTAGAGTTCTTTGGTATTTCTCCTGCTCAGGGTTCATATCATTTCTGCAATTTATGGACTAATGTTTTCCATCAGTTTTAGAAAGTTCTAAACCATTTTCTCTTCAAATCCTGATTTTGATTCATCCTCTTTCTCTTGCCTTTCTGGAACTTTAAATACACGCACCAGACCTTTAAACGGTATTCTCTCTCTCTCTCTCTTACTCTCTCTTAATTCCTTTCATTCTTTGTCTCTGGTTATTTTCATCTTATATCTTTCAGTACACTAATTCTCTCTTCAGATGTGTCTAACCTGCTATTTAAACTCATTCACTTGAGTTAATTTTACTTACTGATTTTCTCAGTTCTAGAATTTATATTTGTTTATTTTTAGTTTCCAGTTCTCTGCCAAAAATCTGTCTTGTCTTTTATCCCCTTGAATGTGGTAAGTATAATTATTTCAAAAGTCTGTATCTGAGAATTCCAATATCTAGAGGCTGTTTGAACCATCTTTTCTTTTTCTTGATGTTGTTTGTGTATCTGTTTCCAGTTGCTTTTGATTATAAGCCAGACATTGCATTTGCAAACTAGAAACAATTTGTGACCTTACATGATACCACTTTCTTCCAGGAAGGATTTACAATTCTGCCAGATGCCTAGGGGCACTAGCAATTTAGGAACCCTCAATCTAATTTTAGGGACTGACATGATTCAAAGCTGATCTGCAGCCCCAGTGAGAGTATGTCTACTCCTGGTTAACCCTTGCTCCTATGGTGTAGCCCTTCAGGGTCTTGACTCAAAATGAGTTATGTTCATCAGGTGTCCCCTCCTTAGGGGCCATGGGCACTAATCTCTGCCCCCATTACTCCCACTAGCCTGTCAAAAGGGCTGCTTAGGTTTTAGCAGCTTCCTGCAGAACTGGCTAATATCTCGAGAGGAACAGTGACCCAGTATACCAGGAGGACCTTTGTTCTAGGCCTCCATTTTTCTTCTTTGATACCTTCAAGCAAAACATGTTTAAATATTGTGTTGAGCTTTTCTGGTAGTCTTCAGTGGAACACATGACTCAAATGACCTAATTTGCCACTACTAGAAGTAGAACTCCCAGACTTTATCTATATTTTCACCAATTTCATTGCTCATCATTGTTTCTTGGCTCTACTGTTTCCTTCTGGGTTCAACTTCCTTCAGTCTCAGTACATCTTGCTTCATAATCTTCCAACAAGCTTCTGCAACTAGTTAATTCTATTATCCTTTGCCTGAAGAAAAAAAGTCTTTATTTCACCCTCATTCCTGAATGAGAATTAAGCTGGGTATTAACTTTTAAGTTGACAGTTATTTTCACTTAGCTCTCTGAAGATATTATTCTACTGTTTTTTGTTCTCTCTTTCTGTCATGGAAAAGTTTGCTATCAACATAATGGATACCCCTTTGTAAGTCATCTCCATGTCTTTCTTTTGTTACTAAGATTTTTTTTCTTTGGCATTCTCCTATAACAAGTCTAGAAATAAGTTAATTTTCATTTATCCCATATAGGCTCATGGTGCTACCTGAATCTGAGTACTTATGTCTTTATTAATTCTAGAATATTCTTAGTCATTCTCTTTTTGAATAATGCCTCTACACTATTCTATCTGGACTTCTTGTTTTAACTCTCTCATCTCAACTTTCATCTTCTCCATCCCTTTATCTCTCTGTGCTACATTCTGGGTGATTTCTTTAGGTTTATTCTTCTGTTTACCACTTCTCTCTTCAGCTGAAATTTGTTGTCTTATCTTAAACTTGGTTGCTGAGTTTTAAATTTTCATGACTACTTTTTCTATTCCTTTCAGCCTAGGTTGTTGGAGCACCCCCTGGGGTTTGCTTATATCTGACAACTTATGCTATCACTAGCCCAGGACTAATTTTTTTCTTCCTTAACATAGGGTCTTGCACTGTCACCCAGGTTGGAGTGCAATGGCACAATGAGAGCTCACTGCAGCCTAGAACTCCTGGGTTCTAGTGACCCTTCCATCTCAGCCTTCCAAGTAGCTGAGACTACAGGCATGAGCCACTGCACCTGAATAATTTTTTTAACTAATTTCTCAGCTTCGGGTTTCAAGCCACATAGGTAGCATACATTCATTCAAATTCTAAACCAGCATGAACAAGGATCCATGGTTTACAATTCCCATGGGAGGCCGGGCACGGTGGGTCACGCCTATAATCTCAGCACTTTGGGAGGCCAAGGCGGGCAGATCACCTGAGGTTGGGAGCTCGAGACCAGCCTGACCAACATGGAGAAACTCCATCTCTAGTAAAAATACAAAATTAGCTGGGCGTGGTGGTGCATGCCTGTAATCCCAGCTACTGGGGAGGCTGAGGCAGGAGAATTGCTTGAACCTGGGAGGCGGAGGTTGTGGTGAGCCGAGATCACGCCATTGCACTCCAGCCTGGGCAACAAGAGCAAAACTCCATCTCAAAAAAAAAAAAAAAAAAAAAAAAAAAGAAGAAGAAGAATTCCCATAGGAGATTTCCCAGCTTCCATTCCAGAACCCAGGCAGTTAAATATTTTTTGTTAATTTCCCTGTGGTGGCAGCAGATATTTTCTAGTCCACTCTTTTCATAGACACAACCCCTTTGAAGGTACCAGTTCCTAGTCCACACTGTAAATGGATTCAAGGACTCATGTTCTGTTCCCTAGTGGGTACTAAAACCCAAACCCATATATTATGAAACCAAAAGCTGCAGCCCGTATCTTACGACTCTAATTTCCTGGAGATCCAGTTTTCTTTCTGAAGAGCTCAATTATGCATTTAAAATGATTTCAGTTATGTTTTACCCAGAACTTTTAAAAGTTTTATTTTGTGTTTAATTGGCACATAACTGTGCATATTTAAGGGGTACAGTGTATACCTAGCATTTGAAGGTGTTTATAGAAGGAAGGTTTTCTGGTTACCTAGTCTACTGTATTGCTAGAACCAGAAATCTCATGGCATTGTTCTTAAACTGTCAATGAAAAAAATATGTTAGTATTAGGATAATTAATCAGAACAGACAAACAGAACCAATAGAATGTTCGTGTGTGTGTGTGTGTGTGTGTGTGTGTTTTCCTTATGATAAATCTCTATGAATATGTATGTATGCATATACACCCACATATATATGTCAGCCTCCATAATCGTTTTAGCCAATTCCTTGGGATAAATCTACAATTTCAGAGGCTGACAAGTCCCAAGATCTGCTGTCAGCAACCTGGTGACCCAGGAGAGCTAATACGCATTATTTAGTTCCAGCCCAAAGGCCTCCAAGCCAGGAAGAGCTGATGTTTCGGTGTGCATCCAAACCAATGTCCCAACTCAGGGCAACCAGGCAAGTCGAAATTCCCTCTTACTTGCAGGAAAGTAAGCCTTTTTGTTCTGTTCAGGCCTTAAACTGATTGAATGGGGCCTGCCCACATTAGGGAGGGCAATCTGCTTTATTCAGTCTATCAACTCAAACGCTAATTTCATCCAGAAACATCCTCACAGACACAACCGAAATGTTTTACCAAATATTTAGGCACTTTATGTCCTAGTCAAGTTGACATGTAAAACTATCAGAATTAGTAAATTCTAGCTTGATTTTTAAATAATTTCATTTCTGAGACGCAAATCAAGCTTTCCTTTGAGCTCTGACAACTCAATCCTGTCACTCTATAACTGAGCAAGACTCAGTGTTAAGTAAGATAGCTTTTTGCATATGAACCTTACATAATACGATTTCATAAGTCTATTTATGGATTTAATTTCCCCTTTTCTTCCAAAGGATAAATGAGCACAAGTCTCTGGAAGCAATATGGAATAAAAGTGTCACCTGAAAATATATTCATGACCTATTTTTGCAAAACCTCTGGCTTACACAATCACCTACCTTTGTTTATAGGAATATGTGGGCAACAACATCTGCTCATCACGTAAATCTTCCACAGTCCCTGGTGCAGTGCCATATATAACCTAGGTACTAGGTAAATTTACCTGTAAGTTGCTTCAAAATATAAATCAAAGCAACAAGTTTGTCTCCATAACTCTGGGTCTCATTCATCGTATAGCGAGTGATAAACTTTTACTAAATCACACTTATGTTCACATTACCCTCCTTTGCTCCTCTTCAGCATCAGCAAAAAGTTTGCGAATGTTAGCCTCTGATTCTCCCACATATTTGTTAAGGATTTCTGGCCCATTGACCACTTTGGGCTCTCTTGCATTCAACATCTTGCCAATCTGTCGAGCCAAGAGAGTCTTACCACAACCTGGGGGTCCATATAACAGGATGCCTTTAACATGTTTACAACCTGAAAAGGAAAAGAAAACAGTCTTATATCAGCTAACTAGAATCTAAGTAAGACTCTAAAGGAAAGTGTTCTTTCTTCTTCGTATGCACTTTAGGAAAAACACAGTGATGCCATTCACATATGTTAATGTCCATGAGCCATGAACAAGAATATACAGCCAAAAATCCAGAAACAATTCCTATAACTGTACTAAAGTTTGAGGGGGAAATGCTGCCAGTTAAAGGTCTCTGGAAGAGTCCATTCATGCTATGATTTTGAACAAATACTTTTTACTCTGAAAATGTCTAACTGGGAAATATTACTTATTTTTGGCTGGGTGTGGTGGCTCACTTGAGCCCAGGAGCATGAAACCAGCCTGGGCAATACTTTGTGACCCTGTCTCTATAAAAATAAAAAATTTGCTTTGTTTTACATATAACGATAAATTATATATAATTATTATATATCATATATGTGTATACACACACACACACACACACACACACACACACACACATATCCCATGGAATACTATTCAGCCATAACAAAGAACGAAGTCACATCTTTTGCTACAACATGGATGGAGCTGGAGGCCATTTTTCTAAGTGAAGTAACTCAAGAATGGAAAATCAAATACCATATGTTTTCACTTACAAGAGGGAGGTAAGTTATGGGTACACAAAGGTGTACAGAGTAATAGACTTTGGAAACTCAGAAGTGGGGAAAGTGAGGGCATGAAACCAGCCTGGGCAACACATTGTGATGGCAGAAAATTAAGAAGTGGGGAAAGTGAGAGGGGAGTGAGGAATAAAAAACTAATATTGGGTACAGTTTACACTACTTGGACAATGGGTCCTGCACTAAAATCTCAGACTTCACTACTATATAATTCATCCATGTAACCAAAAACCACTTGTACCTCAAAGGTTATTAAAATTATATAATATCTTTATATTACACCCAAAAAAGCACTCTGTGAAATAATAGATTATCAGGTTTCAGTGTCACACTCCTAAGTATGGGTAAAAAGGGAAATTTCTGAAAATGCAATATAAATAGTGTGTCGCCATGGAAAATGGTTTGTCCTTATCTGAAATGAAAGCATTAAAAAGTATATCTTTAAGAAAAAAAGTACAATACATTTGATGACTCAAGTAAAATCACAAGATGCAAACAACTCTATTAGAAATTTTAGATTCTGAGGAGGAAGACCCTTTGGGCTGTCAAAATTGGTCTTCACTTCCTCCTTTATGCTGAGAAAAGACTCCTTTTTAAATCCTTGAAAGTAATAAGAACTGTGCCTTTGGTTGAACATGGAGAGGGAGGGGAAACACTTGATGGCTTACAGTCTTAACCCTCTGCATCACAGAGTAAATCCCTTCCCTAAGAACCACTGCCCAATAAAATGCTTTTTGGCCTTTGACTCACCCTCCAAGTATGAGTGGTAGGGAGATAACAGGAGAAGCCTTGAGCTTCTCCTAGAGGCCAATACCACCAAGCACTACCAGCATCTAAGTTACAGGGACACGCTGGATTAGCAGCACGTTGAAGTCTGGCTCCTAATCTTGCCCTCTGAGCCAACTGTTACCATCATGATTTGAAACTATTCATATGTATAAACTGTAGCTGAGGCAGGTGGTGGTGGTGAAACATTCATAGGGAGAGGACATCCAGAAAGAAGAAAATGAAGATTTTCTGAGTTCCTACAAAGCACCAGCCCTTCTGATCTCCAACTTCTTGACTTCTACATTTTCTCCAAGTTTATCAACTTCCTCTTAACCATACTGCCTTCCCTAGTAAGCCATGCTTTCTTTGAAGGACTTTTAACTATTTATTCTTTGTAAATTTCTGTTATAACCACCCCATAGTCCCTGAATACAATATGGCTTTATTCACTACACATTGGCCACAATGTGTATAATTTCTCCATAGCACAGCTGGAGAAAATTATACCACTGTGCTACTGACTGATACCTCCAGAATTTCATGCTATCCAGTTTCAGTTCTATGCTCACTGCTTTCTCATGCCACTCTTTACTTGTCTTTGTTAGCTCATCTCTAATTCTCCTTATTAATTATCCAGATCTTCACTGTTCTTCTCAAGAGCTACCCCCTGCTATGAATTCTTAGAGATAACCTAGGTTCCTATTTCACATATCAAAAAAAAAAAAAAAAAAAGACTTCACCTCTCTGCTTCTTTATCTATAAATTGATCAGCAGACTCATCCATTCTCAACCTAATCTCGGTTCTCAAAGTAGTCTTCCTTCCTCTCCTCCAAGGTTTATATTGCAATTCTCTGTTTACATGGCTTCTTCGCTATAAGACTGTAAACTATTCAAATGCAAGTACTATCTCATTCACCCAGCATGATGCCCAGCACCTACTATGGACTTCAGGAAAGGCTGAATAAGTAAACTGTTGATTCTTTTCCTACAAAACTCAAAGAATATGAAGGATTTTAAAAAATTATTTGAAGCTCTTAATTTATGGACTGTGCTTATTCTCATAGCTGAGCTAATTTAAATACTTAAAAAAAAAATACATTTGCAATGACTGAGACTTTCCGAATTTAACAAAACAACATAAACACAAGAATCTTAACTTTGCAACTATGCTTCTGTACACAGAAAATGCTCAAATTAATGTGTTTTGAACTAAATTTACTCAGATATTATAAAATAAACAATTCACAAATTATTACCATGAAGTTTAAAAGAGATAAAATGTTTACCCATGCAACTTATTATATATAATACAGATATGTGAAACGATAGAATATATTTAATATAACTTCAACAGGAATGTAATAGAAGCTCTAGTCTGCTTTAGAACTATAATTCTTTTAGGATCTCAAATGAGCACATCAAAAATATACACTGACATGTGAAGTCTTTCAAAATGTACTTCCACAAAGGAAGCTGTTACTTGAATAAGCAGTGGAAATGGGACTTTATTATTACTATTATTATTACAGCCTATTCTGACTTATTAAGTAAGCATTGGTCTCTAATTTTAAATGAGTCATAAAAACTCTTTATAACTAATTCCATTCAACAAAAGTGTACTAAGCTCATGTTTAGACTAGATGCAAAGGTAGCTGTTAGGGATACAAACATGAAAAAGACAGTCCCTAGCTGTAGGGCATTTCTGGCTTAGTAGGAAAGACAGAAATAAAAATAGGCTATCTACAATATAATATGACATTATCAGAGATATGTATGAAATGTTTTTGGACTCTAGCCAAGAGATACTGATTCTGCCAGAGTGATGGCAGAAAATTAAGAATGGACTCAGGTGAAGAGCTAACATCCATTGTGGGCCTGGAAGAATGAGTAGGAGGTTCACAGGCAATGGAGAGGAAATGCCACCCCAAAGAGAGAGACTAGCATGATCAAAGGCATAGGGATATGGACACAGACACTGTTCTCTCGAAACAGCCAGTAGTAACCTGCTGTAGCCAGAGCCCTGGAAGTGAGGAGAGGGCAGTGCCTGGCGACGAGGCTGGCAGGCTCCTAACTGGCAGGCCTTGAAACCATGACCATGATTTTTTAACTTGTTTCATAGGTGATTAAAACCCCACATTTTTGGGTGATTAGTCTAATCACCCTTAGGTGTAAGTGACAATCACGGAAGGCACACCAGGAGATATGTATTTAAAAGCTAACTGTGTTGGCAGAGTGGAGAAAGAACGAGAGACCAAACAGGCAAAGGAGGGGAGGCTAGCTGGGGGAATGTTCTGAACCTTTTTCTGGGGATACCAACTCACTCTGGATTCTTGCCAGTTAAGTTTTCATATCCCTCTAAGTCCTTTGGAAGCACAGGAACAAATGGGTCCAGGGGCCTCGGGAGGACACCCTCTGCTCCTGCTGATGCCCCAGCTTTCTCCTGAGCTTCTCTAGGATATTAAAGCCTGGATCTGATATTGAGGAGCCTCTGATCTCTGGCTGCTGGACTGACTGCCCAGCTGGACTGACTAATGCTGCTGTTTTATTCTTAATATCTTACATGCCACCTCACTCCTCAGAGATAAGTGCCTTAGGTTAGTGACCTAAATAACAAAGGCCAGGTATAGAACGAGAAATCAGTGGACCTGATTTAAATTGTCATTGTCTCTCATTCTATTCCTCTCTTTCCCACAGAACAGTCTAATGGACCTCCCCAGGAAAATGCACATGCACAAAAAATTTGCATACAAATTTGAGAGAGTTCTTTAATCCTTTGAGGTCCATCCATGGAATCCAAATTAGAAACTCCTGAACATATTACTGAAATAATCCAGACAAAAGACAATAAACAGAAAGAGGCAAGAGTCATAGGAAATAGTAGAAAAAGAAAAGAAGATGCGGGAGATACTCATCAAAGCTTAGAAACCAAATGGAAACCAGAGAAGGAAGAGGAGTCAAGGATGACCTTGAGGCATCTAGCATGGGTACATGGATAAAATGATGGTAACCTCAGGGATACCAAGACATAGCAAGAGGAAGAGGAATCAGTTTGGAGATTACAGGAAATCATTACTTGTTTTTGGCTATAAGGCATTTGACATTTAGGCAGTAGTGCCTATTAAAAATACTGGTGAAAGCTCAGAAAAGACATCAAAACTACTGCTTCAATATTTTTGAATGCCTGCCCTGGGTACGTGAAAAGCTGTGAAAAGTTTTAAGCAGAAGAATGTGACAACAGAGATAAATGCTGCAGTGATAGAGGATGAGGCCTGGAAAAAGGGCACTAGGTTTAGAAATCAGGAAATACATGCCGCTCTAGGCCACAGGGTCTTCGAACAGGGTCAGAGCATTTGGGGTTGAGTCCCTACCTTTCACTTAGAAGAAAACTAAGTAGCATAAGCAGATATGGAGACCACACTTTCAGGAACTTTGGCAACAGAGGAGGAATGGAGAGGGAGAGCTTGTAAAGACACCTCTCCTTCTGAGACCAGTTAAATAAAGGGACAAGGAGGAAGAAAGCTGAGGTTATTCCTGTTGGGTTCTGTTGACTATGTGAAGCAGGAACTAGGTCATCAACAAAATGAGGGATGAAGAGAGGATACTGGGAAACATGGTAAAGGTTTGGAAAGCACATGGGGAGTTGGGAAAATGTGTCTGAGCAGACGGACGCTGTTACTAAGTGAACTCAGCATATGAGATTCAGGTCATCGAGGGACCATCCTTTGTTGTATTTACATAAGCAATTCACAGTATTAGGTAAGGTGTAGATTCTTATTCAGTTCTATAAATACAAATTTCATCTAAGCTGGCATACAAATTTTGACCTTTTTGGTTTTACCCATCTCTTTTTTTTCAAATCTTAATTTTAAAGGTTAGCAATATGAGGTAAATAACAGGATTAAATTAATGTAATGTGCAGTCAACATACGTATAGCTCAATTCTATTATCTAATTTTCCCATCAAAAGTGTAAGGTAAAAACTATCACATGACTGTTTTCAACATTTTTTCCTCCATTTTCCACAAAGTTTGAGGCCTTAATCTTCAAAGTGATTCCCATCTTTTCTCCTTCATCTATAACTTACTTAAGTAAGAACTAAGGTGGGCTAAGGGTATAATCAAACATAGTTCCAAAGCATTTCTTCTCTCAATATCCTATGTCAAGTACTTTTTTAGAAACAGGGTTTCACTCTGTCACTCAGGCCAGAGTTCAGTGGTGTGACACAGCTCACTATAACCTGGAACTCCTGGGCTCAAGCGATCCTTCCAACTCAGCCTCCCGAGTAGCTGGGACAAGCACATACCAGCAAGCCTGGCTCAATTTCCTGTATCCGGGTATTTTACTGCTTGTTTTACTAATTGCTCCCGTTAATCATTTTCTAAAAAATACCTACTTTTTATTTGGATGAGGCACAAACATAGTAACAACTCTTGGTTATAATAAGAGAAAGGAAAGTGGTAGTAAAGAGTATAATCTCAAATGGCCAAAAATCGATTTTTATATATGGTTTTGGAATTTAAGTTGCTAATTACATTGGATATAGGAGCAACTGAAGTTCTAGGACATCACAGTCTTTCTCTCATTCAACCAATCATACATCTTGTGGTGGGAAGATGAAGAAGATGAAGAAGTTCTCTTCTGTTTGCCTCTATTTCCTCCGTGAAGTAAAGATTCCAGGTCATCAGCTGCTGGTAAAGATGGAAGAGGTGGTGCTTGGGGGTTGAGCCAAATAGAGAAGAAGAACTAGTCATCTCAGAGAATAGGAGAATAAATGGATTGGACTAGGGAAATACAGAAGGAATACTAGGAATATCTGTTCCAAGAAATACTGAGGGCTCACTTGAGATTTGGTTCATAAATTTAAAGTGAGATCAGACACTGTGGTTTTGTGTTTTTCTTAAGCCATGCTTAACAGCGAGAATACTGGCACAGAGTAGGCAGGTAGCTGAGAAACACTTGTGGATTTGACAACAGAAGATGAGGAGCAAGGCTGCTAAGGGTGTATACAAAGAGGATATATGTGATAGACCATGGAGGTTAAGCTGGGGAAAGAGGAGAGAGAGAACAAAAAGATTGGGAACTGATAGAATAAATTATACTGGAGGTTCCAGTGGGGTCCAAGTTGCTGGAGTTGGTAACAGGAGAAATGCTAGGAGTAAGCAAGGAAAAATGGGAGGCAGCGCGAGAGCAAGATGCTTACATCTGAGATCCCCAAAGTGGTGTGGTTGCTGGTAATGGCAAACAAAGTCTTGTGTATAATCGAAGAATGAGTGGCTGAGGTGGACTTAAGGAAAAGGTTAATGAAAACAAGGAGGTTGAAATCAGAAAATAAATCAGGTGAAAAATCTCTAAAGAACTTTAAAAATTACTAAGAGTCCCACTTTTCTAGTCAGTGGTTCTCAAATTTAGATTTCACAACTAGCAAAAGAACGTTTGTTTTCTTTAAACTGGAGAGCAGTGCTGTCATTGGGTTGTTTTAGTTTTAGTTTTGCAAGGTAAAGATTTCTTAAAAAAAAAAAAAAAAAAGAAAATCAAACCTGACATCATCTATCACCACCATTTCATATAAAAAGTACATTTTAGTATTGAAAGGTAGACACAATCTCAGGTTAAAGGACAGTGTTTTCTGTTAAATAAACTCAGTTTTATGTGTAGTGTTAAAAGTGAGGGCTCTGCAGTCAGTTTGCCTGGATTCAAATCCTGGTTCTTCCACTAACTAGCTGGAAATAATAATAGTAACTACCTCAGAAAGTTACTATAATTAAGTATAATGCACATAAAGCACTTAGCATACTTTATGGTGGATAGTAAGAGCTCGTAAATATTGGCTATTAATTAATAGCTTATTTCTCTCACCTTTCTGCAGATGAGTGATGAAAATGGAATTAGACTCCCAACTGGTGACAATTAGATCACAATTAGGTTACCAAAAAACTTCCAAATAAATGACTATTTTACTTACCAAATTACTTCTGAGACTGACAGTTGTGACCATCTGCTCCTTAAAACTTTATCTACCAGAATTGTCACTTGAACTTCGCAAATTATAGTACCCATTCCACTGATGAACTTCACGCTCCAAATTAACATAGTAGTAAATGAGTTAGACTACAGCAGTTTCACAGACATGTTACTAGTGTTTTGGTAAGTCAAGATTCTTTGTAGCTATAGCCTCTCTTCCAGCTAGACTACTATCAGAGTCAATTCTGCCTGCTTCTACACAATGGAATACAATTCATCCATAAAAACAATGAAATTATGTCATTTGCAGCTACATGGATGGAAGTGGAGATCATTATCTTACATGAAATAAGCCAAACACAAAAATACAAAAATCAGATGTTCTCACGTATATGTAGGAGGTAAAAAATTTGAACACATGGAGGTAGAGAGTGGAAAAGTAGACAACAGAGACTGGGGAGGGTGACTGGGGATGAAGGGAGGCTAAGGAGAAGTAGGCTAAAGGTACAAACGTACAGTAAGATAGGAGGAATAAATTCAATGTTTGATAGCAGGGTAGGATGACTATACTTAATAAGAATATATTGTACTGGGGTGACAGATCCCTTGAATACCATGACTTGATCACTACATATTACATACATGTAAAAAATTTCTCATGTATCCCATAAATTTGCACAAATTAAAAAAAAAGTTTTAAAATCCTGCCTTTCTTATGCCTCAAACAGTTCACGCATACTGATTTCTCAAGCTTTCTAAGCTCACTTAAGGGTCAACATGTACCCATTCATAGAAGCCAAGCTACCATGATTATCAGTTCCACATGTGTACAGCCCTTGACCTTTTCTCCTGCCTCCTCTATCATAAGTATATTTATTTTCCAAAGTTCCCCTTTATCTTGCCAATTGCAACTACTCTCATGGCCCCTAACTGCCAGACATTGGAAAGCGGTCACTGCCCTTTCTTGGGGAGCACACACCCTGCTCTGCCGGCATTCACCTGGGACAAGCTGATTCTAGTGAAAGGAACTGGGGCTATTTCTGGGCACTTCATCCAAAAGTGTTTTTGCAACGCTAGATCAACATAGCCCATCCACCATCCTTTGCTTCTTAGTTTGAGGTGGATTAGTATTACCTGTATATTCTTTCTCACCTTATTTCTAGCTACAACTCTCAGTTAAATCAGCAATCCTCCAACAATATACAAAATTTGGATACTGTTTGAGCCACAGGTGTTGACATCCAGTGATTATAATAATACAAATTTTGGTGGGGAGAACTTTAATAGGCTTTAAGGTGTGTGCTACAAATAACTGAAAGTGATTTCTGATCTAAAAGTCAGAATAGGACCGTATCCGCTATGATAGGTATATCCACCCCACTGATGAAAATGATTCATGAAAATACTTACATCTTATATGTAAATTGTAAATAGCTCGATAAAAATACATAGCCTTACTTCTGAAACACAAGAAATAAACAGCAATGTTTACTGTTTACACTCTTTCGAAACACCCGAAAAAAGTGACAAATTTGTACTTGTTAAGCTCTTCTATTTTACAAAGCAGTATATTTTCTTCATTTTTTCTGGATGTTATCAGAGGCAAGCTGCGTTGAGGAAAAACTGTCAGTCAACTTTGAGGTATTCAAAGGGAGAAAAAACTATAGCAAACACTAATTTTATATAAGAGTAAGCAGGATGATAATAAATTAGAAGTGGTCTCTGTCAAATTAGCATTAAGATAAGAGTGTTCAGTTCATTTTGGGGGCAACATGATCTATAAAGAGAGAAAGAAGTGCGAAGTGGGTTTTGAACAATGACTGATGTTTAAAGAGGAATCCCAAGTGGCTTCCAGTACAAATGCAGACTAGCCATGTTTGCCAAAGAAGGAGGCTATCAAAAGACTAGTAGCAAGTCAGGACATATTCGGCAGTCTTGCAAGCTTCTCTGTGCAGTTGTGCAAACCAGATTTGAGTGCTCAATTTTAAATAGTGCATGCCCTTGTAGAAAATATAATCACAAATTAATATTTGATCTTTTAAATATAATCATAATTATTATTATTATATTTTTTTCAGACAGAGTCTTGCTCAGGCTGGAGTGCAGTGGCACAATCTCGGCTCACTGCAACCTCCGTCTCCCAGGTTCTAGCAATTCTCCTGCCTCAGCCTCCTGAGTAGCTGGGATTACAGGTGCCACCATGCCCAGCTAATTTTTGTATTTTTAGTAGAGATGGGGTTTCACCATGTTGGCCAGGCTAGTCTTGAACTCCTGACCTTAGGTGATCCACCCATTTCAGCCTCCCAAAGTGCTGGGATTACAGGTGTGAACCACTGCGCCTGGACACAAATTAATATTTGATCATTTAAGTTTCCATAATTACAACTTCTCTTATGGTTCTGTTGAAAATTGTAAATTGGAACTAGAGTCATGAGTATTTTCTTAGTTCTACTTGACTTACCATTTCAGTAGTACAATATAATTATTTACTCTAAGAGCATAACTTTCATTGACTCATTATATAGGAGGGCCTTTTGTTTCAAAAACCTTTTTTTTTTTTGAGACAGGGTCTCACTCTGTTGCCCAGGCTTTGGAGGGCAGTGGCACTATCTCAGCTCACTGCAATCTCCATTTCCCAGGCTCAAGCCATCCTGCCGCCTCAGCCTCCCGAGTAGCTGGGATCACAGGTGCATGCCACCATGCCTGGCTGATTTTGTATTCTTTTGTAGAGATGGGGTTTCACCATGTTGCCCAGGCTGGTCTCAAACTCCTGGGCTCAAGTGATCAGCCTCCTCGACCTCCAAAGTGCTGGGATTACAGGTGTGAGCCACCACGCCTGGCCTTAAGACTCTCAATCAACATCTAAAATAGGTTGTCATCTACACTTGTTTATCTGTGCACTTATGAAATCTTTAAGAAATGGAAATACTTAAGACCAAGACCACTACTCCTGATACCATCTGGGCAGTCGGGACTTTGACCATCCATTTTCGTGGCACTATTCTGTCTGGTAGAGACTTGCTGTTGTCCCACCAACTTCAAAATGCCAAGAGCACTCTGAGTTTTGCTATGCTAGTGAAAACAGCCTATTTCCTGAGCACCAAGCAGCTGTGCAAGCTGTCTACCATCCGACTGGTCTATATCCAAATCAGTCAACTTAGATTTAATATAGATTTTCTCATTAGATAGCCTAGAACTAAAGATGAGATGTGTGTAGCAATGCTCCAAACTAATCTTTGCTGACACCCCCACCCTTTTACATTCCCTCATAGGGTGTTGCCTGGTATTTCATGAATTCTTGATGACAAAGATCATGCTTCTTCTATAGCAGGTCTGCCTTGCTGCCAAATGGCAGCATGTATCTTTACTGGTTTCAGAATTTTATAGTTTTTTCTTTCTTTGTTTTTTTTCCTTCCGTCCCTTAGCTTTTAACTCCTTTTATGTGCTGTTCTATTGGGCCCCTAATTCAGCCTAGCAAATATCTTCCCTAGCAGACAATTTATTTCTTCTTTACTACACCTGGAATTTCTACCTACTCTAACAGTTCATGTTCTTCTGTCCCCAGAAATCACCTCCTTTATTAATGCCACCTAATTCTGATCATATCTTTGGGCTCAATCCTTCAGTACTTAGAGTAGCAGCTGTCAACCTTTAATATGCACCAATGTCCAATGGAGCTTGTTAAAATGCAGATTTCCAGACATCACTCCTAGAAATCTGAATTCATTAAGTCTGGAGTGAAACTGAATATTTAACAAGCGCCCTAAGTAACTCTAATGTAGGCCAGAGGACACACTTTGAAAAACATCATTCATGGTTACAACTGACAATACATTATGTTGTTTTATTCTAAGAGTTCTTAGCTTATTTTTTTTAAGTGTATATGTTCTATAGCCTCAATTAAATCATAAGCTGATAAGGACACACTGACAAGTTGTAGCTATAGAAGAGAAAAGAGCTATTCTAACAAGATAAAAGTTATCAAGAATAGATGTTTTCTGTACTTGAGTACAGCTGGGGGAGATACAGTTTTGTGAGAGATGACTGGGAATTTCATTCATTAGTAAATTAGATAAGCATTAAGATAGAATGTCGATGTCAAAAATGTTAGCACAATTTCGGCCTACATTAAAGGACTAGTGTTTTAAATAAAGAATAAATAGTTCTGATCTATTTTACAACAGAGACCACATTTGCATTACTCCACTAAATTCTAGGTTTCACAGCTTAACATTAATATACATAAATGTTAAAGTTCACAGAAACGTGAATAGGATGGTAAAGGGCTAAAAAGACTGGCTAGAAAAAACCAACCAAGCTTAGGAGAATTAGCTTAGAGAAAAGAGGAATCTGCAGGGAAGTCTGGACAATAGCTTTCTTCATACCTAAAGAGTGTTCATAAAGAAGTAGTATCATGCTTGTTCTGTGTAGTTTCAGGGGAAGAACCAGAGCTTGTAGGAGAAGATACAAGCAAATACATCTTACCTTAACATAAGGAAGACTAAACTTAAACCTATAGTTGTCCAAAAGAGGAATGTAGCCTTAGGAGGGAGTGAGATTCCTGTCACTGGAGGAACTTAAGCTTAGCCTAAGGAACCTGGCAGAAGTTACTCAGCAGAAATGCAGAAGAGGGCCAGGCATGAGTAATCCCAGCACTTTGGGAGGCCGAAGCGGGTGCATCGCCTGACGTCAGGAGTTCGAGACCAGCCTGGGCAACGTGGTGAAACCTCGTCTCTACTAAAAATACAAAAGGCTAGGCACGGTGGCTCACGCCTGTAATCCCAACACTTTGGGAGGCCGAGGCGGGTGGATCACCTGACCTCAGGAGTTCGAGACCAGCCTGGGCAACATGGTGAAACCTCATCTCTACTAAAAATACAAAAGGCCAGGCACGGTGGCTCATGCCTGTAATCCCAACACTTTGGGAGGCTGAGGCGGGTGGATCACCTGACCTCAGGAGTTCGAGACCAGCCTGGGCAACATGGTGAAACCTCGTCTCTACTAAAAATACAAAAGGCCAGGCACGGTGGCTCACACCTGTAATCCCAACACTTTGGGAGGCCAAGGCGGGCGGATCACAAGGTCAGGAGATCAAAACCATCCTGGCTAATACAGTGAAACCCCGTCTCTACTAAAAATACAAAAAATTAGCCAGGCATAGTGGCGGGCGCCTGTAGTCCCAGCTACTAGGGAGGCTGAAGCAGGAGAATGGCGTGAACCCGGGAGGCGGAGCTTGCAGTGAGCCGAGATCATGCCACTGCACTCCGGCCTGGGCGACAGAGCCAGACTCCATCTCAAAACAAACAAACAAACAATCAAACAAACAAAAAATTAGCTAGGCATGGTGGTGCACGCCTGTAATCCTAGCTACTTGGGAGGCTGAGGCAGGAGAATCTCTTGAACCAGGGGGGCAGAGGTTGCGGTGAGCCAAGATCATACCACTGCACTCCAGCCTGGGCATTAGAGTGAGACTCCATCTCAAAAATAATAATAATAATAATAATAATAATAATAAAAAGAAATGTAGAAGAGATTCAAATAAAAAACAGGTGTGTGCACTAGATGGCTAAGATCCTTTGCAATACTGAGATTCTGTGATTCCTTTAATGTTCTCTGATAGAATCTGGTATTTTTGTACAGTAAGCTCTGAAATAAATATTCCAGGATGGAAAGGAAGAAGACTAAAGGCAAGGAAGATAATAAAGAGGCTACTGCTGTAGTGCAAGGGTAACTGACTAAAGCAATGAAAAAGAAAAAACAAATGATAAAGGCAGAAAAAATTTAGGAGTATTCAATAATAAATTTGACAAATGCATGAAAAACAAAGGAAAAGGGGATAGATGTATCATGACTCCACAGACCTAAAAAAGAAAGGTAACTGGGAAGGGATAACTACTTGTGGAACGAGAAAGAATGTAACAAAGTTTTAAACATTTCAAGAATTCATTTCAGTAAAAATTCTTATGGCGGACGGTGAAAGCATCTGAAGATATGTGGTAAAGGTCATCTAAAAATGACCACTAAATGCCTGGATAAAAGGAATTAATAAATTTAATGAAATACTGTCTTTCGGAAATGGGATTATTAGACCTCCTCTTTGAGTGGTACAGATCTGTGCTTGTGGACTGAGGGAGGAGGAAGGCAAAGGAAGTGTAGGAAGGAATAAAGGGTTCTATACCATGTGTTTGTAGTTAGGCAAGATTACCTGCATGTTCTGTGCATTTTATTTTACTTTGCTGTGCACATAGTGTATACACATGGTCCCCGACTTAAACTGGTTTGACTTTTAACAATTTTTTTTACTTTATGATGGTATAAAAGCAATATGCATTTGGTAATGCTCTTCGATTTACAATCAGTTACGACAAGATAAACCCATAGTCAACTGAAAATACTGTAAGTCAAAAATGCACTCTCAACTTAGGATATTTTCAACTTACGATGGGTTTGCTGAGACATAACCCATTGAGGGTTATCTGTACAATGAACAAGCAAGTCCTAATTTTACATCTTGTTGTCTAGATGATAAAGAGGTTGCTAATGTTTGACAAAAGAAGAGATGATGAACTAAAACATATTATATACTTTTCTTGTATGCCCGAAAACTTCATAGGTAAGACTATCTTCTGAAAACAACTTTTGGAACGCTGATATTGTCCTTTGGGCTGATAATGATAAGAAGGAAGTGAGAAGGTGAAGTGTACTTGGCTATAATATTCATATTTCGAAGATACTTTCAGATTATAGCCTTTGTTATATGCACACAATTTAATCAATGCTATCATTATACAGTAGACGTTTGAAACATGTAGTCTTCACAAAATAACACACTTTAAGTAAGTTTATGTCAATTAACAGGAATGACTGTCTTTAGAATGGAACTGTTAAACTTTTATCTCTTTGAGCTACATATTCTTTGCTCATTGGGTAGTAAAGGAGGTGGGAGAGACAGGAAGTGACGGTGGAAGAGTTCTGTGCCAGTGTGTTTTGAGATAAATGCAGATTATCTACTCGTCGTTCTGCAAGTGCATTTACTTAGCATTGTTGAGTATGCAAAGGACAAACAAGGCCCCAATGCTGAGAAGTGCCCAAAGTATGCTGAAAGTTTAAGAAGTAAAATAATTCTTTGATAAATGTCCTCTTGTTAGAGTTTTTAGCAAGGCTTGTTGTCTGGGAGTGACTGTTGTTAACCCATCTCGTAGAGCTATATGCATTTCTGTACTTATTCATTGAGCTGAAGAAGGAAGAAGAAAGGCAAAAGGAAGGTTCTTTGCAAGTATGTTCATATCTAGAAGATAGTTTCATATTGTAGCCGCAGTTCTAGGAAGTGATTTTTTAGTAAAGTGCCTCTGTTTATCAGTCCTTACTTCACAACACTAAGCTTTCTAGATGTTATGAGGTGACAATGTATAAAATAGAGCTAGTGAATTAACTAGATAGTAAATTAATTTCATTAGAAAAGAAGCATCTTGGAAATGGCAATGTTAAACCACCTATGAGCAGTATACATCAGTACGTACTGGATTGCTAAGGAAGGGGCAGAAAGAAAGGTAAGGGAAGAGATATATATAGATATGTCCATATTTACAATCTGATTATAACCACTGACATATGTGTGCTTTTTTCTTGGTATACTTTGTGAATACTATATGAATTGTTAAATAATTAAGTAGAAACATCATTTCTGGTAATATTTTAATAGTGCAGATCTCATACTGAACTATCTAAGAAGCATTATACTTACTTGACTGCTTTGTATCTCATTTTATATTGGGTATTAAGTGAACACAGTATTTAACTATAAACCTGCCAATATGCATTTCCAGAGACCTGTTGCCATTTTGTTTTTTAAGATATTTTTGTCCCCACAAAAGATAAGAAAATGTATCGTGAATATTTACCAATGTCTGAATCCTAAAGCCCTGAGTATTTTGATACTCAAGTACTCATGATATGCAAGAAAGCATGGCACATACTATATAAGTGTAACCATGTAAAAAGGTATACTCAGTTATGTATATATGTATACACATACAAGGACTGGAAAGATACATCAGAATGTAAACTGATTCTGTTATGGATGATTTTTTAGTTATATGCCTCTTGTGTTTTTCAGTTTTCTATAATGAACATATTAACCTCTAAAAGTTGAAAAAATATAAATGTTATTTTAAAAAGAAACAAATAAATAATAAATGCATATAAGATCCAAGAAGTTACAGATCAAGGCCAGAACTGCAGATATGGGAAGGGCTATACTACGTGTTTTAATATGTTCTCTTACGTAATCATTTTTAAAACTATGAGCTAAGGTATTATTTTTACCCTCTTTTTAAGGAAGAGGTACTGAGGCTTACAGTGGTAAAGTGACCTTCCCCTGGTAAGGGGAAGACACATCTGGTAAGTGGCAGACCTGGAACTTGAATATCAATTTGCCTGACAAAGCTAAAACCCCAAGGAGAGCTCAGCTATTGACAGCGCTGTGTCTCGGCTTTGTGCCTGACACTCACATTCAGTGTACTTGAGAGCCTGGAAATCTGTATTTTTTTTAACATTAAAAATTCTGGGCCAGGCAGGGTGGCTCACACCTGTAATACCAGAAAAGGTGGGTGGATCGCTTAAGGTCAGGAGTTCAAGGGCAGCCTGGCTAACATGATGAAACCCTGTCTCTACTAAAAATACAAAAATTAGCCAGGCATGGTGGCATGTGCCTGTAATCCCAACTACTCGGGAGGCTGAGGCACAAGAATCGCTTGAACCTGGGAGGCAGAGGTTGCAGTGAGCTGAGATCACACGACTGCACTCCAGCCTGGGTAACAGAGCAAAACTCTAAAAAAAAAAAAAAATTCTGATACACACCAAAGACTGAGAACCACTGTGTTACTGAATAGGAAAGACCCCACCCCGCCAAAAAAAAAAAAAATAAAATAAAATAAAATAAAAACAAAAACAAACTGAAGAAATGTGGTGAGCTCTTCAAAGCGAGAACAGACAATGCTCAACAGGAGGAGGCTAGGCTTTGCTGTTATACACTGGGGAACAAGGTATCACTCTCAACTTCCACAGATACTTACTGAGTCTCTATTATATACCCAAGAACTATGCTAAGCCAAGTGCTTTCAGGAGATGAGTAAGATAACCTCTGTTACAAATACCTCAATATTAAAAATCAAAGATACAACTATACAGAACCAACATTTAAAAAGGGCTATGAGGAGCCAAAAAGTAAAACAATTACTTCTATTAGGAGGACGTTAAGTGTGACAGACCTTCCAAAGGCAATCAAGCTGAAACTTGAAGAATGAGCAAATACATGGCATCTTCCCTGCAGAACTTATGTACAGACCTTTATATTTCACTGAAACAACATTCATAAGGTGACTATTCTGAAAAAGTTTCTATTTCTAGTCTATCTTCCCATTTTTATAATGAGGAAACTAAGACCCAAAAGTCACAGCCATTCAATGACAAATCCAAAACTAGACTCCAAGTCTCTTGAACCTTGTCTATTAGTTTCTCATGAAACCATTATATTTTTTATATTTCTATTTCTCTTCCAGAGTACCTGCTTAGTGATTGCTTTGATCTCCTTAACATTTGACTTTTCAAAAAGGAAGTCTAAATTTGGCAGTGCATGTCAAAAACATTTACACTTGTGAATCCTTTTTGATTCAGCAATTCTACTTCCAGGAATTTATCTTAAAGAAATATGAATGTGTAGAAATATTTAGTTTCTAAGGTGCTTGTTAAACATAGTGTATAATAGTAAAAAACTGAATACAATTTCTAACTAGAGGGGATTGATTAAACAAACCACAGCATTATCATTCTACAAAATAAAGAATGTTGTAGAGAATATTTAAGAAAAACTGTTAACTTACTGAGTGGGGAGAAAACCAGTTATAAAACAGCAAAATGCTTTTTTTTTTTTTTTTGGCTCTATGTATATACAGCTAAAACTAGCTGGATGATATACTCCAGAATATTAATGGTACTTTTTCAGGGTTTTTTGTTTTTTACACTGAGTGATTGTTTTATTCTTCTTATTCATCTACATTTTTGAAATTTTCTACAATAAACATGCATTACTACAACTATAAGAACTAATAAAAGTCTTTTCATAAACATAGATCTAAGAGTCCCTCTAAAAGCTGAGGAGAGGACTAGGTGAAAAACAAAGATATTTTTCCTGGATCCCTGGGGCCCACTGGGGAGGCTGCAATAATCTAAAGGCAGTAAGGGGCTTTCTGAATCTAATTCACGTTCCAGAAAACAGTGAAGCTTATTTTGGAGACTGGGAAGTACAGTTTCATATCCAAGTTATGAAATCTAGAATTAAAAAGCCCAACAATAAATCAAATTGTCTTAAGTGGCTGAATCATGAAGCCTAAAGGGCACCAGACTAAGCAACCTGGATTCCAGCCCCAGTAGACAAGCAGTGACTTTAGCCTAAATAAGTTGCCTTATTCTTCTGAGGTCCCAATGTCCTCATCTACAAAATAAGAATGACACAGGTAAGATCAGCATTTCTCAAACTGGTGTTCCTTGGAAACATAAATAGGTCTGTCTTCATGTAAGCATGTTAAGTTTAAATAAATTTGGTAAATGCTACACTAGATTATTCCTTAGGTCTCTGATTCAAATATATAATTACCTTAGTGCATTTAAATCTATAGCTATAGATACACTGTCTACTTTTGATTTTCTCATAATAGAGAGGAATACTAGATAATATGAAATAGATGACAATCATCCAAAGAAAAATTCATACCTTGACAGGAGCAACTGAAAACAGGAAGCAAAGGGTTTAATAATAGCGAGAGGGGCAAAAATAGCATTCAAGTAAGATAATAAAAGTCATAAATTTAAACAATGTCTTTCAGTCTGTTTTGTCTCTCCTTCCAAATGATCTTTTTCTTCAAGTTATTTTATGAGTTGCTAAAATATTATAAGTTCAACCCATTCCTTTTTTTTTTTTTTAAAGATTCATTTCTAGATAACATGAAAAAAAAGGGTTCGATCTTTTGACTGTGGCAATAAACTATCATCTGCCTATCCTTGGTCTGACACAGTATCCCACCTGGAGCCATTACGACTTATAAGACAAATCCAAATTTTGGGGAGTTGAGTTCTATTTCATTTAGTATCACCCATGGTCATACTGCAATAGCCAGATAAAGATCAGACTACAGAGAATTTGTAACTCATTTAAGCGAGTCTTCCCCATCTCCCTTTCTCTAAGCTCATCACAGCCACAATTGGCTCCCTCAGTAGTCACAGAGGAAGCCAAAGTAATCAGGTAACACATACAAAAGTAAAAAGTAACAACAAAGAGAAGTTTTACAGAAAGAGACGTCTAGTAACACAGGAAAGTGTAAGGTAAAGGGGTAGTTGTGAATCAACATGGAAATGTCCCTGGAATGCACTAATAACCTTCAATGTGGATAATTCTCCTGTGTATATTTGAAATTTGATGGGATATATCTAACGTGTGGATTAGCAATATACTAATTATAGGTTTATCCTACAGTAACCAGTCATTATGAAAAGGTGCTTAAGTCTTGCTAAGATTTCTCCCTCATGATGGGATTCTAGATAGAATTTAAAATCAAAGCACTTAAAAAAATCATATCATCGAGGATAAATTCAAGTAAATACTTGAGCAAATAGCATAGACGTTCAAGCTACAGATGTGTGCATCTTTATAAGTTTGCAGTCACTTGAGTAAAAAGAGGATTTGTAAGAAAAGGATTCAAACTATTACTTGCTCTGATAAAAGATACTGTATTAAAGCCAGAGGTGTTGGTAAAGAAGTCAAAGCCACAAATAAATCTTTGAATATCTAATACAGTACCCATAATAATTTTCAATGCCTAATTTTGCACTATGACTAAAATGGTATATGGAAGGGATTTATTGCTATCTTCTGTAACTTCCTTTACAAACCTGAAATAACATTATGTTAATTCTTTAAAAAGCAAAAACGTGAAACCCAAGTTTCTTGCAGGTTTTTTTTTTTAAAGTATGACCATATTAAACATATTAAAGGTAGACTGCTCTAAGTAACAAATCATATGGAATTCCAAGGCAAGTCTTATTTGAATCATGGTAGAAGTACTCTCAAATAATACCATTTAAGTCCTGGGTAGCTTTTTACTAGCATTATTGTTAACATTCTAATTCTTCTCTTCCTCTGACATCCTATTCTCTATTGTGTCTATCAAGATAGCTGTTGTTTTTCCAAGTTAGTGTATCACATATAAGATACACTTTCTTATATGTGATAGAAAATTTATAGAGGTGATAGAAAATTTATCTGCTCCTCTCCGATGTAATGTGATAAAAATTAAATATAAATCAGCCAAAGTATGACTTCACAAATAAAGAAAAAATATTTCGAAGTGTCCCCTTGACTACCTTATCAACAAACACTGTTCAAAATGGGTAATTATAAAACAGCATAGGAGGAAAATCTCAGGTGTTAACTATTTTCAACAGCAACAAAATTTAAGATAAGAAGAAAACACATCTTAACATTAGATTAAAGGGATTGGGTTATAAATTTTTGCCTTTTACAGAGCTCCAAAAGTGCCTCTTGGCAATATAATCATACCAAGTAACTATCATCCATGGAGTGTTTGACAGTCAGCCAGGTACTGTGTTAGAAAACTTACACACATTAATGTTACCTACCAATAAACAATTTTTCAGGCAAGGGTACCAAGGCTCAAGTAGCTGAGCGCCCAGGGCCCTGCCGCATTGAGAAGCCTAGGGCCATACAAGTGAGTAGAAAGGAGACGCAATGCCAACCTTGTTCTGGTGTGTGCCTAGGAGCCTTCTTACTGCTGAGGAAGAGACGCTAACTTACCATGACGGGACTTGTGTGGATGCAGATCTGCTAATACTATTTAACTTTTTAAAAAATAAAATGTTATCTGTGTGCTTTATCACAGAAAAAAACCCAAGATACACTACTAGGTTGAAAAAAAAAAAAAAGTCAGGCACAGTGGCTGATGCCTGTTATCCCAGCATTTTGGGAGGCTGAGGCGGGAGGACTGCTTGAGGCCAGGAGTCTGAGACCAGCCTGAGCAACATAGTGAGACTCCAATTCTACACAAACACACACACACACACACACACACACACACACACACACACACAAATTAGCTGGGTGTAGTCCCAGCTACTTGGCAGGTGGAGGTGGGAGGACTACTTGAGCCCAGGAGTGCGAGGCTGCAACGGAGTATGATTGCACCACTGCACTCCAGCCTGGGCAACAGAGCAAGACCCTGTCTCAATAAATGAATGAATGGATTGATTATATATTATTGTATAAATACTTAGGAAAGGGTTTGAAAAATTCATACCAATCTCTTTACAGTGTCTACCTCTAAGAGAGGGAGTAAAACTGGAGTGGGTAGAATGAAGGGAGATTTCACTTTTTACTCTATCTGTGCTGTTTTATGAGGATGCATTATTTTTATAATGTGTTTCTATTTAAAAATAGAAAATACATGTGTGCATTCACATGCACACAAACTCACACAGACGCAATATTGACCTGATGCCCTTAAATGTGAACACTCTTGTTATAGTGCCCTTACATAAGAATGGCAGTTCCCAATGAAGCAAATGGTAGCTCACAAGTACCCAAGAAAATACTCTTCCTTTTCTTATTTCTGGAGCCTAGTGCCATTCAGGACCAATCCAAGAGGTCTTTCCTAAATTCAGAATCTAAGAGGATCTACATGGATTTAGTAATGAATTATAAACATCATATCTGCTTTGACTTTTAAAGATATGGCTCAGTCTTGCTCTTTAAATGCATCTGCTGCTTCTCCATGTGGCCTACTTTGCTAATCTGGTTCACAATGCACCTTATGTTTTACACAGTACTGCTTTGGGATGTGCAAATACAGTGTTACTCCCACACAGACTGTAAGTATCATGAGGGCAGGGCTTGGATCAAACTGTCTAAGTGTTCTATTTAATTAATCAAGATTAATCAAGTTCCTGGCATTTATTTATTTCCTGAAAACTTATAAGCCAGACACCATGCCGGGAGGAGAGAATACGACAGTGACCAAAATAAACAAGGCCTATTCCTTACTGAAGGTATACTATGTTTGTGAGGGCAGGGACATGGAGAGAGGACTTGGAATACAGACATGTAATAAGCAATTATAATACAATGTAATAATGCATAAAATAACATGGAGCTATTAGAACACACATGAGGAACATTAAAGCCTACTCATTCTAGAAACAGTGAGTTCAAAGCTTTGGCCTGAAGAGTGAACAGGAATTGGATGAAAAGATGGTTAAGAAAAAAAAAAAGCAAAAAAAAATAACCCTAGGATATAGAGGTAAGAGAAAGTAGCATGGCAAATTAGAGGAACTGAAAATAGCACAGGCTGGCTGGAACCCAGAGTATGGGGGAGGGGCACGGGCTGAGAGGCGAAGCAAGAAAGTTTAGCAGGAGCCAGATCACACAGGGCTTGTAAACCATGTAAGGAGTTAAGGCGGGCTGCTAAAGAGTTTGAACCAGTGCAGTGACAGGATCAGACTTGCCTTTTTATAAAAATCACTCCAGTTACAGTGTGGAGAATGGATTAGAGAAGGGCAAGGCTGAGGGCTTATGGAGCAATTCAGGCAAGAGATAATGGTGTCCTGAAGGAAGAGTGGCAGGGCGAGGTAGAGAGAACTGGAGGGATTTCAGAGAGATTGCGGAGATTGCAGAATTGACGGTCTATTCTGCGACTTACTGGAAGTGGGAGGTGAGGGAAAGAGAGGAGTTAAAGGTGTCCAGATTTTTGGCTAGAGTATTGCCAGAGATAGAAAACACAGATATAGATGCATGTTTAGAGAGGACTGAGGGGGCAACTGAATGTGTTTAATTTCAAGCTTACTATGTGATCATGAAATACCCAACACATTATGCTGGTACAAATCCAGAGTTCTAAACTGAGACCGAGGTGGCATATGCATATTTGAGAGTTAGCAGCATAAAGATACTAATTGAAGCTATGAAACAGATGTGATTAATTTGGAGGAGAATAATTAGAGAAAAATAATAGGTCAAAGACAGACTCCTGAGGAACCCCAACATTTTAAGGGACACAAAAGAGGTTGAAAAGAGACAGCCAGAGAGGTAAAAGGAAAACCAGAAATGCTTGGAGTGAGAAAAGCCAAGTAAAGAGGGTATTTCAAGCAAAAGTAGTCAACAGTGTGTTTCCTAAACACGTGCAGACTGATTGAAGCTAGGCTTCAATAAATTGAAATGCCAGTAATTCTTCCTCTCTTCAGTTCAGCTTCCAGTTTCCTTTCACGATATTGAAAATATGTGCAATGATATTCTCTACTTTTCCAAAACTATGTTCTCCTGAGTTTCTCATTTCCAACATTTTCTCACAAGACCTGAGTCTCACCTCCAATTCTGTCACCCACAATAACTATTGCCAAATTCTGCCAGTTTCATGTCTGCAATTTTTTCATGTATTTTCTTCCCATTCCATTCCTGTTGCCTTCACCCCAATCCAGATTCTAAGTACCACACACTGGACAGCAATAGTCTACTGGTCTCTAAGACTATTCGCCTCACCTTTTCTCTAAGGCATCTGTTCAAAAAATTTCATTCATTTTGCAAATATTTACATAGGCCAGTGCTTCTCAAACTATGTATGCTAAGGTCCAGCTGTATTTTTTTTCCTTTTAAATTTCCAATCCATTGCAGACCAACATTTTTGTAAAATATAATTTTAAAAAAATTGTGATAATGTCAAATTGCTATAAACATTTGTAATTACTTATTCTTAATTTCCAATATTTGTCTTATTGTGGACTGGTAACAGTGGTTCATGGTCCAACAATGACCTGCAACCTACATCCCAACACCCCTGATGTTGATAATACATGGATAAGAAGACATTACAGTTGTGCCTTCAAAGGCCTTTGAGCAATGGTTCTCAACACAGGACAGTTTCATCACATTTCTTTTAATCGTCACTGGGGCTCGGAGTGGTGAGGAAGGGAAGTACTGACATCAAGTAGAGGCCAGGGATGGCGCTTAACATCCTATGATGCACAGGTCAGGCGCCCTACAACTAAGAATTATCCAGCCTAAAATGTCAATAGTGCCAAGGTTAAGAAATTCTGCCTTAGGAGTGTAATGCAAATGAATAATTACATTAAGAACACAGCTGGATTCTAAGTATATACAAGGTGCAGGGAAACACAGGAGAAGCACCTGAGTCTGTCTGGAAGGTTCTGAGTCTGTCTGGAAGCTTAAACAGGGACAGTACTTTAAAAAGAGTCCACATCTCCTCACAGATTTCCACAACCCAACCCAAAACTAACTTTTTAATCCTATTTCCTGTTTCTTCCAAACAACAGCTCTGTTAGACTGGTCTAAGTCATGAAGTCTATACCGTGTTTAGTCTGTCACTCTTCCCAGGATATGGACAACTATCCCCTTCCCTCCTCCTATCCAAAACCGCTCAGCATTTAAGGCCTTACTCAAGCTCTGCCTCTTCTATGAAGTCTTCTCGATGTGATTCCCTTTCAGTTCCTGTAGGGCTTATCAATTGTACTGCTCATCTGGCACTTAATCAAATACTGGCCTTTGATATCACTTGTTACGTTGCTTAATTTTTTAATGATTATTTAATTTTAACATTTATGTTCCCTCTCCAGGTTGACAGTTTAAGACAGCTTCTCTGACACACCCATTCCAGTTCCTTCCTTCCTGTATTCTGCTACAACACGTGACAAAAAACACATGAAAAAAGTGGCATTAGGTATTACAGCCTACCACCAAATCTTCATGTCTCTTGAGCTCATGACAATTTGAACACATCAGATTACTAGAAAAGTTAGTTATTTACAATGCAAAGGACACCCAGTCCCCAGACCAAATAATTATACAGCTCAAAATCTCAATGGTGCCATGGTTGGCCCTTGGCTAGAACAAAGGCTGCCTCAATGATTGCTTCAAAGGTCCCCAAAAAAGTGAAGCTAGAAAGCCCATTAAAATGGTTTTACACGATGGGCTTTCATGGGAGAATAACATGTAATGGTTAAGGAAATGAAATCTGGGGCTCGACTGCCTGGGTTCAAATCTGACTCTACTACTTACTAGCTGTGTGTCTTGGACCCATTACTTCACCTTTTTGAGACAGAGATTCCTGCTCCATAATATGGAGACAATACAGTGTCTACTTCTGAAGGTTGTTGTGAGGATTAATAAACACAATAATAAAGCACACAGAACAGCGTCTGGCATTATATAAGTATTAGCCACCACCCTCATTATAATCACCAACTTACGTATGGGAGTAACGCGGGAGAAAACACCAACCGCTTCACTTCAGGAGTCATGGGAATTCGATTCCTCAAGAGAATGGTTTTTGAAGACTAAAAACAAATTCACGCCCAGTTCCTCAAATGTCAGAAGCTCTGCTCTCCCTCAGCTTGCTCTGCTCCCACTCTTTCTTCTTTAATGCTGCCTTGGCTGCCTAAAGGCCTGGATGCAAATGTTCTCATGTTTGAAGGGCAGACTACTTACACCATTACTATAATGCAGAACATTCTGGGGGAAAGCAGTTTGTTATATATGGAGAAACTTTTTCTCTTCTTGACCAAATAGGATAGGTGTTCTGTCTACCCTCTAAGGGGCTGCCAGCAAAGCCCTTGGAATCCAGGCCTTTTACCCTGCACTCTCCTCCTCCACAGAAAACTTCATGAAGGCGGAAGGATGTACCTGTTTCCTGCTGACTTTCCATGCTGATGGTAGAGTCACCCCAAGAAACATACTGTGATATTATCTTTTGTCTGTTGGCTTTTAAAATCACACATTAGAAATACAATAAAACATTCAGACATAAAGGTAAAATTGAGTAAAAGAACAAAACTTTCCCTTTATTCCCCATCTTAGCTTCCCTTCCATGGAAGTAAACACTTTTTTTAATTTTTAAATTAAATTTTTAAATTAAAAAAATAAATAAATGAGACAAGGTCTCACTATGCTGCCCAGACTGGTCTTGAACTCCTGAGCTCAAGTGATCCTCCCATCTCAGCCTCCCAAAGTGCTAGGATTACAGGTGTGAGCCACCACATTCAGCCATAAACCTTTTTTCAATTTAATGTATGTCCTTAGAGATTTTTAGAATGCATTTGCTTTTATATATTTTTTATTAACACAAACATGTCTCTACATTTGGAGCTATATCATTTTAAGATTGCCTCTAACCGGTTTCTTACTGGTGGGCACTCAGGTTAACACTTAGATCTCAACTTTGTAGTGACCCAACTGTTGATCTGTAAGTAACTCAACTGTAGTTGCCAGGAAATCTAATCCATTTGGTGACTCTGTAGACAGCACTACCTCTCCAAAAGATTTGTTTCTTAAAGTCTGTCTATAAATGCAAAATGCCAGGTGAATTTACATACAGTTTGACTTTCAGATATAAGCACAACTGCTGTTCAAATATACATTTAACTTAAAAATTTAAAACCAATGGAAAAATTAATTCAAGGTTAAAAAAATTACAATTTATAGAAAGTTATCTAAAGTATTTTTTAGGGTCTATGTTTTGTCTCTAAATCCTGATCTAGAGATTTTTGAAATCACATGGTCTTAAGCCATTTTATTCTTCTAATTAAAAAAAAATCTTTATAAATTTCCTGACCTGAAGTTTTCAGTAAATTATTACATTCTTCGTATCCAGGTATCATCTATAAGTACTTAGTGGAGAACAGGAAGGCAGAAATTTTGCATCTCTAACTAGTGAGCAACTGCTGTCTTTTCCTCTGCTAATAAATTACAGGCAGACTTGAACAGATGTCAGGTTGGCATTCAAAACCTAAAATATAGCTGAAAAGCAAGTTATGACTAATACAAGAAAAAAAGATGAATGTCAGAAGGCTTCATTTTTTTTTCTTTTTTTCAAATTTCAGATAAGCTCTTTAGCCTTAGGGTTCCTTTTACAGAGCCCTGGAGTTCGCCTGGATGTCTTAACCCCCATTTAAAATGCAATCTCTCCTCATGAGTGGGGGTGTGAAAATGCATTTTAAGAGTGTCAGTGTTTATGTTAATCTTAGCAAGAACTCCCTCTCTCCAAAATATGGCATGCACAAAACCTTAGTGCCCTTTCTTCCACTATGTTTTATTTGCACTGTTTTTAGTATGTGAAAGATGTCTGTGTGATTGAAAGGTTCCTTATCTTCTCAGCAGTTCTGTTTCATAGAGTAACTACAATTTCACTTATGATATCAGAAAAGAGTTGCTTTCCTCTTGAATTTCAAAAGAAACCTTAAAAATACGATTGAAAATGGGCTTACAGAGGGAGACACTGGGGAAAGGAGACCAAAAAGAACACAGTGTCAGTTTCAAAGAATGGGGGCACAAGACCATAACAAGTGGCTTTCCTCCCCACTAGGTGGCCTGAACATCTACACCCCACAGATCCACTGAAAGACAGTGTGAGGCTGAGGTCTTCCCTCTTTACATCCTTTTCCTTCTAGGTCTTTCCTTGGGTAGATGTGAACCTATTCCCAGGATTACATTAAGAGATGCTGACTAATTCTTTAACAATTATTCCACTGTTCATTGAAAACGATGTGTTTTTTTGCTTTGACATTTATAATTTAGAGAGAATTGCCAGGGATGCTGAAAAAATGAAGTTTCTTGGCAGAAACGCTATCTTTGCTAACAAAATAGCTACAGTGAGAACTGAGGTAATCAATCATTTATTTATCCTGAACACTGTCCACAAAACTGCATACAGGGGAATAAGTGTGGTAAATGTCCGAACACAAGTATTCAGTATCTATTCAGTTAACACCTGAATATGCTGAAAGACAGCAATCAGCTGTTGAATTTATTCACCCATACTTCCAGATACCAGCTTTGATGTTCACATTTCTACCCTGGGACTCAAATGTGGCTTCTATTAGCCCATAAAATTATGGATTTAAGGTAATTCTTAATTAAAAATCTGTTTTGTGGGGGGTTGGAAGGCATTCTAACTAAATATCTATTTGGTATTTACTAAGTGCAAGGTATAGGTTTAGTTTTCTTCGCTCGTTGCTCTCATATCCTTCCAAGGAAGGGCTGCCCCACTTGGGTTTGGGTGAGCTCAACTGCTTCAGACAAGGGGAAAACTCAACAGTTACTCTGATTAAAACAATAACAAAAACAAAAGTCTAAATTGATATTCCCCTAAATAATCCCTTTTCCTTTATCCCTCAGTCTAGAGAGCTTTATGTGACTTCCTTTCTCCTTTAAGGGTTTCCTTGATTTTAATTCTACAAAAATATAACAAAACTACAAAAGCAGAAAGGCATACATTATCTTCTTCTTTTTTTTTTTTTTTTTTTTTTTTTTTTTTTTTTTTTTGAGATGGAGTCTCGCTCTGTCGCCCAGGCTGGAGTGCAGTGGTGCGATCTCGGCTCACTGCAAGCTCCGCCTCCCGGGTTCACACATCCTCCTGCCTCAGCCTCCCGAGGAGCCGGGACTACAAGCGCCCGCGACCACGCCCGGCTAATTTTTTCTGTTTTTAGTAGAGACAGGGTTTCACCGTGTTAGCCAGGATGGTCTCGATCTCCTGACCTCATGATCCGCCCACCTCGGCTTCCCTAAGTGCTGGGATTACAGGAGTGAGCCACCGCACCCGGCCTAAGGTATACACTACCTATTTGAAAGACCTTCAAGAGAGAAACTAACAGATTGGAAACTCCATGACAGTTATTTTCAAGTATATTACCTCATTGGTTCCCTAATTTTACTGCTTAATTGTGTGCCTCTCGTTAAGTCCTTTAGTCCTCCTATATCTCATCAGCAACATTCTGTTCGTAGCTAAACTATATTTTTCAATTTTGAAAAGGCAACATGAAGTTTTATAGACAAAAAGAAAGAACTCTGTTACCTAGAAGCATAATTATCAGTCTGATGAACATAATGACAGAAGAGAAGAATATTCTAAATTTATCACTTTGTAAATTTGAAAATTGATATATAGGCAAAAAATCCACTTAGTTAAGATTCCTGTTTACGAAGTAGACATCACTTTAGACTCCATGGTAAAGACAGTAATTTGGTCTCAAGCCAAAAGTAAAGTTTTCTGCTTAAAACAAAAAAGCCCCATAACCTACATAAATTATTCTTTTCTAATCTTTTTTAAAAATTAGAACTGATTTAACCAGTCATACTCAGTGTCCAGCTGAATCCCCAAACCATATAGATCTGTCTATTTAGTTAACAAAGAGTGGGGGAAAAAAATCCATGTTGTTCCCACCTGACATGTCAAAAAAAAAAACAACACAGAATATGCATAAAAATAATTTGTATAATTTTATTTATATTCTGTCAAAATATAACCATTTTTATTTATATACCTTTACCAAAGCCTAAGGAGAACTTTATAACCACACTGTAATTGGAGTGCAAGAAAGGATTTTACTATATAATTCCCCCAAAATTCAAAGGAAAAAAGAAGCCTCTATTGGAAGACAGGGAATTATACATGCATTACAAAAGAATTATTTCTCAGCCATTTAACCATTAAAAAAAAAAAAAAGAAGAAGCTTTACTTTTTTTTAGATACCCAGAAACTTCATCCAGAATAAAGAAAATAAGTTTTTCAATTCAGCTCAAAAGCCAGGACAGCTTTATACTAGTTTGTCTTTTCAATGAAATTGGTAACAAATGCTTCCTGATGGCAAAAAGCCATAAAGAGAAAAAAAAAAAAAACTTTTCCAAAAGGATAGAATTCATTTTTTGTCTAATTAAATTAGTGTAAAAATATTAGAAAAATAAATCCATAAAAAAGGTTCTGGACAGTGGCACTCACAAAATTCAAATCCATAGTGCTTAGTCAAAAAACACATCAAAAACAACAAAAAGCACACTACTGTAATTCAGCTCATTTCAATACGGATATCAGAAACAGATGAAATTCACTAACAAATTCCAAATCTGTTCTGATTTAATTTAAAACTCTCCAACAGCTGGCAAGGTCACAAACTGACCAATGTGAGACCAACTCCTTTACGCATTATCTACCCAACGCATACTGACGTTGCGCGTAGCTTCAAGTGCAGGATCTAGATAATGCACAAATAGCAAACTAGTATCTGAATAACTGTTATCTTCAATAGCTTCCAAACAGTGAGAAAACATTTATAATTAAAAGAGACGGCTTACTACCAATGCAGTTATTTTTCTACTTTTTGGCTAAACAGTATAAATGTTCTAAGAAACAGAATCATTAGACTCTTCCTGCACTAGATCTCAGTTCTGAAAACCAGTAAAAACATTCCACAAGAATAACTTACAACATTTGGAATCATCTTTTTATCCCTGCTTTTACCCAAAATACACTTAAACAATATTTTCATGTCTTGATCGAAAATACACATTACCAAGATAGTGAACTACCACATTTTAAAATATTTTCCCAATTAAAATTCTGCTTTTAATGGACGTGGCCTTTGTATCTTTGAGATAAAAAGTATGCTATTGCCATTTCAAGGTGTATAAAACTCAGGTGATGAGGGTCTCTGTCATTTTCTCTTAATCCAATTCCAAACTCGACCTTTACTCAGTGAACAGGTGTGTGCCGTGCCTGTAATTTATCAGAGTGAGCGACCAGGCAGAAAGGCTACCAACAATAGAAGGCTAATACAATCCAAGCACTTAGTGCCTAGAAAGCAGTTCTTATCCCCACTATAATAAATATACTTTTATCTTCCAGTAGCAATTTAAAGATAAAGAATGATGGGGATGAGCGGAGTAATATATTCATATTCCTTCCATTTTTTTTTGGATGCTGTTTTTACACTAATAGTCTGCCAGAAGCTGTTATGTTATACATTCCTTTCTCAGATATTCTGTTGCTCACATTCCAATCCAACGAATGATATGGACATGAAAACAGTCATGACAGCATTTCCACTGGGCAAATAAAGTCACTTCACACAGATAAATTAAATAAACCTTCAAGAAGAAAGTGGTAAACGAATAGTGCACTTCTTTGTATGCAATATAGAAACTCCAATGTATATCCTGCATTTGTCTTTTTGGATCAAACTTATTTAATTTAAAAATATGCAAGTACCCATTTATTAGGTATGAAGATGTACTAACTGGGTAATGCAACAGTACAATAAAAAGGAACGGCAGCTAATGTCAGAACAATGCACACAGCCTAATAGATAGTTATTATTCAGCAGGGTACATCTGACCCATAGTGATCTTTAGAGTCAGGTGAACTTTCTAAATATGCCCTATAGAAAAACATTCTTACGCAAATAAATAAATAAAATGGAGTCACTACTAGTATTATTACTGTCAGGGGAAGTTTCTAAATATGCCCCATAGAAAAGCATTCTTCAATAAATAAATAAACAAAATGGAGCCACCACAAGTCTTATTTCTATGATTTCCCCATAAAATTAAAATGTAATTTTAAAAGTTCTGGTATTATAAAGTTTTTCAGAAAATTTATCTGTTCATTTTTAAAGAAAAAGACAAAAATAATGGGTCTGAAAAATAATTTCAAAACTATTGAAAAGAGATTCTTCATTGCATTAATTTTTTTAACAACACAAGATTTTATAACATTTTCCTTTTTAAACTTACCCATCTGCTCCACAATCTCTGGAGGAAATACTCGGGAAGCAAATGCTCGTCGGAAAATATCTGAAAATTCCTTGTCTAGACCTCCTATTCCCATTTTTTCAAAGTTCCAGTCAGGATTGATAATTGATTGGCGATTTTCCTTGGTTTTAGCTTTGCCTATGTCAAACGAATATTATCAAATGTGAAACAAGGACTTTATCACTAAGTCTAAAAAGACAGACAGAACTCCCTGAGCATCCTAAATGAATAAAGAAAAGCTACCCTTACATATACAAAACGAACAATATAATCTTAGCTGATTTTACAGTCAGAAGGGTAAGTTTTGCTATGCTATCTACTTTGTCTGATCTCCATATATGGTAACACACTGTCAAAATGACTAGCTAAACTTATGCTGTAGTCTATTTGTATCAGTCCATAAAACTTAGTTTTATTAACCTTCAATCTAACTAAATTAACTAACTCGGTTGATCAGAAGAAATGCCATATCTGATGAAGACAACACTAGCTGGCAGAAATGCAACTGAAATCTCGCAGTCACTGAAGTCTCCTAACGCAAGTTTATTTTAAAATACATATATTTATCCAGATTAAGCTTATACAGGTAATTGGGCATATAACCCCTCAGCCTAAGGAAATATACTGAACAAGTTTGATGTCTTCTTTGCTTTCTCTTCACTTGGACACAAAAGTCTGAAATCATCCTAAAGACTTCAATGATTACAAAACTCATGTTTAAAAATTCTCAAGAGGACAAAAATTATCTAACTTAAATGTCAGAGTGCCACCTAAAGCAACTCAAGAGAACCACATTTACTATTTCAAACAAAGAATAAATTAAGTACCTTAGTATGCTCTATTATAAACAAAAAATAAAGTAATAATATGGTTTTTATAAAACCAGGGAAGAAAATGTCACATTAAAAAAAGTTTATCCTAAGAAATGCTAAATATTTGAGGTGATATGTTAATTAGCCTGATTTGATCATTCTACAATGTATACATGTATTAAAATATCAAATTGTACCCTATAAATATATACAATTATTATCTGTCAATTAAAAATAAAGTAACGCTTTTTAAAAGTTTATACTAGATGATAATTTTATGGTTAGAGTTTTGAGGCCTTAAGATTTCCTTTGGAAAGCGATGAAAAATATTTTTTTCTTACACTCTACTGCCCTCTTGTGGGCAAAATTTACTGAATGCCAATTAACTACACAATTTTTTTCCCATGGATTACTTAGAAATACCTATGAAAGTTATGCAACTCCCTTGGGATATCTTAACAAAAGGTACACAAAAATAAAATACAAAGAAATCACTTCATAAATGTACTAGATCAATAACAGGAAAATACATCCTACCTTCATAAAATGACATACAGGCATTAAAAATCATGTTATAGGTGTATATTTAAGATGTTTGAAACATGCTAAGCAAAAAAAGCAAATTACAAAACTATGAAAACAGAACCAAATTTTACAGTGTGTGAATTGTTTTCGAATGCCTATCCATATTTTATAAATAAAATATTTTATAATTAACAAAAAACAATAAGGGGGAATGGTAATTTGTGGACCAGGAAATAAAGGCCACGCACTCAAAGACTGTTAAGTGACCCTGGACATGATGATGTGCAACCAATGAAAACCCTCTACTCTCTAGTAGGGTAGACATCAACATAGTTAAATCAACCAAAAATAAGAAT
Source organism: Homo sapiens (assembly GCF_000001405.40). Lineage (NCBI taxonomy): Eukaryota > Metazoa > Chordata > Mammalia > Primates > Hominidae > Homo > Homo sapiens. The sequence goes on along the minus strand of NC_000017.11, from coordinate 46,423,971 downwards.
TAATGCCCAGTTAATGTCACATTATTCTGGTGAGTTACTATTCTCAGAGAATAAGCTGCAATTGTTTTAATATGACAAAAATTGTGCTAGAGTACAAGAGTAGGACTGAACCATGAATCTGCTGGGAAGACTTGACCTGCACATTCATCACTTAATCACTAAAAGAAATGATGATGCTATCTCATTTAACACAAAACCAAGTGAGGGGCATTCTACAAAATAACTGACCAGTTCTCAAAGTCATAAAAGACAAAGTCTGAGGAACTGTCAGTGACTGAAGAAAACTCAAAAGACAGAACAACTAAATGCAATATGGGATCCTAAATTAGATCTTGGAACAGAAAAGGACACAATGGAAAAACTGGTGAAATCTCAATAAAATCTGTAGTTTAGTTAGCAGAAATGAAACCATGTTCATTTCTTATCATTGTACTTTTGAAAATGTCAAATAAGACATTAACATCAGGGTAAGCTGGTAAAGGGCATACAGAAATTCTCTGAGCTATTTCTGCAAATCTGTGAACCTAAAATTATCTCAAAATTAAAAGTTAAAAAATTAATTTGTTTCTTATTTTAGTGCAATTTCTAGGAAATTAAAAATTACACATGTGGCTCACACTCTATTTCTATTGGACAAAGTTGATCCAGATGAAGGTTTTAAACGTTTTCATCAGCAAACTGACCAACAGGAAATACCCCATGCTTCTGTGATAAACTCTCTCAAGAGAGATGCCCCTCTTTCCTTTCCCCATTTGGAAATCACTGTAGTTGAGTTACATATAGAAATAGGCCCACTTCATTTCAAATCTTCTAAAAACTGTAAATCTTACCAATAAGATTAAGTGACGAATTTTCTGCTTTTTCAAATGCAACTTGACTGTTTCCAACAACCAGTCCTACTTCAATCTGTAGAGAAAGACAATAATTAGTAGTCTAATAGCAAACTTCTGGACTTCTCAAAGCAAGGCCAAAAGTGAGGGGGAAATGAGGTCTCTCTGGGCAAAGCAAACCTTCCAGACTATCATCTGAGCTACTTTTACTTTTCTCATAACTTTCTTCTACAATTCTTACATGCCTTATTTCCATGCCTATATCTTTCCAATAATGCGTTTCTTATTATTTATTTACAATAAATATCTGCATTCAAGCAAATTATATGTACATATATGTCTACATTTTACATTAATATTAGGTCTGCAAATAAATACATTTTAAGCTATATTTTAATAACAATGATGGCTATGAAAGCAATTTTTTCTCCCTACTATCTTAAAAGGGTACACAATATGAAAAAAATCACTAAGCAACAGATAGGAAAATTATAATCAATCTGCACAAATTACATTATAAAGATGATCTAGTAAAGATGATCAGAAATAAAAGCTACCTTCTGCCTTTTCCCTGTCGCAGGCTCTCCCTTCAGGATGCTAGGATCCATGGCTTCAATGTCCTTCACCAGTAAGCCAAAAAGCTTTTCATTGAAGCTAAAGACAAGCTATGTAGAAAAGAGGTAAGGGGAGAAAAATCACTTCATAATATAATAGTTTGATCCTCAGATCATCACCAATGTTTTTCAAATGCAGAAAACCAGTTTATCTTATATACTCCTCTCCAATCTGCTCCTCAAACAAACTACTCACAGCCAATGAAGAAAAGGGAATTAGCACTTACGATCAGTGTTTACAAAATGACTGCAAAACTCATGTTTAAAATTTCTTCCACATGGATAAAAAATATCTAATTTAAATGTCAGAGTGCCACCTAAAGTAATTCAAGAGTACCACATTTACTATTTCTAACAAAGAATAAAGTTTCTTAGTATTTTATTCAAACACTACAGCCAGTTATATAATATTCACAAACACTCTTGGAAGCAGAAACTACGACTCCATTTTACTAGTGAGGAAGCTGAGATGCAGAAACAGGCTATGCAACAAGGCTCAAAGTCACAGTAAATGAGAGCGCCAGAAGTCAACCCTGGGTCTGTGACTCTACAATTCCTGCTTTTCTATCACTAGTACAAAATGCTTGCCCTACAAGTGCAGAGACAGCTTCTGAATGCTCAATTACTCATTCACCAAATCTTTGCTGAGTCCCTTCTAAAAGTTTGGTCTTCTTCTATGTGCTGGGGTATAATGGTAAATATTACAGGTTGGGCTGTCTGTCCATTCTGCTACTACGAGATACCACAAATGAGAAGAAACAGTTAAGGACAGTGATCTGGAGTAAGATATTTACTTCTTCTCTGAATTACGAAAGATTCTCTTTCATGGATTTACTGACTTCTACATGCTACTGAGTTTTAAATTATTATAAATACCAAAGCATTTTCTATTAAACATTCTCCTAAACATTTTCTATTAGGATACTAAAACTAAAAGCAAAGGTAAAAACCATCAAGTTTAGCTAGGCAATCTGAGCACAATTTTGGTCATCCAATACACAACAGCACCGCAATAGCTCTCTGGTGAATTGTCCTGATCTACTTTCATCAGAGACCTAACTGTACATGGTATTCCTGTCTTATTTTCTGTTTTCTTCAACTAGAAAGTAAGTTCTATGACAGCAGGGATCATATCTATTTTGTTCACTGCCGATCTGCAGTGTCTAAAACAGTGACTGGTACTAGGCACTAGGTACTATCAAATATGTGTTTAATTAATTCTTATCTCAACTATGTCCCTTAGCTGTGTAGCCATGGGCATACCATTTACCTTCTTTAGATCTTAAATTCCTCATTTGGCCAGGCGTGATGGCTCACACCTGTAATCCCAGCACTTTGGGAGGCCGAGGTGGGAGGATCACTTGAGGTCAGGACCAGCCTGGCCAACATGGCAAAACCCCATCTCTACTAAAAATACAAAAAAAAAAATGGTTGGGCATGGTGGCTCATGCCTGTAATCTCAGCACTTTGGGAGGTCAAGGCGGATGGATCACCTGAGCTCATGAGTTCGAGACTAGCCTGATTAACATGGTGAAACCCCATCTCTACTAAAAGTACAAAATTAGTCGGGTGTGGTGGCGCATGCCTGTTATCCCAGTTACTCGGGAGGCAGAGGCAGGAAAATCACTTGAACCCAGAAAGCGGAGGTTGCAGTGAGCTGAGATGGTGCCGCTGCACTCCAGCCTGGATGACAGGGTAACACACCATCTCAAAAAATAAATGAATAAATAAATAAAATTTTAAAAAATAAAAAAATAAAATTCCTCATTTGTATATGTGGAGTTACATAAGGTAATCTCTTGAGGTTCATTCCAATTCTAGTACTCTTTTTAAAATAATGTACTATATCCTTTTCCTATCTAGCAGGAATTCAGTTTTTTAAGATTCTCAAATAAGCCCATAACCAAAATAAGAACTTTTTTTTTTTTTTTGAGACAATCTCGATCTGTCACCCAGGCTGGAGTGCCGTGGCACAATCATGGCTCACTGCAGCCTCAACCTCCCAGGCTCAAGCCGTCCTCCCACCTCAGCCTCTTGAGTAGTTGAGACCACTACACGCAGCTACTTTTAAAAAAATTTTTGTAGAGACAGGGTCTCACTTTGTTGCCCAAGCTGATCTTGAGCTCCTGGGCTCAAACGATCCTCCCAACTCAGTCTCCCAAAGTGTTGGGATTACAGGCATGAGCCACCATGTCTGGCCAAGAGCTACATTTTCTACAGAACTATATTAGTGAAAGAGACAGACATTCCAGAGGCAAAACAAATGTCCTATGATATAAAAAGGAATTTCAGATATATATGTCCACAGGGTTCCCAAATTTGCTGAGGGAAAAGCTGCTATAATTATACATGACATTTTAATCTAAAAGCTACTTTAGAATTTTTCTGAACAGACTCCTTGAAGTTCAGTAAATACATCTCCCTCACTTTTATCACTCACCTTGGATATACGAGTTGATACGCAAAGCCCCTCTCACTTTTTAAAAGGTGGAATTAATTTTGGAAAACTGCAGAAATTAGAATACCTATAAAGTTAAAGGAATGAAAGAAAATTAAAAACTACCTGTTGTCCCACTGAGAAGGCCTGGTTGTTGAATTGCTGAATAAATTCTGCTGCCATCTTGTCGGTGTCATAAGGGTTGGAGTCAATGCTTTTTTTCTGCAGGAAATCAATCTCGATGGTCATTGTGCCAATACACTGTTTGGCTTTGTCAAATGTATATAAGGAGACTAGGGGAAAAAAAGAAGCATTTTTTTAAAAATCACAGGAGTACAAAATACCTGTAGTGTTTCTAGTAACTAAAAGTTTCACATAAATGAATCATAAACTACTTCACCAAAAATGGGGTTTAAATGGCCTTCACTGGAGGGACACACAGGTACAGGTTTAAAAAATAATAGTCACTAGAGATTTTCTTCCCCATCTGAATTAATTAGAAATACTGAATGGCAGGCCGGGCGCGGTGGCTCACTCCTGTAATCCCAGCACGCTGGGAGGCCGAGGCGGGCGGATCACGAGGTCAGGAGATTGAGACCATCCTGGCTAACACAGTGAAACCCCGTCTCTACTAAAAATACAAAAAATTAGCCGGGCGTGGTGGCGGGCGCCTGTAGTCCCAGCTTCTTGGGAGGCTGAGGCAGAAGAATGGCGTGAACCTGGCAGGCGGAGCTTGCAGTGAGCCAAGATCACGCCACTGCACTCCAGCCTAGGGCAACAGAGCCAGACTCCGTCTCAAAAAAAAAGAAAGAAAGAAATATTGAACGGCAGTCTCTCTGTTGTTATCCCTCATCCCACTCTTATCAGGATCACAATCCTCCCCACATGGCCTCTGCATCTTTCTCCTCATTTAATGCAATACAGTATGGGATGCCCCAACACAGTTGGCGTAACATGCTATTTCCAAATAAGATTTTTGTTTGACACAAAAAAACAGCTAAGGTGGGATGTGGATGAATTATTTTGGCCTAAGAAAGTAGGACGCAAGGCAAAAAAAAGAAGCTTGAAAAACAATGTTTACTAGCGGAATTTGCTCCAGAGCAAGTTAGAGTTTGACATTTCTTTTTTACTACTACAAAAATGTTTCCTGAGCACCTGCTACATCTAGGGAACTACAGTAAGTTCTACATGTACACATGTAGATAAGGGCAAGGACGAGGTTTTTAACTCCTCTTCCTATTAACAGCATCTAACAGTTTCTTTCAGGTGCTTAATATATTCATGAACTGTTTAAATGAAACAACAATAACAGAAAACCCATGGTCTCCATGCTAATAACAAAGGAGGCAATAAAGCATACATACAAAGCTTTGGATAAGAAAATTCCTGTTCAAGCCACATAAAAAGTTTTAAAATGAATTTTAGGTTACAATGTAATTAATATTAAAGTGTTACACATGATTTTACATCATGTAATAACTGTTCGACCAAAAACCTTTAATTGTACAACTACAACACAGTTTACATATCATATTTTTAGAAAAATATATGTTAAAACAAATTTTGCTAGTGACAGATAATTACAAAGAAGCATTTCCCTAGAAAAAAAAACTTGATTCTTAAATCAGCTCAAAAAGTATACTTATAAATGCCAGTTTATAAACAAACTTTTAAAGCAAAAAATTTTACAGTGCTGTATACTGTAGTGGTACTATTAGGAAAGAGTAGAGTAGGCTACCCAGAAAAGTTCAAGAGGATTTTTGCATTTGAGTTTCCCCAGGAGGGCAACTTGATTACGCCTAGTAAGAAAGAGTCTATTGCTACTCTTCAATAAGGCTTCACACACGCGCGCGCGCACACACACACACACACACAAACACACACACACACACACACAATTTATTTTCCCTTTAGGTTCCCTGAAGATACTTGTCCTAAAATTTACCAATGGCCCCTTAAGGATACAGTAGCAGCTCTCTTAAGCAACCTCCACTGAGCTGAGTCATCAGAAAGCTGACCAACTTTTATCCCTCCAACATATACCCATCAGCCTATGGTTTGCCTAACGCTCAGAGCTTGTAGACAGGAGTTGCTACACATCATGGGTCAACCAAGTTCATTCTGGTATCTGTCTGTGCTAGTTACACTTGTTACAGTTAATTATGAAATATAATTAAATAGTATAAAAACTTCTGAAGGCCTGGTTGTTGAACTGTTATTACAATGACTTTGACATTCTAGAATAGATATTATAAGTTGAAAGCTTTGGGAAAATTTTTTAAATGAAGTGTTTCTTCTAGAAAAAAAAAATACTGCTAACTAGGTATAAGCATTAAAATTAGAAAAGGTTGGGAGTGAACTCTACAAAAATCCAAGAGGTTTTGGCACTCTCAGATGCTCTACAAAGTCTAAGTTCTCCAGCCATTTCAAAGAAATCCACCTGGAAATTACGGGTAAAGTGTATGCACAAAAGATAATACAGAACTCCAATCCATGGACCACACCTCCAAGAAAAAGCCTTTAACCAACTTTTCACTTAATTACCAGTCCAAGTCACATTGGGTAAGTGAGCTTCTACAGTTCTCACCACAAAAGCAGGTTATAAACAAAGACTGTTTTTTCACACTTGCTTTGAACAACAGGCATGGCATTTCTGTGAGTTACTGAGGTCAAATAGCAAGAGGTAAACAAAAGAAGTCACTGTGCAGTATTAAATGTCTGTTGCAAAGATTCTAGTGGTTTACAAACAAAGCTGTTTTCTTCAAAGGGACTTTGAGTATGTGTGTTTCAACAGATTCTGCTAGCAATCAGAAGAATCCAAGTAAATAATTTAAGTTGTCTGTGCCTTGATTTGTCACATCTATAAATCAAGACTGAACTAGATAAGTCTTTATGGTCGTTTCACACTCTAAATTCTGTTCTAAACTTATTTCTTAAATTCTAGACCCTTGAGTTATGTACAAGGATTTTCTGTAAACTCTTATTTTATATTTGAGACAGAGTCTTGCTCTGTCACCCAGGCTGGAGTGCAGTGGCACGATCTCAACTCACCGCAACCTCCACCTCCCGGGTTCAAGTGATTCTCGTGCCTCAGATTCTCAAGTAGCTGGGATTACGGACGCACACCACCATGCCCAGCGAATTTTTGCATTTTTAGTAGAGACAGGATTTCACTATGTTGGCCAGGCTGGTCTCGAACTCCTGACCTCAAGTGATCTGCCTGCCTTGGCCTCCCAAAGTGCTGGGATTACAGGCGTGAGCCACCACGAACGGCCGATTTTCTGTAAACTCTTTAAATGAAATTGTTTGTATAATCAGATTTCTGTATTTAAAGGGGGACATATACATATTTTAACTACTTCAAAAGCAAAATAACAAAGCCTGAGGAAGGAACATAAAACTCACTGAAGATCAAATAATAAGTTCAAATTTTGGCTAAAAGTTTCAGAATACTCTCCTGTCTCCAATTCTGGATGGCTTGCTCCTTCTTAACATTTCCTAGAATGGCCAGGCACGGTGGCTCATGCCTGTAATCCCAGCACTTTGGGAGGCTGAGTTGGGCGGATCACCTGAGGTCGGGAGTTCGAGACCAGCCTGACAAACGTGGAGAAACCCCGTCTCTACTAAAAACTACAAAATTAGCCGGGCGCAGTGGTGCATGCCTGTAATCCCAGCTACTCAGGAGGCTGAGGCAGGAGAATCGCTTGAACCTGGGAGGCGAGGCTGCAGTGAGCCAAGATCGCACCATTGCACTCCAGCCTGGGCAACAAGAGTGAAACTCTGTCTCAAAAAAAAAAAAAAAAAAAAATCCTAGAAAGTACAGGTTATATGCTGAGTAACTTTGATAGGCAAAAGAGCTTAGTTGTTTCCCTCATGTAGTTTGAAAACATTTATAGGTTGAAATATTAATGTAAAAATGAATATGATGATTCAGCAATTCCATTTCTAGATGTCTGTCCCAGAAAGATGCTAGAACATTTGTCTAACAACACATCTACAGGGAGGTTCATTGCAGCATTATTTATAGTACTTAAACATTGAAAAATGTTTATCAGTAGGAGAACAATGAATAAAATGTAGTATATTCATAATGTAGAATACTTTACAGCAATTTTTATTGAAATTAAAACTTGGCCAGGCACGGTGGCTCACACCTGCAATCCCAGCACTTTGGGAGGCTAAGGAGGGAAGATCACTTAAGTCCAAGATTTAGAGACCAGACTGGGCAACACAGTGAAACCCTATCTCTACACAAAATTAAAAAATTAGCCAGGTACTGAGGCTGCAGTGAGCCACGACTGCACCACTGCACTCCAGCCAAGTGAGACCCTGTCAAAAAAACAAAAAAAAAACAAAAAAACAAAAACCAACTTTATGTATATTTATTAAAGATGGACGGCCTGGCCAGGCGTGGTGGCTCACACCTGTAATCCCAGTACTTTGGGAGGCTGAGGTGGGTGGATCACCAGAGGTCAGGAGTTCAAGACCAGCCTGGTCAACATGGTGAAACCCCATCTCTAATAAAAATAGAAAATATTAGCCAGCGTGGGGGTGAGTGCTTGTAATCCCAGCTACTCAGATGGCTGAGGCAGGAGAATTGCTTGAACCTGGGAGGAGAGGTTGTAGTGAGCCAAGATCACACCACTGTACTCCAGCCTGGGCAACAAGAGCAAAACTCCATCTCAAAAAAAGGTGGATGGCCCTTGAAAACATAATATTGAGTGACAAAAGTCTACTGCAGAAAGGTTTGTACAGTATAATACCATTTTGTGCATTAAAGACACCAAAACAATATCATAATGTCATAATGCATATATATGTGTGTATATACATATATTCATGTCATCTTCATACTGAGAAATTTGAATAAGTATATTTAAAATATTGGCCAGGCGTGGTGGCTCATGCCTGTAATCCCAGCATTTTGGAAGGCTGAGGTAGGTGGATCATTTGAGGTCAGGAGTTCGATACCAGCCTGGCCAACATGGCAAAACCCCTTCTCTACTAAAAATACAAAAATTAGCCAGGTGTGGTGGCACATGCCTCTAATCCCAGCTACTCAGTAGGCTGAGGCAGCAGAATTGCTTGAACTGGGGAGGAGGAGGTTGCAGGGAGCTGAGATCATGCCACTGCACCCCAGCCTCAGCGACAGAGCGAGATTCCATCTCAAAAATAAATAAATAAAAATATAATTACTACTGACTGTAGTAATGCACTGACTGTAGTTTTCAAATGCATTTTAATTTAAGGCCAATGTTCCTAAATAGAAAAGACCAAACTGTTACAATTTCAAGTGCTATGGGCAGCACCATGGACAGTATCCCAGGCAGCACCACAGTCAGCACCATGGTCAGTCCCAAAGGGACAAGAGTCCTGAAGATTTCATCCTGGATCAAAGAAGATTGAGAATGTTTTCTTATTTTACGGCTAATAGTAATTTAATATAAAAGACTAATAAGAAAGATTTTATAAGCAAAAAATAAGTGTATCCAGTTCTTTGAATAAACTTGGACTTTACAATAATAGGTGTATATATAGTGGTCAAAACATTAGCCTGTAACACTTAAAATATGGCATTGCCAGATGGAAAGAAGACCGACTAAATGATTCCTCCAGAAGATTCCCTCAGACTAAAATCACTGATTTGACTAAAATGTTTCACCTTACGGAACTCCCATTCCAGAATACTTGAGCACTCCTTCAAACCACACCTCCTATCCTATCTTGGTCTACATCACTACTTAAACCAAACCAGTTTTCTATCTTTATGGCTACATCATCCACATCACTTGGGCCCCAAAACCCTACCTTCCCTCAAGCTTACTCCACTTTAGTCCCACCTATCACTGGGTTTTACAATTTTGCTTATTAAGTCTGTTTGAGCCACTTCTTTAAAGATCTGACTTTACAATCCAGATAAGCATTTCTGTTAGCAGAAGAATGCTTTTATAACTTAAACCGCAAAACACATTTCTCAACTCATCAAAATTTATAATCTTGAATTTCTGTATCTTGTCACAATAGAAAATATCTAGATTCAAAGTTTTAAGTACTCTTAGCCTCATATTTAGAAAAATTAATTTATGAAAATTAGAAACCTAAGCTACATACTACCCCACTTTCTCATTAAATTTAACAAGTGTTCATACTTCCACAAAGAAAAAGCTAACTAAAAATAACACCAATGTTGGCTGGGCGTGGTGGCTCACATCTGTAATCCCACCACTCTGGGAGGTCAAGGCAGGTGGATCACGAGGTCAAGAGATCGAGACCAGCCTGGCCAACATGGTGAAACCCCATCTCTTCTAAAAATACAAAAATTAGCCGGGTGTGGTGGCAAGTGCTTGTAGTCCCAGTTACTTGCAAGGCTGAGGCAGGAGAATCGCTTGAACCCTGGAGGCAGAGGTTGCAGTGAGCCGAGATTGCGCCACTGCACTCCAGCCTGGCAACAGAGCGAGACTCCATCTCAAAAATAAAATAAAATAAAATAACCCCAATGTTTAAATTCCATCTAACTTAGAAAAAATTACAAGTTGTCAGGTTCCTAAATGAGGAGTAGGATAAAAGATGTGTGTGTGTGTGTGTGTGTGTGTGTGTGTGTGTGTGTGTACAGAGAGAGACAGAGACCCAGAGAGGAAGACAGGGAGCCAGAATGATAAAGAAAATATGACAATTGGTAAAGCTGGGTAAAGGCAGTATACAGAAATTCTTCGTATTATTTTTGCAACCTTTCTATAAATACAATTTTTTTTTAAGTTTTAAAGACAAGCAGAAGAAAAGCTGGTTTAATTACACTTGCATTTTCTTTCCTTCCCCTACTGTATCCATGAAGTTGACATAAAATCATCTGACTAAAGACGACTCATACTCCATTTCCTAACTTTGCCACATTGCCTGAGACAATGCCACTTTTTGCTTATTAGTTCTTTGGCTTATTATCTATTAGCAGCTTAGTCTTTCCACCCCGCCACGCCCCCAACTGGAAGTCACAAATTGCTTTCCTTGCCTTGAACTATGACGACCTTATCACACACTTCATAAAAGATATAGGAACAGAGGTACCATAACTATTTCCTTCCCATTCTCATAGATGTAACCAGTCTTCTGATACAATGAATGTTTAAGATCTGACCACTAGTAATAGAAAATTGTACAGATCTCAATAACTGTGAGAAAATCACATAGAAAATCTTTATCAGGTGGCTAAAAAATATACCTACCTTCTATTTCTTGCCCAATAGAAAGCCCAGCCCATTTTCTCTGTAAAGGAGAAAAAAAGATACTTAAAACCAAAGCCATCAAAATTAGACAAGAGAAAAAGAGGAATTTTAATGAATTTTAGGAATACACTCAAAGATCAAAACATGGTATGCTATTATGGTTGAACTGTGCTCTCCCCCTCCAAAGTATGTTGAAGTCTTAGCCCCCAACACCTGTGGATGTGACTTTATTTAGAAATACAATCTCTGCAAATGTATCAAGTTAACATGAGGTCATAATGAATTAGGGTGAACCCTAAGCCGATATGACTGGTGTCCTTCTAAGAAAGAGACATAGACACACAGACAGAATGCCATCATGTGATAGCAGAGGCAGAAATTGAAATGATGCAGCTACAGCCAAGGAACACCAAAGGATTGCCGGCAACACCAGAAGCTAAGCACAGAACAGGTTCTTCCCTAGAGCCTTCAGAGAGGGAATAGCTCTACTGACAGCTTGATTTCAGACTTCCGGCCTCCACAACGGTGACAGAATAAATCTCTGTTGTTTTAAGCTACCCAGTAATGGTTCTTTGTTACTTACCCTAGGAAAGTAAAGCATGTGCTACAGTTTACATCTGAACATCTGTTTCAAAACGTGCAAAGCTTGCCTTTTGCAGTAAAGCTGGCACCACTGAGGAGGATGTTCCTTTGCACAATATGATGCTACAGAAGGTCTTCACTGTATCAGATCACACTTCAGTGTTCTAAATGTACTGCTGCAGTTAGTTTTACTGTTTGTTACAGTATCTCAAAAAGGAAGACATTCAATTCATGAAGACTAAATTAAAACTGGTCAGAAAATCTATTTTGAAACCCAGTCAGGGACTGAAATCATTAGATGGTCATGGCTACTCTTTGTATACTAGCCAGAAGATTTTTAGACATTTACAGCTAGATTTCAGGCTTTCCCAAATCCCTACTGTTTACAATGGCAAGAAGTATGAAGGCAGGCCAGATTGTGTTTAGGCAGGAATCTGGGGTTTGCTTGGTATAGATTCAAAATTAGTAATTACTGATAACACTCCAAAGAACAATGAGAAAAACAATTTTTGGTTGAAAATCAGTAGTTCACCTGCCCATCCAAACACTGCAGACTTTGTGGCGGGTAATTTAGAAGACACTGAACTGTGAATATGTGCAACAAGTGCTCTCCCTTGTGGCTTTCTTACCACATCCTGTTTCCCTCCACTCTGCCCTTCACCTCCCCCAGAAGACCTCTTCTGTAAAACCCCATCCCACTTCTGGCCAACCTGAAATTTAGCACCATGCTCGTTAAGCTTAGACTTTAAGTCACAAGGAAGCCACATTTAGGTTCTGTACTTCAATCCCAAAGACAGCTGATATGGTTTGGCTTTGCCCCCACCCAAATCTCATCTTAAATTGTAGTTTCCATAATCCCTATGTGTTATGGGAGAGACCCAGTGGGAGGTAACTGAATCATGGGTGTGGGTTTTCCCATGCTGTTTTCATGATAGTGAGTAAGTCTCAGAAGATCTGATGGTTTTATAAAGGGCAGTTCCCCTGCACACGCTCTCTTGTCTGCCGCCATGTAAGACATGACTTTGCTCCTCCTTCGCCTTCCACCATGATTGTGAGGCCTCTGCAGCCATGTGGAACTGTGAGTCCATGAAATCTCATTTTTCCTTATAAATTATCCAGTCTCCAGAATTTCTTCATAGCAGTATGAAAATGGACTAATACAACAGTCCTTAGGGATAACAACAGTAGCTATTGTATAAGGTTGTTTGGAGAATTAAATGAGCTAACACATGCCAAAGTACCTAGAATAGAGGCTGGCCTACAGTGAATGTCGGGGAAATTTTTTTTTTTTTTTTTACAAAACAGAGACAAGGAGAAACTGTCACACCTCAAGCTATTGCTAACAATCAGAATCCCAAATGGAACTCTGTAAAAGCTGGAGAACCCTGGAATATCCCAAACTTTTAATCTATAGAAACAAACGTGAAAGTGGTCTGGATAATGAAGAGGCATCAAACAGACAGGTGGAATAGTAAGTGAAAATTTCCTGTAATTTTTGAGGGCTTCAAGAGATCTTCAATAGTTCCTTTTTTTTCCCTTTTTTTTAAGAGACAGAATCTCACTCTGGAGCAAAGGCTGGAGCATGGTGGCACAATCATAGCTCACTACAGCCTCGACTTCCTAGGCTCAAGTGATCCTCCCAACCTCAGCCTCCCAGGTAGCCTGGACTACAGGCATGTGCCACCATGCCCAGCTAATTAAAAAAAATTTTTTTTTTGTAGAGACTAGTGCGGGGGACAAGGGTCTCGCTATGCTGATCTGGAATTCTTGGTCTCAAGCGATCCTCCTCCACCTCCCAAAGCACTAGGATTACAAGCGTGAGGTACCTGGCCCATCTAATAGTTTTTGTTTTTGTTTTTTTCTTTTTTAAACAGGGTCTCACTTTGTCACCTAGGCTAGAGTACAGTGGCACTATCTCGCCTCACTGCAGCCTCAACTTCCCGGGCTCAAGTGATCCTCCTGCCTCAGCCCCTCAAGAAGTTAGGACTACAGGCATGCACCACCACACTCAGCTAATTTTTATATTTTTAGTAGAGGTGGGGTTTCGCCACGTTGCCCACTGGTCTTGAACTCCTGGACTCAAGTGATCCACCAGCTTTGGCCTCCCAAAGTGCTGGGATTACCAGCATGAGTCATTGCACCCAGCCTAATAGTTCTTAAATGAGTGTTTGAGCTCTTTCTCTAAACCTTCAGGGAAGTCAACCAATGCTCATTAGCATACTAGGAGGAGGTAGGAATTCCATTTACATTACTTAGGACTGGGGACAGTCAGCAGCCTGAGTAAAATGATAAGGGAGAAGAGGATACAGACTAGTATTCTTGGTGCTTTATATTATGTATGATGTGCCTGGGACAGCACTAAGCAATCTAATTCTCTGGATTCCACAGAATCCATCAACAGTTGTAACTGTAATCACAACCCATCCAGTTGTTATGGGAGCCTAGCAAATTATGTTGTAATTTGAGACTCTTTCCAAATTCTTTAGTATAACGCCATCACATTATAAAATCACCATTCTTAGATATCAACTTCACAAATAAAATGTTTTCTACTTTTCTATTACCCTGGCAGTTAACATTAAAATAACTTGACGCTTTATGTGATAGCTGACTGATTTTACTGCAAAATCTTTAAAAATTAGGGAAAAAAAATCAAGCCAAAAGAAGGCAGCCATAGCAAAAACTGGCAATTAAGAATCTGTCTTTAGGTTGGGCATGATGATTCACACCCTATAATCCCAGCACTTTGAGAGGCCAAGGTGGGAGGATTACTTGAGCCCAAGAGTTAAAGACCAGCTTGGGCAACACAGTTAAGACACCATCTCTACAAAAAATTTTAAAATTAGTCAGGCACAGTGGTACAAGACTGTAGTCTCAGCTACTCGGGAGACTGAGGTATGAGAATTGCTTGAGACCAGGAGCCATGATCGTGCCACTGCACTCCAGCCTGGGTCTCAGAACGAGACCCTGTCTTAAAAAAAAAAAAGAAAAAAAAAAAAAGAAGACTGTATCTTTAAATTCCTTATATAATACTTAGATATTTTTCTTCAATATGAATCAATACAGTCACAGGGTGATGCTTGCTTAAAATGAACAGATTATTCATATTCTATGACTTTCAAAAACAGAAGAGAACAAATTAACATCTGAGTTACCTGAGGTAAACTGAATGCAATGCTCCCTGGAACCACCGATGGATGTGTCTTCAGTGTAAATGTGTACCTGTGATTGGGAGAGGTCCTCACAATCACATGCCTAAAGGACAGAAACACAGTTAGTACTCCACATTGAAGGAAATGAAGAACATAATTTCAAAATGTATTTCTTGTCAAACTGATATTTAATGAGTATCAGGTGGAAACGACACTATCTGTGTCTTGAAGAAATAGAACCACAAATTTAGTTTCCCAAACTATCAGCAATCCCAAATGTTTTCCAGATATAAGGAGCACCTTGGGTCAAACACTCATCAAGTAGAATCCAGCCAAAATACCATCCAAAATACCAACTTCCTTACATTTCCAGTTTACATAAAACTGAAGCCAGTGATTTAGAGTCCTTGATATCAAGTAAAAACTAGATGCATTTCCTCTCCTGAGAATTACTTCACATCCTAATAAGGAGAAGAGAGCCAAAGATAAAAGAGCTAGGATATAGCAATCAAAAAAAAGTTAGTTTTTAGACTACTCATTAAATTTATTTGCAGACTCTCTCAACAGGCTAAAACAAAAACAACCTACAAAATAAAAAAAAAAAAGATTTAAAAAATTCCCAAAATACATCAGCTTTCATGTAGATATCAATATTTACTGTTTTAAAAAATTTTGTGCTAATTCCCTGTTCAGAAATTACCTGTAAAAAAAAAAAAAACAGTCCTCTCATGATAATCTCCTATACCAGGTAACTAAAAAGTACTATGTGTAAGATAGAAGCTTCAAATCCTGTTATGCAGCAGCAGTATCTTTTTTTTTTTTTTTTTTTTTTTTTTTAATACATGTGGTCTTGCTATGTTGACCAGGCTGGCCTCAAACTCCTGGGCTCAAGAGATTCTCCTGCTTCAGTCTCTAAAGTAGTTGGGACTACAGGCATGCCCTAACATGCCTAGCTCACTATCTTTTTAAACATTATCTTTTCAGAATGCTGTAATTTTTCACATCAATGGCTAATGTTTCTATACGTATTTTTTTTGCCACTAGAACACATGTTCCTTATATCAACTACATTTTGAGTAACCCCACCATGAGTACAGTGAACATTTAACATATGTAAAAGAATTCCACAAATTCTCACGTTGATTATCTATACTTCAGTTTATCTGTTGAAAATCCTGTGCTCAATTTAGCATCACAGAATGTTTAGCACTGGAAACAATGTTAATATCACCATATAGTACAGCCTCTTACTCTGAAGCTGGAAACCAAAGATGATTAGCATTTCTAACTCTGTGAAACTCAGGTATTTCACAGATAACATTTTAAGAAAAATGCTCAGTTAAAACCCTACCACCTTGCCTCTTATTTCCCTACAGCCCCTTCATCTCCTTATCTGTACCAATCTCAGAAGCATATGGATGGCACTGAACTTGCAGCAGGGTCTTTAGAAGTCCTGGCAGTGCGGTGATATGGATCAGTTAAAATAAATTACAGTGCAAAATGCCTTTAAGGATTCTACATTTGCTTTGCAGCTTCCAATTTTCTTTTTCCTTTACTTTTTTTTGAGACAGAGTCTCGCTGTGTCACCCAGGATGGAGTGCAGTGGCGCGATCTCGGCTCACTACAGTCTCTGCCTCCTGGGTTCAAGTGATTCTCATGCCTCAGTCTCCTGAGAAACTGGGACTACAGGCGCACACCACCATGCCTGGCTAATTTTTATTTTTAGTAGAGATGGGGTTTCACCATGTTGGCCAGGTTGGTCCCAAATTCCTGAGCTTAGGCAATCAGCCTGCCTTGGCATCCCAAAGTACTAGGATTACAGGCGTAAGCCTCCATACCCAGCCCATCTTCCAATGTTCATGTCTCTTGGATTATCATGGTAATAATAATCATAACAGCTAATATTTACTAAGGGATTGTTAACATGTTGGGAACTGTTCTAAGTGCTTTATTTATGTAACTCAATCTTCATAGCTACCTTGAGGAAGAGATCATCTCCATTTTACAGATCAGGACATAGAGGTACAGAAATGGTCACACAGTTTGTAATTGGTAGAGCCAGGAAAACTCAAACAATCTGAGTTTGCCAGAACCAAACACCTAACAACTCTGCCATATATGATTCATACAACCAGTATGTTTAGCTCTACTAAGAAAACTGATGAAAACTAGAGTTTTATACATAAAACATTTTTAAAACATTATACAGTATTTATCAAAGTTTGACACAGTAATGATTCAAATACATAACTTTTTCTCATCTTCTCCATTTTCCAACTCAGCAAGAATTTTTTAAAAATATTTTCCAACGTTTCCTAAAAATGACTCTCTGGAAGTTTCCCGAATGCCACTTAGCAGGTTAAAAGAAAACAAAGTCAGATACTCACTGGCCAGACTGGAAATCCTTTTCATTCACAACTGCACAATTGGTTAAAGATAATTCATCTGTAGGACATCTTGCCGCTTGCATGCTCTGTAAGAATCAATGATTAGGAAAATCAAATTAAGTCATGTTCTATTCCCTTAAAGAATATTTTATGCCTTTCTGTCCTCTCTTCATCACTCATTGCTATAATGAACATCTATTATTTTTGACTCCCAGCATCCCTTCCTCTGCATTAAGAGCAAACCCTTCCTTTGGGAAACTGTTCCTTTCCCATTCCATGTGGTTTAGTGAGACTGCCAGTCAGCACACATGCAACCACATCTACTCTATCCCACCCACAGGATTTTATATATGCTGGCGCTAGACCAAAGGCATTCTTCTGCAAGCCAGAGCACCACAAGGAGGAAGATTTTCCACTCTAAAAGGGTAAAACTATCACAGAGACACAGACAAGCTAATAGATAACCTGGAAACACAGATCTGGCAACCAAGTTCTTGAGACCAGTCCTGAACATTAGTTACGAGCCAACAAATTTTTTTTGCTCAAGCTTTTTTGAATTAGCTTTCCATATCTTCCAAAGAATCTTGACTAATAAAAATGCACTGAAGTAAATTCAATAAATTTGGTAAACTTATGTATCAAATTTTATGTATATTATCAAAAGTATATTATGAAATGTTATGCATATTATAAAGAGTATACTATGAAAAAGTATCTTTTTATAAGAGATCCCAGGTGGCTACGAACTGTATCTCCTATAGATTGAGAAAAACCATCTTCCAAATATCTTTCAACAAAAATAATTACAGACTATATTTAAAAAAAAAAAAACAGCCTTTTTGGTCAATAGCAACTAGCAAAATGTTCCTTTATATAATATATTTAACCAATAACCCTTCCATGATTCCCTAGGGTTTCCTAGTGAGCTATGACAGGTAGTCATAGTCTATGACTGAAGGGTTCATTCTTCAAACCTCAAGCCAAAGCTGATTTTTTTTTTTTTTTTTTTTTTGAGATGGAGTCTCACTCTGTCACCCAGGCTGGAGTGCAGTGGCGTGATCTCGGCTCACTGCAAGCTCCGCCTCCCGGGTTCATGTCATTCTCCTGCCTCAGCCTCCTGAGTAGCTGGGACTACAGGTGCCCGCCACCATACCCAGCTAATTTTTTGTATTTTTAGTAGAGTCAGGGTTTCACCGTGTTAGCCAGGATGGTCTTGATCTCCTGACCTCACGATCCGCCCACCTTGGCCTCCCAAAGTGCTGGGATTACAGGCATGAACCACTGCACCTGGCCAGGACGATTATTCTTAAATGTGTCTCCCAAATATAAATTTATAGAGGAAAGTGAATTATTTTTGGCTTTGCTTTTATTTTAACTAAAAGGCCAGTTTCAATATCATTATCCCTGTTGTTTAGGGCATTAGTCTCCAAAGTGGGATATGTGTACTTGAAGGGTGTTTGTATTATACGATAATCCTTTGGGGTATAAAAATAAAATATTAGTACTGGTATTTATATTGACTTCACACAATTTCTTATTTATGTGTTGTTTTGTTTTTTGACACAGTCTCTCTCTGTTGCCCAGGCTGGAGTGCAATGGTGGATCTCAGCTCACTGCAATCTCTGCCTCCCTGGTTCAAGCGATTCTCATGCCTCAGCATCCCAAGTAGCTGGGTTACAGGCATGCTCCAGCTAATTTTTGAATTTTTGGTAGAGTCGGGGGTTTCATCACGTTGCCCAGGCTGGTCTCGAACTCCTGAGCTCAGGCAATCCGCCCGCCTCGGCCTCCCAAAGTGCTAGGATTACAGGCGTGAGCCACTGCGTCCAGCCACACCATTTATTTATTTATTTATTTATTTATTTATTTATTTTAATTTGTTTGAGACAGAGTCTCACTCTGTCACCCAGGCTGGACTGCCCTGGTGCGATATCGGCTTACTGCAAGCTCCGCCTCCCGGGTTCACGCTATTCTCCTGCCTCAGCCTCCCAAGTAGCTGGGACTACAGGTACCCACCACCACGCCCGGCTAATTTTTTTGTATTTTCATCAGAGACAGGGTTTCACCGTGTTAGCCAGGATGGTCTCGATCTCCTGACCTTGTGATCCACCCACCTCGGTCTCCCAAAGTGCTGAGATTACAGGTGTGAGCCACTGCACCCAGCCCATTTTTTATTAAAGATGAACCTCACTCTACATGTCTACTCTACCTTAAGATATAATCTGATGGCACGAACAAAGTCCTCATAATCCACCAGGCTTTTAAGTGTTCACTGCAAGAGTTAAACGTCTATAATTTTTCCACCTATGTCTAAAGTCACAGGCTATTTAATGTGACACTTCACAAAATTGTACGAAAGTTAGTGTCGAAACTGCTAAGGTTTCCCTAAAAAAAGCCAAGGACCATAGCTGAAATTATACACAGAAATAAAAGTGGTGACAAACTAAATGTATTCTTTTATTGGTAAGTATAGTCAAAAGCTCTTAGAAAACCCTAAAGACTTGAAGATATCAGGACAAATACAGTGTGTGGGGTTTGCTATACAATTGGATAAAAATACAGATGATTCTTTCATCTTAGGGTATTTGCTGGGTAATTATGAAATATACAGGAAATACAACTTTGTAAGATACCAAGGAACAATGTATTAAAAGGGAGGTATTCTTAACTGTAAATGAAACAAGGTGCTTTATGGGAAAACTGTAACCACTGATGAAATGACTGCTTTGACTGGAATTTTAAAAAAGAATTCTGGCCAGCTGCGGTGGCTCACACCTGTAATCCCAGCACTTTGGGAGGCCGAGGTGGGTGGATCATGAGGTCAGGAGATCGAGACCATGCTGGCTAACACGGTGAAGCCCCGTCTCTACTAAAAAATAACAAAAAATTAGCCAGGCGTTGTGGCGGGCACCTGTAGTCCCAGCTACTTGGGAGGCTGAGGCAGGAGAAAGGCGTGAGCCCGGGAGGCGGAGCTTGCAGTGAGCTGAGATCGTGTCACTGTACTCCAGTCTGGGCAACAGAGCGAGACCCTATCTCAAAAAAAAAAAAAATTCCAGAACAAAGTTACAGTGATAGCATCTGATACAAAAGCCTTTAACAGCTTCATTCACAGGTAAACTATTGCTGCAATTAAGTCAGAACAAGGTACCTCAGATGTCACTGAGGTTAACTGTATGAATATAGAATCTTCCTATACTCTGGGAGATAGAGAGTAGCCACTGAATTTTTTTTTTTTTTTTTTTTTTGAGAGATAGTCTTGCTCTGTCGCCCAGAATTGAATGCAGTGGCGCATTCTCAGCTCAGAGTAGCTGGGACTACAGTTGTGTACCACCACTTCTGACTAATTTTTGTATTTTTAGTAGAGATGGGGTTTCACCATGTTGGCCAGGCTGGTCTCAAACTCCTGGCCTCAAGTGATCCACCTGCCTTGGCCTCATAATCTTTTTTTTGTTTTTAAATCCACACAGATTCACTAGTTACCACAAGAAATGTATTTAAAAGATTTGTTAAATGTAGATGAGTTACACAATTTTTTTAAAATAAAAAGACTAGAGTTCCAAACTTGCTAAATATTTCTGAGGAGGTTATAAGTAGTATGCTACCAAGAAGATATTAAAAAAACAAAAAAACTCACTCTGCCCCTACAAAATAAAAATGTTTAGCAACATGTCAGAATTATTTTCAGCTTTTCCAGAAAAAAGAAAAAGAGAAAAAAATCGGCCGGGTGCAGTGGCTCACGCCTGTAATCCCAGCACTCTGGGAGAATGAGGCAGGCGGATCACCTAAGGTCAGGAGTTTGAGACTAGCCTGGCCAACATGGTGAAACCCCATCTCTACTTAAAATACAAAAATTAGCCGGGCGTGGTGGCGGGCACCTGTAATCCCAGCTACTCGGGAGGCTGAGGCAGGAGAATCGCTTGAACCCAGTAGGCGGAGGTTACAGTGAGCCAAGATGGCACCATTGTACTCCAGCCTTGGGGACAAGAGAGAGGCTTCATCTTTAAAAAAAAAAAAAAAAAAAAAAAAAAAGAGAGCGAGAGAAAAAAAAATCTTTCCTAATAGAGCATTTCAAAATTGGATAATTGGAAACATTTCCATTGCTAAGTTATTCTGCTGTTGAAACAATATATACAAAATCTAAAAAATAAAGACACCAAAAACTCGTATCTTCATGCTTTATAAAGTCAGAAACAGAATATTCTAAAACTTTTTAAAATATCTTCCAAATGAAGACTTAACAGTGATTTTTGGAACCCATTTATTAACACAATAAAAGTATAATATATTTTTATTAATCTGCAAGAAAAACTAATAGATGGATATTTACCAGCCACATTTCAATAAAGCATTTCCATAAATAGTGAATAAGTTTGGAGAAAGAAAGAATATGATTTAGAAAGTGCAGCCAAATTCTTCCATTTTGATCCAGGCTTTGACTGCCATTAAAGTATCAAAATAAACTGAATTTAGAAACAGCCCTCTGAGCAGCTGTATCACATAATATTAAACGAAGATTTTAAATAATGATGTACCACTTTACTTTCTGGGTTTTTTTTTTTTTTTTTTTTTTTTAGATGGAGTCTTGCTCTGTCGCCCAGGATGGAGTACAGTGGCATGATCTCGGCTCATTGTAACCTCCGCCTCCCGGGTTCAAGCAATTCTCCTGCCTTACCCTCCCGAGTAGCTGGGATTACGGGCGTGTGCCACCATGCCCAGCTAATTTTTGTATTTTTTAGTAGAGATGGGATTTCGCTATATTGGTCAGGCTTGTCTCAAACTCCTGACCTCAAGTGATCTGCCTCCCTCAGCCTCCCAAAGTGCTGGGATTACAGGCGTGAGCCACTGCACCCAGCCTACTTTCCGTATTTTCAGTAAAATTAACACTGTGAGAATATTGTACATGCCATCTTTAGCTCATCCTTTTAATTTTTTTTGTTTTCTATACATGTTCTACTGCGTATATAACTTTTAGTACTACATATCATCTATAAACAAATATTGGCATATAATCAATATATGAGGATACATAATCAAAACATTTTTTACTTATGAGATTCATGATCAAATGTTTGGAAATCACTAATTTAGCACAAGATGAATAAAGTCTAGGTCACAAGTCTCCTTTGTGAATGAGACAGCATTTATGTGTTCAACAAATGCTGACAGCATTTTGCCCAGTCACAGCTTGATCAGCCATATGACAGAAATGTACTGAACTTTTTCAGTTTCCCACTTTCCCAGGGTCATTTTCACCTGCAAGCTTCTTTCTTTTATATAATCTCCGCCACTAACCCCTGTTCCATCCCTGGACAACTCCCACTCATTCTACAATTCTCCACTTAGACACTACTTTTTCTGGAAGGCATTCCTAGACACCTACCCCTCCCCACTAAACTGATGAAATAAACTTCAAATGGAAGCACTCAACTATAATTTTATTCTGTCTACATGTTTGCACTGCATATAAGACACTAAACTTCTCAAAGACTGAGACTATATCTTGCTCACATATGTAGTTCCCAGTGTTAGTACAGGGCCTAGTACACAGTGAATACTCATTAAATGTTTGTTGAACACAAAAATTTATAGATCAATAAAAATCTGTCTCAACTGCAGAATAAACAATCCAAAGAACATGTAACAAAGGACTGATCGTCTCAAGGTTATTTAGGAAGTGATAAAATTGAGCTAAAATGATCTGATAGTTCAAAATATACAGAACGATATAGCTAAAGTAATAAAATAAATTTACAAAATGCTGTTAACTCTTTCATTTATAAACTTGTTTATTTGTCAAGTGTCCTTCAAAAGGAGTGAAAAAATCCACAGAAGTCATCTGGCTGGCCAACCAAAACAGATGCTGTGAACAAAAGGCCTCCCTACTGGAATCCAGAAACATCTGTGTTTTTATGGTAAGCCAAGCATGGTATCTCATTTTTTCAACGAAGTATAAGTCTCTATAAATAGTAGCTGTCTACTCACCACAGCAATGCCAAGGGAAAATTCCACAATTTTTCTAACATTGACCTTGCCCCTAGGAAACAATAATGAAAGCCAACCACTACAGTCATGCAGTTATTAAGAAATGAAAGTACAGGCTAGGTGCGGTGGCTCACGCCTATAATCTCAGCACTTTGGGAGGCCAAGGTGGGAGGACTGCCTGAGCTCAGGAGTTCAAGACCAGCATGGGCAACATGGTGAAACCCCATCTCTACTAAAATACAAAAAATTAGCCGGGTGTGGCGGTGTGTGCCTGTAGTCCCAGCTACTCGGGAGGCTAAGGCAGAATTGCTTGAACCCAGGAGGCGGAGGTTGCAGTGAGCTGAGATTGTAGATGACCAGCTGGAACAGCCACCCTTGTTGGACACTGTTTGATTCAGCTTTTTATTAATATGCAGTTCTGAGATGGCATCCTTATGCACACGCCCACATATTTCCTTAGGTCAGGTCTATAGATGTGGAAGCCAGGTCCCACGCGTTGGGTATGGCTGTCACCCTGAAGATACCGCAGATCGCCAACATCACATTCCCCAGTCCCCATCTAGTGGCCTCCAGTGGCCCATCTACTGGGCCAGCAGGGGCCAGGAAAGGAGAAGAGGGAGACCAGTGGGGCTGAAGGCACTGGTGCGTCTGTGCAAGAGGAGGAAGCCCTGTGAGAGGGCAGCAGCCTCCGGACTGGTACAAGCGATTCTCCTGCCTCAGCCTTCCGAGTAGCTGGGATTACAGCAAAAAATAAAATTATTTGCTTATCTTCATCAAAGAAACTGGGGTGATTTAATCAGGACTCTTCTGGACAACACTGCACAGTTTTGGAATTTAAATCACATACTTTCATCCAAACGTCCACTTTAAAAACTGGATTAAAGTACGCTTTACTATTTACTAAATAATTTAATAGGGCAAAATAAACAGAAAGAAAAATAGTGTGGCATCTGACCAAAAGAGCTCATTACCAAACAGCTTCCCCTACCTGAACTGTCACCCTTATGAATCCACTGGTTCTTCTTCTGTGGTGCTCTAGGCTTTGGTTTCATTTCTCCCACAGGAAAGGGAAGGACTGAAAACACAAACCTGCCCCAGGGCCAGCTCAGCTAACAGGTCTCACTCAACTACTTCTTGCTAGAGGATCTTTCCTGAAAAATAACATTTCAGAACTACACTGTTCGGTAATCACTAGACATATTTCACTATTCAAATTAATTTAAAGTTAAATTCAATTCTTCAGTTGAACTAGCCCTACGTTTCAAAAGCCACCTGTGGCTAGTGGTTATCACTGCAGAAAGTTTCATCGGATAGCACTAGCCTAGAATAATGCAAGAAAGGCCATCAGTACTAATCTTCAGGCCTATGGAATCCCTCTGTGCTACATATTCCTATAATAATAATTTCTGTTAAAATTCTGAAGTCACATGTGACTAGAAGTGATGGGGTAGAAATAAGTTAAACTTATATGTCCTATAGTTATCTCTTGAAAAGCCTTTAGGGATATCCTTGACATTATCTATCTCAAACTAATAACTGTTCACATAGATGAACCTCCTGCCTGGCATCCCTTAGAACTTTAAAATTCCTTTACAAGTTTATAATGAAAAGAAAAACAATTCCCATTTTGGTCTTTTGGGGGGAAAAGCATGCACAGAAAAATATAAAAGGCTGACAACTTTCAATATCGGCAAAGATGCAATGCAGTTTCTACAAAGTTAATGTGACCCAACAAGTGCACCCCTAGGTTTTTAGTCAAAAGAAATGAAAATATATCCACACAAAGACTCGCACACAAATGATCACAACAGCTGTACTCATAATAGCCTAAAAATGGAAACAACATGAATGTCTACCAAAAGATGAATGAATGAAGAAATTATAGGAGAGCCATACAATTGACTACTACTCAGAAATTAAAAAGAAACTAGTCCAGGTGCAGTGGCTCATGCCTGTAATCCCAACACTTTGGGAGGCCGAGGCAGGGGGATCGCCTGAGCCCAGGAGTTCCAGACCAGCCTGGGCAACATGGTGAAACCCTGTCTCTACAAAAGATACAGAAATTAGCCAGGCGTGGTGGTACATGCCGGTAGTCCCAACTACTTGGGAGGCTGAGGTGGGAGGACTGCTTGAGCCCAGGAGTATGAGGCTGCAGTGAGCTATGATCACACCACTGCACCCCAGCCTGGGCAACAAAGCAAGACCCTGTCTCTACAAAAAAATAAAAACTAAACTTAAAAAAAAGATACACACTAAACTGTTAACAGTGGTTACCACCAAGGAGAAAGACAAGAAAATGTCTTTACAATTCTGAACTCTTTACAATTCTGTAAAACTCTTTACAATTCTGAACTGCTGGAACTGTTTTTACAATAAATAAACTTTGTCTCACAAAAATCATTTTAAATATAGAAAACTTTTATGTGTAATTTTTTCCCTACAGCATTATTTTAACAGTGATGAATTAGGAGTAACCTAAAGGTCTTGTTTCAAAGTAATGGTTCTGTAAACTACAACGTACCCGCACTTGATTATATATATCATATCATATAAGGATCAAAATCCTCATAACACACTAAGGTAGGGTTCATATCACAGAATTGTATACAGAACTTTTACTTTACAGCATTTTTTTTTTTTTTTTGTGAGGCAAGGTCTGGCTTTATCACCCAGGCTGGAGTGCAGTGGCGCCATCTCAGCACACTGCAACCTTTGCTTCCCTGGCTCAAGCCATCTTCCCACCTCAGTCTCCCAAGTAGCTGAGGCTACAGGCAAGCACCACCACACCAGGCTAATTTTTGTATTTTTTGTAGAGATGGGGTTTCATCAGATTGGCCAGGCTGGTCTCGAACTCCTGACCTCAAGTGATCTGCCTGCTTCAGACTACAAGTGTGAGCCACCACGCTCAGCCTTAAAGCATTATTTTTAAAAAAGTATGGCAAACCAACTAAATGGAAACACACCAAAATGTGAAAAACAACTGACTGGATAACGAAACTATGGGTGATTTCCAGCTTTCCACACTGATTTTAAACCTCATATATGAAGTTTTCAGGTGTATCTGGTTCTATTTCTGGGTTGGTTGTTCTACTTCATTAACTATTTGTCTGCTTTCTATACTAATACCACATTGTTTTAATTACCATATATGGCATATTTTGATGTCTAGTTTTGTCAGATTCGTATCAAAAAATTAATATTCTTAACTTCACAGAAGCATCTCAGGACATGCATCTCAAATGTTTAAAGAGGCAGAAGGCTCCCTACCGTCGTTTTTTTTTGTTTTTTGTTTTCTCTTTTTTGAGATGGAGTCTCACTCTGTCACCCATGCTGGAGTTAGTGCAGTGGCTCGATCTTGGCTCACTGCAACCTCCACCTCCCAGGTTCAAACAATTCTCCTGCCTCAGCCTCCCAAATAGCTGGGATTACAGGCAACCACCACCACACCCGGCTAATTTTTGTATTTTTTGTAGAGACAGGTTTCACCATGTTGGCCAGGCTGATCTCGAATTCCTGACCTCAAGTGATCCACCCACCTCAGCCTCCCAAAGTGCTGGGATTACAGGCATGAGCCACTGCACCCGGCTATCCCATCACTTAATCCCACCCTGCCAATCTTTGCTCTCTTGAATCTTGGCACACTGCCAGTAAGCCTCTCATGGGTCACTTAAAAAGCAAAAATCCCATAATTCTACTTTATTTTAATTCTACTCTGTAGTTCTTT
This sequence comes from Homo sapiens, assembly GCF_000001405.40. Lineage (NCBI taxonomy): Eukaryota > Metazoa > Chordata > Mammalia > Primates > Hominidae > Homo > Homo sapiens. The sequence goes on along the minus strand of NC_000017.11, from coordinate 46,397,046 downwards.
TAACTCATTTCAAACTAGCACCCTTTTCTCTCTTCTCTTTATTACCAAATCTCTCAAGTCTCCCTTCCTTGCCTTCCATGTTCTCATCCTATGGCTATCTTCTTCAACCATTCTTTGAAATCCTTTCCAGCAGCCACTTTACTGTAACTGCTGTCTTCAAAATCACCAATGACTAAATGCCAAATTCAGTGGTACCTCCTTCTCCTCAGTATTCACTTTTTCATTTGTTTGTCTTGCTATGTTCCTCATCTGTTAATACCATCATTATCCTTTCAAGTCATTAAATTCAAGATTTCAGGGTCATTCTTCCCTTCACTGCCTATCCCTGGAATGCACACATAAACAATCAAGAGTCTACTAAGTCTACTGCACTGTCACGTGGATGTGCCTCCCTTCCAGCCTCACAACCATAACCTAGTTCAGCCATATCACCTCTCCTAAAAAACTACAATGGTAATAATTGTTGTCCCTGGTTCTAGCTTTTGTTCTCCTCCAATTCAGCCTTCCCTCTGCCACCAGACATGACCTGAAACCAAAAATATGATTCATAAGTAATAAAGCCCAAACTCCTTAGCATGCTACTCACAGCCACCTATGCAAGATCTATCTTTAACTTATTTTTCTGCGTCATCTACCTCAATACCCCACCCCAACCCCATGTACCCCACATTCCAAACTCCATTCCTTCACTCACACTATTCCTTTTGACTGAATTCCCTATTTCAAACCCCTTCCACCTGTGAAAATCTTTCCCACCTTGCAAAGCCAAGTTTGTGAAACTCCCTGGTTCCTAGTAAGATAGAATATCTCCTTTATTTGTGCTTCTTCAGCAGTCTTAGTACTACTTATTACAAGCTGCCTTACACTAGACTTATTTAAGTACCATGCCTTCCTCACAAGATTCTAAGCTCTGATTCTCCTGCACCACTCAGGGAATATACAGTATGATAAATATTAATTGAGTTCTCATTGCCGTTTTTGAGATTTTTTTTTTTTTTTTTTTAAAGACAGAGTCTCGTTCTGTCGCCCAGGCTGGAGTGCAGTGGCATGATCTCGGCTTGCTTTAACCTCTGCCTCCCGGGTTCAAGCAATTCTCCTGCCTCAGCCTCCTGAGTAGTTGGGACTACAGGCATGTGCCACCATGCCTGGCTAATTTTTTGTATTTTTAGTAGAGACGGGGTTTCACCATGTTAGCCAGGATGGTCTCCATCTCCTGACCTCGTGATCCGCCCACCTCTGCCTCCCAAAATGCTGGGATTACAGGTGTGAACCACCACGCCCAGCTGATATATTTCACATAAAATTAATCATTTAAAATGTATACTTGGGTGGTTTTTGTTTTTTGGAGGGTTTTGTTTTGAGAGACAGGGTCATGCTCTATCACTCAGGCTGGATCACAGTGGCACAATCACAGCTCACTGTAACCTCAAATTCACAGGCTCAAGTGATCTTCCCACCTCAGCCTCCAAAGTAGCTGGGACTACAGGCACACACCACCATACCCAGGTAATTAAAACAATTTTTTTTTTTTTTGTAGAAACAAGGTCTTGCTGTGTTGCCCAGGCTGGTCTTGACCTCTTGGCCTCAAGCAATCTTCCCGCCTCAGTCTCCCAAAGTGTTGGGGTTATAGGCATGAGCCACTGCACCCAGCCTTTGAGTGGTTTTTAGTATATTTACTATGTTGTACAACCATAATCACTATCTAATTCCAGAACAGTCCCATCACCCCAAAAAGAAACTCTGTCCCTACTAGCCGTTAATCTCAATTCATCCCTTCTCTCACTCCTTCTCAACCACTAATCTACTTTCTGTCTCTATGAATTTGCTTATTGTGGACATTTCACGTAAGCAGAATCATACAATTCGTCATCTTGGTGACTGGATTTTCACCTAGCATAATGTTTCCAAGGTTCATGTTGTGGCACGTAATAGTATTTCATTCTTTTTATTTATTTATTTTGTAGAGACTGGGTCTATGTTGCCCAGGCCAATCTTGAACTCCTGGCCTTAAGCAATCCTCCCATCGTGGCCTCCTAAAGCAATGGGATTACAGTTGTGAGCTACTGCACCTGGCTTCTTCATTCCTTTTTACAGCTGGATAAGATTTCATTGTATGGATATACCACATTGTATTTATCATTTCATCAGCTGATGGACATTTGGGTTGCTTCCACTTTTTGGCAACTATGAATAATGCCACATGTTAATGTATGTACAAGTTAATGTATGAACATATGTTTTCAATTATCTTGGGTCTATACCCAGGAGTAGAATTGCTGAGTTATTCTATGTTTAGTTTTTTAAGGAACTGCAAAACTTTTGTGCAGTAGCTGCATCATTTTACATTCCCATCAGCAATGAGGGCTCCAATTTCTCTACTTCCTTATCAAAACTTGTTACTGTCTTTAAAAAAAAAAAAAAAAAAGTATGACCATCCTAGAGGGTGTAAAGTGTTATCTCTCATTGTGGTTTTGATTTGTAATTCCCTATGGACTATGATGTTGAAGATCTTGTCATGTGCTTATAGGTCATTTGTACATCTTCTTTGGAGAAATGTCTATTCTATTCAAATGCTTTGCCCATTTTTAAATTCCATTGTCTTATCTTTGTTGAGTTGAAAGGGTTCTTTGCATATTCTGGATATAAACAACATATATATAAAATATATATACTTATCAGAGATATAATTTGCAAATATTTTCCCCCATTCTGTGAGTTGTCTTCATTCTACAGTGTCCTTTGATGCATGAAAGTTTTTAACTTTAACAAAGTCCAGTTTATCTACCTTTTTCTTTCACTGCTTGTGTTTTTGTGTTATATCTTTAAAAATCACCATTTAATCCAAGGTCATACAGATTTTCACCTATGTTTCCTTCGAAGAACTTAACAGGTTTAGGTCTTTGATCCATTCTGAGTTAATTTTCCTATGTGATGTGAGGCAGGGATCCAAATTTATTTTTTTACATGTAGATATCCAGTTGCCCCAGCAACATTTGTTGAAAAGATTATTCTTTCCCCAGTTAATGATCTTGGCGCCCTGGTCAAAATCAACTGACCATAAATGTATGGGTTTATTTCTGGACTCTAAATTGCATTCCATTGGTTTACAAGACTCTCCTCATGCCAGTGACATGCCATCTGGATTACTGTAGTTTTGTAATAAGTTTTGAAATCAGGAAGTATGAGTCCTACAATTTTGTTCTCTTTTTTTCAAGACTGTTGTGGCAAATATGGCTCTGCAATTCCATATGAATTATAAGATCAGGTTGTCCATTTCCGGGAAAAAGGCAGTTGAACTGTGATAGTGATTGCATTAAACCTGTAGATAAATCTGGGTAGCACTGTCATCTTAACAATATTAAGTCTTCCAAGCCATGAACACAGGACGTCTTTCAATTTATTTAGATCTCTAATTTCCTTCAACATGTTTTCTGTTTTTTAGTGTACTTTTTAGTGTACTTCTTTGGTTAACTTTATTCATAAGTATTTTATTCTTTCTGATGTTATTATAAATGGAATTTTTTCTATTTCATTTTCAGATTATCCATAGCTAGCATATAGGAATGCAACTGATTTTTAGATAATAATCTTGTATCCTGCAACTTTGCTGAACTCATTTATTAGTTCCAATTTTTTTTGGTAAATTCTGTAGGATTTTTCTACATGTAAGATCATGTCATCGGTAAATATAGTTTTATTTCTTTCTGATATAAATGTATTTTCTTTTTCCTGCTTAACTGCCCCACCTAGAACCACCAATAGAGTGTTGAATAGGAGTGGCAAGAGCATCCTTGTCTTGTTCTGATCTTAAGGGGGAAAGCTTTCAGTCTTCAACCATTAAGTATGATGTTAGCTGTGAGTTTTCCTGTTAGTTGGATTTTGTTTGTTGAACTGAATTTTGACAGTGCCAACTCATAAGGTTGTGCTGAGAATCTAATAAGAAAAGATCTGTGAAGGTGTTTTTAAAACTGTAAAATATCGTTTAATTTCAAGATCGTCTTATTCAGTGACTTGGTACTCTTACTCTAAAAAGTTTCAGAGTAATGTTGTTAAATGAATCAAAATGTTTCTGAAGCTTTTTTAATTCCCAACATCCTGACAAAGCTTTTGCACTTATGTTGTTTTGAAAGGGGAAGAAAAAGGGAAAACTCTTTGGAGAAGGAATCAGAACAAGGATCCAAGGCCTAGAGCCTCTCCCCTGTCCCAACAAGGGAATGCCAGCCCAGTAAGACTCAGGATGTTCAGGAAAGCAGAAAGGAGAAATGCAAAAATGGGCAAGAGGCAGCATGGTATGGAGGAACGAACACGGGATTTAATGGAAAAAGACAGCTGAGATTCCAGTTGTTCAGAAACAACTGAAGAAAACAGTGAGGCTGGGTGCGGTGGCTGAAAACTATAATCTCAACACTTTGGGAGGCCAAGGAGGGAGAATCATTTGAGGCCAGGAGTTCAAGACCAGCCTGGGCAATATAGTGAGACCCAAACTCTACAAAAAGAAAGGAAGAAAGGAAGAGAGAGAGAGAGAGAGAGAGAGAGAAAGAGAGAAAAGAAAGAAAGAAGGAAAGAAAGAAAGGAAAGAAAGAAAGAAAGAAAGAAAGAAAGAAAGAAAGAAAGAGAGAAAGAAAGAGAGAGAGAGAAAGAAAGAAAGAAAGAGAGAAAGAAAGAAAATAAATTAGCCTGGCTTGGTGGCACAAATCAGTAATCCCCGTTATTCAGGGGGCTAAGGTGAGAGGTTTGAGCCCAGGAGGTCAAGGCTACAGTGAGCCCTGATCACGCCACTGCATTCCAGACTGGGTGACAAAGTGATACCCTATCTCAAAAAAAAAAAAAAAAGAAAAAAGAAACAGTGAGACACCCGAGAATATTAGAAGATCTAGTAAACTGCACATCTTCAATGCTGCATGATCTTACGGACTTACATCCGTAAGGCCACACTATACTTATCTAAATTGTTGATACTACTTTTAGTCATTATAACACAGCATGCTAATAATTTATGATGTGTCCTTAATATTGAGAGGTTTCTCATTTAATAAATTCAGCTTACTAATAAATATAAACATAATAGTATTTACATATTTTATTATTTAGAAACAACTGAGTAGAAATCATATTTACAAATAATTGAATCAAAAACTGGCTGTTGGAAAGCAAAAAGAAATTACTAGCCTACTTCTTTTCCATAGAACAAATATTTAATAAATATCTATAATGTGCCAGGCACTGTGCTAGGTGCAGGAGATGCTCAAATTAACAACAAAGCAGTGACTACTTTTTATATTTTTTGGACACTGAACAGGAATAAAATATGTATAAAACACAGGCAACACATAAAACACCATAAACCTACTACCCAGTTTAAGAAAAAGAACATTATTTAAATCAAGTTTTTATTGAAGAAGAACATATATACACAAAAATGCATACATTGTACGTGTTTGGCTCAATGAATTTCTACAAGTGAACACACCCAGGGTAACCAACAGTTAGGTCAAGAGGACATTACCAGCATCTCATACTGCCCGCTCCTAGTCACTATCCTTCTACTCAACCACAGATACCCACTAGCTTAATTTCTGTCATCAGAGATAGAAATCATGAATAGAAATATATTCACTCCTCCCACCCCCAGGACTATAAGTGCTGGGTCATGGGCATCATGCCTACATTCAGTTTTAGGGAATTCTGCTAGTTTTCCAAAGAGGTTGTGCTCATGCATTTTCATCAGTTCCAGCTGCTGCACATCCTCATCACCACTTAGAATTGTCATGACAGGCCAGGTGCGTGGGCTCATGCCTGTAATCCCAGCACTTTGGGAGGCCAAGGCAGGTGGATCGCTTGAGATCAGGAGTTCAAGACTAGCCTGGCCAACATGGCAAAACCCCATCTCTACTAAAATACAAAAATTAGCCAGGCGTGGTGGTGGGTGCCCATAATCCCAGCTACTCGGGAGGATGAGGCAGGAGAATCACTTGAACCCAGGAGGCAGAGGTTGCAACAAGCTGGGATTATGCCACTGCACTCCAGCCTGGGCGACAAGAGCAAGACTCCATCTCAAAAAACAAAACAAAATCAAACCCAGAATTGTCATGACAAATGTGTTCTTAATTTAACTTTCTGGTGGGTGTGTAGTAATATCTCCCTGAGGTTTTAACTTGTATTTCTCTGATGACTAATGAGGTTGAGCATTTAACATACGTTACAGGTAAGTTCTTTGTGAAATCCCTGTTTGAATCCTTTGTTCATTTTTCCATTGGCTTTCTGTCCTTTCTTTTTATTCTTGATTTGTAGTTCTTTATATATTCCAGGTACAAGTCCTTGTCAAATACATGTATTTCTTTTTTTCTTTTCTTTTTTTGAGACAGAGTCTTGCTCTGTCGCCCAGGCTGGAGTGCAGTGACGCAATCTCGGCTCACTGCAAGCTCCGCCTCCTGGGTTCACACCATTCTCCTGCCTCAGCCTCCCAAGTAGCTAGGACTACAGGCACCCGCCACCACGCCTGGCTAATTTTTTGTATTTTTAGTAGAGACGGGGTTTCACTGTGTTAGCCAGGATGGTCTCGATCTCCTGACCTCGTGATCCGCCCGGCTCGGCCTCCCAAAGTGCTGGGATTACAGGTGTGGGCCACCGTGCCTGGCTGTCAAATACATGTATTTCAAATACCTTCTTCCACTCTGGTCTTTCTCCTCAATGGTGTCTACTATGGAGTGAAATGTGCACTCCCCACTGCCCCCAACAAAATTCATTAGTCAAGGCGCTTCCCCCACCCCAACTATTTTGGAGATAGGGACTTTGGGAGATAATTGAGGCTAAATTAGGTCATAAGCGAAGGGCCCTAATCTGACAAGACTGTGGCCTTATAAGAAAAGGAAGAGAGATGGTGAGATCTTGCTGTCTCTCCGCCACACAGACACGTGGCAAGAAGCCTGTGTGCAAGTCACGAAGACAGTGCTCACCAAAACGCAGTCATACTGGCACCCCGGTCCCAAACTTCCAGCTTCCAGAACCGTGAGAAAATACATTTCTTTTGTTTAAGCCACCAAGTCTATAGTATTGTGTTATGGCAGCCTAAGCAAACTAAGTCAGTGTCTTTTGATGAAATCCAATTAATCACTTTTTTCCTTTGTATCTAGTGCTTTTTATATTCTGTTTAAGAAATCTTCACCTGTCTCCCATGTTTCTGCCTTTTCTTGTCATTAATTTCTAACTTGCCCACATTATGATCAGATATTATTCAGAGATCTGCACCTTGGATGTGGTGTTCAATACTCAATTATTAATATTGTTAATTATATTAAGTCTTCTAAATTAATGCAGTGCAAAAGTACTTTCTGTGCTGTCCAATACAGCAGCCATTGTCACATGTCACTAGTAAGCCCTTGAAAAATGGCTATTGCAACCGAGAAAATGAATTTTTAATTTTAATTTTCAGCTGTAACCATTTTGTCTTTTTAATTTTTCAATTAGGGAGTTTTGAAACTCCTCACCATGGTAGATTTGTCTATTTCATCTTATAATTGTGTCATTTTGTTCTTTGTATATTGAGGCAATTATTAGGTTCACACAAGTTTGGAATTGTTTTTACCTTTATGGATAAATAAACCTTTTCTCATTGTTGAGGGACCTATCTCTAGCTGTCTCTTTTGTCTGAAAGATCATATTGTCTGATGCTAATATAGTTAGTTTACCTCCCTTTTGGTTAGAGTTTGCCTGATAGACTTTTTCCATCCTTTTGCTTTCTATCTTTCTACATTCATATGTATTAGCTATCTCTCTTGAAAATTATAGCTGGATTTTGTGTTGTTTCAGTAAGTTTGTTTGCTTGCTTTTATTTATTTATTTATTTATTTTTGAAACAGAGTCTCACCCTGTTGCCCAGGCTGGAGTACGGTGGCATGATCTTGGCTTACGGCAATCTCCGCCTCCTGGGTTCAAGTGATTCTCCTGCCTCACCTTCCCAAGTACCTGGGATTACAGGTGTGCACCACCACACCCAGCTAATTTTTGTATTAGCTGGCCATGGCCAGCTGGCCGTGTTGGCCAGGGTGGTCTCGAACTCCTGATCTCAAGTGATCCACCCGTCTCAGCCTCTCAAAGTGCTCGGATTACAGGCGTGAGCCACTGCACCCGGCCTGCTTGCTTTTAAATAATCCAATCTGACATTCTTTGTCTGAATGAAGCATTTAGTCTACCATATATTTGATTTGATTTCTATATTTTATTGTTTCCTCTTTATCTGACCTTTTCTATGTTTTTCACTTCTTCCTTGCCTTTTAAAAATTGTTTTTTCTGCTATAAATTATTCCTAATATTTATATTATTTTAGTAGTTACTCTGAAAATACTAATACACATACCTATCAAAATCTAAAGTTAATTGAATAGCTTTACCTTTCTCTTCAACAGTATAAAGATCATAAAATACTTTAACCACTCTTTTGATTTGGATGTTGTTATCATATATTTAGTTCTTTTTTTTTTTTTTGAGACGGAGTTTTGCTCTTGTTGCCCAGGCTGGAGTGCAATGGCGTGATTTCGGCTCACTGCAACCTCTGCCTCCCAGGTTCAAGCAATTCTCCTACCTCAGCCTCCTGAGTAGCTGGGATTACAGGCATGCGCCACCACACCCGGCTAATTTTTTTTTTTTTTTTTTGTATTTTTAGTAGAGACGAGGTTTCTCCATGTTGGTCAGGCTGATCTCCAACTCATAACCTCAGGTGATCCGCCCACCTCAGCCTCCCAAAGTGCTGGGATTACAGGCGTGAGCCACCACACCTGGCCTATTTAGTTCTATTTTTAAAACCTCCGCATACATCATTTTATAAAGCCAATATTTATTTCAATATATCCACAGATTTACCATTATTCTTTACTCTTCAATCCTTCTTAAATCTCAGACTTTACATCAGTGGTCACTTTTTTTTTTTTTTTTTAGCCTTCAGGAAATTGATCTGAATTTCCACTAGTAGGGAAGGTTTGATGGTTACAACATTGAGTGTTTGTCTGTTTTAAAGTGTCTAATTTTGCCCCCATTCTTCACAAGATATACAATTCTTGGTTGACAATTATTTTCTCTAAGCATATGGAAAATATTACTCCCTGTCTTATGGCTTTCATTATTATAGACAGGAAAACAGCTGACAGCCAAATACTTGTTGAAGGTAATATCTTTTTTCTCTGACAGCTTTTTTTTTTTTTTGAGATGGAGTTTTGCTCTTGTTGCCCAGGCTGGCATGCAATGGCACGATCTCGGCTCACTGCAACCTCCACCTCCCAGGTTCAAGCAATTCTCCTGCCTCAGCCTCCTGAGTAGCTGGGATTACAGGCATGCACCACCACGCCCGGCTAATTTTGTATTTTCAGTAGAGACAGGGTTTCTCCACGTTGAGGCTGGTCTTGAACTCCTGACCTCAGGTGATCCACCCTCCTCGGGCTCCCAAAGTGCTGGGATTACAGGCGTGAGCCACCATGCCCAGCCTCTGACAGCTTTTAAGACCTCTCTATGGTATCATGTAGTTTCTTTAAAAAATGTTTATGTGTGAATTTTTTTTCTTTTTATCCTTTCTGGGATTCTTTAGCTTCCTAAATTTGTAGGTTGTTTTTCATCAGTTCTCTGTCATTATCTCTTCAAATACTGCCTCTGCCTCATTCTTTTCCATGCCCCTGCTCCCCTGCCCCAGAATTCTGACTAGACTGAACCTTCTTATTCTACCCTCTGTATTCTCTTAACTCTTTTATTACTTTTCATTTTCTTGCCTCTATACTGCAATTTTTTCAGATCCACTTTACTAAATCTTTCTTTAGCTGTGTCTAATCTGTTATTAAATTTGTACACTGGTCATTTTTGTATACTTGCTCCTCATTCCTATTTTAAATTTCTTTTTTTCTATAAGCATATTAAATATATGTACTTATAATCTGTGTCTGCTAACTCCAATATGTGAACTCTTTGCAGGTTCTGATTCTGCTCTTTATTGTTTCTGCTTCCTCTCATTCATTGCATCTTATTTCTTTCTGCATTTTGTGAATGTGAGTTCATATTTCTTACAGCTTTATGTTTAGGAATTTTCTAAATCCTAAGATCAAGATGGGTTCTCCCAAGAAGCTTTGTATTTGCTGCTTTTTAGGCATTCTTAGGCATTTTAAGGCATCGTCACTCTTGTACCACTTTTATATTTAATTACTGGCTTAAGATTTTCATACCATCCAGGTAATATAAAATCAGGATTCAAACCTGCATGAAGGTCAGCTTGTGGGTAAAACTTCTCAGGGAATTTCTGTACCCTTCCCATCACCACCAAAGTTTGAGGCAGGAAATTTTTCTTTCCGATCCTTAGACAAGGTACGTTTATTACTAGTTCTCATTTATTATGATGTATAGACCCTTGGGGTACCATCTTTACCAGGAGAGGTGGGACGTTCTACCAGAAAACTACTTTTATCTTCCGTTCTCTGAGCTTCTTGAGGCACAAGCACAAGTTAACTAGGTTTTCCAAGTAATGTCATTTGCAAATAATGTCCTCAAGGCAGCAGTACTTGGCTTATATCTCTGGGTTTTCACCTTCACATAGTTTTTGGCCTGATTATTCCTTACTTTTCAGCCAGCTATCTCCATGCACATAAGGTTTTTACTTAAAAAATATTTCATCTGCCAGGCACAGTCACTCACACCTGTAATCCCAGCACTTCGAGAGGCCCAGGTGGAAAAACTGCTTGAGCCCAGGAGTTCGAGACCAGTCTGTGCAACAAGGCAAGACCCCATCTGCACAAAAAATAAAAAAATTTGCTGGACATGGTGGTGTGCACCTGTGGCCCCAGCTACTCGGGAGGTTGAGGTGGGAGGATCGCTTGAGCCCAACAGGTCGAGGTTGCAGTCAGCCATGTTCACACTACTGCACTCCGGCCTGTGTGACGGAGCAAGACCCTGTCCTCCCTCCAAAAAAAAATTATCTAGAATTTTAAATTGTTTATCTGGGAAGGTCAGTCAGAGTACCTAATTCACCATACTGCAGCAAAATAGCCATGCTTTCTTAAAAGTTTGAAAATTGGATATAGATGAAGGTATTAATGGGAAGAAGACGATAACCTTGAAACCTATCAGTAACAAGGTTGAGCACATATTTGGAAAGAAATCTGGAAAAAATATCTTCAACAATTTATAAGGAACTAAATTGGAGAGCTCAAAACACTAAGTGAATGCTTCTCAACTTTAACATACATCAGAATCACCTGGAGAATTTATTGAAAGAGAATGCTAAGCCCTACCCCAGGGTTTCTAAATTAGTCAGCCTGAAGTGGGAACTGAAAATTTGCTTTTCTAACAAGTTCTCAGATAATGCTAATTTGCTGGTCTGCAGAACCCACTATCAGAATCACTGTACTAAGAGAAATAAACTTCATAAAAACAGGAACACTGACAGGTTCATTTCATTACCTTCTACAAAAGAAGAGAAGAAATGTGTGGAAATGAGATTTCAATAACACTCTTGGTCCATCTCATCATTTAACTTATAATTAAGTTAATTTGATGACTGATAAGTAGATTTACTGAAAGGCTATGTATACAAAACAGTTATCAGACTCAATATCTGCAGGTGAAGAAAAAGGACTGGAGTGCAGCAGCTGTTTAAAGCTAGATCTATAATACTAATGATTTAAATAATAGAATAAACAACATTATTTAGAGTATTCAATACCTTGGCAGAGAATATCAAAATTCAAACTACAGACATTGTCAGAAGTGATAATTTACTAAGATGTTCAGAAGCAAATGTCTTGTTCAACCATTCAAGAATCATAATATCCCCACACCAGGCTCTATTCTCAGCAATGGGAACTGTCTGCTATGGTTCACAAAATTATATCAATATTATTCTCTAGGAGAAAAATAGGATAATTAAATTTAAAAATTTGACACAGAGGTTCATTGGAAGACTCAGAATTAGTGATAATTGGTAGTTTCATTGCTTGTCAAAGCAACTACAAAAATATTTGTCAGCACATAACACTAAAAACACTTCACAATTTTTTTTAAAAACCCACCAATGCAGCCCTTAAAGTTTTTATTATGTGGTGATTTTAAAAAGAAATGAATCTTGCATTTCAAAAATGACTTCTTACCTGAAATTAATAATTTTCCCATTTCCTCCTCCACCAAAGATCTATACAGCTAGTGCAAATCCATCAGCACTTTAACATTTCTTTCTGAATTTAGCAAAAGACCAAAATACCCTGCATTACTCATAAACAGCTGATGCTAATTGATTTGGTTTCAAATCTATAGAGCACAAGTTGTGAGAAATTAACACTTTCAGCTTAAAGTCAAAGAAAAGGAGATCAGGTTAATAAAGTTATTGAGCTGAATTTTATTGAAGTGCTCTCTGTGTCTACTCTTATAAAATACAAGAGGAAAAATGTAGGTCAAAAATCCATAGCGGAAGGTTAAAAGTGTCTTTAAAACAAACAAACAAAAAACTGTCTCGTTCTGTTGCCCAGGCTGGAGTGCAGTGGCACGATCTCAACTCACTGCAACCTCCACCTCTTGGGTTCAAGCTGATTCTCATGCCTCAGCCTCCCAAGTAGCTGGAATTACAGGCGTGTGCCACCATGCCCGCTAATTTTTGGTAGAGACAGGGTTTTGCCATGTTGTCCAGGCTGGCCTTGAACTCCTGGCTTCAAGTGATCCACCCGCCTCAGCCTCCCAAAGTGCTAGGATTACACGTGTGAGCCACCATGCCAGGCCAAAGTGTCTTTTTTTTTTTTTTTAAAGGAGTGGGGATTAAGTTGTTCCCAGAATTCGTACGGAAAAGAGCCAAGAAATGCCAAATTAAGAAAGGTAATGAAAGTACGCCCTATGAAATAACAAGAATAATTTTAAAGCTACAGCAATTAAAACAGTGTTATTGATGCAAATATGGACAAAAAGAATTATGAAACGGAATAGAGTCGACACTTAGACCCACACGTATATGGGAACTGGATATAATACAGAGATAGCATTGCAAATCAGTAAAGGAAAAAAATGGACTCAATAAATGATATTGAGACAACTGGTTATACATATGGAAAAGATAAAATTAGTTCATAATTCACACCAAACACAAAAATAAATTCCTGATCAATCACCAAAATGTGCAAGGCAAAATTTTAAAACTTTTATAAGAAAATGACTTCAGGGTGGAGAAAGATTTCCTGAAAAACACATAAAAGCACAAATCACCAAGGTAAAAAAAAAAAAAGGGTAATTATAACTATAAAATTTAAATCCAACACTCTATAAACATCATGAAAAGACCATCACTGTCTGAGAGAAGCTATTTACAACAAAGGATTAGAATCCAAAGCATACCCTACCCCCCAAAAAACGAAAAATTATACAAATCACTAAAAAAATACACAGCCCAACAGAAAAAATGAGCAAATATACAAAAGTAATTCACAGAAGGGGAAATCCCAATGACCAATATGAAAAATGCTTAATCTCACTAGTAATGAGGACAACATGCAAATTTAAACAATAGTTTTACACCTATTATATTGTAAAAGTTAAAATGTCAGCAATATTAAGTGTTGGAGAGGATATAAATAACAGGTACTCATATACTGCTAGTGACAGTATAAACTGGCATAACTAGGTAAAGATGAGTATGACTTATCGCCCAGCAATTCTACCTCTGGACACACATGCTAACTCTTACACATATATGCATGGAGACACACACTCATGTGTTGCTTAACAATAGGGATACATTCTGAGAAATGTGTCACTAGGTGATTTCATCGTTATATGAATATCATAGAGCGTACTTACACAAACCTATACGGTATAGCCTATTGCTCCTAGGCTACAAACCTGTACAGCATGTTACAGCACCAAATGCTGTAAGCAACTGTAACATAATGGGTAATTGTGTAACTAAACATATGTAAATATAGAAAGGTAGAGTAAATATATGGCATTATAATCTTTTGGGATCACCTTCCTATCTGCAGTCCCTCACTAACCAAAATATCGCTAATGTGGCAATGGCACTCGACTAAAATAATGTACATTCCGGGAAAAATAAAATTGGAACTGCCTAAATTGTCCTCTAATAAGAAAGTAGATGATTGTGGTATATTCACAAAACAGACTACAGAGTAGCTAAGCAGAATTAATTGGCTCACTATATATCCACAGGACTAAATTTCAAAATTATTTTAAGTGAAAAATGCAGGTTGCAGAAAGAAAGATATAGCATAAAACCATTATATACATTTTAAAGACACACAAAGCAATATATTGTTTTTGAGCATAAACATGCATAGATGTAGACAGAAAGAATCTATACCAACTTCAGGACAGTGATTACTTCTGGGAAAGGTCAGTGGTCTCAAGAAGGGATACTGCCAGGTGTGGTGGCTGCCACCTACAACCACAGCTACTCAGGAGGCTGAGGTGGGAGGATCACTTGAGGCCAGGTGTTGAGACTAACCTGAGCAACACAGAGAGATCCTATCTCTAAAAACTTTTTTTTAATTAGCCAGATGTGGTGGCACACCTCTGCTAGTCCAAGCTACTCAGGAAGCTGAAGCAGGAAGATTGCTCGAGCTCAGGAGTGTGAAGCTGCAGTGAGCTATGACTGCGCCACTGCACTCCAGCCCAGGCCACCAAGTGAGACTCAGCCTCTAAAAAAAATTTTTAAATAAAACTAAAAAAAAAAAAAAAAAAGGAGCAATACAAAGAAGAGTCAATTGGATCTGTAATGTTCTATTTTTTATTTATTATTATTATTTTTGAGACTGAGTTTCACTCTTGTGGCCCAGGCTGGAGTTGTGATCTCGCTCACCGCAACCTCTGCCTCCCAGGTTCAAGCGATTCTCCTGCCTCAGCCTCTCGAGTAGCTGGGATTACAGGCATGTGCCACCACGCCCGGCTAATTTTGTATTTTTAGTAGAGACGGGGTTTCTCCATGTCAGCCAGGCTGGTCTCGAACTCCCGACCTCAGGTGATCCACCAGCCTCAGCCTCCCAAAGTGCTGGGATTACAAGTGTGAGCCACCATGCCCAGCTGTAATGTTCTATTTTTAAAAAGATAAATATCTGAAGCAGATATCATATGTTAACATTTCTTAAACCTCAGTGGTAATCACATGGATATATGTTATTCACTGTACTTGTCATGCTTGAAATCTCTTAAAGTGTGCATGAATTATACTCATTCAAAAATACTTAGGGCTTCCAGAAATGGTTACATCTACAAAAGGAATATTTAGTTTTCACTATAAAAAAAAATAAGTTGGAAATTAGTAGTTTAAATCACTAGGAAACTGAAGTCAGTATAAGGTAGCTCTCAGAGCAATATTAAGGATATCAGTACTAAAATACGAAAGAGTATCTCACTGAGAGATTTTCACTTAAAATACCACAGCCAGAGTATAGATGTTTTAAAAAGCATTACAGCAAGTGCTTAGTGTATTGCCCAATGAAGGTATTTGTAAGGGTTCGCTCTTCTGCCACTGCCAAAATTTTCAATGGTAAGATAATATACTTTACCTTATACTTTTGCACCTTAACTTAACTACTTGAAAAAAAGAGTCATCCTATACATAAATTCCTCTGGGTTTCAGAAAGAAGAAGCTATCTAATGATGCTTTAAAGAATTGTTTTGTTTCCTAAAATTCATTGCATTTGAAGATACTTTTAAAAATATCCACTAAAGCGATACACAAAACTAATAACTACTGCATGTAAGACTGCAGAAAGTTGATATACTTTGGACAAACTTTCATTCAGGAAATGGACTACCAAACACTTTATAGTATTTGTTTTGATTTGTAGTACTGCACATGAGCTATCCACAATTTACAGCTTGAGTTCCAAAGTTTCATCTGAAAGTTTGTTTGGTAATGATGTCATTCACCCACAAAATGTTATAAATGACTAGGTTTCTTTTTTTTTTTTTTTTTTTTTTTTTTTTGAGACGGAGTCTCGCTCTGTCGCCCAGGCTGGAGTGCAGTGGCGGGATCTCGGCTCACTGCAAGCTCCGCCTCCCGGGTTCACGCCATTCTCCTGCCTCAGCCTCCCAAGTAGCTGGGACTACAGGCGCCCGCCACTACGCCCGGCTAATTTTTTGTATTTTTAGTAGAGACGGGGTTTCACCGTTTTAGCCGGGATGGTCTCGATCTCCTGACCTCGTGATCCGCCCGCCTCGGCCTCCCAAAGTGCTGGGATTACAGGCGTGAGCCACCGCGCCCGGCCAAATGACTAGGTTTCTAAACAAAGGCTACAAAAGCTTCTGATATTGATACTGATACTGAATATTCTGGCCTGCCCTAGTCAAAACACTAGATTCGACAAATTTTACCTCTAACATCTTTCCATACCCCTTTCAACTCCTAAGCAAGTTCTCTCTCGTTGGTTCCTATTTCACATTATCTTACTCCTATCTCTGCCAAACAGATGACCTCGATTAGGTTTAAGGACTTATGAAGAAAGAGATCCACTGGCTTTATTTGCACTAAAGTATGTGTATTTTCAGAAAGGGACTGCTGAATCTCCAGTAAGTGAGATTTCTGGCAATTTTAAAAGATAAGCATACAAAACAGTTCAGGCACTGTGGAAAACTTTTCTTTTTTCTTTTCCAGTAGTGGGAAGGTAGTGGTATCTTCTGATGACCTAGAAACTGTACACTGAATAACATCACACATTTTATTCTTCAGCCAATTTCCCAGATAAACTATATACGGTGCTTCATTGGAAAAAACTTCAATTACATAGTGAATATAAATCCCACTTATAAGATGATGTCAGAATATCAAAAGTAGTAAGAATGCAAAATAAACTGTCCCCCACAAAAAGGAAATATAAAACCCATTAAGAGTATCGCAACAGCCGGGCTCAGTGCCTCACGCCTGTAATCCCAGCACTTTGGTAGGCCAAGGCAGGCAAATCACTTGAGGTCAGGAGTTCGAGACCAGCCTGGCCAACATAGCAAAACCCTGTCTCTACTAAAAATAGAAAAATTAGCTGGGTGTGGTAGCACAGGCCTGTAATCCCAGCTACTAGGGATGCTGAGGCAGGAGAATTGCTTGAACCCAGTGAGTGGAGGTTGCAGTGAGCCAAGATCGCGCCACTGCACTACAGCCTGGGCAACAGAACAAGACTCTGTCTCAAAAAAAAAAAAAAAAAAAAAAAAAAAAACAGTATTGCAACAACAACAAAAACATTTGATAAAATTCAACATCCCTTCATGATTAAAAAAACTCTCAACAAATTAGGCATAGAAGGAATATATCTCAAAATAATAAAGTCTATACACAACAAACCCAGAGCTAACATCATACTGAATGAGGAGAGGTGAGATCTTTCTTCTAAAAGCTGGAATGAGGCAGGGATGCCCATTTTCACCACTCCTATTCACCACAGTACTGGAAATCCTAGCCAGAACAATCAGACAAGAGAAAGAAATGAAAGGCATCCAAACTGGACAAGAGAAAGTCAAATTGTCTCTTTGCTGATTATATATCTGTAGGTTTAGAAAACCTTTAAATCAGTAGCATTTCTATACATCAATAAGGATCTAGCCAAGAAAGAAATTAAGAAGGCAATCCCATTTACAATAGCTACCGAAAACAAACAAAAACCTAGGAATACATTTAACTAAGGAGGTGAAAGATCTCTACAAAGAAAACTACAAAACACCAATGAAAGAAAATAAATCAAAAAACATCCTATGCTTGTGGAAAGAATTAATATCACTAAAATGACCATATTGCCAAAGCAATCTACAGATTCAATGAAATCCCTATCAAAATACCAATGTGATTCATATGGGACCAAAAAAGGAAAAAGAAAAAAGCCCAAACAACCAAACCAAACCTGGGCAAAAAGAACAAAGCTGCAGACATCACATTATCTGACTTCAAAATATATTATAAAGCTATAGTAACCAAAACAGCATGGTATTGGTATAAAAATAGACATGTAGACCAATGGAACAGAATAGAGAATCCAGAAATAAAACCACATAATTATAGACAAATGATCTTCAACAACACTGACAAGAACTCACACTAAGGAAAGGACACTGTCTTCAATAAATGATGCTGGGAAAATTGCATAACTTCATGCAGAAGTGTGAAACTAGACCCCTATCTCTCACCATATACAAAAATCAACTCAAAATGGATTGAAGATTTTAAGACCCAAAACTATAAAAATACTACAAGAAAGTCTAGGGAAAACACTCCTGGACATTGGTGTAAGCAAAGAATTTATGATTAAGACATCAAAAGCCCAGGTAACATAAAGAAAACTAAACAAATGGGACTTAAGCAAACTAAAAAGCTTCTGCACAGCAAAAGAATAATCAACAGAATGAAGAGACAACCTGTTGAATGGGAGAAAATATTTGCAAAGTATTCATCAAGCAGAGGACTGATATCCAGAACATACAAGGAACTCGAACAACTCAAAAGGAAAATAACAAATAATCCCATTAAAAAAGAAGACATACAATGGCCAAAAGAAGACATGGAAAAATGTTCCACACCACTATCAGAGAAATGCACATCAAAACCACAATGAGATATCATCTTACCCCAGTCAGAATGGCTATTATTAAAAAGACAAAAAGTAACAGATGTTAGTAAGGATGCAGAGAAAAGGGAACTCTCACATACACTGTCGGTGGGAATGTAAACTAGTACAACCACTAAGGAACACTGTATGGAGATTTCTCAAAGCTAAAAATAGAATTACCTTCCATCCAGCAATCCCACTACTGGGTATCTACACAAAGGAAAAGAAATCAATGTATCAAAGGGATAGCTGCACTTGCATGTTTATTGCAGTACTATCACAATAGCAAAAATATGGAATCAACCACCTAAGTGTCCATCTACAGATGAATGGATAAAGAAGATGTCATACATGTACACAATGGAATACTATTCAGCCATAAAAAGAATGAAATCATATCATTTGCAGCAATGTGGATGGAACTGGAGGTTATTCTCTTAAGTGAAATAAGCCAGGCACAAAAAGACAAATATTGCATGCTTTCACATATATGTAGGAGCTACAAAATTTGAACACAAGGAGGCAGGGAGTGGAAAAATAGATAACAGAGACCGGGAAGGCGGAGTAAGGGAGAGAAAGGCTGAAGAGAAGTGGGTTAAAAGGTAAAAAGATCCAATGAGGTCAGTCGCGGTGGCTCATACTTGTAATCTCAGCACTTTGGGAGGCCAAGGCGGGTGGATCACCAGGTCAGGAGTCCAAGACCATCCTGACCAATGTGGTAAAACCCTGTCTCTACTAAAAATACAAAAATTAGCTGGGCGTGGTGGCACATGCCTGTAATCCTAGCTACTCAGGAGGCTGAGGCGGGAGAATCGCTTGAACCCGGGAGGCAGAGGTTGCAGTGAGCCAAGATAACACCACTGCACTCCAGCCTGGGTGACGGAGCAAGACTCCGTCTCAAAAAAAAAAAAAAAAGATCCAGTGATAGGAGGAATAAATTCAATGTTTGATAGCTGAGTAGATGACTATACTTAATACATTGGACTCATGTACCCTGACTTGATCACTACACATTATACACATGTAAAAAAATTTTCATGTACTCCATAAATATGCACAAATAAAAGTATTGCAACAAGGTGAACTATTTTTGCTAAAAATCACTCAGTAGTTACTAGAAAATAAAGGCTATCAGAAGAAATGATAGACAATCAGATGGGCCAAAGTTTTTCAGATTTTCCAAAAGGTAGAAGATAGTTTCTGAACATTATTATGTCCAAAAAGTTCTAGGTGAGGTAAACCTAGTCTTTACTACACTCTTGCAACTAAGCTGGTGAACTAGGTAACAGTACCAGGCTGATCTGAGTTCAAATCTTGACCCTGCTTCTTGCTGGCTATGTGAACTTCTCAAGTTACTAAATCTCTCTCTCTTTCTCTCTGCAAAAAAACAAAGATAATACTACCTACTTTGCAGGTTGTTTTGTTGGAATTAAATGAGACACATCTGTATTTAAGCAACAGTGCCCAAGTGTATTAATGGGTATCAGTCTAGAGGCATGTCACTGGCAGCATGTCCAAGGGTTATTTCTGACCCTGTCTTATTCTATCCTTTACCAATAACTCAAACGTAGAAACAGAAGTCATGATTAAACCTACAGATCTAACCAAACTGGAAGAGACAGCTATTATGTTTCCTAACATGAAAGAACTAAGAATCCAGATTACCTCAACAAACAGCAGACATGCACTGACCTAAAAAAATGAATTGTAAAAGGATAAGGTCTTGATTTAGGTTCAATAAAACTGCTCTAAACCTAGAATGGAGCTAGGGAGCTGATTTTAAAAGAACATGAGTTTTCACTGACTACAAGCTCAGTATGAGCCAAGAATGTGATTTACTATAGAAAAAACGCTAATACAATTTTATCTGGTATGAATAATGGTAGTGTCCATCTCAAGACAATAATAGCTTAAGTACATTCTTCTCTGATCACTGTGTTCCACTCTGGGCACATTTTAGAAGAAAGGTTGACAAAACAGTAACATTAGGTTACTTCCAGAGGAAGGTAGCCTAAATGATGAAGGGTTTGGAATATGAAATATGCTAGGAATTGGGGGATGTTTAACTTGCAAAATCGAAAATCTGAGGAGATATGTAACCTGTATTCAAGTAAATGAGTAGCTTGAGTAGCTATTACATGGAAAAAGAATTGTGTTTAGTTCCGTATGGCTTGAAACAGCAGAAATAGTAACTACGTATAAAAGTTACATGGAACTCCAGATAACAAAGACCTAACATAGCTGTATGACATTACAGGCAAGCTTTAGGGTAATATACCATCTATCACCAGAGTGTTCAGAGACTGATTCATTTTCAACAAAAATGTATTGAGTACCTAAGTCCCACAAGGTACACAAAGCGCAGTTGATAATGACTAAATAACTTGTATGTTCTCTGCTTTTCACTGAGGTGAAGTGGTAGAAGCAAATAATAACACACACTCAAAGTAACAAAAAGATAAATCTCTAAGGAGAGGAATACAGTTCTTCAAGAGTATATAACAAAGGATCCTGACTTATAATGTGGGGTCAGAGTAGGCCTCCCTTGAGTAGCTAAGTGATGTCTGAGTAGGAGGTAAATGGTTGGGGGGAAGAACGTTACAAAGAAAGGAAACACCACTCGCAAAGACCTTGTGGTAAGAGAAACTACAGGTTCAAGGAATTGAAAGGCTCGTTTACCATATAACCTGAGCACACAGAGTAAGAGAATGAGTGGAAAGAAGCAGGAGCAGAACCACAAAGAGTCCTGAAGGCCTCATTAAGGATTTGGTTTTCTCCCAAAAGTAATGGGATGCTGCTGAGGAGGGGTTTAAGTAGTAATAGGCACGGGAAGGAACAATGAAGGTCAAGAATGAATTGGAGGTGGGCCACATGCTCTAAGAAGACTACTTGGGAGGCCGGGCACGAATCTCAGCACTTTGGGAGGCCAAGGCAGGTGGATGACCTGAGGTCAGGAGTTCGAGACCAGCCTGGCCAACATGGTAAAACCCCGTCTCTACTAGAAATACAAAAATTAGCCGGGTGTGGTGGTGGGCGCCTGTAATCCCAGTTACTCAGGAGGCTGAGGCAGGAAAATGGCTTGAACCCAGGAGGCGGAAGTTGCAGTGAGCAGGGATCACGCCATTGCACTCTAGCCTGGGTAACAAGAGCGAAACTCCATCTCAAACAAACGAACAAAAAAATACTTGGAAGCTTCCTGCAGTAGTCCAGACCAGAAATGATGGTAGTTTGGGAAAAGGAGGTAAAAATGAAGATGTGGAAAGGTGGACAGACTGGAGATTTTTAGGTTAAAATGACAGAACCCATGTGACCAATCCAGATAGTCCAGTGGGTGACTTGGAACTAGTCTAAAGCAACCATTCCCCCAAACCAGAGTCTTTGGCCCTAATTAAATACCTTTATGGGGGGCAGGAGCAGAACTCTGACAAATTTTACCGGGGGATAGGGCAGAGGACATGGGTACAGCAAAAGAGAGATATAAAGGGTTACCCACCCTCTCCCTCCCTCAGATTCCCAGCCTATATAACTGGGTGGATGATGGTATCATTCAGTGAGATATTCCTATCTCACTGGATAGGTACAGATGGTCCCTGACTTACAATGGTTTGACTTAACATTTTTCAACTTTACAATAGTGCAAAGGTGATAGGCATTCAGCAGAAACTGTACTTTGAAGACCTACACAACCATTCTGTTTTTCACTATCAGCACAGTAATAAATGACATGAGGTATTCAACATTTTATAATATAGGTTTATGTTAGATGATTTTGCCCAACTGTAGGCTAATGTAAGTGTTCTGTGCATGTGTAAGGAAGGCAGGCTAGGCTAAGCTATGATATTCGGTAGATCGGGTGTATTAAATGCATTTTCAACTTCTGATACTTTCAGCTTACAATGGGTTTATCGGAAGGTAGCCCCATCGTTAAGTCGAGGAGTATCTACACAAGTTAGGTGGGCTAAGATCCTGGGTTCGGAGTTGAAAAAGCTGCGTTTCGGGACCTTGATTTTAAATAAGCAGTTGGACATATTAACCTGAAACTTAAAGGGCAGGTCTGGACTGGGGGTAAAATATTGAGAATCACTGGCATATAGACAGTTGTAGCTATGGGCTTAGAAGAAATTGCCTGAGCGGGAAATTGAGAGTGAGAAGACGGCCTTTGAGGAATACCAGCAATGAATAACAAAGTAGAGGAGGGTGAGGCCGCAAAAGAGAGGTCTGAGTCAAACCAGGAGCGAGGCATTCCAGAACACATGTGAAGAGTGCTTTCCGTCAAGGAAGCCATGGTCAACAACGTCAAACGCTGCTGAGATATCAAATAAGATAAGGATTGAAAGGTATCAATTAAGTTGAGGGACAGGTTTCAGTGGGATGATGGGGCAGAAATCAGACTGCAGTAGGTTGAAGGGTGAGTAGGTGGTAAGCAAATGGAAGACAATAAATATAGACAACTCTATCAAATTTCCTGCTGTAAACTGGGACGGGAAAAGGTGACAGCTGTGGGGGTGGGGGAAGGGTTTAAGATAGAGAAGCTTGATTATGTTAAGAAGGAGCAGGTGAATATACAGATAGGGTCTGAAGTACTGGCAGAAGGACTAGCCTTAAAAGGAGAGGCCATGGGGAAAAGGAAGAGAAAGAAGCCAAACTAAATGACCTTTAAGATCCCTTCTTACTCTAGAATCTCATGACCTACAAGTCCCTTCAGATAGGGCATTTGCATATATGCATAAATCTATGCAAACTTATTCAAAAATTCTGTTATAAATAGATCAGTCAATCACATCTTTCACCCCCAATGACGCAGTTAATGTCCTCAGGTTTATGACCAGTGTAATCTCCGGGCAGGACTCATCCCTTGAGAGCTTTTAGCTCAAGGCAGACTGCAATACAGCACTCAACCAGCTCTCTCTCCTCGCCAAACCCATCCTACCCAACGATCCTAAAGGCTAAAGGAGGAAGTAAATTTAAAACCCTGAAACTACAGCATATCCTGCTGCATTCGAAGCGAGTGTCATCCATAAAAACAAAACGTGACACCCCAAATCCATCCTCACTCCAAGCTAAAGCCAATTCCTGCCTGACCCGACAGTTGACAGGTCCCCCAGATGGCCGGGCTTTAACACTAAAAGTCATTGGCACCCCCTCCTCTTTCCCAACGACCTTTAATTTGTGAAGAGCCAGACATGGGTTCCTGAAGATCCTTCCTACACCCCTTGCCCCGAATGCAGCAGAGGTGCTCCCGGCAGTTACTCCGGCGCCCCCTAATAAGCCCTCGCAAGGGGGTGCGGAAAGACCCCCAGAGCCCGTCAGAGGGGGCTTCGGCGACCGCGACCCTGCGGCTGTGTGGAGGACGAGGGAACAAGCCCCAAGGGATGGGAAGGGAGGATGACGGGAGGCGCAGCAGACGCGTGTAACGAGGGGTCATCTCCCCTCGAGGGGGGTGGAGTTGTTGAGGAGGGCTAATCCCCTGCCACCGCTCCCCTGCTACCCTCAAGTCCCGCTCTGGCCTCGCGCCCCATTGCTCGGATTCACTCCCACTCCTCTGGGGCCGCCTGGACCCCAGAGTGCCCGCGAGCCCGGCGCCCCTGCCTCAAGCCTGGGCTCCCAGACCGGCACTCACCCGGCCCGCCATCTTCGCGGACACGTCCGGCTCGGCGGCTGCAGCTCTGCGCTCGGCAAAGCCCGCCCCCGCCGCGCGCGCGCCCCCGCCGCCCGCCCTCGCGCAGGCGTGCAACCGCCGTGAGGACGCGCGCGTCCCTGGCCGCGTCCCCGGCGTCCTCGCTCCACAGGGCGCGCGCGCGGGCTCGGCGGCCGCCTGGGGTGCGCGGGGTGGGCAGAGCGGCGGCGCCATTTTGGCTGGAGCTGCGGGGCTGTGGTGGGTGACTCCGTTTCCAACGTGCGTGTCAGTCCGCCGGGGCCTGGAGGGCTGCGCCTGCGAGTCTCATCCCCCACTGGCGGTTCGCGCCGGAATTTGTCTCAAGGGCTTTAATGCTTCGGATCACTTATCCCTTTGCCAGCTGCTGTTCGCCCTCGAATGTCCATTTTGGTCTGTGCTTCCACACTCTCTTTAAACATGGTCTTGCTGATGAGAGCGCCCGGCGCGTTCCCTGGCTTCCCCCAAAAAAGATCAGCTCCGAGGAGTTGGTTCTGAGTTCAAATTCTCCATGAATTTTCTCACTTTTCTTTGTAGGCGTACTTGTTTTCCTAGTTGCTGGAATTGTCATCGTTGGCAGTTTTATTTATGTGTAGCCTGGAAAACTCAGTATTTTCAGATTTGAAAGTGAATTGTGATTATTTTTATACATTATTTTTATTAAATATTTGTCTTTATTTAATAAAGGCAACTTGCATCTTCGACCAACCTTTTCATTCCCCAGTGTTGTTTCATTTTAGACAATATATATGGTAGAATCTGAATAAAATATGCCCTAAATTGAGCCTTGTTGAACCTCAATGTTTCCACCATACCATTTCTCCACTGGAATCTCAGAATATCTAACTGCAAGCACGCTGAGAGGAGAAAGATTCTGCCGAATGGATTCCCTGATGCTTTTATTTACCCCACTATCATATCTCTCTTCATATTTGCACAAGACAATAGGGAATGATAGGATTTGTTCGCTTTCATTTCTCACAATTAGAATAAATCGGGGTTTTTTTCCCAACATGAGGAAAGAAGGGAAATAACTAGAAGAGCTGAGCATGCATAGTGATTTAAATTTGAGAACTAATAAAATCAGACAGTGACCTGAAGATGAACTAGGGACAGAAGAAAAAATTCATGCCAGCCAGGCGCGGTGGCTCATGCCTGTAATCCAAGCACTTTGGGTGGATCACCTAAGGTCAGGAGTTCCAGACCGGCCTGGCCAATATAGTGAAACCCCGTCTCTACTAAAAATACAAAAATTAGCCGGGCGTGGTGGCGGGCGCCTGTGATCTCAGCTACTCAGGAGGCTGAGGTGGGAGAATCGCTTGAACCCCGGAGGCAGAGGTTGAAGTGAGTTGAGATTGCGAGGCTGGGCAACAGAGCGAGACTCCGTTTAAAAAAAAAAAAAAAAAAAAAATTCACGCCTATTTCATTAAGTCTCACACTGAACCTGAGGACCAGGGTGCTTGGTTGACCAAATCAGATGTTAGCTAAATCATGGGTGGGTCGGAGAGGTTATCAGGAAAGATAGGAAACTAGTTGAGTTCTGACATACTAACGTGCAGAAGCTACTAACTTACAAAAACAAATATTAGAATGGCTTGGGGAGTCCAAAGGGTTAGGTTCTTTTCTTTGTCCCTATCTACCCATCACCTGTGTACCTTCATCTCTCTGAGCCCAGTTTCCTTATTTGTTTTTGTTTGTTTGTTTTTGAGACGCAGTCTTACTCTGTCACCCAGGCTGGAGCACAGTGGCATGATCTCGGCTCACTGCAACCTCCGCCTCCCGGGTTCTAGCTATTCTCCTGTCTCAGCCTCCCAAGTCGCTGGTATTACAGGCGCCTGCCACCACACCCAGCTAATTTTTGTATTTTTAGTAGAGACAGCGTTTTGCCATGTTGTCCAGGCTGGTCTCGAACTCTTGACCTCAGGTGATCCACTGGCCTTGTCCTCCCAAAGTGCTGGGATTACAGAAGTGAGCCACCACGCCTGGCCTAGTTTCCTTATTTGTACAGTGAGAGGTATAATTAAATAAGCTTAACAGTTGTATCCTTTTTTTTTTTTTGACACCTTGACTTTGAACCTAGAATCAAAGAGATTTTGTCCAAATAATTACAAGATCCAGAAGATGACATTGGTTCTCAGTCCAATAATCTGACATTATTTTCAAGGTTGGAAAATAATGCAAACATGTTTCTCCCTATCACTGGTTAGTTTGTCTTGTTTTACTAGATAAGCTAGATTGCAAGTACAAATGTCTTCAATTTCTCCAACAAGGAAGAATATTTATCATCTTGGAAGGATATGCCTGCTGGAAAGTTTCCAGTGTATCAGCTAATGTGCATATCTACCCATTATAAGAGGCCCTCTGTGCCCTCTCAAAGCCCTCTGTGCCTTCTCACAAGTAGTAAAAATTAAATAGAATCATTTGCACAGCCCTGCAGGGCCTGCCAAATAAATTGCAAGCAAAGATAGCTCTTGTCCTTAAGGTCCTTAGCATCCAGCAGGAGAGGAAGGATCCTGAGACAGTGCTCCAGATACTCCACATGTCTCTGCAACCTGTTTGTGCCTTGCTCTGACATTCAAGGTCATCTTAGAAATAGAGGGGTGCTGATTCTGCATCACCCTCTGAGTAATCCTTGCAGTGATAGTCGATAAGCAATAAATGTTTTTGCTGCCCCAAATTCACTCTGCCCTTTTCTGGTAACAGCTCCTCTGGTTCATGCAGCCTTGGAAGGACTGTCAGACCAGGTACCCTGCCTCCCCCTGGCCCAGGAGTGAATACAGAACCCAAGTTCAATCAGTCAGATGCTCTGTCTCTCCTAAGTAACTGCAATCTTGAATACCCTGAAGAATAAAGACAGAAATAGCTAGAGCTCATTTACTGCAATGATGACACCCTGAAGAGACCATTTGCTAGTTCTCTAGATCTCTAGAGTTTACCTGCTTTCTGTCATCTGAAAAATCTGATTGTCCCCCTTTGTCTTGATTTCTGTTAGTCACTTTCTCTTCCTAGAAAAATACCTCCCTCAGCTCTTCGTCGATCCCTGAAATTCTTTTAATATGCTTTCCTTTCACAGTGAGAAAGTTAGTAAGACGGCTAACAGAATGATTAATTTAAATCCTAAAGTGTAATGACTAACATCATTTTTTAAGGAAGGAAGGGCTTTGAGTGGGGGGTAGGAGGTGAGTCTAGGGATAGGGTCAGAGAGGAAAGGTACCTGAAAGGTGGGGAAAGAAGATGAAGACATGATAAAATGGAAATAGCAGGACCCAGAATGAAGAAGAGTGGGGCATAAGGGCAGGGGCAGGGTTTGACCAAGGTCAGTTCTTGCTGAACACAGCCCTTGTGATCCAGTGTGACGGTTAATTCTGTGTCAACTTGGCTTGGCCATGTTGCCCAGATACTTGATCAAATATTATTCTGGATGTTTCTGTGAGGGTGTTTTTGGATGAGATTTACATTTAAATCTGTAGACTTTGAGTAAAGAAGGTTGCCCTCCATAATGTAGGTGGGCCTCATCCAATCACTTGAAAGCCTGAATAGACAAAAGGCCAAACTCATCCAGAACAAGAAGGAATTCTCTAGCAGGTTACCTGTGGACTAGAACTGTAACTCTTCCCTGGGCCTCCTGCATGCCAGCTTCTCCCATCAGATTTTGGGCTCCCAAAGTCTCCACGATCACACGAGTCAATTCCTTAAACAAAATTTCCTCCTATGTATATACACATTCTGTTAGTTCTATTTTTCTGGAGAACCCTGATGAATATAGTCAGTTTCCTGTCAGTTACAGGGATGTGATTCCTGGTTTTTACAAAGTGATCCTTAGCATCACCTGTTGCTCCCTGATAGGTAACCAACATCTATAGGTGGAGGCCTGATTCAAAGACTTGAAAACAGTGCACAGATAGAATTTTATGTTCAAATTATGTCCCATTAAACATCACTTAAAATGTGCTCCATTGGAATGGGGCTGACTAACATTTTGGTTATATAGACATTTGTTTGTAATGGTTGTGGTAACAGAATTTAACTGGGGGAAAAATAAATATCTTCTGTGATTTGTGGAGTGAGGGCAATATAAAACATAGAAGTGAACAGATTCACCGTAATCCACTTTATTTAACAAAGCAATCTGACTATTTGGTGTTTTCATATTAACCAAAGGAAAACTACCTTTAGTCTGTGGAAACTGTAGGGTTAAACAAGTGGCACTGGGGACAGAGTTTTTAGTCACTGCAGGGCTGTTTCAAAGGTCTTCCAGCGGGATTGTATGTAGGTGTTTCAGGGAACAGTCCTGTTCGGTGAATTCACTACTGTATTGTAATTGTCAGAAGGCGTCCTGCAGTGTGTGTGTGTGTGTGTGTGTGTGTGTGTGTGTGTGACAGAGAGAGACAAAGAGAGAGATGAAGACCTGCACTTCCCCTCTTGCAGAAGATGTCACTGTGAAGCACACAAAGGTGGTCTTCAGAGCCCCTTTTATTCCCTTCCCGCTGCACCCCCTCCTCTCTTTCCCAAGTTCTTTCAGTATTAGTAACCTAACGTATTACTCTTCCCAGGAGTATTGGCAATTTAGGAAAATACTGACAGGACAGCAGTGCCTGACCTAAGAAAACAAACCTCAAAAGGCAACACTTCAGAGACTGTGACACTGTATGGGGAGCCATCTGTGTATAGAAAGCCTTCTCTTGCCCCTCCAATCGTAACTCACAGGTCAGCCACACATACCATGCAAGCCTAGGCTTTCTGGGAGCCCCATGAACACTTAATTTTAGAGCCCCGTCACAGCCAGTTTTAGGATGATGGAGTTGCCATCTGTTTGTTTTCTGTCAGAGAAACCTGTTTTCTAAAATGATGGATAAAGCTAGAGAACGGAGCAAAATGGAGAAAGGACATGGAATTTTTAAATGAAAGGAAGACCAGCTGATGCAATGCAGTATTCTAGCTGCAGTCAGTTGCGGGGCGGGGTGGGGGGTGTTTGTTTTAAATGAATATGTCTTTTCTCTTTGCAGGATCAAGGACAAACACCTATAGTCACAAAAAACAATTCATTCTGGAAAGCCTGAGTGAGCAGGAGAGATGATAGAATCCTCCGTGGAAAGGAAGGACTGTTGCTATGGAAACCAGATGATCCTTCAGTGGGGGCCCCAGTGCACTTGCCAGGCTGCCTAACCCTGTGTATTAACATCATGGGGCTGGAAGGCTGCCTGCATCTCTTTGAAAAGAGATTTTTCAGATATTGGTGTGATGAGACTTTATGCACCTTGAGAAAAGTAAATCAGCATCTCCTGGGAGGGGCTAAGTTGCCTAGAACCTTAAAACACTAGAGGCCCACACACCACAGCCGACTGGGGTGACTATATTGGCTACTCTTGACATTTCTCCAGAGGGCATCCAAGAAGGCGTGTCTTAAGGATTCTCTCTCTCTCTCTTTTTTTTTTTTTTCGAGATGGAGTCTTGCTCTGTTGCCCAGGCTGGAGTGCAGTGGAACGATCTCAGCTCACTGCAACCTCTGCCTCCCAGGTTCAAGCAATTCTGCTTCAGCCTCTCAAGTAGTTGAGATTTACAGGCACGCACCACCATACCTGGCTAATTTTTTTATTTTTAATGTTTATTTTTTGGTAGAGACAGGGTTTCACCATGATGGCCAGACAGCTCTCGAACTCCTGACCTCAAGAGATCCACCCGCCTTGGCCTCCCAAAGTGCTGGGATTACAAGCGTGAATCACTGTGCCTGGCCAAGGATTCTCTTAAGGGCAGGTTTATGGAGGGCTGTTTCTGAGGTAAGGAACACAGCTTTCCAAGAGAGGAAGAAGACATCCCTTGAGCAGAGGTTTGATTAGAAGAATAAGTTTAGTGGCACTTGGGGGAAGGTGGTCTGGGTATTCTGTGTGACATTTAAACTCTAACTACCATACCAATACCACTATTACTACAACTATCCCTAATTACACTATTAACTAATTTTAAAGTCTAAGCCAGAGATGAGGAGCTTTCTCCAAATAGGTTTCTCAGAGTGAAATTCTCTTTCTACTTCTCCCAAGAGCACTTTGTCCTTTCCATGCTTTACAAATAACATTATATTGATAAGATGTGTTTTCTATTAAGGAAAAAATAACTCTATTAAGTCAATATCATCACAAGCAATTCATGCTTATTGAGTCGTTGCAGTTCGAGATTTATAAACTTCCCTGAGCAGCCACTGTGATTTCAATTAAACCTCCCTCTTGTCAGAGTTTTAATTTTTAAAAAATAAGTTGAGTTTTCCATTTTAAAATCAGTACACTATTTTCCCTCGATCACTTAAAAACAATCACAGTCCTACCTCCTGAATATATTCACTAGTAAGTTCGGCCTATTTTTAGCCTCTTCCCCTATACATTCCTCATGCATATCATTATAAAATTCTCCCTCTTTTTCTCTCTCTATATGAATGTATTTTGTTTGTTTGTTTTTTGAGACAGAGTCTCACTTTGTCTCCTAGGCTGGAGTGCAGTGGCACTATCTTGGCTCACTGCAACCTCTGCCTTCCAGGCTCAAGCAGTCCTCTCATCTCAGTCTTCTGAGTAGCTGGGGCTACAGGTGCACACCACCATGACCAGCTAATTTTTGTATTTTGTATTTTTTGTAGAGATGGGGTCTCACCATGTTGACCAGGCTGGGCTTGAACTCCTTGGCTCAAGCAGTCTACCCAACTCAGCCTCCCAAAGTGCTAGGATTACAGGTGTGAGCCACTGCACCCGGACGTATGTATTAAATATATATTATATATATATATATATATAAAACATATACGTATATGTGTATGTATTTATGTGATTATAATTGTTTAGCAATTGAATGCCATGTGGGCAGGAACTTTGTTTATTCAGAGGCTTGTGAAAGGAAAATAAAAACTTGGGAACCCAATTCATTCTGCCAAAAGAAAAAAAATTAAGCTGAAAGCTGAGTCATGCAAGAAGTTGCCTTTCCTTTCATTCCTAAGCAGGACTGACTGCAGCTAACTACTCTATGTCCACCTTATCTTATGGTAAGCACGAGAGTAATACATAATTGACTATTCCCCTACTTGCTCCTTGTCTCTTGCAACATGTGAATTCAGTAATGTGACCATACTCTCCTTCTTTCCCTTCCAGCCTGCTTTTCCATTTTAAATATTAAATCCTTGCTGGGCACCGTGGCTCACGCCTGTAATCCCAGCACTTTGGGAGGCCAAGGCAGGTGGATCATAAGGTCAGGAGTTCGAGACGAGCCTGGCCAACATGGTGAAACCCCGTCTCTACTAAAAACAACAAAAATTAGCTGGGCATGGTGGTGTGCGCCTGTAATCCCAGCTACTGGGGCGGCTGAGCCAGGAGAATGGCTTGAACCCAGGAGGCGGAGGTTGCAGTGAGCCGAGATTGTGCCACCGCACTCCAGCCTGGGTGACAGAGCAAGACTCTGTCTCAAAAATAAAAATAAATAAATAAATAAATAAATAAATAAAATATTAAATCCTTCTGGCCGGGCGCGGTGACTCACACCTGTAATCTCAGCACTTTGGGAGGCTGAGGTGGGCGGATCACCTGAGGTCAGGAGTTGGAGACCAACCTAGCTAACATGGTGAAACCCCGTCTCTACTAAAAACACAAAAATTAGCCAGAAGTGGTGGCACGCGCCTGTTAATCCCAGCTACTTGGGAGGCTGAGGCATGAGAATCATTTGAACCTGGGAGGTGGAGGTTGCAGCGAGCCAAGATTGTACCACTGCACTCCACCCTGGGCAACAGAGTGAGACTCTGGCTCAAAAACAAACAAACAAACCAAACTAAATCCCTCAAAATCACCTTTGGAAAAAGGCACAGGCCTGTCTCCCAGGTAAGCATCCTTAATTTTGGCAAAATAAACTTGTAAATTGATTGAGACATGTCTCAGATACATTTTGGTTTACAGGCTCAGTGCAGATATTGGGAAAATAATGAATATTCTTAGGCTATGAGGGATGGAAGGATAAATTCTCATAATTATCAGCTCCAGCATTCCTTCTGTAGGAACAAACAATGGTAAGTAAAAATCTCACCTTCGTTATTTCACCTTTTTTTTAGGTTATGATGACTCCATTCAAACAACCTTCATAGTTCCTGGCAAAACAACTTTCTATCTTTCCCTTGGAAGTCAGTAGGACATGAATATATCATTTCTAATAGATGAAATAAAAATACTAGTAAACATTTGGAAAAATAGCAAGTCATCAAATAAATGAAAATTAAACTAGCATGAGTTTTTTGTTGTTGTTGTTGTTGTTTGAGACAGAGTCTCACTCTGTCACCCAGGCTCTGCACCCAGTGCAGTGGCTCTATCTCGGCTCACTGCAACCTCCGCCTCCCGGGTTCAAGCAATTCTCCTGCCTCAGCCTCCCAAGTAGCTGGGATTACAGGAATGCACCACCACGCCCAGCTAATTTTTGTATTTTTAGTAGAGACGGGGTTTCAGCATGTTGGCCATGATGGTCTTGATCTAACCTCATGATCTGCCCGCCTCGGCCTCCCAAAGTGCTGGGATTACAGGTGTGAGCCACTGCACCCGGTTATGTATAATTTTTATAGTCAGAAAAAACATACTTTAATTTTTAAGGAGTCATATGTATTTATATTAACCCTCATACATATAAGCACTGTAATTAGAAGAGTAAGTAGTACTGTAATTTAATAGTTTTGTTTGCTCAATGCACAGTGAGTCAGCATACAGAGACACCTGGCTGCAGCAAAGAAAGAGTTTAATAATCACAGGGCATCTGAATGAGGAGATGGGAAGAAGCCTCAAATCCACCTCCCTGAGAGGTTTGGGGGGCAGGGTTTTTAAGTCCTCTGGACAGGGGCTGCAGTGTGGGGATCGATGATTGGTCAAGAAGTGAAGGGCGAAGTCATGAGACAGGGAGACCAAGAAACCTCATTCTTGTGCTGAGTGGGTTCCTTGGTTGGGGACGTCAGAATTCAGGATCTGAAAAACAACCCGTTCTTGGGCAAAACGATCTTATGAGTCTAGCGTCAGAAATTCTTACTCATGGTAAGAACCATGGAGAAACAGGTAGGAGGTGGTCTAGCACGTGGAGTGATGTTCAGTGAGTTAGCAGCTGCAGGGAAGTGGGTCAAAGTACACTTGTGCACCCTGGATAACAGCTAACTATATATAATGCTGCCTAAAGCCTGGCTTGTAACTCTCCTTAATCCTGTGAGGGCAGTTTCCATTCTGTATTTGCTTAAAAAGATTAAGGTGGCCAGGCGCGGTGGCTCATGCCTGTAATCCCAGCACTTTGCGAGGCTGAGGTGGGTGGATCACTTGAAGCCAGGAGTTCAAGACCAGCCTGGCCAACATGGTGAAACCCTGTCTCTACTAAAAATACAAAAATTAGGCAGGCGCAGTGGCACATGCCTGTAATGCCAGCTACTTGTGAGGCTGAGGCAGGAGGATCACTTGAACCTGGGAAGCAAAGGTTGCAGCGAGCCGAGATCGCACCACTGCACTCCAGCCTGGGCGACAGTGAGACCCTGTCTCAAAAAAAAAAAAAAAAGGAAAAAGAAAGAAAAAGATTAAGGTGTGGGAGTGGGACAGACCCAGGCTACTTAATATTTTTCTGTAAAACAGCAGGGATAATAGTTTCTTTTCTTTCTTTTTTTTTGAGACAGGGTCTTGCTTTATCGTCTAGGCTGGAGTGCAGTGGCACGATGTTGGCTCACTGCAACCTCTGCCTCTCAGGTTCAGGCAATTCTCCTGTCTCAGCCTCCCAAGTAGCTGGGATTACAGGCGTGTGCCACCACGCCCGGCTAATTTTATATTTTTAGTAGAGATGGGGTTTCTCCATGTTGGTCAGGCTGGTCTCGAACTCCCAACCTCAGGTGATCTGCTCGCCTCGGCCTCCCAGTGTGCTGGAATTACAGGTGTGAGCCACCACGTCTGGCCAGGGATAATAGTTTGTAATTCACTGGGCGTTACGGTCCTGCAGGTAACATTGTTTTTCTTATTTATTTATTTATTTATTTAGTCAATTCTAGCAGTATCTTCTAACTTTTTTTGTTCGTGTTTTTTGAGACAGGGTCTCGCTTTGTCACCCAGGCTGGAGTGCAGTGGCGTGATCACGGCTCTCTGCAGCCTCTACCTCCTGGGCTCAAGTGATCCTCCTGCCTCAGCCTCCCGAGTAGCTGGGACTACAGCCGCTACCATGCCCGGCTAATTTTAAATTTGTTTTTTTTTGCAGAGATGGGGTTTTGCCATGTTGCTCAGGCTGGTCTCGAACTCCTAGCTCAAAGCCTTGGCCTTCCAGGCGTGAGCTACCGCGCCGGGCCTGCTGAAGTTCTTGATATAGTTTCTGGCACATAGTATATGTTTAATAGATGTTTGTTGTTCTGATGATTTCAGTTATGTACCATTTACAGGCGTTTGTAACCTCTTTAGCTAACAAGTTGGGCATTTAGGGAACTGACTATAGAAAGCATTTCTCGGAAACGAGGACTGGTTCTGCGACGTCTTAACGAGGTGCGGGTGGCCAGTATTTTCCCCAACTTGAAAATCTGTGTAGAGGTGGGAGGGCAGTCTAGCCTCAGGCGGAATAGGAAAACTTCCTTATGCCTAATTTCAGTGTCAGTGTGTGGTATTTCCTACGCGGAACACCGCCCCAAACTAATGTCTACGTTTAACTCAACCGCGGTAAATTTCCTTCCATGGCACTATTAACTTGGCCCGGCCCACATGTCCCCTCCCGGTTGGTGTGGACGCTCCGAGGTTAGCTCAAACCTCGGCGATTTTCCCAGCTGATTGGCCGTGCAAATAGACAATCCTTTTGCTTTTCTGATTGGTCGCACATGGCATCGGGGGTGGGGGACGTGGGCGTGTCTCGCCAGAATTCGTTTAACTGTGATTTGAAGATGAACATGGTATTGCCAGAGCTTCATGGCGTCGCCTACGGCGCTCCCTCCCTCCCAGGCCCTTACTCTTCTTTGCATTGGCCAGATATGTCGTCACTCACAAAACTTCGAGCTCATTGGTGCAAAAGCTCCAGGAGGCGGTGGGTGATTGGTTGGTTGCTGTTCCTGCCCCCACGCCTGTCGTGGTTTAGCTGAACTGAGCTGAAATCCTAAAGGCCGCGGAGTCGGCGGTGTTGTAGGTAGCGGTACCTTGAGTGGCAACAGGTGAGTCTCCGGCTGCAGGGATGGGGCGGCAGCACTCAAGACCTGGCTGGATCTCCACTTCGTCTGCGGGCCAGAAACTGGAGGGCGGCGGTGGCTTTCGGAAAGGGATTGGGCTCCGCTGTTCCTTCTTCGCCCTCTCTAGGGCCGGAGCAGCGAGGAACCGAAGGAGGCTTCATAGGTTCCACGCAGGGCCCTCTCTTTGCTCTTCCAGGGGCGCACAAGTTGAGAAGGAGCGGCCTGGCAGCCGGGGCAAAAAAGGGGCGTCTTTCCCCGGGAGCCGGGCGTGCCTGGCTGCCGCGCACGCTCACCTGGGCCACCACGCTTGTTCGCGCCCTTGACGTCGTGCCGACGTTTCTCCCTAATGCACTTTTGGCGCTTGGGGCTGGGAGACTGAGCGTGCCAAAAAGGCCCTGTAGTCGGAGCCATCTTACCTTAGAGGGGTCTCCAGCGGCGCAGGGGTGTCAGGACCACGGGCGCCTGGGGCACATGAGTAGCAATAAGAGGAAAGAGAAGGGAGAGGGAGGTCAAGGTGGTGTGTCTGTGCGGTTGGCAGGGGGAATTGGGACTAGCTGCCTCAAGGGGCATCTGAGCGGGAAGTACCTTCCCTCCCCCAGCATGTTCCTGAAAAGTCTCCTCATCTGTGAGATTTGTTTTTCGAAACAAAGAAAAGGAATCTCTAGTTTTGTCGCCCGGCAAGATTTTGAGTGCTGCAATGCACTGGACTTTTATAGACCTATAATGGACTTTCTTTGAATGATTAAAACATTTATCATTCTTTGGTCACTTACGCCACATTTGTGAACAGGATAAATTCTGTGCTCGCTTTCTCTCATCCTAGAAAGGAATGTTGTGTACTTGGGCGTAATCCATGATATTAAGCTACTGCTGGCCACTGTTGAATTTCAGCGGTGAGGCCTGTGGAATTTGGTTACCTCCGCTCTGTGGTTACCAGAGTCCGAATGAATGGGAGATTGGCTATCCTCCTTGTGTCTTCCTCCTCCCCTGCCCAGGAGTAAAGCTTTCTTTGGTTAGCAATTTAAAAAGAAAATAAATCACAGTCTCTGGAACAAGGATGTATGTCTTTTTCTTTTTGAATTTTTTTTTGTTTTATTATTTTTAAAAATAGAGGCAGGGTCTCGCTATGTTGCCCAGGCTGGTCTTGTACTCCTGGCCTAAAGCAATCCTCCCTTGTCTTCTGTTATCTCAGTAAGCAAAAACTAAAGTGACCCTCTTGCCTCAGCCTCCCAAAGTGCTGGAATTACAGGGGTAAGCCACCCTGCCTGGTCTGAAGATCTTTACAGACTTCCAAGAGCTTAGTTAGAGGTGTAGACCCAGCACTGCTTGTAAGTCTTTACTTAGAATGTCAAGCTCACATTTCAAGTAGGCTGATCTCAAAGAGACTGTAAATTTCTGTAAGTTAGTCTGACTTTACTATTGACTTACTTTATATAACCTACCATGATTTCTACTGAAAAATAAAATATTGAACATTTATGCTGTTAGAAGTCAATATAGTGATTACCTTTTATGGAGTAATGACTGGGAGGAGGCACAAGGAGAATTGGTCTGATAATCATTTTTTTTTTTTTTTTTTTTTGAGATGGAGTCTCACTCTGTTGCCCTGGGCTGGAGTTCAGTGGCCCAATCTTGGCTCACTTCAACCTCCACCTCCCAGGTTCAAGTGATTCTTGTGCCTTAGCCTTCTGAGTAGCTGGGACTGCATGTGTGTGCCACTACACCTAGCTAATTTTTGTATTTTTAGTAGAGACGGGGTTTCACCATTTTGGCCAGGCTGGTCTCGAACTCTTGACCTCAGGTGATCCACCCACCTTGGTCTCCCAAAGTGTTGGGATTACAGGCATGAGCCACTGTGCCCAGCCTGATAAATCATCTTTTCTTGATTTGGTTACATAGGTGTGTTTGGTTCATGAAAATGTATTGAACTTTACAGTTATCATGTATGTTTATATCTGTATGTAAATTATACTTAAATAAAAAGTTCTAAGAACTGGTTGAGAGTAAGGTGATAGTTACAGCAATAGAACACTGGATACTGGCTGGGCCTGGTAGCTCACGCCTGTAATCCCAGCACTTTGGGAGGCTGAGGTGGGAAGATCACTTGAGCCCAGGGGTTCGAGATTAGCCTGGGAAATATAGTGAGACCTCATTTCCACAAAAAATACAAAAATTAGCTGAGCGAGGTGGCGTATGCCTGTGGTCGCAGCTGCTCCAGAGGCTGAGGTGGGAGGATTGTTTGAGATGGGGAGGTTGAGGTTGCAGTGAGCCGTGATTGTGCCACTGCACTCCAGCCTGGGTGACAGAGCGAGACCCTGTCTCAAAACAAAACAAAAAACTCAAACGAAAACTGGATGCTGTGGTGCCTCCTCAACTCTGCCAAGTTATCTCTCTTGGCAGTGAAGCTTCCCAACGCTGAATTTCTTTGCCTCTGAAATTTCTTAGGTTATTTCCAAGGTGTCTGCTAGCCATAAGGAACTACTACGTTTCCAAGGGATATTGTTGTTTAACCTGTCTTAAAGACTTTGTTTTATATTGCATAAAATAAAAAGCTTCTCTGTTTCATAAATTCTCATTTCAGTAGAGTTTAGAATGAGGTATAGTTGTATTTGTTGTATCATTGCTTCTGTACTTGTTTTTTAAAAAAAATTAATTAATTAATTAATTTTTTGAGACAGTCTTGCTCTGTTGCCCAGACTAGAGTGCAGTGGCGTGGTCCTGGCTTACTGCAACCTCTGCCTCCCCAGGTTCAAGTGATTCCTATGCCTTAGCATCCTGAGTAGCTGGTACTACAGGCGTGCACCACCGTGCCCAGCTAATTTTTGTGTTTTTAGTAGAGACGGGGTTTCACCATGTTGGCCAGGCTGGTCTTGAACCCATGACCTCAGGTGATCCACCCACCTTGGCCTCCCAAAGTGCTGGGATTACAGGCGTGAGCTACCGCACCTGGCCTTGTACTTCTGTACTAAATGACTAAAGGCTGCCACTGTCATAGCAGTGCTGAGGCTATGTTGCATATCCCTCTTGGATGCTGCAGTGGAAAATAGAATTTTCTGGTAAGGCATGGAAAGGTTTAGTTGAGTTTCCCTTTGAAGACAAGACTCACTACTCATTGGCCAAAGTGTACCTAAAATTGTTGAATTTTTCCTGGGAGCCATTTCTAATTGACACTTGTATTTTCTGCGTGTTGCTTCTATATCTCTGCAGAGAACAATTATTTGGCTTGCTTTTCTTGTCATGTTACAGAATTCGATTAAATTACAATGGGAAACATTTTTGAAAAGCTCTTTAAAAGTCTACTTGGGAAAAAAAAGATGCGGATTCTTATATTGAGTTTGGATACAGCTGGAAAAACCACCATCTTGTATAAATTGAAGCTGGGGGAGACTGTGCCTGCCGTCCCTACAGTAGGTAAGTTAATGAAAGACCTGTGGCAATTCCAGTTTACAATTTAGTATGTTATATATATTTTTTAGGTTCTGTTTCACCAGAGAAATATGTTTTATTTTTACATGCTTCTTATGTTATTGAATAATTCTTTTTAAAAATCTTGTCTACTCCATGAGCATACATTTTTAGAGGCCAAAAACCAGGTTATATATATCCTTTTCTTTTTTTTTTGACTCTGTCACCCAGGCTGGAGTGCAGTGGTACATCTCTGCTCACTGCAGTCTCAACTTCCTGGGCTCAAGTGATCCTTCCATCTCCCTCCTGAGTAGCTGGAACTACAGGCGTGCACCAGCATGCCCAGCTAATTT
Organism: Homo sapiens; assembly: GCF_000001405.40. Lineage (NCBI taxonomy): Eukaryota > Metazoa > Chordata > Mammalia > Primates > Hominidae > Homo > Homo sapiens. Next base: position 46,357,902 of record NC_000017.11, on the reverse strand, counting down.
TTGTATTTTTAGTAGAGACGGGGTTTTGCCATGTTGCCTAGGCTGGTCTTGAACTCCTGGGCTCAAGCGATCCTCCCGCCATGGTTTCCCAAAGTGCTGGGATTACAGGCATGAGCCTCCGCGCCTGGCCAGGTTATGTATCCTTTTCTAGTGGCTTGCACATTCTTAGGTTCACAAGGGAGACATGTGAACACATGGAGGCTAAGCAAATTTAACCCCATTTGCTTGGCAAAAAAGAAAAAGATAATGGGCAAAACAGGGAGGGTAGTTCTGCCCCTCATTCCTCGCAGCTAGTGTCCCAGCAGAAGGCTGAGGTGGGAGCTGGGAATCTGCTGGTGCCTCCTCAGTCAGCCTCTGTTCCAGCTGGCCTTCCTTAGTGGCAGCATCTCATCTCTACACCAAGTACGCTCCCAGTGCTTAGAGATGGAGTGTGATTTTTCTTCACTCTGGCTCAAACCAGCTGCTTGAGATGATGTCCAACTAGAGAAATAGACAAGCTGGCTGCACTGCTCTTACTGTGAACCAGCACTGTGTTTTACGGGCTTGTTAAGAGATTTACAAAGCGAGTTTTGACAGAACTGAATCTTTGCCTTGTGAACTGCCTCTAGATCCAAACTTCTGACTGAGGATACACCCCACAGGTGGCATGTGAACATTACTACTGTTCTGTTCTGAATATTGAATTAGGCACAGGACTCAAATGATCAACTTTCTTTTTTTTTTTTTTTTGAGATAGAGTCTCGCTCTGTCACCCCAGGCTGAAGTACAGTGGCGCGATCTCGGCTCACTACAACCTCCGCCTCCTGGGTTCAGGCGATTCTCATGCCTCAGCCTCCTGAGTAGGTGGAATTACAGACGTTCACCACCATGCAAGGCTAATTTTTGTATTTGTGGTAGAGACAGGGTTTCACCATGTTGGGCAGGCTGGTCTGGAACTCCTGACCTCAAATGATCTGCCCGGCTAAGTGCTGGGATTACAGGCGTGAGCCACCGCACCTGGTCTCCAAATGATCAACTTTCAACTTGGGCAGTAGCTGCAGAGATTGCATCGATTGAGGAGTGGGAAACCGAGGAGAATGTTCGAGTTATGAGATGGTTGTGTGTAAGGTAGTAATTTGGTTAAATTTTTCAAATGGATAAGCCAGTGCTGCCCAGGAGGCACTTTCTGCAGTGATTAAAATGTTCTGTGTCTGTGCTGTTTAGTGTCGTAGCCAATAGCCATGTGACTGTTCATGTGCTTGAAATGTGGCTAATGCAACTGAGGAACTGAACTTTTTTGTTTTTTGAGATGGAATCTTGCTCTGTCACCCAGGCTGGAGTGCAGTGGCGCGATCTCAGATCACTGCAACATCCGCCCCCTGGGTTCAAGTCATTCTTCTGCCTCAGCATCCTGAGAAGCTGGGATTAGAGGTGCACGCCACCACACCCGGCTAATTTTTGTATTATTAGTGGAGACGGAGTTTTACCCTGTTGGCCAGGCTGGTCTCGAACTCCTGACCTCGGGTGATCCGTCCACCTTGGCCCCCCAGAGTGTTGGGATTACAGGCATGAGCCACTGTGTCCAGCCGGGAACTGAACTTTTAATTGTATTTAACTTTAAGTTTATTTTTTATTTATTTTTATTTATTGATTGATTTTTGATTTTAACTTTAAGTTTAAATAGCCACGTTGCCAGGCGCAGTGGCTTATGCCTATAATCCCAGCACTTTGGGAGGTTGAGGTGGGAAGATCACTTGAGACCAGGAGTTCGAGATCAGCGTGGCCAACGTGGTGAAACCCCATATCTACTAAAAATACAAAAATTAGTAGTGGCATGCACCTGTAATCCCAGCTACTCGGGAGGTTAAGGCAGGAGAATCACTTCAGCCCGGGAGGCACAGGTTGCAGTGAGCTGATATTGCACCATTGCACTTCAACCTAGGTTACAGAGCAAGACTGTGTCTCAAAAAATAAATAAATAGGCCGGGCATGGTGGCTCACGCCTGTAATCTCAGCACTTTGGGAGGCTGAGGCAGGCGGGTTACCTGAGGTCAGGAGTTCGAGACCAGCCTGGCCAACATGGTGAAACCCCGTCTCTACTAAAATTGCAAAATGGGCGTGGTGGCAGGCGCCTGTAATCCCAGCTACTTGGGAGGCTGAGGCAGCAGAATCACTTGAATCCGGGAGGCGGAGGTTTCAGTGAGCCGAGATCGCACCATACACTCCAGCCTGGGTGACAAGAGCGAGACTCTGTCTCAAAAACAAAACAAAATAAAACAAAAACATAAACAAATAGTCACAAATGGCTAGTGACTATGTATTGGACGGTGCTGGGGTAGACAGTTGTTCAATGTCATTTATTGAATAATTTTTCCATGCTGATTTGAAATGCCTTCTTTGTTACATACTAAATTCTCACTGGTATGTGTGTCTTTTTTTGGGCAAGTACCTGTTGCATTTATATTTGAACTCTATTCAAGTGTTACTAGGGCTTGGCATATCCTTAAAAATAATTCATTACTCATTTTCAGAGATTTCCTGGTTATGCTTACTTGTTTATTTCTCCAGGTTAAATTTTAGATAATTTTGCTAAGTTTCCTGCCCCTGCCCCTACCATCATTATAGGATTGGAATGGCATTGTATTTATTTATTTAGCAAGAATTTAGATTGTTGCAATGTAACGAGTGTCTCTCACTAAAATAAGGCATGACTAGAATTGAGGTTTGGAAGGTGAGCAGACCCAGCTTGCTTGGGTCTTGACAGTCATGTTTGGGATTTGGGTGTGGGAAGCCGCTAAGGGGACATCTTTCCTTCTTTTCCTTTCCTCCCTTCCTCCCTTCCTCCCTTCCTCCCTTCCTCCCTCCCTCCCTCCCTCCCTCCCTCCCTCCCTTTTCTGTCCTTTCCTTCCTCCCCTCCCCTCCCCTCCCATCTCTGTCTCTCTCTCTCTGTCTCTCTCTTCCTCTTTTCTTTCTTTTCTTTCTTGGATGTTATTCTGTCATCCAGGCTGGGGTGCGGTGGTGTGATCTCAGCTCACTGCAATGTTTGCTTCAAGCAGTTCTCCTGTCTCAGCCTCCCAAGTAGCTGGGACTATAGGCACACGGCACCAATGCCTGGCTAATCTTTGTGTTTTTTTGTAGAGACAGGGTTTCACCATGTTGCCCAGGCTGGTCTCAAACTCCTGAGCTCAAAGCAATCTGCCCACCTCAGCCTCCCAAAGTGCTGGGGTTACAGGTGTGAGCTACTGTGCTCGGCTTATTCTTTCTTTTTTTTTTAATTTTTAATTTTATTTTTTGGGGCGATTATTCTTTCTTTTTTAAGTTTGAAAATATTCCAATCAAACATAAATGTGTAGAGAAATGACGTGACCACACTATGTGTTTTTAAGCTATTGCTTTGTTTAGAAGATGGTGACCGGATGGAGAGAGGGAGAGTGGCTGAGGTGAAATTAGTTATATGGTTTCAGGAATTGAGGCTAGAAATGATGGTCTGTTGGGTTAGGGTGACTATTAGTTGTTGAAGGGGTTGAATTGATAAGGTGTGGTAGTAGGGTTCTAGGGGTGCGAGCATCGGATGTTTCCAGGGCACCTCTCAGGCTATCAGCTTGTGGAACGAAGTCAATGATGGGATAACTAGCAGAGGAGGAGGTTGGGGGTAGGGACCTTAAATTCCATTTTTGACTGATCACCTTGTTTTGGGGCCTTGAAGACATTTGCCAAAGCTGTTAGATTATGAGCCTGAAGCTCAGGAGAGAGGGCTAGGTTGGGGGATATAAATCTCAGAGTTAGTACAGAGATAGGAATGAAGTCGTGGGAGTGAGTGAGATTGCCTAGGGAGGGGTGCAGAAAGAGGAGAGTGGATGGGGCCAGTGAGAGCCAGGGCGACTCCCATCATTGCAGGATCAGTTAAACGTGGCTGAGTTCACTAAGGAGACTGAGACAGTACAGCCATAGAGATAGAAGGAAAAGGGAAGCTGGGGAAGGGTGTCAAGGAGGGAGTGAGCAGTAGCGTCAGATAGAAGATCAAATTATGGAAGAACTGAGAAGGCCTGTGTTAGATTTATTGACCTGGTGATCACTGCTGACCTTACTGAAAACCAGCTACCCAATGGTGGAGCAGAGCTAAGGTGCTGTTGCGTGAGAGGACCGAAGAAAGCTTAGTGGACAGGTTGCTTGACCTCAGGAGTTTTAGACCAATCTGAGCAACATAGTGAGACCCTGTGTCTACAAAAAATTTTTTAAATTTAGCTAGGTATGGTGGCTCATGCTTATAGTTCTAGCTGCTTGGGAGGCTGAAGCAGGAGGATCCCTTGAGCACAGGAGTTTGAGGCTGCAGTGAGCTATGATTGTACCTCTGTGCTCCAGCCTGGCCAACACAGCAAGGCCCTGTCTCTTAAAAAAAAAAAAAGCAAATAGAGGGTGAAGATGTGAAGGAAGAGAGTGCGATGAAGATGTGGGGATCAAGGAAAGGTTTGTTTTGTTGTTTTTAAAGATGTAAAAGGCTTAAGCATGCCAAGGTGAACAGATTGGAGATATTCAGATATGGGAGAGAATAGGAATAGTAAAAAGTTCCAGACAGTCTGGGTAGGGTGGATCTGGCTCATAGAGGGAGGGAGTTGGTGGAAGAGAGTTACCTTCTTCTGTTGTTCCAAGAGGGAGGAAGAAAAGCATGGGTAAAGATGTAGACTGGCTTTTACACTGTATGGTGGAAGTGGAAGTCATTCCCATCGGCGGCTTCTCTGCTCTGAAGTACACTGTGATAGTCTCCTGCTGAGAGAAAGGGCAGGTGCGTGGCTAGAGATTGGAGAGTAGAGAAGGTTTGAGACACCTGTCCTGATGAATGGGCGAGGGGGCCAGCACATTCTCTTTGAAGGCTATAGATCTTTGACTAGCAGGCTGCTTTGTAAATTAAAAGTACTGTCCGCATGTTGAAATTATTTTGAATTGTTCAACCAGCACAAATCATAATTAAATGTTTTCCCCATGTTTCATTTAGGTTTCTGTGTGGAGACAGTAGAATATAAAAATAACACCTTCGCTGTCTGGGATGTTGGCAGCCACTTCAAAATCAGACCTCTGTGGCAGCATTTTTTCCAGAACACAAAAGGTAAAGATTATTCGGTTTGTAGCCTCGATACTGTTTCTGTGAAATGTCTCTAAAGACGGATGCTTGAAGTGATACCTTCTGGTGCTCTGCTCTATTTACACTGTCAGCCATTTCCTCTCTTAGGGTCTCTTTATACTTACTGGGGAGGTTTCTTTTGTGAGACAGAGTCTTGCCCTGTTGCCCAGGCTGGAGTGCAGTGGTGTGATCTTGCCTCCCTGCAACCTCCGCCTCCCAGGTTCAAGTGGTTCTTCTGCCTCAGCCTCCCAAGTAGCTGGGGTTACAGGCATGCACCACCACGCCTGGCCAATTTTTGTATTTTTAGTAGAGATGGGGTTTCACCATGTTGGTCAGGCTGGTCTCGAACTTCTGATCTCAGGTGATTCGCTCACCTTGGCCTCCCAAAGTGCTGGGCTTATAGGCGTGAGCCACTGTGCCCAGCCCCCCTGTCTACTTTAAATCACTACTAGATTACTTCTTATGTCTACTAGCATGTAAATGCTATATAGTTAGACTGTATTATTTGTATTTTTTTTTTTTACTGTTGCGTTATTATTTTTATTTATTTACTTATTTATTTATTTTTTGAGACGGAGTTTCACTCTTGTTGCCTAGGCTGGAGTGCAATGGCGCGATCTCGGCTAACCACAACCTCCGCCTCCCGGGTTCAAGTGGTTCTCCTGCCTCAGCCTCCTGAGTAGCTGGGATTACAGGCATGCACCACCACGCCCGGCTAATTTTGTATTTTTAGTAGAGACGGGGTTTCTCCATGTTGGTCAGGCTGGTCTCGAACTCCCGACCTCAGGTGATCCACCCGCCTCGGCCTCCCAAAGTTCTGGGATTATAGGCGTGAGCCACCGTGTCCGGCCTGCGTTATTACTTTTTAATATTTTTGGTTCAAGGTGGGTTGAATCTGTGGATACAGAGGGCTGACTATAGTTTTTACACCCCGATTTTCATGTAAAATATTAACCATATGGAATCTACAAATTTCTCATTTTAGAATTTATTTGGAGTCTGTTTGTTTTGAAGATTCTCCTGCATGTACTTGATAGTAAAGACTTACATATTCGTCAGTCTTTCCAGATGAAATACCCAAGTCGACTGTCCCTTTATATTTTATATCATTGTTTTAGCTGTTACCTTTGGCAATTAACTCTATTTGCAGTTATCTTTTCCAGGCTATAGATTTTAGAATGTTTTTTCTCAAAGTAGTGCATTTATTTTTTTAACTTTTTTAGTGGAAAATCTAAAACAAATACAAAGACAGAGAGGATAACATAACGAACCCCCATGTACCCATCACCAAGCCTCAACAGTTATAAGCATTTTGCCCATCCCAGACATGATGCCTTTTATTCATATGTCCTTTAGTGTTCATTTCCAACTGATAAGGCATATATATATATATAAAATCTTCATGCTATTATAACATCTCCAAAATTAATAATAATTCTTTAATATCTAGCACCTAGTCCTTATTCTAATTTCTCCAGTTGTATCAAATGTATCCTGGCTGAGTGTGGTGGCTTACACCTGTAATCCCAGCACTTTGGGAAGCCAAGCCTGGTGGATTACCTGAGGTCAGGAGTTGGAGACCAGCCTGGCCAACATGGTGAAACCCTGTCTCTACTAAAAATATGCAAAAAAAATTAGCCAGGCTTGGTGGTGCATGCCTGTAATCCCAGCTACTCGGGAGGCTGAGACAGGAGATTCTCTTGAACCCAGGAGGCGGAGGTTGCAGTGAGCCGAGATTGCGCCATTGCACCCCAGCCTGGGCGACAGGGCGAGACTCCATCTCAAAAAAAAAAAAAAAAGAGAAAAAAAAAGTATCCTTTCTACATCTTTTCTACATCTGCTTTGTTTGCATCTGGATCAGAGTTCGCACAGTGCATTTTGTTGTTTTGCCTCTTTAGTCTTTTATTCTACAGCAGTTGTTCTTTCTCTATGCCTTTTTTTTTCCTTTTTTTTTTTGGAGACAGGGTCTCGTGCAGTGGCACAATCTTGGCTCACTGTAACCTCTGCCTCCTGGAGTCAAGCGATTGTCTGACTTCAGCCTCCCAGGTAGCTGGGACCACAGGTGCATACCATCACACCTAGCAAATTTTTTTGTACTTTTTATAGAGATGGATTTTCACCATGTTGCCCAATCTGGTCTCAAACTCCTGGGCTCAAGCATCTGCCCACCTTGGCCTCCCAAAGTGCTGAGACCATAGTGTGAGCCACCTCGCCTGGCCTCCCCCCCCCTTTTTTTTTTTTTTTAACTGCTTATTCCACATTCTGGATTTGGTTGATTACTTTATTATGGTGCCATCTAACTTGCTTGGCTATCTGTGGATTTCCTGTGAACTGGTTGTTTATTCTAGAGACTTGATTAGATTTTGGTTCATTTCAGGGGCAAGAATACTTCATAAGTATTCTTCCTATCCTAACACAGAAGTTCGGTTGTCACACTTAGACATTTTTAAAAAAATTTTTATTGTGGCAAAGTATATATAATATAAAATTTACAAGTTTATTTTTAAGTGTACAATTCAGTGGCATTAAGTACATTCACCGTGTTTTACAACCATCACCACTGTCCAGTTCCACAATTTTTTCATCATCCCCAACAGAAACTTTGTATCCATTAGCAATAACTGCCCATTCTCTTCTCCCCCACCCCTCATTAGCCTTTATTCTATCCTCTGTCTATGAATTTGCCTATTCAGTGGAATTGTATATTAGTCTTTGGAAGTTTAGCTGCCTGGCCTCTTTCACTTAGTACAATGTTTTCAAGGTTCATCTATGCTGTAGTATGTATCAGAACTTAATTCCTTTTATGGCTGAATGATATTCTATTTTATGGATATACCACATTTTGTTTATCCATTCATCTATCGATGGACTCTTGAGTTGCTTCTGCTTTTTGTCTATTATGAATAGTGTTGCTATGAAGATTCATGTCCAAGTATCTGTTTGAGTCCCTGCTTTGAGTTCTTTGGGTATATGCCTAGAAGTGGAATTGCTGGGTAACTATGTTTTCTTTTCTTTTTTTTTTTTTTTTTGAGACGGAGTCTCCCTCTATTGGCCAGGCTGGAGTGCAGTGGTGCAGTCTCGGCTCACTGCAACCCCAGCCTCCTGGGTTCAAGTGATTCTCCTGCCTTAGCCTCCCGAGTAGCTGGGACTATAGGCGTGAGCCACCACGTCCGGCTAGTTTTTTTGTATTTTTAGTAGAGACAGGGTTTCACCATATTGACCAGGCCAGTCTCGAACTCCTGACCTTGTGGTCCACCCGCCTCGGCCTCCCAAGGTGCTGGGATTACAGGCATGAGCCACTGCACCCGGCCTCATTTTTTTTTATTGTGGTAAAATACACATAACTTAAAATTTAGCATCTTAACAATTTGTTTTGTTTTGTTTTGTGGTAGTGATGTTTTTGTGAGATGAGGTCTCTATATGTTACTCAGACTGGTCTCGAACTCATGGGCTCAAGTGGTTCTCCTACCTCAGCCTCCTGCATAACTGGGACTACAGGTGTGCAACACTGCACCCAGCTCTATCTTAAACATTTTTAAGTGTATAGTCAGTCATAATATTCTGCAACCATCACCACCATTCATTTCTGTAACTATTTTCATCTTGTAAAACCAAAACTTTGTGCCCATAAACTATAACTTCTGTTCTTCCCCCACCCTCTCCCCTTCCTCCCTGGCAGCCACCAGGTTGTCACATTTTTAATGATGCCAAATGGTTTCAGATGGTATCAGCCTAATTCCCCTGAATTAAAATTCTCCATCAACTTTTCACCTAATCGTTTTAGCATCCATTGAAAACTGTTGCCTAGACCCATTATTTTATTAGAAGTCACAAAATGGTGATTTCTCCCCCCTCCTAAATCTTGTTATTCCTCTGCATTTATTAGCTAAAATCCTTCTAAACAAAGAATTCCCTCATCAAATATTTGGTTTCCCTGAAATATAGTTTGTAGAAGAAAGGCTGGAAAAATGCTTTATTCTTTTCCTTCATGGATTTTCAGAAAAACCACTGGATGCCCCGCAACTTCCATGGTGACTCTTAGATGTTTGTATCTTCGTGTTTTGATCTGCAGATTATGTATTTTTTTGATACTCAGAGTGTCCATTTATCTTGGACTGGCACTTGACAAATTGGCAAACTCTTGCAGTTTCTTAACTGTAATAAAACTAGAACACATGGGTTTGAACCACAGCTCTGTGGTGAAACCTTGAGAGAGTTAGGTAATCTCGTCTGTCTCAATTTCCTCATCTTAAAATGGAGATAATACTTACTGCCTGCATCACTGGGCTTAAATTACTTATGTAAAATGCTTCATTTCGTGGCTGGATGACAGTAGGCACTCAAAAGCCCAAATTGTTTGAGGTTTCACTTCATCATTTCTCTGGCAGAATTCTTTTTTCTTACCCTACTGGGAGTTTCCACATTCAAATACCAAGATGAAATAAATACCTTTATTTCTTCAATCTTCTCTTCATAACAAGCCTAATTTTACTGAGTTTTGGTAGCTATTGTTTTTGATGGTAGGGAGCTGGCTGTACTCTAGGACCTTGGGGTGGGAAATTTGGACTTTTCATAAAATAGCAGTTGGGAGCTGCTGGAAGAATGGACGTGCCGTGAGTGGTCTTGGATGCAGCCCCTATTTTTTCTGCCAGTTTCTAAAGATCAGGCTGTCTTTTAGTTCAAATTTTTTTCATCAGTATGTTGAGTATGACAGAACTTAATGCTTTTAGCTCTCTATTAAGACATTTAACTGTGTAGGTTTCACTTGTATAGATTGGAATTTGAACAGTTTCTGATTTCTTTTTTATTTTTTTGAGACGGAGTCTCGCTTTGTCGCCAGGCTGGAGTGCAGTGGCACAATCTCGGCTCGCTGCAACCTCCACCTCCCAGGTTCAAGCGATTCTCCTGCTTCAGCCGCCCAAGTAGCTGGGACTACAGGTGCGCGCCATGCCCAGCTAATTTTTGTATTTTTAGTAGAGATGGGGTTTTACCATGTTGGCCAGGATGGTCTTGGATCTCTTGACCTTGTGATCCGCCCGCCTTGGCCTCCCAAAGTGCTGGGATTATAGGCGTGTATCACCGCGTTTTTTGTTGTTGTTGTTGTTTTTTGAGGCGGAGTCTTGCTGTCACCCAGGCTGGAGTGAAGTGGTGTGATCTCGGCTCACTGCAACCTCCACCTCCTGGGTCAAGCAATTCTCCTGCCTCAGCCTCCCGAGTAGCTGGGATTACAGGTGCCCGTCACCATGCCTGGCTAATTTGTTTATATTTTCAGTAGAGATGGGGTTTCACCACGTTTGCCAGGCTAGTCTTAAACTCCTGACCTCAAGTGATTTGCCCGCCTCGGCCTCCCAAAGTGCTGGGATTACAGACGTGAGCCACTGTGCCCGGCCGTGATTTCTTAATTGATATTTTTATAGACGGCGTAAGATGGTCCATTAGTTATTAGGGATAAATATTTTTCTCCTTGATTGTAGGTTCAGTTATTTTAATTTGTTGAATTGCAGCGTATCTGTCTGGTTCAAAATTCGAAAGTAAGAAAAGGTGTATACTCATCCTTTGGTATCTGTGGGGGATTAGTTCCAGGACCTCCCATAGATACCAAAATCCTTGGATATTCAAGGCTTTGATATAAAATGGTGTAGTATTGGCATAAAACCTATGCATGGTGCCATCTTGGCTCACTGCAACCTCCGCCTCCTGGGTTCAAGCAATGCTCCTGCCTCAGCCTCCCTAATAGCTGGGATTACAGGCACCTGCCACCATGCCCAGCTAATTTGATATTTTTAGTAGACGCGGGGTTTCACCATGTTGTCAAGGCTGATCTCAAACTCCTGACCTCACGTGATCCACCCGCCTCGGCCTCCCAAAGTGCTGGGATTACAGGCGTGAGCCACCGCGCCCAGCTGTCTCATAGTTTTAGACACTGTCTGTTGCCTTCCTGGTAAACCTGGCAAGGACTTAGCTCTTTTACACCCTAGCCCTGTCCATTCTTGAGGTTTGGGTTTGCCACAATTTGTAGAAAATGAACAGTGTTTACAGAATTGTGACTATATAAATATTATTCACCACAGAGCTTAATAATGTGCTGTGAGGTCAGGCATGGTGGCTCACGCCTGTAATCCCAGCACTTCGGGAGGCCAAGGTGGGCGGATCACCTGAGGTCGGGAGTTCAAGACCAACCTGGCCAACATGGAGAAACCCCATCTCTACTAAAAATACAAAAATTAGCCGGGTGTGGTGGTGCCCCCCTGTAGTCTCAGCTACTTGGGAGGCTGAGGCAGAGAATCACTTGAACCTGGGAGGTGGAGGTTGCAGTGAGCCGAGATCATGCCACTGCACTCCAGCCTGGGCAACAGAGTGAGACTCTATCTCAAAATATAATAAAATAAAAATAAAATACACTCTGATGATGGCTGCTTCCCCCAAGGGTGCCTCAAGCTCTCTCCTTTTCTTTCAGTGCCATCTGCCATTATCGTGCCCTCGTTCTCTTCCAGTGCTCTGGCGGAGCAGGTGGCGCCCAGGCCCACAGTGCCCTCTCCAAGTTCTGTCCTCCATGTGCTCAAGTTATCCCCTAAACTTGTCACATGGGTCATCCTGGAACTTTGCTTAACTGCTTCCTGGGTTGGGGCCTTTATTTCCTGGCTCCCTTCTCTTCTTGCTTAATTTCCCCTCCCTTTGCTGCAGCACATACCCAGTTAATCCCTTTCTAACATTAAAAAAAGAAAAAGAGAATAGTTCTTGGACCTCCTCATGATAGAAATTATATCTTTAGGCCGGGTGTGGTGGCTCACTTGTGTAATCCCAGCAGTTTGGGAGGCCGAGGCAGGTGGATCACTTGAGCTCAGGAGTTCAAAACCAGCCTGAGCAACATGGTAAAACCCTATCTCTACAAAAAGTACAAAAATTAGCCAGGTGTGGTTGCATGTACCTGCAATCCCAGCTACTCAGGAAGCTGAGGGAGGAGAATCTCTTGAACCCAGGAGGTGGAGGTTGCAATGAGCTCTGATCATGCCACTGCACTCCAGCCTGGGTGACAGAGTGAGACCCTGTCTCAAAAAAAACAAAATAAAGTTGTATCTTTAATATCCATTAACTGAAAAATAAAAATAAAAATAAGGACCAAAAATTACTATGTGGACACACATGCTTTTAAATGAATTTGTGTGTTATTAACCACAGTAACATCTATGAACTTGTGAAAAACTGTTACTGGTTTAGGCTTAAGGGTTTGCCCAGTCTAGCTTCAATGTTCAATGGGTGGGCATGGTGGCTCACACTTTGGGAGGTGGCCAAGGCAGGCAGATCGCTTAGTCCAGGAGTTGGAGACCAGCCTGAGCCACATAGTGAAACCCTATCTCTACAAAAAATTTAAAAATTAGCTGTGTGCGGTCACGCGCACCTGTAGTCCCAGATATTGGAGGGCAGTGGGGGGTGGCGCTGAGGTGGGAGGATCACTCGAGGCCAGAAGGTCAAGGCTGCAGTGAGCCGAGGCTGAGTCACTGCCTGGGTGGCACAGCAAAACTCTGTCAAAAAAACAAACCAAAACAAAACAAAACAGACAAACAAGAACCAAAGTTGGATGCAGTGGCTCATATCTGTAATCCCAACAACTCGGAAGGCTCAGGCAGGAGGATTGCTTGAGGCCAGGAGTTCAAGGCCAGCCTGGGCAACATACTGAGACCCTCGCCTCTGAAAAAATTAAATATTAATAAAAACAAACCCTAGTAGCTTCAGTCTTTGATTCTCCATCCCTCATTTCATCCCTTTGTCTTCTGGTAATAGAATTTCCTTCTTGTTTTTCTTTTGGGATGAGCCACCTTCGCTCCCTGGGATTCTGCTGGGATTGAGTTACCGCCTTCCGGGCTCAAGCGATCCTCCCACCTCAGCCTCCCAAGTCGCTAAGACCATAGGTGCATGCCACCATGCCTGGCTAATGTTTTGTATTTTCTGTAGAGCCGGCGTTTTGCCCTGTTGCCCAGGAGTTTTTCCTTTAATGTTCTCCTGCTACTTACTAATTCACTTTGTCACCCTGTGAGCTCATAAGAGCAGAGAGATAGCAACAGGAGCTAAAAAAACTCTAAGCTGTGAAAAAATATTAAATATGAAATCATGATAGCTATTAGCTTAATTTGTTTTAGGCAAATTGCAAAGTAATTTTTTGGGAATCAGTGTCCCACTGCAGTGATTCCATATGGGGATTCCTAATTCCCAGTATGTTTTTAAAATAATTTGTAAACACCTAGTACAAACGCATGATATGAAATTCAAGAGGTACAAAAGGGCATACAGCCCTGCACTCTCCCAGTTTCCCTCCCGGAAGGCAACCGCCATTACCAGTTTCTCGTGTGTGCTTCCAGAGGTATTCTTGTCCAACAGAACTTCAGTGATGAAAACAGTTGCCTGTGCTGCCAGTTTGGAAGCCATTAGCCACACGGGGCAGTTGAGCACTTGATATGTGGCTAGTGTGTCTTAGCAGCTGACTTTAAAAATTTTTTTTTTTTTGTTAAAGACTCAGCGTCTTGCTCTGTTTACCAGACTGGACTGCAGTGATGTGTGAACATGGCCTCAAACTCCTATTTATTTATTTTTTGAGACAGGGCCTCACTCTGTTGTCCAGGCTGGAGTGCAGTGGTGCAGTCATAGGTCACTGCAACCTTGACCTCCTGGGCTCAAGAAATCCTCCCACCTCAGCCTCCTAAGTTGCTGGGACTACAGATGAATGCCACCATGTTTGGCTGATTTTTACAATTTTAAATTTTTTGCCTGGGCGCAGTGGCTCATGCCTGTAATCTCAGCACTTTGGGAGGCTGAGGCGGGCAGATCACCTGAGGTCAGGAGTTCAAGACCAGCCTGGCCAACATGGCAAAACCTTGTCTCTACCAAAAATACAAAAATTTGCTGGGTATGGTGGTGCGTGCCTGTAGTCCCAGCTACTTGGAGGCTGAGGCACGATAATCGCTTGAACCCAGGAGGCAGATGTTGTAATAAGCTGAGACTGCGCCACTGCACTCCAGCCTGGGTGACAGAGTGAGACCCGTCTCAAAAAAAATAAAAATAAATAAATAAATAAATTTTTTGTAGAAAAGGGGCTTCACTATGTTGCCCAGGGTGTTCTTGAACTATTGGCCTCAAGCTATCCTCCCACTTGGCCTCCCAAAGTGCTAGGATTACAGGCATGAGCCACTGTGGCCAACCTAAATTTATATGTAAATAGCCATATGTGGCTAGTGGCTACTGTATCAGACCTCACAGTTCTGTACAGATAACGCACAGCGCACAGTAGCATACTATACACGCCCTACTAAATCTTGCTTTGTTCCCTTAACAGCACCTATGCATCTTGGAGATAGATTGTCCCAGTCTGCCTCATTTTTAAAAACTGCTGCATAATATCCTCTTGTAATCCACAAAGGGAATCCCAGACCCAGCCTGGGGGGCCATGGGTCATCACTTTTTACAACAAGCTCTAAAATCTTCCACATGTACCATAATCAAGGCACTTCAGAACAACCCTAGGTTCCTCATGCCTCTACTTTTATTAGCCTGGGCCTGACATAGTTGGACATTGAATAGTCACTTCTGGGGGCTGGTGGAAATAATTTACCATGAGTGACTGCCCTAAAGTATACTCTCCACCCACGTGGCCCGTGCCTGGCATTCACTAGTGCTGGTGGCATTCTTTAAGGTTGCTCATATCTCTAAGTGGTTCTCCTTTAAAGAGCAAAGTCTCCTGGGAAAGGTGGTCATTAAGCAGAACATCTGGGGCTCATCTTGCTTTTGCCCTGTTGAGAGGGGCCAAGGGACTTGGTAGAGCAGCAGGGGCTCTGACGGTGAACCTCATTGTTTTTAAAATTATTCATAAGAGGCCAGGTGCATTGGCTCACACCTGTAGTCCCAGGACTTTGAGGAGCAGAGGCAGGAGGATCATTTGAGTCCAGGAGTTCAAGATTAGACTGAGCAACACGGGGAGACCTCATCTCTACAAAAAATTTAAAAGAAAATTAATTGGGCATCATGGCACGAGCCTGTGGTTCCCGCTACTCGGGAGGCTGAGGTGGGAGGATCACCTGAGCCCAGGAGGTTGAGACTTGCAGTGAGCTGAGTTCACACCACTGCACTCGAGCCTTGATGACAGAATGAGACTGTCTCAAAAAAAAAAAAAAAAAAAAAAATTGTCCTTAAGTCCATGTGGACCCCTGACTAGGTTTGTGCCCTAGACAGCCTTCCTCTGAGGGCAGTTCAGGTGGTGAGACTCCAGCTTTAAATGGCCTCTAGAGAAATTTCACTAACCTGCCTTGGTGTTTGACCCTGTATAACCCCTTTCTTCTGGAGGTCCCTTTGGGTGGCAGTAGATACGGGATTTGGTGTCTGACAGCTCTGGGGACAGATCCCAGCTCCAAATGGCAGAGTCTCTACAGATTACAAGCCAAATACTTAGCACTATGTGCTGATCTTCAGGAAGTCAGTCTATATTTCATAACAAGTCACATGGGGATAATGAAGGAATGGCCTAAAATGCTCTCAGTAATATTCCTGAGTCATCCCTCAGGGCTAGGCTTGGTGTTAGGCATGGCGGGGAAGGGAGCAGAGCTGTGTGCAGAGGAAGATGCAGTTCTTGCCTTGTCAGGGTCCCTGACCTGATGGCGACCCATGGTGGAGTCTTCATAGTGACAGACACCACTGTAAAAGCAGATCCAGGTTGTGCAACCCTCAAAGCAGGTCTCCTCACTCACCGGGATAGATAGACTATTGGCCGTACCTGCATCCACCGCTTGCCATGGTTTCGTTGTGGGTGGAGGATACTTTCCTGTCCCCTGGCTTTGGGTTTGCCCACGTGGCTTGCTCTGGCCTTGGAATGAAGCAGAAACGAAAGGCTGCCAGTTCCGAGCCCACGTCTGAAGTCGCCTTAGGTGGTTCCGCGGGCCCCGTGCGCTCCCACCTTCACCCAGAGGGCCTTCTCTGGTGCAGCCGCTGCTTCTTCAGCCTCCGCCCAAAAGGAACGGAGCCCCCTGGCCGATCCGCAGGCCTACAGGGAGCCACAGAGCGCAGCGGCTGGACCAGCGTTCAAGCCCAAGCACAGGCCTGCGAGAACCTTGTTCCAGCCGCCGTTTAGGATGGTTGATTAGGACGCGTTGCAGTGGCGGTAGCTCACCAATCCAGTGCGTGCACCCGCTCCTTTATTAGGCTATAGAGCCAGTGGCTCCCACAGGGACCTGATACAACAGTGCGTTAAATAAGGAGCATATTGAGCTCTCATGTCGTAAGCCAGTGGAGAAGTCCAGGGCTAGTGTGGGGGCTCCGGCGGGGGCTGTGGCCCCCATCCGCATGGAGCCTCCCCATGGTTCACAGGTCTCAGTCTTCGGAGCCTTCGGCCCTGCGAGCCCGAACGGTCCACAGGGCGGCGCCAGACCCTCTTTCGAACGCCATCCTCTAAAGCCTCGGCTCCAACCGGTTCCACTTCTTCAGGCTCAGGATTTTCACTCTTCTCGAATGGGGGTGGCCCTCCCCCAATCTTCTGAGTCGCAACAGCATCTCCCTCCCTCCAGGACCTCAGAGCCAGAGCTGGGCGAGAGGCCCTGACCTCCGGGGTAGGGTGGAAGCGTCCCTGTGAAGGTGCAGTCCTGCCTCCCATCCCCAGGCGCCGGGCCTCTCCCACCCTCAGCGCCCTGCTCACCTCCAGCTGAAGATGCCAGGGCACCTCTGCTTCCTCCCTGCCCTCTCTGCAGTACCGCCGAGTGTGCATAAAAGGGTTTAATATAGGCTTTGCCGGGCGCGGGGACTCCCACCTGTAATCCCAGTACGTTGAGAGACCAAGGCGGGAGGATCACTTGAGGCCAGGAGTTCAAAACCAGCCTGGGCAACAAAGTGAGGCCCGTCTCTGGAAAAAAAAAAAAAAAGAATAAAAGAGGTCCCTTTTTCTAGGCTAGAGATCCACAGGTGTATTTTCAGAAACTGAATTTCCTGGCGGGGCACAGTGACTCATGCCTGTAATCCCAGCACTTTGGGAGGCCAAGGTGAGCGGATCACTTGAGGTCAGGAGTTCAAGACTAGCCTGGCCAACATGGTGAAACTGTTTTTAGAAAAAAAAAAAAAAATTGGCCGGGCATGGTGGTGGGTGCCTGTAATCCCAGCTATTCGGGAGGCTGAGGCAGGAGAATCACTTGAACCTGGAAGGCAGAGGTTGCAGTCAACCGAGATCACGCTGCTGCACTCCAGCCTGGGTGACAGAGACTGTCTCCAAAAACAAACAAACAAACAAAACACAAAAAAAACCCCAAAACCCAAAACAAGCCAGGCGCGGTAGCTCGCACCTGTAATCTCAGCCCTTTGGGAGGCCAGGGCGGGTGGATTACCTGAGGTCAGGAGTTCGAGACCAGCCTGACCAACATGGTGAAACCCCATCTCTACTAAAAATACAAAAATTAGCCGGGCATGGTGGTGCATGCCTGTAACCCCAGCTACTAGGGAGGCTGAGGCAGGAGACTTGCTTGAACCCAGGAGGCGGAGGATGCAGTGAGCTGAGATCGTGCCATTGCATTCCAGACTGAGCAACAAGAGCAAAACTCCACCTTAAAAGAAAAAAAAAAAGAAAAAAAAACAAACAAAACTCCTGAATTTCCCTGTGGATACCTTTTCTCTGGCAGCCTTTTTCAATGAGGGCTAAGTTTTCTCCAATACTATATGGCCTGCAGACCGCTCAGCTTTCATTCCAGTGAAAACATTCCAGAAAAAACTCTGAATCAATCCCAGGTGTTTCTCCAATCAGCTCAGGATGATTGTGTGTTACCTGCTGCCCAGCCAGTGACACCTCTCCAGGCCTCTGACTTAGCTAGGTCTCCACCATGTGACTCCACCATAGACTCCCCACCTTCTTCTTTTGCAAAGCCTCAGACACCCAAACACCTACCAAAAGTGGGTAGGGCACCAGGACACTCCAAGTGTAAGTGGGGCTCTCCAGCACACCTGGATGTGGAGGTGTGATGCAGAGTGGTGGCTGCTCGTGACACTCATTTCACCCCTTTCTGTGCAGGTGCCAGAAGCCCAGGAAGCACACATCAAGGCTCACTTGCCAGCGGGGTGCTGCCAATAAAATGTAGTCACGTGGAATTTGGAATGTGGAAAGGAGGTAGAAGTCATCCTTTCCTCCCCCATAGCAGCAGGTGTGCAGGCTCTGGTGGTCAGCTGGACTCCATACTCCCCCACCAGTCACCAGCCTGGGGACCGTGGGGCTGCAAGGACCTCAGCAGCGGTTTCCCAAGTTTCCTGACTTCTTCCATCCTCTGGAAATCAGCTGTGGTAAAGTAGCCTGAAAGCCAGTGGTGCAACCCCATCCCCACAACCTTCACCACCTCTAGCACCTCCAGTGATAAGCACTAATTGCCTATATACAACCCTTTTTTGTTTGAAATATCTAGAGTAATTTCTGTTTTCCTATCTGGGGTAGTGTAACATAAGAAGAAATATATATTTGGTCTCTGACCCCAGTTCCTAACACAAAGCTCCTAAAACCCTTGGAAATTCCTGAATGATGGCGGTGCTAAGAGCATTGTCCTTTGTTAATTTATCATTTTTCTTTTCTCCTAGGTGTTTTTTCCTTTTTAAACTTTCCTTTTAGGTTAGGGGGTACATATGCACGTTCGTTATATAGCTAAACTTGTGTCATGGGGGTTTGTTGTACAGATTATTTCATCACCCAGGTACCAAGCCTAGTACCCAATAGTTTTTTCTGCTCCTCTCCCTCCTCCCACCCTCCACCCTCAGGTAGGGCCCAGTGTCTGTTGTTTATGAGTTCTCATCATTTTGCTCCCACTTAAAAGAACATACAGTATTTGGTTTTCTGTTCCTGTCTTAGTTTGCTGAGGATAATGGCCTCTAGCTCCATCTGTGTTCCTGCAAAAGACATGATCTCGCTGTTTTTTATGGTTGCACATCTTTTGTTCTAACATTTGGTCCTTAAACCTGGTTCCTGACACAGAGCTCCTAAATCCCTTGGAATTTTCTGGGTGATAGAAGCGTCCTTTGTTCTCATGAGGTGACTCTTGGTGGGCTCCTTATTTGGGGACTGGTCACCAAAAAGACCTATGGTTGGAAGCGTTGTGCTGTCAGCCCCATTCCCCATCCTCTGGCGTGGGGAGTAGAGCTGGAGCTCAATCATGCCTACGTGATAAAGCCTCCAGAAAACTCCTTAAAAGACAGGACTTGGAGAGCTTCCGGGTTGGCGAACACATCCATGTTCCAGGAGAGTGGTGCACCCCAACTCCACAAGGACCCTTCCAAACCTCACCCTGTGTATCTCTTCAACTGGCTTCATCATTTGTGTCCTTTAAAATATCCTTTGTAATAAATCAGCACTAGTAAGAAAACTGTTTTCCTGGGTTCCATGAGCTGTTCTAGCAAATGTTCAAACCTGAGGAGGGAGTTGTGGGGACCTCCAATTTACAGCCAGTTGGTCAGATGCATAGGTGATGCTTGGCCTTGCACCTGGGGTCTGACATGCGGATGGTTCTGTGTGACTGAGCCCTTAACCTGTGGAGTCTGGTGCTCACTCTGCTTAGGGCTTCTCTTGCCTTTTTAGTGTCCTTCTAGGCGGCCTTTCCTTCCTCTTGTCAGCTCAGAAAACTTTTCTTCCACTTCCCTTCTTCTAAACCATCCCTTACATCTACTCCTTTCCAGCCGACCAAGAGCAGAACCACGGCTGGTTCCACTGCCACCATGCTGTCCCACACTGTCTCCTCAGGATGTATTCAGATGTCCAGCCCTCCCCCCAGTCTAGGAGCCCCCCCTTTGAGGAAAGGGATGCTGGCCTAGTCAACTCTTTCCCAGCACCAGGTACAGCATCTGGCACGTTCCATCTTTTTCATGGACTCTCCCCAGGCGGCCTGACCTTCCCTCCTCTGAACCGGTGCATTTCTTGTCTGCATCATGTTTGCCCTAATCAGATATCACCTTATTTCCTCTTTTAAAAAATGCTTTGTTTCTCTGGCAGGCTTCATCGGAATCACAATTTTCATTCATTTAGTAACTGTTGTTGTTTATTCTATGTATTTTTGCAGGAGGCCTGAGGTGGGCTGTGTTCTCCTCCTATGGCAGGGCTTCACTCTCCTCCTCCTCCGTTGGGGCTTCGCTGTCCCTGGGATAAGAATAACAATGCCAAGGTTTTCATTCTTGAAAGGAGCAATTAAGCTTCTCACCCCCTCCTCATTTTAGATGGGAACTGTGAGGGCCCCATCATTTACCCAGGGTCCCTGTTGAGGATCTTGTCCTCATTAGATGACTTCTTGTGCAGCTTCCATGCATGATTATTTATTCTTGTGGCACTGAGAGGTTTGTACAGATCTTTAAACCAGAGCGGCTGTCCAAATGAGGAAAGTCCATCCTAGAAGATAGAAAGGGAAATATTAATTTTGCATGTCCTCTGCTTTCCCTGGCCACAGCAATGAATCCTCCAATGTACCTGACTCTCCCTTCGCGAAGAGCATCCCCTCCATGGCAGAAATCTGAAAATGCCCCTGGGGAGACACATGCACAAGACAGTGAGTGATGCAGCCGTTTCCCACGTATCTCACAATGTACTTCTCTGGTCTTATTAGGACTAAATGAGTATCTCAGTCCATAATCACAGGGAGAACCACCACCACAGACCACATACCCGGGGTCTTGAAAATAATTCCATGCATGTGGGACTTTCAGAAGCTCTCCATGTCTGCCCAGAAGGGCCCCACAATATACTGGGGGGACTTTGTATGTGGCTCAGCATGGAGCAGGGGCAGGATTTTCAGTCCCACTCACTCCCTTGGCCAAGTGCCCTTGTGCAGTGAACAAACTGCACAACCATGCTGGGCAGAAGCATTTTATATCAGTCCCCTTCGGACTTAGTCTCACAGGCATCATTTGATGGGGGATGGGAGATGAAGTGGTTCTTCGTTTTCTAGATACTTTATTCTATAAGTTGGATCACCTCAAGCAAATGCGTGAGTGCAGCTAGCCAAGTTCTCTATCTCACAGTCTTCATATGGCTGGCTGTCGCTGATGAGTGAGTGAGCTACGAAATCAGCTTAAAGCACAACATGTTATTTTTGAATTTGAATAAAATAGGAAAAGGCAGAGTGCATTGTGTGACCATGGGGTAAGTAAGACACTCTCCCTTTCTCCTTCTCAGTTTTCCTGTCATAAAAGGACAAACTACTATCTAAGGTCTCCGTAGTTAAAATTCTTTTTTGTTGTTTTTTTTTTATTTGAGACAGTTTGGCTCATTCCCCAGGCTGGAGTGCAATGGTGCTATCTTGGCTCCCTGCAACCTGCGCCTCCTGGGCTCAAGCAGTTCTCCTGCCTCAGCCTCCCAAGTAGCTGGGATTACACGCCTGCGCCACCACACCCAGCTAATTTAGTATTTTTAGTAGAGATGGGGTTTCACCATGTTGGTCAGGCTGGTCACGAGCTCCTAACCTCAAGTGATCCCAAAGTGCTGTGATTACAGGCGTGAGCCATCCTGCCTGGCCTTTCTGGTTAAAATTCTGTGAGGTTTGCATAAAAGGAATAGAGTAGGGGCCCAAAAACCAGTAAGATGAGAAAATAGTGTTTCCTCAGTTCTAGGATCCAGGGGAAAAAAAAAGAAATAAAAGAGAAAATACTGTTTCCTGCCACTTAAGAGGAAGGACTCGCATATCCTACCTTCCATCAGCCTTGAAGGAGACAAGTGCCCTCTCTCTCACACCCGGTGGCCTTCCCTTCCCCTTTCCCAGAGCCTCCAAGAAGGCCCCTGGCCTGGCCTGATGCCCACCATCAGCAGCAATAGGCACCAAAACCTTTCTCCTTCCTATCCCTCCCCACCTCCCGAAAGGGCTGGGGACAGCAGGTGTGTCCTTGTTAGTTCCATCCAGCTCAGCTTTGGCTGGGGAGCTAATTTCACTGGAGCCAGGCTAAGCATTAGGGTAAGTATTTGTCCTGTCTTGGGCAGTTTCCTCACTGAAAAATGAGGGCAGAGTTCTAAGCCCTCCTCTAATTCTAAAATTCTAATTAAAACGTCGCGAGACTAGTGGTGCATGCCTGTAATCCCAGCTACTCGGGAGGCTGAGGCAGGAGAATCGCTTGAACCTGGGAAGTGGAGGTTGCCGTGAGCCGAGATCGTGTCATTGCACTCCAGCCTGGCAACAAGAGGGAAACTCCATCTCAAAAGAGAAGAAAAAAAAAATCACCAGACTAATATTTACCTTGAGAATCCTTCTTCATCTTCTTGTAATGACCTTCGGTGACAACATATCTGTTTTAGAAGAAAACGCAATTAAGATTATCTATGACAACAACCACCATCTCCAAATCTGTATTGATTCCTTTTATTCATTATAAGTCTCATGTACCTGATGAGGTAACTTTTTTGAAGACAGGAATTGTATGCTGTGTAACACTGCTTTGATTCTTCCATAGTTCAGTCATCCTTGCTATCTTGCGGGGGATTGGTTCTAGGATACCGCCCCCACACCATACCAGAATCTGTGGATGCTCAATCCCTTACATATAATGGTGTAATATTTGCTTATAACCAACACGCATCCCCCCTATACTTTATTTACTTAGCGACAGGATTGCCCTCTGTTGCTTACGCTGGAGTGCAGTGTCATCCTCTGTTACTCAGGATGGAGTGCGGTGTCACGATCACAGCTCACTGTAGC
Source organism: Homo sapiens (assembly GCF_000001405.40). Lineage (NCBI taxonomy): Eukaryota > Metazoa > Chordata > Mammalia > Primates > Hominidae > Homo > Homo sapiens. The sequence continues at coordinate 46,335,135 of NC_000017.11, read as the reverse complement.
CTCAACCTCCTGGGCTCCAGTGATCCGCCCACCTCAGCCTCTTGAGTAGCTGAGACTACAGGTGCATACTACCACACCTGGCTATTTTTTTTTTAATTTTTAATAAAGACAAGGTCTCACTATGCTGCCCAGGTTGGCCTCCCAATGTGTTGGGATTACAAGTGTGAGCCACCATGCCTGGCCCCATGTAATTTAAGTCATCACTAATAAAATGTATACATATTGTACATTGTTGACAGTTGTTATATTGTACTTTCTGTTTGTATTTTTATTGGTTTTTTTTTCTTCAAATATTCAGCCTGATCTAGTTGAATCTGAAGATGTGGACCTGCTGATGAAGAGGGCTGACTGTATCTAACTTAGGGTCTTGCATGCAGCTGGCACTTAATACATTTTATTGACTGTTTTAGATAACATTCAACAGATAATTCCTAATAAAAACTCTTAAAAGTAGGAGAAAAAGGAAACCTGAGTCCTTCCTCTGAAGTGGCAGGAAAACCAGCCTGGGCAACATAGCAAGACCTTGTCTCTACGAACACATTTTTTAAATTAGCTGCCTGCCTGTAGTCCCAGCCACTCAGGAAGCTGAGGCAGGAGGATCCCTTAAGCCCAGGAGTTTGATGTTACAGTGAGCTAGGTCACACCATTGCTCTCCAGCCTGGGTGACAACAAGGCCCTGAGAAGGGAAAAAAAAGGAAAGGAAAGGAAAGGAAAAAGGAAAAGGGAAAGGAAGGAAAGAGTAGAAGTATTGGAAAGGAAGAGACAAAACTATCATTATTTGCATATTAAATGATAAATGTTAGCCAAAGAAGCCTAAGAGAATCAACTAAGATTTTACTGGAAGTAATGAGAATTCAATACAGTGGCTATCTACAAAATCAAGAAATCAGCACACAAACCTCAAATACTTTTCCCATGTACCACCAATAACTAATTAGAAAATGGAAGAAAGATCCCATTTACAATGGCAATACAAATGTATGAAGAATTTAGGAACAAAAATACAAAGATCTTTTATCTAACAAAAGATGTATAAGATCTATATATGGAAACACTAAAGCTCTTCTGAAAGACATTAACAAGAAATGAATACATGACATGAGATAGCACGTTCCTAGAATGTCGTACAGATGTAAATTCTCAAATTAATCTACAAATTTAACGTAATCCTATTCAAATCCCAAGATAGTTTTTGGTGGTGGCTGTTTTTAAGACAGGGCCTAGCTGTGTTGCCCAGGCTAGAGTGCAGTGGTACGACCACAGCTCACTGCATCCTCGACCTCCCAGGCTCAAGCGATCCTCCCACTTCAGCCTCTGAAGTCTCTCATATGGTGTCCAAGAAATGGTGACAAATCTCACAAAGGGACCAGGCTCAGCAGGGCTGGAATATTCAGGGAAGGTGTCAAGAAGAAAGATGAACTTGAGTTGGCTTTTGAGAGATGCATAGGACTCCCACAGGCAGAGTGAAATAAGGGCATTTTAGATGGACAAACACACAGACAAAAGCAGAAATGTGGGTGGTGTGACTGGGGTTTGGTGAGGGGCTGCTGTGGCTGGAATGGAGGGCTGCCACAATAATGGAAATGGTAAATGAGGCAAGTAAGGTTGGACTGGTAGCATAGCGTCAAGGTTGCCAGCTTTATTAAATCACTCTTCCAATATGCTAGCACTGGCCTGTTGGGAAAAGTAATACATCATGTAATCGAACAAAAGACAGAGGCAAGCTCCAGGAATGGGCACTGTAAACAGGACTTGTCCCAGAGTAGCCAGATGTAGGCTTTAGGTAAGTTGATGCAAGCTGAGCATCTCTAATCTGAGGGGGAATGTCTCACATGGTGTCCAAGAAATGGTGACACATCTCACAGAGGGTATAGGCTCAGGAGGGCTAGAGTATGAGACGTTCCTCCTCACCAGTGAACTTAAAAATGTGGCCAAAAATTTTTGTAAAAGATGGCTACTCTGTAGTGCTTTAACTGGACCTATTTAGACAATGCCTTACACACTGGAGGATGATACTGTGTAAATCTAATAAGTCTACAAGACAATACGTATGTCTTTTGGCTCTCTCCTTCCTCTCCAGGGTGATGACAACTCCGTGAGGGTGGAGATTATACCTCTCTCATCATTTCAGCAACAAGGAAATAAATTAGTGGCAGAGTAAGGGTGACTTGATGAGTACATCCAATTGTTGACATAGTTTTGGGTGGGAGAAATTTTGCTATTATATCGACTTCTTAAAATAGTCTAGTGGGATTCACTTGGTTTCAATTCACAGAGATCTGAAAGCGAGGATCCTTTAAAAATCCTGAAATATACACTGCAATAAAAGAACAAAGCATACACCTCAGCCTTAAATGACTGAAGAAGTATGTCAAGTAGCAGCAGGTGGGAAAGTGGCTTTGGTTTTCAGTTTGTGAGCTCTGAATCCACACAAAGACAGGACTGCATTCTGAAAACCTGAATTAATTATTGTCCTTACCACAATGAGGCAGAAAAGTATAATCAAAATCGTTAGTATTCCAGTAACAATTAATGCCAAGATGAGTTTGTCAGTATAGCCATATCCTGGAACTTCTTTTTTGAGCTAAAAAAAAAAACACACAAAAAAAAACCAGAATGAGAGCTAACTATTCAAAACCCCAGTATTCCAGGTGAGTAGCTGACAGGTTCTTTTTTATTTTTTTGAAAGAGGGTCTCACTCTGTCACCCAGGCTTGGGTACCGTGGTGCAATCACCGTTCACTAGACTCGACCTCCCTGGGCTCAGGTGATCCTCCCACCTCAGCCTTCCAAGTAGCTGGGACTACAGGCACGTGTCATCAACCCAGCTAATTTTCTTATTTTTTGTGGAGACAGGCTTTCACTATGTTGGCCAAGCTGGTCTCAAACTCCTGACTTCAAGTAATCCACCCACCTTCGCCTCCCAAAGTGCTGAGATTACAGGCGTGAGCTACCACCCCCGGCCTACAGTTCATCTTGTGCCCTAATCTATTTCTCTCTCTACATGAGCAAAGTGGGAGATCACTGTCATGACCAAAGTTACATGGCCAAGATAAGCTATGGCCTGGGAGTCCCAGACTCTTCTGTGTGGGCACTTTCCTGGGATATGCTAAATGATGGGAAATCTGGGTCTCATGTTTCTGTGTGGTCCTCACCTCAAGCGACTTCTCTTTCTGTTCACTCTGGGCTTCTGTGCTCTCATTAATGTAGTTCTCAATCTTCCATTGGTCCGTATCCCATTCTATCTTGGATGCCTTTACTTCCTGCTGCCCACTGAGAAGCTTCATCAGGTGGCCTGTCCTGGAGATGAGCTTGGCACAGGTCACTTGCACATGGGCCCCAGAGCAGTCCATCTTCAAGGTCCGGATAACATGAGCAATGAGCCTTCTCACATTGTTGTTGGGGATAAGGGACTGTAGCTGCTGGGTTAGCTGAATTTCAAACTGATCACCTGGGGACGAGAGCAATGGGTAATTGAAGCTTTTGGGCTCGGGGGACAGGTCAGTGCCCACGTTGTTGTATTCCCATTTTGTCTCAGTTTGTTTAACAGTTGGCCCTAAGTTGAATGCAGTCCCAGCGGAATCTGCCTCAGGAGGATGATTGTAGTTTGTGTTTTCAGAGATGGTTCCTTCTGGCATGTTAGTGTTTTCCATAAAATCATTTTCTTCAAAGGCATTTCTTGCAGTTGTGTGTTTTGTATTATTCTTCTCTATAAAATGTTCTGAAAGAGCAGATACTTCCAGAAAAGGGTTTTCTTGAGGACTCAGGTCTCCTAAGGATGAAAAAGCCCCTTGTGAAGGGGAATTTATGAGGCTCTTCGCTGCAGAGAATGGAAGCCTGTTTGCGAGCATCAGTCTACTCAGATAACTTTTCTTTCTGACCTTTGGACTCTTTTTGACTTTGGTTGTTCTGTGGGTCACGTGGGAGCGAGTTTTGTGAAAGCGGTATTTTTTTCTGGCATGTACGATTGGTTTAGACGTCTTCGTATTTGTAACTCTAGCCTTTGCACTTTCTAAAATGGAAATAGCGTGGGTTAAGTCTTTCGATCTGTCTCTCACCTGTGGTAGGGCTTTTGCAGGGCTGGAGGTAGAAGGCGTGCCCTTGGAGAAGGGTTTCAGCACAGAGACTGCTGCCTTATGCTCTTGGGTGAACGAAGGCTTGGTGTAGACGGCGTTTCCCGCTAACTTCTCAGGCCCCTGCTGTGTGTGGGGCTGTTCCACCTCCCTTGGGGCTGGACTCGTGAGCCTTTTTTCTTCGGCAGCGTTCTCCACAGATGCCTGGGCACCCTGTTCCCTCCTGATGCTCTGCCTTCCTACCTCTTTGAAGTGCCTTTTCTGGATGCTCCTTGGGCCCATGAGGACTCTCTTCACTCTCTGCCGGTTTTGGCCTACAGTTTGAATCTTTGCCAGGCTGTTTCCTGTGGTTGGCAGTTTAATGAACGGTAGTAACAGTGATTTCACATCTAGGTTTACCGCTGAGAAATAAGGCAAGATGTAACTTAGTGTACTGATAAAATCACTCTCGTCATTGGTGTCTAGCTGCTCACTCCCAAAGCCTGACAAGTTGATGCCACTGCTGTCTGAGGGCTCCTCTGGCTCAACAATCAGCTCAGTGCTTGTGTAGTTCTTCCGGGCTTGTAACACCTTCATGAACGCTCCTTCTGGATTCCCTACCGATGCTTCTTCAGCTGTCAAAAAAGAAGAGACTGCTTTGATCATGAAAGATGATGGGATGGGATGCATCAGTCCATAGCTGTACACCCCAGTCACACAGAGTAGGAGTCAGCAAACATTCGAGTGCCATTCAGAGAGGAGAAACACACACCCAATCCTAAACCTATGAAATGGCAACAACAAAAGGAGAAAATACATCTTTTGAAAACACGGCCACCTACTTGGAACATTCCATAGTGTGACATAGAGTAACTCTGTTTAGGATTATTTCGTTGATCCCCAGAGGCCAATTGCCCAGTGCTCAGTCAAAGCCCAAGGTGGAAGACAAGTGCTTCCCTGATGAGCTGGCCTCTCTGCAGACTGCTCCGTACCCTGTGCTGTCCTGCCTCAGATGCAGAGAGAGCACAAGGCTCCTGCTCTCCTCGTCCTCGGTGCACCTGTGTTCGTGCTACCATCACAGCTGAATGCAATGAAAGGCGGTCCTCTGAGAGGAGCAGGGTGGAGATGCTAAAGTGGAGGCCCCGTCCCATTGCTGATAGATCCTCATCTGGCATGCGCTCCACCCTCCCCATTCTCTGCTCCCACGTATCGTAGCCCCATCACAGAAGATGCGACATGGAAAAACGCACTGTGTCCACCCTAGTTCTTAAATTTGGGCAGGGATTTGGGGTGTATGTTAAGAGTTTTTCAAATTTGCCAGATTGTATGCCTATGTTGTTAAATACACAATGAATCCCTGGTATGATAGCAGTTTCTGGATAAACATTACTTGAGGTCCTAAAATGCAGAAGGGAAAAAGCAACTTTTGTCAGATGCCTACTTTGCTTTCATTTCATCTCTAATATTTTGGATGGGGAATCATCCAAAGCTTCTGACTGCATGAAGGTCAGGTGTGCCAGTGTGCAGCTGGGTTTCTTTTCTGGAATTAAAAGTACTTTGGGTGGTGGTGAGGGTCAGAGGAAGAAGTAAAGATTGTGAGAAAGGGGAAGAAACATGGGCTTGGGGAGAACCCAGAATTGGGGCCAGAAGACCTGGCACTAGGCTACAGCACTTAGCACCTCTGATCTTGTTTTTCCTCATCTGTAAAAGGAGGTTAACAAAGCTTTTCTGCCCACTTCTTGGGGAGAAGGGAATAACATAATTGGTAAAAAAAAAAAAAAAAAAAAAAAAGTTTTGAAAAATAAGCAACACTGACTTTATGTAACCAAGCATTATTAATTCTCCACCCCATATCACTGGTAGATACCTGTATTCAAGCTATCTGGACATGAAAGCAGTCACATTTTAGAAGTCATGAAGTTGATGCTAATAAGCCTAATCTACAGAAACACTCTTGAAAGCCCTTGAGCGTTTGTTCTGTGAACAGAAAGGTTTGAGATTCGGAGCAAGTTCAGAGTTGGATGGTCTAAGAATGGAAAAGCCCTCCATTCCATTAGAAGAGCCAGGTAGCAATTTCTGGTTATGGAACCAGAAGCTCTCAGGCTTCAAATAAAACAGCATCACTTGTACTCTTATAAAACTGTAAAAACAGAAAGACCAAAACCGTATCTACATCTGTCCTATAAGGCAGAGAGTACTTGAGATCTCATGGATTTAAAACCAGCTTACAAACTACATTGCACTATATGAAGAAATTATCACTGTGGGCAAAGCATCAAGCAGAGAGCACAGTATACAGTGTGTGGATGTTAATGTTATTCCCTAGCCTTCCCATTCCTTTGTCTTGGTCCTTTCTGCATATGGAACAGTTCTATTATTAAATTTTGTAATAGTAACTGAGAACCTGACTTTCAGCAAGGGAGTAGTTCGGAAATTGAGGGAGTTTAACTCTGAATGAGTAAATAAAAATAAAGCAATTATGTCATTAGCTTAAAATTTTATCATCATTAAAAATAAAAAGTTTAAAAACAAATACTTAATGTAACAATTTATCACCGCGCAATTTGGACTCACGACAATGTGTGGTGTTTGTCAGACATGCACTGTTGCAATGCAGCTTGACTGTCTTGCAGACAGCCTCAATGCTGTTTTTAAATTGGCAGAGGCAGCAGGCCATATGGCTAGGTAAGATCCTATAGATGAAAACAGAGAGCAATAAATTAGCGGTAAAGCGGTTACTTGAGTAGGTAAAGGAGGCAGCCAACGCTACCACAGGTGTGGGAAAAAGGTGTCATTGAAGCCTATGGACTGGACAGTTGGGTAGGAACCAGAAGACCAATAGGAAGGAGGACAAAAGTGCCCAACTGAAGGGTAAGCATGGCAGTGAGTATGGTATGCCTAGAATAAAGATGGTTGGGATTAGAATTGGGTGACAGTGATTAGTAGTTTCAGAAGTATCTCTTCCCAATTCAAAAGTCTCACTTTGGGCTGAAAGTACAGAGGAAGAAGGTAGACTTTTAAGAAGTCTGAATAAGCCCCCAACTTCTGGAGTCCCTTTCTCAATTCCTGTTGGGAGTGGGAAATATTATAAATTACTCTGGGCATTAAAAATAGTTTAACCTGGATTGCGGAGTTAAAAAATAACAAAGACTGCATTGGTCAAATCTGGACAATTTGAGCATTCAAAAGAATAACAACAATAAGTTACCACATATTTAATATAAAGAAGAATCCACGAAGAGTGATATTGAAAAAGAAAGAGGAGGAGTTCTTCTTCAATGAAATAATGCCAGCTAGTAAATGTAGAAGGAATGACAGAATTTTTAAAAGTGTCACTTTGCAACCGTCAGTGTAATACAAATTCATTCAGACAAGGATTATCATTGATGCACATTTGGGTGAAAAAACATTTGAGAACAGGATCTTCACTGAACTCAAAGTAACAACCCACAGATTATTTATTAATTACCAAGGGGAAAATTATTATTTTTTATTTTTATTTTTATTTTGTCACCCAGGCTGAAATACAGTGGCAAAATTATACCTCAATGCAGCCTCAACCCCCCTGGGCTCAAGGGATCCTCCAAATTCAGCCTCCTGAGTAGCTGGGAGTATAGGCTTGCACCACCATGCCCAGCTAATTTTTTTTTTTTTGTACTTTTGTATTTTCAGTAGTGACAGAGTTTCCCCATGTTGCTCAGGCTGGTGTAGAACTCCTGGGCTCAAGCAATCCTCCCACCTCGGCCTTCCAAAGTGCTGGGATTACAAGTGGGAGCCACTGTAGCCAGCAAAATAATTACAATGGAGAGACCTGGAAGATCACCTTAGTCAAGTGATCAAACTTAGTATTACAGGCCATCTGCGGTTACGAGGCAGGAAGGATACATCACCTATGCAGTATTTTTCCCAAAAATGCTTAACTTGAATTTCATCATGAGGAAACAGACAAATCCGGATTGTGGGACAATTTACAAGACAGCTATCTTTGACTCTTAAAAAATGCCAATGTCATGGAAGATCAAAGAAAGTAGAGGCATGTTTTAGATTAAAGGAAATGAAGACATGACATGCAGTGCCTGATCTTTGATTGGATTCTGTACTATTCTTTCATCTTTCTGGCTTGTTTGAATTTTTTCCAATACGTAAATTTGGGCAAAAGAGGTGACCGAGACAATTGATTAATTTATTGTTGTGGCTTATTGGGGGCACTTTCAGAGAGATAAAAACAATCCCTGTAACTGAAGTAAAAGGTTAATCTTAGGCAGTATAGCATGGTCATTAAGAATACAGATTCCATAGCCAGACTATGCTTCAATCTCAGCTCTGCTAATAATGTGAATTTGGGCAAATTGTTTAATCTCTGTTCCTTGGCCTTGTCATTATAATAGTACCTACCTCTAATGAATTTTGAGGATCAAATGAATCAATACCTGAAAAATGCCTGGTGCACAGTGAGTGCTCAATAAGAGTTAACTATAATTATTGTGTTGCAGAGGTTGTGGGGGGCCTTTTCTGAGTCCTCCAAAAGGATGGCTTTATTGGGGCCATATTAAGACTATGAAAACAGAAGAGGGTTTCATGGATACAAGAAGTCTGTGAGTTGGGGGTACAATGTATAGAGTTTTAGATTAAAACTGCATCCAATAAGTTGGCCTGAGACATCTTTCAAACCTATAAAGGAACAATCACAAGTGACTAGTAGTATTCCTTTGGGTCCAGTGGAAGCCTCTGATCTTCATATGGAATGGACCCGGAACCGTAACCCAGCATTTTGTTGTATAGCAACCTTACCTCTGCCACAAAGGTGTTTCTTTTGTTTATTTTGAGGCCGGGTCTCGCTCTGTTACACAGGCTGAGTGCAGTGGTGCAATCTTGGCTCACTGCAGCCTCTGTCTCCTGTGCTCAAGTGATCCTCCCACCTCAGCCTCCTGAGTACCTAGAACTACAGGTGTGTGCCACCACACCTGGCTAATTTTTGTATATTTTGTAGAAATGGGGTTTCACCATGTTGTCCAGGCTGGTCTCGAACTCCTGGGCACAAGCAACCCTCTCTCTTTGGCCTCCCAAAGTGCTGGGATTACAGGCATGAGCCCAAAATTTTTGGTATTCTTTTTCTGCCCCCAACTTTTTATTTTAAACATTTTCTTTTTTTCCTTTAAGCCTTAGAATGGCTGGGAAACATTTTCAAATGGTATAATGAACACCTGTATAACTTTCATCTGGAATCAGTAGTTGCTAATACTTTGCCACATTTGCTTTCCGTGTGTGTATGTCTATACATTTTCTGGACAAAACCATTTGAGAGTCAGTTGCAGACATAATGACCCTTCACCATTGAAGACTTCAGTGTGCAGCCCCTAAGAACCAAGGCATTCTCCGACATAACCAGAGGACTATCATCACTCAATGGAACTTCATATTATCATTGTCTACTATGCGGTCCGTATACACATTTTCACAATTGTCCTAATCATAACATGGCTTAAAAAATTCAGAATCCAATCAAACATCAGACATTACACTTAGTACATGATTCTTTAGTCTCCTTCAATCTAGAACTGTTCCCAGGATTGTTTTAAAGTATACTGACAAGTCTTTGAGACTGTAAATGACCTGAGGTATACTTGAGAATAATTTTTCAATACACATGAAAGATCATTACACATGAGCCAAGACTCAAATGAGCTGGCCTACTTACTTTGTACATAAATGTGTAAACTCCTGAAGACTTCCAATAATGAACTCCCATAAGACAGTTAGTTCAATGTCTTTATGGCCTTGGTGACAAATCATTACAGAGGATGAGAGCATTTTTCCTATCCAATAATGGTCAAGAAAAAAGCAGACAGATCCTCACTATCTTAGAGAACTAAGTGAGAAAGCTGGTCGATGAAGGGGACTTCATCCAGAGAGGAAGGGATCCAGCTGATGGGGAAGATGCTGCAGGAGGCTGAGGAAAGTGAGGCTAGAGCAGTAAAAGAGATCTGACAACCTGGTCAAGATAAGAAAGTGACCTGACAAAAATGAACGGAGCAGAGTGCTAAATGAAGGGCCCTTTCCATGCTAATCTTGCAAAATTCCCTCAACCAGCCCTAGCATAACTGAGTCTCTATTTAGCTTGCCATATTGTGGGGGCTGGTGGCACAATTGAAGTTGCAGTAAATTGTGTAACAAACTCACAATAGGGCCCTGCAGGCATACATATACATATATACACGTACATATATATAAATATATATATATTTTAGACAGGGTCTTGCTCTGTCACCCAAGCTGGAGTGCAGTGGTGCCATCTTGGCTCACTGCAACCTCCACTTCCTGGGTTCAAGTGATCCTCCTGACTCAGGTTCCCTAGTAGCTGGGACTACAGGCGTGTGCCACCACACCTGGCTGATTTATATATATATCTATATCTATATATATATCCTGCAAAGAAGGCCAGGCACGGTGTCTCATGCCTGTAATCTCAGCACTCTGGGAGGTGAGGCAGGAGGATCACTTGAGACCAGGAGTCCGAGACCAGCCTGGGGAACATACTGAGACCTCATTTCTACAAAAAAATAAAAAATAAAAAAGATACATCACATATGCAAATTGACTCAAAATGGATCATAGACCTAAATGTGTATCATTTCTGGGAGAAGACATAGGAGAAAATCTTTTAGACGCTGGATTAGACAACAGGTTCTTAAAGATTTCTTAGGTAAGAAACAAAAAATCACAAGCCATTTAAGAAAAAAATGCTAACTTAAAGCTGGTCAAAATTAAAAACTTCTGCTCTTCAGAAAACATTTTTATTTCTTACTTTTTTTTTTAGACAGAGTCCCACTCTGTCGCCCAGGTTAGAGTGCAGTGGTGCAATCTCGGCTCATTGCAACCTCCACCTCTCAAGTTCAAGCACTTCTCGTGCCTCAGCCTCCTGAGTAGCTGGGATTACAGGCATGTGCCACCACACCTGCCTAATTTGTGCATTTTTAGTAGAGATGGCATTTCCACACAACCGGAATACTACTCAGCAATAAAAAGGAGTGAACAGTTGTCCCTCGGTGTCTGCAGGGGATTGGCTCCAGGACCCCCTGCAGTTACCAAAGTCCACAGATGCTGAGGTCTTTTTTATGAAATGACATAATGTTTGTATACAGCCTCAGGTATACTCTAAGTACCTAATACAGTGTAAATGGTATGTACATAATTATACTGTATTTTAAATTTTCTACTGTTTTTATTGTTGTATTGTTGTTTTATATATTTTATTTTTTCCAAATATTCTCCATCCATGGTTCGTTGAATCTATGGATGAGGAACCTGCAGATATGGAGGGCCAGCTGTAGTGATAGGTGCAACAACATGGATGGTAGCATAATCTCAAAAAAAATTCTACTGAGTGAGGCCAGGCAAGGTGGATCTTATCTGTAATCCTAGCACTTTGGGAGGCTGAGGCAGGCGGATCACTTGAGGTCAGGAGTTCGAAACCACCCTGGCCAACATGGCGAAACCTTGTCTCTACTAAAAATACAAAAATTAGCCAGGTGTGGTGGCATGCGCCTGTAATCCCAGCTACTCGGAAGGCTGAGGCAGGAGAACCACTTGAACCTGGGAGGTGGAGGTTGCAGTGAGCCTAGGTCATGCCGCTGCACTGCAGCCTGGGCGACAGAGTGAGATTCCATTTCAAAAACAAAAAAAAAATTAGGCTTTGTGAAAGGAGCCAAACACAAGAGGCTATGTGCTATATGATTTCATTTATAAGACATTCTGGAAAAGGCAAAAGTATAGGAACAGAAATCAGATTAGTAGCTAACAGGGGCTGATGGTGGGAGGATGGGATTGCCTACAAAGGGACAGTAGGGGCCTTTTTGAGGCATCAGAAATGCTTTATATTGGGAATGTGGTGGTGGTTATGTAACTATACATTTGTCAGACTCATCAAACTGTACACTTAAAAAGCGTGAATGTTACTATATGAAAATTATACCTCAATGAACCTGACTTAAGAAAATAATAAAACAAACCTAAAGAACCAACTAAGTAAAAATAAATCTCAGAAAAAAATAACTTACAGTTTTTCCAGTTCAACAGTCATCATGAGAATGTTCTTAAGTGTTGTAAGTGGGACTAGCGTTGTTCCCATGTCTCTGAAGAAGAAAGCCGAAACATTCATGATATGAGCCCCAATAAAAAATTCTGTACCTAACAATTCAATTTTGGCTTCTCTATTAAACAAGCCAGCTCAAGACTTTATTTGCTGTAGAATTCCAGGGAGCTCTTATTAAAGAAATTAAAAGTTGATTTGCATCATCAAATTAATGATACTCAAGAGCAGAACTGACACTTTTTTTTTTTACCATTATCTTCTCATTTTCATATTGCACTCACCATCTTATTTACTCTTTTCTTTATTTTTAGAATAATGAACACCTTTTCCCCTTTGCTTTCTTGGTTAAATAATATTCCTCCATGTGTCTACATGTTCCAAATCTGTATGGGTTCTTCAATGCTGTTCTCTTCCCCTGCTGGCTGTCTTGACCATTATACATCCTCTTAATTTTTTTCTTCGCCAATAACTTTTTTTCAATAACCCAGTTAAAATTTAAATTATGACATTTTAGCCTAAATGCAAAATACTTAAGCTTTGATGAAAAATTTAAAAAGCATAAATCATCTCTTGACTCATGAGAGTACTATAGTACTTACAGATATTTTAATGCTGGCAATTTAAAGAGATACGGATCTTCAACAGTTGTCAGAGGATTGTGATTGAGAATTCTGAAAAATGGAATAGAATTAAAATAACCTGCATTTTCAATGTGTAAAACTGCATGAAAAGTTTACATTCATTTTTTGATATGGAACTTGTAGGTAAAAAAGAAAAAAATGTTTCCTGTCTTTACCTAAGAAATCACCATTAGACTCCGTAAAGCACTATTCCTATGGGAACTACCAAGGTCTCTAGAAGATAAAGGATAGAACGCGGGGAAGAACTACAAGGAAAAAAAAAGTGGATAGCAAAGAAAAAATATGCCACAGAACTTTTCAGGTCAAAAACCCTAAAAGTGACTATGTTGGTAGGAAGCCCTGACTGTGGAGGAAACAGTATTTCTAGCATCCTCCATAATTCAAGTTGCTCATCATAATTCAACTTGTTCATCTATTTTTTTTTTTTTTTTTTTTTTGAGATGGAGTCTCGCTCTTGTTGCCCAGGCTGGAGTGCAATGGCTCGATCTTGGCTCACTGCAACCTCCGCCTCCCAGGTTCAAGTGATTCTCCTGTTCTGCCTCAGCCTTCCGAGTAGCTGGGATTACAGGCACCCACCACCACGCCCAGCTAATTTTTGTATTTTTAGTAGAGTCGGGGTTTTACCATGTTGGTCAGGCTGGTTTTGAACTCTTGACCTCAGGTGATCTACCTGCCTCAGCCTCCCAAACTGATAGGATTACTGGCATGAGCCACTGTGGCTGGCTGCTTGTCTTTTATCTTTATAAAGTTTTTAAAATTTATGGTTTAATTTGCACAGTTAAAAAAAAATAGGACCAATTCTTTTGCTTTATAGCCAAAGAAGAAGGAATAAATCTAAGAGGAGGAACTGGTCAAAACCATACTCCCACTTGTCTTCTTGTATGACATCACAGCCTTTCTTACATTGCATGTAATCACCTGTCCACTTGTCAGGCTCCTGGACTATGAGCGCTTTGAGGGCAGAGACCACATTTTTTTTTTTTTTTTTTTTTTTCTGAGACGGAGTCTCACTCTGTCACCCAGGCTGGAGTGCAGTGGTGCAATCTTGGCTCACTGCAATCTCCGCCTCCCAGGTTCAAGCAATTCTCCTGCCTTAGCCTCCCAAGTAGCTGGGATTACAGGTGCCTGCCACCATGCCCTGTCATCCCCGTGCCTGGCATGATGTCTGAAATGTATTAGGCATTTAACAAATGTTTATTGAATAAACAAATGACATTTTGTTCATATGTCAATAAAATGAATAAATTGATTTTGATGCAAATTTTTATTCCAAAATGCTGGAATCGATTTTCTTTTTAATTCTTTAAGGTGAACAAGAAAAATAAAAGAAACAGGAAGAAATAAAAGAAAATCTACCTTTAGGTTAACCCAAGAATCATCTTTGTACTTAGGCAGAAATTATAAAAATAATAATTATTACAGTGAGTATCTACTGGGTTGCCAGGTATTTGTGATCAGCAAATACCTTATGTGGTAGATATTATTATTGCCCTATTTTTAAATGAGGAAACTGAGGCACAGAGAGGTTAGATAACTTGTCCTAGGTCACCAAGCTATTAAGCAGCAAAGCTGTAATTTGAACTCGTGTTTAATCTGTATGAAGAAAAAGGGTTTATTTTAACCTTAGGTTTTTAAAAAATTTTCATTTTTGTTCTTCATTCTTTTTCTCTCTCTTTTTCCTTCCTTCCTTCCCTCCCCCTTCCTTCTTTCTATTTTCTTTCCTTTCCTTTCTTTCCTTTCTCCTCTCCCCTCCACTCCCCTCCCCTCCCCACCCAAACAGGGTCTTGCTCCATTGACCAGGCTGGAGTGCAGTGGCGTGATCTTGGCTCACTGCAACGTCCTCTTCCCAAGCTCAGGTAATCCTCCTTCCTCAGTCTCCCAAATAGCTGGGACTATAGGCACGCACCACCACGCCTGGCTATTTTTTGTGTTTTTAGTAGAGATGGGAGTTTCACCATGTTTGCCAGGCTGGTCTTGAACTCCTGATCTCAAGTGATCCGCCTGCCTTGGCCTCCCAAAGTGCTGGTGTGAGCCACTGGGCCCAGCCTTAATTGTGAGAAGACTAAATACAGAAGTGCCTTTCAACCTTCTTCTACTCCTCTGGGAGGACCTCTATGAGAATTACAATTTCTCATTAGCAGGGCACGGCAGTGCTTGCCTGTAATTCCAGCTGTTTCAGAGGCTGAGGCAGGAGAATTGCTTGAACCCAGGAGGCGGAGGTTGCAGTGAGCCAAGATCAAGCCACTCTACTCCAGCCTGGGCGACAGAGCAAAAAAAAGTGGATTACAGTTTCTCTTTTTATGTCTTTCCCCTAATCATTTCCCATGATTAAATAGTTTATTAGTCTATGGTCAATGAGACTTTTTTTTTTTTTTTTAAGAGACACATTCTCACTCACTGTGTTGCCCAGGCTGGAGAGCAGTGGCTATTCACAGCCATGATCCCACTAGTGATCAGCATGGGAGTTTTGACCTGCTCTATTCCTGAACTGGGCTGGTACACCCCTTTTTAGGCAACCTGGTGGTCTCCTTTTCCCGGGAGGTCACCATACTGATGCTGAACTTAGTGCGGACACCCAATCAGCATAGCATGCTACAGCCCAGAATTCCTGGACTCAAAGGATCCTTCTTCCTTTGCCTCCCGAGTATCTGGGACTACAGGCATGTGCCCAGTGAGCCTTCAGAGATTTAAAATCATGTCGTAAGTGACATCAGTGAAAATGGTGGAATAAAGACATGCAGGCTGGGCGCAGTGGCTCACACCTGTAATCCCAGCACTTTGGGAGGCTGAGGCAGGCGGATCACGAGGTCAGGGGATCGAGACCATCCTGGCTAACAAAGTGAAACCCCGTCTGTACTAAATATACAAAAATTAGCTGGGCGTGGTGGCAGGCGCCTGTAGTCCCAGCTACTCGGGAGGCTGAGGCAGGAGAATTGTGTGAACCCGGGAGGTGGAGCTTGCAGTGAGATGAGATTATGCCACTACACTCCAGCCTGGACAACAGAGTGAGACTCTGTCTCAAAAAAAAAAAAAAAAAAAAAAAAAAAGAGACATCCAAAAATTCATCCCTTCATAAAAGCAACAAATACCAAAAAAAATAGCAAAAAAAAAAAAAAAAAAAAAAAAAAAAAAAAAAAAATTGACCACAATAAACTTTTTCAGAACTCTAGAAATGTAACCAAAGTCTTGCAGCAACCCAAGGAGCATTTATTCAAAAAAAATTTCTGTAAGAACAGTGAGATTTGTGTTAACTTGCCTTAGACCATTCCTCACCCTCTAGCTCAGTAGTCGCCTTGGAAAACAGCCCACATCCCCAACCAGAGGGAGCAGAATGGAGCTGGAGCTCCTTCAAAGCCTTATTCTCAGTTAACTGTCATGATGTCATCTGTCTGGTGGTTCCCTGGAAGACCTCATTTGAAAGGTTTGTCTTTATTTGACCAGAATGAAAGCTGTCTAGTGCTAAAGCCTCTCCACAGAGGGTGTTTTTGGAAAACAATTACAGACAAGTGTTTTAACATGGCAACTGTATTCGGCAATGAATAACAGTTTGGGGGAAAAAAGCCTAATCAAAAAGCTTAATAGGAAAAGCTGAGGAATAAGATGTCCACAGGAATTTGAAACACTCTGATATATGCTTGGGAAACTAGAAGTCCATAAGACATATTCCTGGCAATTTGGAATGTCACGCGCATGCATAGGGCAGACTGTCAGCATGGTCAGGAAAGACCTACTAAGTTCATAAACTCTCACCCCTGGCTGACACCTTGAGGTTCTGCACAAGCAAGAAGTGAAAGCTAAGGCATGGCTGTAAATTGTCTAGCTGAGTGCTGAAGGTATGCCCCAACATGTACACAGAGCCCCTTGGCAAAAACTAGGAGACTTATCAGTTCCAAGAATTTAAGTAAATCTTCATTTAATCATTACCTGATCGGTAAGCTAACCGAGGAGGGACTTTAGTGGGAACACATGACATATAATGCGAGACTTTACAGAAGAAGTTCAGAAAAGTCACTAAATAAATAGCAACTACTAACACAAGCAGGAGTAACACCAAACCCTGGCAGCATGGATCTGATTTTCAGAATTGCTACATTATATTATTTAAAATATTCAATTTTTAACAAACATTTATGAAAGATGCAAGGAAACAAAGTATGGCCCAAACACGTGGTTGGGGGAGAAATAAGCAGAAATTGTCCCTGAGAAGGACCAGATGTTAGACTTACTAGACAAAGATTTTTTTATTTTTTATAGGTGGGGTCTTGCGAAGTTACCCAGGGTGGTCTTGAACTCCTGGCCTCAGCCTCAACCTCAGTCTCAGCCTCCCAAAGTGCTGGGATTATAGGCACGAGCGACCATGCCTGGCCTAGAGAAGGATTTAATTCAGCTATTTAAAATATGTTCAAAGAGATAAGAGAAACGATTCAGTTCTGTAGACTAGAGAACTAAAGGAAAGTATGAAAGCAATGTCTCATCAAATAGAGAATATCAATAAAGAGATAGAAACCATAAAAAGGAGTCAAATAGAAATTCTAGAGTTGAAAAGTATGGTAACTGAAATGGAAAAATTATTAGAGGTTCTCAATGGCACATTACAGCAGGCTGAAGACAGAATGGGGAACTTGAAGGTTAATTGAGATTGTTGACTCTGAGGAACAGAAATAAAAATGAATGAAAGTGAATGGAATCTCAGAGACCTGTTTGTGGAACACATCATCAAGCTTACTAACATACACATAATGAGCGTCCCAGGAGAAGAAAAACAGAAAAAAGGAGAAAGAATATTTGAAGAAATGATGGCCCCAAACTTCCCAAACATGATGAAAAACAATCTGCATATTCAAGAAGCTCAAGGAACTACAAGTAGGAAAAACTGAGGGATCCACATCTAAACATACTGTAATCAAACTGACAGAAGCCAAAGACAGAATATCTTGAAAGCAGCAAGAGAAAAGCAACTCATCACATACAAGGGATCCTCAATAAGATTAATAGCTAATTTGTCTTCAAAAACAATGCAGGTGCTGGACATGGTTGCTCACACCTGTACTCCCAGTACCTTGGGAGGCTTGAGGCTCAAGAATTGCTTGAAGCCAGGAGTTGGATACCAGCACTGGCAATAGAGTAAAACCCTGTCTCTACAAAAAATTTAAAACTAACTGGGCATGCCCGTCTGGGATGTGAGGAGCGCCTCTGCCCGGCCGCCACCCCATCTGGGAGGTGTACCCAACAGCTCATTGAGAACGGGCCATGATGACAATGGCGGTTTTGTTGAATAGAAAAGGGGGAAATGTGGGGAAAAGATACAGAAATCAGATTGTTGCTGTGTCTGTGTAGAAAGAAGTAGACATAGAAGACTCCATTTTGTTCTGTACTAAGAAAAATTCTTCTGCCTTGGGATGCTGTTGATCTATGACCTTACCCCCAACCCAGTGCTCTCTGAAACATGTGCTGTGTCCACTCAGGGTTGAATGGATTAAGGGCGGTGCAAGATGTGCTTTGTTAAACAGATGCTTGAAGGCAGCATGCTCGTTAAGAGTCATCACCACTCCCTAATCTCAAGTACCCAGGGACACAAACACTGTGGAAGGCCGCAGGGTCCTCTGCCTAGGAAAACCAGAGACCTTTGTTCACTTGTTTATCTGCTGACCTTCCCTCCACTATTGTCCTATGACCCTGCCAAATCCCCCTCTGCGAGAAACACCCAAGAATGATCAATAAAAAAAAATTAAAAAAAACAAAAACAAAAAAAACTGGGCATGGTGGTGCATGCCTGTAGTCTCAGCTACCCAGGAGGCTGAGGTGACAGCATTGCTTAAGCCTGGGAGGTGGAGGCTGCAACGTTGTGAGTGGTTGCACCACTGCACTCCAGCCTGGGTAACAGAGCAAGACCCTGTCTAAAAACAAAGCAACCACACACAACACTGGAGGACAAAAGGCAATGAAATGGCATATTCAAAGTGCTGAAGAAACTGTCAACCAATAATTCTATACCTGGCAAAACTACCTTTGAAATTGAAGAGAAATTAAGATATTCTAGATAAATAAAAACTGAGAGACTTTGTTGCTAGAAGACCTGCCCTATAAGGAGTACTAACGTGAATCTGCACAAAGAAATAAAAAGCACTGGCTGGGCGCAGTGGCTCAGGCCTGTAATCCCAGCACTTTGGGAGGCTGAGGCTGGAGGATCACTTGAGGTCAAGAGGTTGAGACCAGCCTGGCAAACATGGTGAAACCCTGTCTCTACTAAAAATACAAAAATTAGCTGGGTGTGGTGTTACGTGCCTGCAGTCCCAGCTACTCAGGAGGCTGAGGCACTAGAATCGCTTGAACCTGGGAGGCAGAGGTTGCGGCGAGTAAAGATTGTGCCACTGCACTCTAGCCTGGGCAACAGAGTGAGACTCTGTCCCAAAATAAAGAAAAAAAAAAAAGAAAAAGATACTTACATAATGCAATAATTATAAATCTAGTTGATGAACATAAGGTATATAAAGATGTAATGTGTGACAATAACAGTATAAAGGAGGGGGTGAGAGTGGAGCTTTAGAGAAGCAAAGTTTTTGTATACCATTGAAACAAAGTTGGAATTAATCTGAACTACAACGTTATAAAATTAAGATGTAGCTGAGACTACAGGTGCGCACCACCACACTCGGCTAACTAAAAAAAATTTTTAGAGATAGGGTCTCACTATGTTGCCCAGGCTGGTCTCAAACTCCTGGCCTCAAGCAATCCTCCTTCCTTGGCCTCCCAAAGTACAGGGATTATAGGTATGCACCACTGCATCTGGCCACAAACATTTTGTTTTCTTACTGTTCATTTTTCAAGACAGGTTTTCACTCTGTTTCCCAGGCTGGAGTGCAGTGGAACAATCATGGCTCACTGCAGCACCGATCTCCCGGGCTCAAGTGATCCTCCTGCCTTAGCCACCTGAGTAGCTGTGACTACAGGCATGTGCCACCACGTTCAGCTAACTTTTAAATTTTTTTTGTAGAGATAAGCTCTCAGTATGTTGCCCTGGCTGGCCTTGAACTCCTGGGGTCAAGCAATCCTCCCACCGCAGCCTCCCAAAGTGCTAGGATGACAGGTATGAGCCACTGCACTGCAAAAATACAGAAGACCAAATTATTAAAACTAGAAATGAGAGGGGACATTACTATTGTTCTTAGAGACATAAAAAGGATTATAATATGAATAAAAAGGATTATACATATAAACAATATATGCTAATAATTGGATAAGCTGGATGAAAGACACATTACCAGAAAGATATGAACTACTGAATCTGACTTGAGAAAAAAACAGAAAATCTGAATAGACAGACCTATGTCAAGTAAAGAGATTGAGGTAGTAATCAAAAAACTTTCCACTAAGAAAAGCTGAAGACCAGCAGGCAGCCTCACTGGTGAATCTACCAAATACTTAAAGAAGAATTAACACCAATCCTTCATAAAGTCTTTCAAAATACAGATGAGGAGAGAACATTTCCTAACTTATTCTATGAGGGTGATATTAACCTGGTATCCAAACTAAAGACATCACACACAAAAAATTACAGACCAGTATTTCTTACGAATGTAGATGGAAAAATGCTTGACAAAATCTGGCAAACCAAATTCAACGGAGTATTCTGTAAACATGAAGCAGATAATAATAGCATGATTCTCCAAACTGATCTATGGTTTCACTACAATTGTTGTTTTTTTGAGTGAAAAAGTTTTCATTTATTGGCTGGGCATGGTAGCTCATGCCTGTAATCCCAGCATTTTGGGAGGCTGAAGCAGGTGGATCATCTGAGGTTAGGAGTTCGAGAGCAGCCTGATAAACGGATAAACGTGCTGAAACCCCGTCTCCATTGGAGTCTCACTCTGTTGCCCAGGCTTGAGTGCAATGGCGTCACCTGAACATCTATGTGCAAAATAATGAAGGTGGACCCCCTACATCTCACACGATTATAAGAATTGATGCAAAATATGTCAAATACCTAAATGTAAGAGCCAAAACGATAAGACTCTTACACAAAAACATGGGAGTAAATTTCATGACCTTAAATTAGACAACAGTTTTTTCTTCTCCAAACTGGATTTTTTTTCTTTTAAAACAATTTTGTCTTTTGAATTTAATGAAGTATTACTAGCTGAAGGCAGCCTGACATGGTGACAAGAATGTCAGACAGATGAAAGGGACACAGCCTGATTTAAAACCAAACACTGAACCTTTTTAAAGAAGAATAAGACATTTTATACACACACATGACACCAAAAGCACAAACAACCAAAGGAAAAATAGATACATTAGATTTTATCAAAATTAAAAACTTTTGTGCATCAAAGGACACTGGCAAGAAAGTCACAGAACTCACAGGATGAGAGAAAATATTGGCAAATTATCTGTTAAGGTCTAATATCCAGAGTATCCAGAAGATATAGAGAAATTCCTATAATTCAATAAAAAGACAAATCAATTTTTTAAATGGGCAGAGGATGTGAATAAATATTTCTTCAAAGAAGTTATATAAATGGCTCATATACACATAAAAATGTTGAATGTCTTAAATCATTAGGGAAATGTCCATCAAAAACTGCAGCGAGATACTACTTTACACTCACTGGGATGGCTATGAGAAGAGACAGACAACGACAGTGTTGACAAAGACCCGGAGAAATTGAAACCCTCAAACATTGCAGATGGAAGTGTAAAATGGAGCAGCCACTGTGGAAATCAGCCTGACAGGTCCTCAAAAAGTTAAACATAAGAGTTGCCATACGATCTAGCAATTCTGCTAGGGATGCACCCTAGAATTAAAAACATGTCCACGCAAAAAGTAGTACATGCATGTCCATAGCAGCATTATTCATAAAAGCCAAAATAAAGTAGAAACAACCACATGTCCACTAAGTGATGAATGGATGAACGGATATAGTGATGGCTCCATACAATGGAATATCACTCAGCCTTGCAAAGGAATGATCCATGCTGCAGCATGGGAGGACCTTAGAAACAACATGCTTCGTGAAAAGAAACTAGACACAAAAGGCCACATACTGTATGATTCGTTTATATGAAAGATCTAGAATAGGCAAATCCATAGGGACTCAAAGTAGATTAGTAGTTACCTGGGCCTGCGGGAAGACAGCACTGGGGAGTGATGGCTAATGGGTACCATGTTTCTTTTTGGGATGATGAAAATGTTCTGGGGTTAGATAATGGTGATTGTTTGCTATACAACCTTGAGAATATACTAACCACCACTGAATTGTACACTTTATAATACTGCGTTGATGGTACGTGGATCAAGTCTCAATGTAACACAAAGAAGCATGTTGTACTGTATAGAACACCAGGTGCCAGAAGACCAAACATGCTGGCAGATGGAAAAAAGAGGAGTGAAGATTCACTCTCCCTTGACCAAGATCAGAGTGAGTCAGTGGCGAGGCTGGGAGCCACACAGCTTGTCCTGCCTTGTGATCCCCCTCCTCTTCCTATTCCAGATGGTTTTTCAGTGCCATTAACTTGTTTTGTAACACTAATATTCAATAAGATGATGTTACAAAGAGAAAGAATGTGAGTGCTACATGACTGGTTAAGTATGGATTCTCAAACTAGGGCTTTAAATATCCTTCGTGATTTTTTTTTGGCATGAAAACTTGTAAGACCACTGGTGGGCTCTGTACAAAGTCGGCTACCCCTTCATTCTATATCTTCCTCTGCCCACTTTCCTCCCAGCTATTAAAAATGAATGTAGGCTGGGCACAGCATCTCAAGCCTGTAATCTCAGCACTTTGGGAGGCCAAAGCAGAAGGAGAGCTTGAGCCCAGGAGTTTGAGACCAGCCTGGGTAACAAAGTGAGACCCTGTTTCTATTTTTTTCTAAACACCAAAAATAATGACTGTAAGGCAGTATGTAGCCAAACAACTTGGCAAAGTTTGTTATCTTTCCTCCAAAATTCTCTCACTCTCCAACCTTCCCTCTTTCTTGATAGCTCATCCATAGCCTTGAGCTCAGCATTACCTCTGAACTAGGAAGCTCTTCTCCAGCTGACATTAGGATCTTTGCATTTGTCCCTAATGAAATCAAAATATAGGGCCATTTGATATTATCCTCTTTTCCTCCTGTTCTAAGGCATTCTTTTCTTGACTAAGGTTGTGCCTGGGCCATGGAGAGACTGAGTGAGAACTGGCTCAATGGCTCAAGTTTGAGGACTCTACAGCAACTCTTTTCCACAAACCAAATGATATGAATGTTTTTATTTATTTATATTTATGTTTCCACTTTTTAAAAGTCTTTTTGTAGAGATTGGGGTCTCACTTTGTTGCCCAGGCTGAACTTGAACTCCAGGGGCTCAAGCGATCTGCCTGTCTTGGCCTCCTAAATTGCTGGGATTACAGGCATGAGCCAGCGCGCCCAGCCTCGAGTGTTTTTAGATTCACAGTAGATGACCATTTCCATTTCTGGTTCAAGTCCTTCATTTTATACATTAAACTAAGGTGCACTGACTCCCAGTCCATCGCCTTTTTGGTATCTTTATGGAAGTAAAATGTGGCAAGCTTTTTTTCAGCCTCAAAGACTGTCTCAGAGTAAAAGTTTAAGAAGTACTGCTCTAAATAATTTTATTAAATATGCCTTATTAGATGAGGAAAACTGAAATATTTTTATACAAGCCTTTTGCTGTAGAACAATGGGACAGAATAAAGGTAGCTCACAAAATAAGGGAACATTTCTTGCCTGTTTTTTTTTTTCCCTCCAAATTCTTCTGTACAGGTCCAGATAGATGAGCTATGTTTCCTTTCTATTAACTGAGGAGACAGAGATGAAAGGACTGGAGCATGTCATCACTGTCTTAAATGTACTGAAATCCTAACAGCTCTAGCTGAAAAAATGTCCAAAGCAGGCCGTGAAAATAAATTTAAATGACAAACTCCAAAATGATCTATGCTAGAATCCCAAGGCTGTCAGGGAAAACTGGTTCCATGGAAGAAGGTAGTCAAAGAAATAAGCAGATGACCTAGACCCTCACCCACTATGCGCGATGTACTTGGGGAGAAAGTAACCTCTTTCCTTTATTCACCTACATAGGTTCGTGAGCCACACATCTCCCCACACCAAGCTCCTCCATACAAGACCTCGGACTGCATCACGTAAATGCTTTTTCAGGGGCAAAATCTAGAGAATCTGAAATGGTGAGCCTTTTTCCTTTTTTTTTTTTTTTTTTTTTGAGATGAAGTCTCACTCTGTTGCCCAGGCTGGAGTGCAGTGCAGTGGTGTGATCTTGGCTCACTGCAAACTCCACCTCCTGGAGTCAAGTGATTCTCCTGCCTCAGCCTTCAGAGTAGCTGGGATCATAGATGCCCGTCCCCATGCCTGGTTAATT